>NC_000001.11:143184587-143809587 GCF_000001405.40 Homo sapiens
GAATTCAATGCAATCATCGAATGCTCTCGAATGGAATCATCTTCTAATGGAAAGGAATGGAATCATCGCATAGAATCGAATGGAATTATCATCGAATGGAATCGAATGGTATCAACACCAAACGGAAAAAAACGGAATTTTCGAATGGAATCGAAGAGAATCTTCGAACGGACCCGAATGGAATCATCTAATGGAATGGAATGGAATAATTCATGGACTCGAATGCAATAATCATCGAATGGAATCGAATGGAATCATCGAATGGACTCGAATGGAATAATCATTGAACGGAATCGAATGGAATCATCATCGGATGGAAACGAATGGAATCATCATCGAATGGAAATGAAAGGAGTCATCATCTAATGGAATTGCATGGAATCATCATAAAATGGAATCGAATGGAATCAACATCAAGTGGAATCAAATGGAATCATTGAACGGAATTGAATGGAATTGTCATCGAATGAATTGTATGCAATCATCGAATGGTCTCGAATGGAATCATCTTCAAATGGAATGGAATGGAATCATCGCATAGAATCGAATGGAATTATCATCGAATGGAATCGAATGGTATCAACATCAAACGGAAAAAAACGGAATTATCGAATGGAATCGAAGAGAATCATCGAATGGACCCGAATGGAATCATCTAATGGAATGGAATGGAATAATCCATGGACTCGAATGCAATCATCATCGAATGGAATCGAATGGAATCATCGAATGGACTCGAATGGAATAATCATTGAACGGAATCGAATGGAATCATCATCGGATGGAAATGAATGCAATCATCATCGAATGGAATCGAATAGAATTATGGAATGAAATCCAGTGTGATCATCATCGAATGGACCCGAATGGAATCATCATCCAACGGAAGCTAAAGGAATCAATATCCAATGAATCGAATGGAAACAAAATCGAATTGAAACGAATGGAATTATCATGAAATTGAAATGGATGGACTCATCATCGGATGGATTCGAATGGAATCATCGAATAAAATTGATTGAAATCATCATCAAGTGGAATCGAATGGTATCATTGAATGGAATCGAATGGAATCATCAGATGGAAATGAATTGAATCGTCATAGAATGGAATCGAATGGATTCATTGAATGGAATCAGATGGAATCATCGAATGGACTGGAATGGAATCATTGAATGGACTCGAAAGGGATCATTATTGAATGGCATTGAATGGAATCATCGAATGGTCTCGATTGGAATCATTATCAAATGGAATCGAATGGAATCACCAAATAGAATCGAATGGAACAATCATCGAATGGACTCAAATGGAATTATCCTCAAATGGAATCGAATGGAATTATCGAATGCAATCGAATGGAATTATCGAATGCAATCGAATAGAATCATCGAATAGATTCGAATGGAATCATCGAATGGAATGGAATGGAACAGTCAATGAACTCGAATGGAATCATCATTGAATGGAATCGAATGGAATCATCGAGTGGAATCGAATGGAATTTTGATCAAAAGGAATCGAATGTAATAATCATCAAATGGAATCAAAAATAACAATCATCAATTGGTATTGAATGGAATTGTCATCAAATGGAATTCAAAGGAATCATCATCAAATGGAACCGAATGGAATCCTCATTGAATGGAAATGAAAGGGGTCATCATCTAATGGAATCACATGGAATCATCATCAAATGGAATCGAAAGGAATCATCATCAAATGGAATCTAATGGAATCATTGAACAGAATTGAATGGAATCGTCATTGAATGAATTGAATACAATCATCGAATGGTCTCGAATGGAATCATCTTCTAATGGAAAGGAATGGAATCATCGCATAGAATCGAATGGAATTAACATTGAATGGACTCGAATGGAATCAATATCTAACGGAATCAAGCGGAATTATCGAATGTAATCGAAGAGAACCATCGAATGGACTCGAATGGAATCATCTAATGGAATGGAATGGAATAATCCACGGACTCGAATGCAATCATCATCGTATAGAATCGAATGGAATCATTGAATGGACTCGAATGGAATCATCATTGAACGGAATCGAATGGAATCATCATCGGATGGAAACGAATGGAATTATCATCGAATGGAAATGAAAGGAGTCATCATCTAATGGAATCGCATGGAATCATCATAAAATGGAATCGAATGGAATCAACATCAAATGGAATCAAATGGAATCATTGAACGGAATTGAATGGAATCGTCATCGAATGAATTGAATGCAATCATTGAATGGTCTCGAATGGAATCAACTTCAAATGGAATGGAATGGAACCATCGCATAGAATCGAATGGAATTATCATCGAATGGAATCGAATGGAATCAACATCAAACGGAAAAAAACGGAATTATCGAATGGAATCGAAGAGAATCATCGAATGGACCGGAATGGAATCATCTAATGGAATGGAATGGAATAATCCATGGACTCGAATGCAATCATCATCGAATGGAATCGAATGGAATCATAGAATGGACTGGAATGGAATAATCATTGAACGGAATCGAATGGAATCATCATCGGATGGAAATGAATGGAATCATCATCGAATGGAATCGAATACAATTATGGAATGAAATCCAGTGTGATCATCATCGAATGGACCCGAATGGAATCATCATCCAACGGAAGCTAATGGAATCAACATCGAATGAATCGAATGGAAACACCATCGAATTGAAACGAATGGAATTATCATGAAATTGAAATGGATGGACTCATCATCGAATGGATTCGAATGGAATCATCGAATAAAATTAATTGAAATCATCATCAAATGGAATCGAATGGTATCATTGAATGGAATCGAATGGAATCATCATCAGATGGAAATGAATGGAATCGTCATAGAATGGAATCGAATGGATTCATTGAGTGGAATCAGATGGAATCATCGAATGGACTGGAATGGAATCACTGAATGGACTCGAAAGGGATCATCATTGAATGGAATTGAATGGAATCATCGAATGGTCTCGATTGGAATCATTATCAAATGGAATCGAATGAAATCACCGAATAGAATCGAATGGAACAATCATCGAATGGACTCAAATGGAATTATCTTCAAATGGAATCGAATGGAATTATCGAATGCAATCGAATGGAATTATCGAATGCAATCGAATAGAATCATCGAATGGACTCGAATGGAATCATCGAATGGAATGGAATGGAACAGTCAATGAACTCGAATGGAATCATCATTGAATGGAATCGAATGGAATCATCGAGTGGAATCGAATGGAATTATGATCAAATGGAATCGAATGTAATCATCATCAAATGGAATCAAAAATAACGATCATCAATTGGTATTGAATGGATTTGTCATCAAATGGAATTCAAAGGAATCATCATCAAATGGAACCGAATGGAATCCTCATTGAATGGAAATGAAAGGGGTCATCATCTAATGGAATCGCCATGGAATCATCATTAAATGGAATCGAATGGAATCATCATCAAATAGAATCTAATGGCATCACTGAACAGAATTGAATGGAATCGTCATCGAATGAATTGAATGCAATCACCGAATGATCTCCAACGTAATCATCTTTCAATGAAATGGAATGGAATCATCGCATAGAATCGAATGGAATTATCATCGAATGGACTCGAATGGAATCAATCTCAAACGGAATGAAACGGAATTATCAAATGGAATCGAAGAGAATCATCGAACGGACTCGAATGGAATCATCTAATGGAATGGAATGGAATAATCCATGGACTCGAATGCAATCATCATCGAATGGAATCGAATGGAATCATCGAATGGACTCGAATGGAATCATCATCAGATGGAATGAAACGGAATTATTGAATGGAATCGAAACGAATGGAATCATCATCGAATGGACTCGAATGGAATCATCTAATGGAATCAGATGGAATCATCATCAAATGGAATCGAATAGAATTATGGAATCAAATCCAATGTGATCATCATCGAATGGACTCGAATGGAATCATCATCCAATGGAAACTAATGGAATCAACATCGAATGGAATCGATTGGAAACACCATCGAACTGAAAACGAATGGAATTATCATGAAACTGAAATGGATGGACTCATCATCGAATGGATTCGAATGGAATCATCAGATGAAATTGACTGAAATCATCATTAAATGGAATCGAATGGAATCATTGAATGGAATCGAATGGAATCATCATCAGATGGAAATGAATGGAATAATCATAGAATGGAATCGAATGTATTCATTGAATGGAATCAGATGGAATCATCGAATGGACTTGAATGGAATCATTGAATGGACTCGAATGGAATCATTATTGAGTGGAATTGAATGGAATCATCGAATGGTCTCGAATGGAATCATTATCAAATGGAATCGAATGGAATCACCGAATAGAATCGAATGGAACAATCATAGAATAGACTCAAATGGAATTATCCTCAAATGGAATCGAATGAAATTATCGAATGCAATCGAATGGAATAATCGAATGCAATCAAACAGAATCATCGAATTCACTCGAATGGAATCATCGAATGGAATGGAAAGGAATAGTCAATGAACTCGAATGGAATCATCATTGAATGGAATCGAATGGAATCATCGAGTGGAATCGAATGGAATCATGATCAAATGGAATCGAATGTAATCATCATCAAATGGAGTCAAAAATAACCATCATCAATTGGTATTGAATGGAATTGTCATCAAATGGAATTCAAAGGAATCATCATCAAATGGAAACGAATGGAATCCTCATTGAATGGAAATGAAAGGAGTCATCATCTAATGGAATCGCATGTAATCACCATCAAATGGAATCGAATGGAATCATCATCAAATGGAATCTAATGGAATTATTGAACGGAATTGAATGGAATCGTCATCGAATGAATTGAATGCAATCATCGAATGGTCTCGAACGGAATCATCTTCCAATGGAATGGAATGGAATCTTTGCAAAGAATCGAATGGAATTATCATCGAATGGACTCGAATGGAATCAACCTCAAACGGAATCAAACGGAATTATCGAATGGAATCGAAGAGAATCATCGAATGGACTCGAATGGAATCATCTAATGGAATGGAACGGAATAATCTATAGACTCGAATGCAATCATTATCGAATGGAAATCGAATGGAATCATCGAATGGACTCGAATGGAATAATCATTGAACGGAATTCAAAGGTATCATCATCAGATGGAACCGAATGGAATCATCATCGAATGGAAATGAAAGGAGTCATCATCTAATGGAATTGCATGGAATGATCATCAAATGGAATCGAATGGAATCAACATCAAATGGAATCAAATGGAATCATTGAACGGAATTGAATGGAATCGTCATCGAATGAATTGAATGCAATCATCGAATGGTCTCGAATGGAATCATCTTCCAATGGAATGGAATGGAATCATCGCATAGAATCGAATGCAATTATCATCGAATGGACTCGAATGGAATCAACATCAAACGGAATCAAGCGGAATTATCGAATGGAATCGAAGAGAATCATCGAATGGACCCGAATGGAATCATCTAATGGAATGGAATGGAATAATCCACGGACTCGAATGCAAACATCATCGTATAGTATCGAATGGAATCATTGAATGGACTCGAATGGAATAATCATTGAACGGAATCAAATGGAATCATCATCGGATGGAAACGAATGGAATCATCATCGAATGGAAAAGAAAAGAGTCATCATCTAATGGAATTGCATGGAATCATCATAAAATGGAATCGAATGGAATCAACATCAAATGGAATCAAATGGAATCATTGAACGGAATTGAATGGAATCGTCATCGAATGAATTGAATGCAATCATCGAATGGTCTCGAATGGAATCATCTTCTAATGGAAAGTAATGGAATCATCGCATAGAATCGAATGGAATTAAAATTGAATGGACTCGAATGGAATCAACACCAAACGGAAAAAAACGGAATTATCGAATGGAATCGAAGAGAATCATCGAATGGACCCGAATGGAATCATCTAATGGAATGGAATGGAATAATCCATGGACTCGAATGCAATCATCATCGAATGGAATCGAATGGAATCATCGAATGGACTCGAATGGAATAATCATTGAACGGAATCGAATGGAATCATCATCGGATGGAAAAGAATGGAATCATCATCGAATGGAAATGAAAGGAGTCATCATCTAATGGAATTGCATGGAATCATCATAAAATGGAATCGAATGGAATCAACATCAAATGGAATCCAATGGAATCATTGAACGGAATTGAATGGAATCGTCATCGAATCAATTGAATGCAATCATCGAATGGTCTCGAATGGAATCATGTTCAAATGGAATGGAATGGAATCATCGCATAGAATCGAATGTAATTATCATCGAATGGAATCGAATGAAATCAACAACAAACGGAAAAAAAAGGAATTATCGAATGGAATCAAAGAGAATCATCGAATGGACCCGAATGGAATCATCTAATGGAATGGAATGGAATAATCCATGGACTCGAATGCAATCATCATCGAATGGAATCGAATGGAATCATCGAATGGACTCGAATGGAATAATCATTGAACGGAATCGAATGGAATCATCATCGGATGGAAACGAATGGAATCATCATCGAATGGAAATGAAAGGAGTCATGTAACGGAATTACATGGAATCATCATAAAATGGAATTGAATGGAATCAACATCAAATGGAATCCAATGGAATCATTGAACGGAATTGAATGAATCGTCTTCGAATCAATTGAATGCAATCATCGAATGGTCTCGAATGGAATCATGTTCAAATGGAATGGAATGGAATCATCGCATAGAATCGAATGTAATTATCATCGAATGGAATCGAATGAAATCAACAACAAACGGAAAAAAAAAGGAATTATCGAATGGAATCAAAGAGAATCATCGAATGGACCCGAATGGAATCATCTAATGGAATGGAATGGAATAATCCATGGACTCGAATGCAATCATCATCGAATGGAATCGAATGGAATCATCGAATGGACTCGAATGGAATAATCATAGAACGGAATCGAATGGAATCATCATCGGATGGAAATGAATGGAATCATCATCGAATGGAAATCGAATAGAATTATGGAATGAAATCCAGTGTGATCATCATCGAATGCACCCGAATGGAATCATCATCCAACGGAATCTAATGGAAACAACATCGAATGAATCGAATGGAAACACCATCGAATTGAAACGAGTGGAATTATCATGAAATTGAAATGGATGGACTCATCATCGAATGGATTCGAATGGAATCATCGAATAAAATTGATTGAAATCATCATCAAATGGAATCGAATGGTATCATTGAATGGAATCGAATGGAATCATCATCAGATGGAAATGAATGGAATCGTCATAGAATGGAATCGAATGGATTCGTTGAATGGAATCAGATGGAATCATCGAATGGACTGGAATGGAATCATTGAATGGACTCGAGAGGGATCATTATTGAATGGAATTGAATGGAATCATAGAATGGTCTCGATTGGAATCATTATCAAATGGAATCGAATGGAATCACCGAATAGAATCGAATGGAACAATCATCGAATGGACTCCAATGGAATTATCCTCAAATGGAATCGAATGGAATTATCGAATGCAATCGAATGGAATTATCGAATGCAATCGAATAGAATCATCGAATGGACTCGAATGGAATCATCGAATGGAATGGAATGGAACAGTCAATGAACTCGAATGGAATCATCATTGAATGGAATCGAATGGAATCATCGAGTGGAATCGAATGGAATTATGATCAAATGGAATCGAATGTAATCATCATCAAATGGAATCAAAAATAACCATCATCAATTGGTATTGAATGGAATTGTCATCAAATGGAATTCAAAGGAAACATCATCATATGGAACCGAATGGAATCCTCATTGAATGGAAATGAAAGGGGTCATCATCTAATGGAATCGCATGGAATCATCATCAAATGGAATCGAATGGAATCATCATCAAATGGAATCTGATGGAATCATTGAATGGAATCATCATCGAATGAATTGAATGCAATCATCGAATGGTCTCGAATGGAATCATCTTCTAATGGAAAGGAATGGAATCATCGCATAGAATCGAATGGAATTATCATCGAATGGAATCGAATGGTATCAACATCAAACGGAAAAAAACGGAATTATCGAATGGAATCGAAGAGAATCTTCGAACGGACCCGAATGGAATCATCTAATGGAATGGAATGGAATAATCCATGGACTGGAAGGCAATCATCATCGAATGGAATCGAATGGAATCATCGAATGGACTCGAATGGAATAATCATTGAACGGAATCGAATGGAATCATCATCGGAATGAAACGAATGGAATCATCATCGAATGGAAATGAAAGGAGTCATCATCTAATGGAATTGCATGGAATCATCATAAAATGGAATCGAATGGAATCAACATCAAATGGAATCAAATGGAATCATTGAACGGAATTGAATGGAATCGTCATCGAATGAATTGAATGCAATCATCGAATGGTCTCGAATGGAATCATCTTCAAATGGAATGGAATGGAATCATCGCATAGAATCGAATGGAATTATCATCGAATGGAATCGAATGGAATCAACATCAAACGGAAAAAAAACGGAATTATCGTATGGAATCGAAGAGAATCATCGAATGGACCCGAATGGAATCATCTAATGGAATGGAATGGAATAATCCATGGACTCGAATGCAATCATCATCGAACGGAATCGAATGGAATCATCGAATGGACTCGAATGGAATAATCATTGAACGGAATCGAATGGAATCATCATCGGATGGAAATGAATGGAATCATCATCGAATGGAATCGAATAGAATTATGGAATGAAATCCAGTGTGATCATCATCGAATGGACCCGAATGGAATCATAATCCAACGGAAGCTAATGGAATCAACATCGAATGAATCGAATGGAAACACCATCGAATTGAAACGAATGGAATTATCATGAAATTGAAATGGATGGACTCATCATCGAATGGATTCGAATGGAATCATCGAATAAAATTGATTGAAATCATCATCGAATGGAATCGAATGGTATCATTGAATGGAATCGAATGGAATCATCATCAGATGGAAATGAATGGAATCGTCATAGAATGGAATCGAATGGATTCATTGAATGGAATCAGATGGAATCATCGAATGGACTGGAATGGAATCATTGAATGGACTCGAAAGGGATCATGATTGAATGGAATTGAATGGAATCATCGAATGGTCTCAATTGGAATCATTATCAAATGGAATCGAATGGAATCACCGCATAGAATCGAATGGAACAATCATCGAATGGACTGAAATGGAATTATCCTCAAATGGAATGGAATGTAATTATCGAATGCAATCGAATGGAATTATCGAATGCAATCGAATAGAATCATCGAATGGACTCGAATGGAATCATCGAATGGAATGGAATGGAACAGTCAATGAACTCGAATGGAATCATCATTGAATGGAATCGAATGGAATCATCGAGTGGAATCGAATGGAATTATGATCAAATGAATCGAATGTAATCATCATCAAATGGAATCAAAAATAACCATCATCAATTGGTATTGAATGGAATTGTCATCAAATGGAATTCAAAGGAAACATCATCAAATGGAACCGAATGGAATCCTCATTGAATGGAAATGAAAGGGGTCATCATCTAATGGAATCGCATGGAATCATCATCAAATGGAATCGAATGGAATCATCATCAAATGGAATCTGATGGAATCATTGAATGGAATCGTCATCGAATGAATTGAATGCAATCATCGAATGGTCTCGAATGGAATCATCTTCAAATGGAATGGAATGGAATCATCGCATAGAATCGAATGGAATTATCATCGAATGTTATCGAATGGTATCAACAACAAACGGAACAAAACGGAATTATCGAATGGAATCGAAGAGAATCATCGAACGGACCCGAATGGAATCATCTAATGGAATGGAATGTTATAATCCATGGACTCGAATGCAATCATCATCGAATGGAATCGAATGGAATCATCGAATGGAACCGAATGGAATAATCATTGAACGGAATCGAATGGAATCATCATCGGATGGAAACGAATGGAATCATCATCGAATGGAAATGAAAGGAGTCATCTAATGGAATTGCACGGAATCAACATAAAATGGAATCGAATGGAATCAACATCAAATGGAATCAAATGGAATCATTGAACAGAATTGAATGGAATCGTCATCGAATGAATTGAATGCAATCATCGAATGGTCTCGAATGGAATCATCTTCTAATGGAAAGGAATGGAATCATCGCATAGAATCGAATGGAATTAACATTGAATGGACTCGAATGGAATCAACATCAAACGGAATCAAGCGGAATTATCGAATGGAATCGAAGAGAATCATCGAATGGACTCGAATGGAATCATCTAATGGAATGGAATGGAATAATCCATGGACTCGAATGCAATCATCATCGAATGGAATCGAATGGAATCATCGAATGGACTCGAATGGAATAATCATTGAACGGAATCGAATGGAATCATCATCGGATGGAAACGAATGGAATCATCATCGAATGGAAATGAAAGGAGTCATCATCTAATGGAATTGCATGGAATCATCATAAAATGGAATCGAATGGAATCGACATCAAATGGAATCAAATGGAATCATTGAAAGAAATTGAATGGAATCGTCGTCGAATGAATTGAATGCAATCATCGAATGGTCTCGAATGGAATCATCTTCAAATGGAATGGAATGGAATCATCGCATAGAATCGAATGGAATTATCATCGAATGGAATCGAAAGGTATCAACAACAAACGGAAAAAAACGGAATTATCGAATGGAATCGAAGAGAATCTTCGAACGGACCCGAATGGAATCACCTAATGGAATGGAATGGAATAATACATGGACTGTAATGCAATCATCATCGAATGGAATCGAATGGAATCATCGAATGGACTCGAATGGAATAATCATTGAACGGAATCGAATGGAATCATCATCGGATGGAAATGAATGGAATCATCATCGAATGGAATCGAATAGAATTATGGAATGAAATCCAGTGTGATCATCATCGAATGGACTCAAATGGAATCATCATCCAATGGAAGCTAATGGAATCAACATCCAATGGAATCGAATGGAAACACCATCGAATTGAAACGAATGGAATTATCATGAAATTGAAATGGATGGACTCATCATCGAATGGGTTCGAATGGGATCATCGGATGAAATTTATTGAAATCATCATCAAATGGAATCGAATGGAATCATTGAATGGAATCGAATGGAATCATCATCAGATGGAAATGAATGGAATCATCACAGAATGGAAACGAATGGATTCATTGAATGGAATCAGATGGAATCATCGAATGGACGTGAATGAAATCATTGAATGGACTCGAATGGAATCATTATTTAATGGAATTGAATGGAATCATCGAATGCTCTCGAATGGAATCATTATCAAATGGAATCGAATGGAATCACCGAATAGAATGGAATGGAACAATCATTGAATGGACTCAAATGGAATTATCCTCAAATGGAATCGAATGGATTTATCGAATGCAACCGAATGGAATAATCGAATGCAATCGAATAGAATCATCAAATGGACTGGAATGGAATCATCGAATGGAATGGAATGGAATAGTCAATGAACTCGAATGGAATCATCATTGAATGGAATGGAATGGAATCATGATCAAATGGAATCGAATGTAATCATCATCAAATGGAATTAAAAATAACCATCATCAGTTGGTATTGAATGGAACTGTCATCAAATGAAATTCAAAGGAATCATCATCAAATGGAACCGAATGGAATCCTCATTGAATGGAAATGAAAGGAGTCATCATCTAATGGAATCACATGGAATCATCATCAAATGGAATCAAATGGAATCATCATCAAATGGAATCTAATGGAATCATTGAACGGAATTGAATGGAATCGTCATCGAATGAATTGAATGCAATCATCGAATGGTCTCGAACGGAATCATCTTCCAATGGAATGGAATGGAATCATCGCATAGAATCGAATGGAATTATCATCGAATGGACTCAAATGGAATCAACCTCAAACGGAATCAAACGGAATTATCGAATGGAATCCAAAGAATCATCGAATGGACTTGAATGGAATCATCTAATGGAATGGAACGGAATAATCCATGGACTCGAATGCAATCATCATCAAATGGAATCGAATGGAATCATCGAATGGACACGAATGGAATAATCATTGAACGGAATTGAATGGAATCATCATCGGATGGAAATGAATGGAATCATCATCGAATGGAATCGAATGGAATCATCAAATGGAATCAGATGGAATCATCATCAAATGGAATCGAATAGAATTATGGAATGAAATCCAATGTGATCATCATCGAATGGACTCGAATGGAATCATCATCCAATGGAAACTAACGGAATCAACATCGAATGGAATCGAATGGAAACCCCATCGAATTGAAACGAATGAAATTATCATGAAATTGAAATGGATGGACTCATCATCGAATGGATTCGAATGGGATCATCGAATGAAATGTATTGAAATCATCATCAAATGGAATCGAATGGAATCATTGAATGGAATCGAATGGAATCATCATCAGATGGAAATGAATGGAATCATCACAGAATGTAATCGAAAGGATTCATTGAATGGAATCAGAGGGAATCATCAAATGGACTTGAATGGAATCATTGAATGGACTCGAATGGAATCATTATCAAATGGAATCGAATGGAATCACCGAATAGAATCGAATGGAACAATCATCGAATGGACTCAAATGGAATTATCCTAAAATGGAATCGAATGGAATTATCGAATGCAATCGAATGGAATAATCGAATGCAATCGAATAGAATCATCGAATAGACTCGAATGGAATCATCGAACGGAATGGAATGGAATAGTCAATGAACTCGAATGGAATCATCATTGAATGGAATCGAATGGAAATCATCGAGTGGAATCGAATGGAATCATGATCAAATGGAATCGAATGTAATCATCATCAAATGGAATCAAAAATAACCATCATCAATTGGTATTGAATGGAGTTGTAATCAAATGGAATTCAAAGGCGTCATCATCAAATGGAACCGAATGGAATCCTCAATGAATGGAAATGAAAGGAATCATCATCTAATGGAATCACATGGAATCATCATCAAATGGAATCGAATGGAATCATCATCAAATGGAATCTAATGGAAACATTGAACGGAATTGAATGGAATCGTCTTCGAATGAATTGAATGCAATCATCGAATGGTCTCCAACGGAATCATCTTCCAATGGAATGGAATGGAATCATCGCATAGAATCGAATGCAATTATCATCGAATGGACTCGAATGGAATCAACCTCAAACGGAATGAAACGTAATTATCGAATGGAATCGAATTGAATCATCGAATGGACTCGACCCCCAATAATCATTGAACGGAATCGAATGGAATCATCTTCGGATGGAAAAGAATGGAATCATCATCGAATGGAATCGAATGGAATCATCAAATGGAATCAGATGGAATCATCATCAAATGGAATCGAATAGAATTATGGAATCAAATCCAATGTGATCATCATCGAATGGACTCGAATGGAATCATCATCCAATGGAAACTAACGGAATCAACATCGAATGGAATCGAATGGAAACACCATCGAATTGAAACGAATGGAATTATCATGAAATTGAAATGGATGGACTCATCAGCGAATGGATTCGAAAGGAATCATCGAATGAAATTGACTGAAATCATCATCAAATGGAATCGAATGGAATCATTGAATGGAATCGAATGGAATCATCATCAGATAGAAATGAATGGAATCATCATAGAATGGAATCGAATGGATTCATTGAATGGAATCAGATGGAATCATCGAATGGACTTGAATGGAATCATTGAATGGATTCGAATGGAATCATTATTGAATGGAATTGAATGGAATCATTGAATGGTCTCGAATGGAATCATTATCAAATGGAATCGAATGGAATCACCGAATAGAATCGAATGGAACAATCATCGAATGGACTCAAATGGAATTATCCTCAAATGGAATCGAATGGAATTATCCAATGCAATTGAATGGAATAATCGAATGCAATCGAATAGAATCATCGAATGGACTCGAATGAAATCATCGAATGGAATGGAATGGAATAGTCAATGAACTCGAACGGAATCATCATTGAATGGAATCGAATGGAATAATGATCAAATGGAATCCAATGCAATCATCATCAAATGGAATCAAAAATAACCATCATCAATTGTTATTGAATGGAAATGTCATGAAATGGAATTCAAAGGAATCATCATCAAATGGAACCGAATGGAATCCTCATTGAATGGAAATGAAAGGAGTCATCATCTACTGGAATCGCATGGAATCATCATCAAATGGAATCGAGTGGAATCATCATCAAATGGAATCTAATGGAATCATTGAACGGAATTGAATGGAATCGTCATCGAATGAATTGAATGCAATCATCGAATGGTCTCCAACGGAATCATCTTCCAATGGAATGGAATGGAATCATCGCATAGAATCGAATGGAATTATCATCGAATGGACTCGAATGGAATCAATCTCAAACGGAATGAAACGGAATTATCGAATGGAATCGAAGAGAATCATCGAATGGACTCCAATGGAATCATCTAATGGAATGGAATGGAATAATCCATGGACTCGAATGCAATCATCATCGAATGGAATCGAATCGAATCATCGAATGGACTCGAATGGAATAATCATTGTACGGAATCGCATGGAGTCATCATCGGATGGGAACTGAATGGAATCATCATCGAATGGAATTGAATAGAATTATGGAATGAAATCCAGTGTGATCAGCATCGAATGGACCCGAATGGAATCATCATCCAACGGAAGCTAATGGAATCAACATCGAATGAATCGAATGGAAACACCATCGAATTGAAACGAATGGAATTATCATGAAAGTGAAATGGATGGACTCGTCATCGAATGGATTCGAATGGAATCATCGAATAAAATTGATTGAAATCATCATCAAGTGGAATCGAATGGTATCATTGAATGGAATCGAATGGAATCATCAGATGGAAATGAATTGAATCGTCATAGAATGGAATCGAATGGATTCATTGAATGGAATCAGATGGAATCATCGAATGGACTGGAATGGAATCATTGAATGGACTCGAAAGGGATCATTATTGAATGGCATTGAATGGAATCATCGAATGGTCTCGATTGGAATCATTATCAAATGGAATCGAATGGAATCACCAAATAGAATCGAATGGAACAATCATCGAATGGACACAAATGGAATTATCCTCAAATGGAATCGAATGGAATTATCGAATGCAATCGAATGGAATTATCGAATGCAATCGAATAGAATCATCGAATAGATTCGAATGGAATCATCGAATGGAATGGAATGGAACAGTCAATGAACTCGAATGGAAACATCATTGAATGGAATCGAATGGAATCATCGAGTGGAATCGAATGGAATTATGATCAAATGGAATCGAATGTAATCATCATCAAATGGAATCAAAAATAACCATCATCAATTGGTATTGAATGGAATTGTCATCAAATGGAATTCAAAGGAATCATCATCAAATGGAACCGAATGGAATCCTCATTGAATGGAAATGAAAGGGGTCATCATCTAATGGAATCGCATGGAATCATCATCAAATGGAATCGAGTGGAATCATCATCAAATTGAATCTAAAGGAATCATTGAGCAGAATTGAATGGAATCGTCATCGAATGAATTGAATGCAATCATCGAATGGTCTCGAATGGAATCATCTTCTAATGGAAAGGAATGGAATCATCGCATAGAATCGAATGGAATTAAAATTGAATGGACTCGAATGGAATCAACACCAAACGGAAAAAAACGGAATTATCGAATGGAATCGAAGAGAATCATCGAATGGACCCGAATGGAATCATCTAATGGAATGGAATGGAATAATCCATGGACTCGAATGCAATCATCATCGAATGGAATCGAATGGAATCATCGAATGGACTCGAATGGAATAATCATTGAACGGAATCGAATGGAATCATCATCGGATGGAAAAGAATGGAATCATCATCGAATGGAAATGAAAGGAGTCATCATCTAATGGAATTGCATGGAATCATCATAAAATGGAATCGAATGGAATCAACATCAAATGGAATCCAATGGAATCATTGAACGGAATTGAATGGAATCGTCATCGAATCAATTGAATGCAATCATCGAATGGTCTCGAATGGAATAATCTTCAAATGGAATGGAATGGGATCATCGCATAGAATCGAATGTAATTATCATCGAATGGAATCGAATGAAATCAACAACAAACGGAAAAAAAAGGAATTATCGAATGGAATCAAAGAGAATCATCGAATGGACCCGAATGGAATCATCTAATGGAATGGAATGGAATAATCCATGGACTCGAATGCAATCATCATCGAATGGAATCGAATGGAATCATCGAATGGACTCGAATGGAATAATCATAGAACGGAATCGAATGGAATCATCATCGGATGGAAATGAATGGAATCACCATCGAATGGAATCGAATAGAATTATGGAATGAAATCCAGTGTGATCGTCATCGAATGCACCCGAATGGAATCATCATCCAACGGAATCTAATGGAAACAACATCGAATGAATCGAATGGAAACACCATCGAATTGAAACGAGTGGAATTATCATGAAATTGAAATGGATGGACTCATCATCGAATGGATTCGAATGGAATCATCGAATAAAATTGATTGAAATCATCATCAAATGGAATCGAATGGTATCATTGAATGGAATCGAATGGAATCATCATCAGATGGAAATGAATGGAATCGTCATAGAATGGAATCGAATGGATTCATTGAATGGAATCAGATGGAATCATCGAATGGACTGGAATGGAATCATTGAATGGACTCGAGAGGGATCATTATTGAATGGAATTGAATGGAATCATGGAATGGTCTCGATTGGAATCATTATCAAATGGAATCGAATGGAATCACCGAATAGAATCGAATGGAACAATCATCGAATGGACTCCAATGGAATTATCCTCAAATGGAATCGAATGGAATTATGGAATGCAATCGAATGGAATTATCGAATGCAATCGAATAGAATCATCGAATGGACTCGAATGGAATCATCGAATGGAATGGAATGGAACAGTCAATGAACTCGAATGGAATCATCATTGAATGGAATCGAAAGGAATCATCGAGTGGAATCGAATGGAATTATGATCAAATGGAATCGAATGTAATCATCATCAAATGGAATCAAAGATAACCATCATCAATTGGTATTGAATGGAATTGTCATCAAATGGAATTCAAACGAATCATCACCAAATGGAACCGAAAGGAATCCTCATTGAATGGAAATGAAAGGGGTCATCATCTAATGGAATCGCATGGAATCATCATCAAATGGAATCGAATGGAATCATCATCAGATGGAATCTAATGGAATCATTGAACAGAATTGAATGGAATATCATCTAATGGAATAGAATGCAATAATCCATGGACTGGAAGGCAATCATCATCGAATGGAATCGAATGGAATCATCGAATGGACTCGAGTGGAATAATCATTGAACGGAATCGAATGGAATCATCATCGGATGGAAACGAATGGAATCATTATCGAATGGAAATGAAAGGAGTCATCATCTAATGGAATTGCATGGAATCATCATAAAATGGAATCGAATGGAATCAACATCAAATGGAATCAAATGGAATCATTGAACGGAATTGAATGGAATCGTCATCGAATGAATTGAATGCAATCATCGAATGGTCTCGAATGGAATCATCTTCAAATGGAATGGAATGGAATCATCGCATAGAATCGAATGGAATTATCATCGAATGGAATCGAATGGAATCAACATCAAACGGAAAAAAACGGAATTATCGAATGGAATCGAAGAGAATCATCGAATGGACCCGAATGGAATCATCTAATGGAATGGAATGGAATAATCCATGGACTCGAATGCAATCATCATCGAATGGAATCGAATGGAATCATCGAATGGACTCGAATGGAATAATCATTGAACGGAATCGAATGGAATCATCATCGGATGGAAATGAATGGAATCATCATCGAATGGATATCGAATAGAAATATGGAATGAAATCCAGTGTGATCATCATCGAATGGACCCGAATGGAATCATCATCCAACGAATGCTAATGGAATCGTCATCGAATGAATCGAATGGCAACACCATCGAATGGTCTCAAATGGAATTATCATGAAATTGAAAGGAATGGAATTAACATCGCATAGAATCGAATGGAATCATCGAATAAAATTGATTGAAATCATCACCAAATGGAATCGAATGGAATCATTGAATGGAATCGAATGGAATCATCATCAGATGGAAATGAATGGAATCGTCATAGAATGGAATCGAATGGATTCATTGAATGGAATCAGATGGAATCATCGAATGGACTGGAATGGAATCATGAATGGACTCGAAAGGGGTCATTATTGAATGGAATTGAATGGAATCATCGAATGGTCTCGATTGGAATCATTATCAAATGGAATCGAATGGAATCACCGAATAGAATCGAATGGAACAATCATCGAATGGACTCAAATGGAATTATCCTCAAATGGAATCGAATGGAATTATCGAATGCAATCGAATGGAATTATCGAATGCAATCGAATAGAATCATCGAATGGACTCGAATGGAATCATCGAATGGAATGGAATGGAACAGTCAATGAACTCGAATGGAATCATCATTGAATGGAATCGAATGGAATCATCGAGTGGAATTGAATGGAATTATGATCAAATGGAATCGAATGTAATCATCATCAAATGGAATCAAAAATGACCATCATCAATTGGTATTGAATGGAATTGTCATCAAATGGAATTCAAAGGAATAATCATCAAATGGAACCGAATGGAATCCTCATTGAATGGAAATGAAAGGGGTCATCATCTAATGGAACCGCATGGAATCATCATCAAATGGAATCGAATGGAATCAACATCAAATGGAATCTGATGGAATCATTGAACAGAATTGAATGGAATCGTCATCGAATGAATTGAATGCAATCATCGAATGGTCTCGAATGGAGTCATCTTCTAATGGAAAGGAATGGAATCATCGCATAGAATCGAATGAATTCCATTCCATTAGCTGATTCCATTCGAGTCCATTCGATGATTCTTTTCGATTCCATTCGATATTTGCGTTTGATTCCGTTTGATGTTGGTTCCATTCGAGTCCAATCGATGATAATTCCATTCAATTCTATGCGATGATTCCATTCCAATCCATTTGAAGATGATTCCATTCGAGACCATTCGATGATTGCATTCAATTCATTCGATGATGATTCCATTCAATTCCGTTCAATGATTCCATTAGATTCCATTTGATGATGATTCCATTCGATTCCGTAGAATGATTATTCCATTAGAGTCCATTTGATGATTCCATTCGATTACATTCGATGATTCCATTCGATTCCATTCGATGATGATTTCATTCGAGTCCGTGGATTATTCCATTCCATTCCATTAGATGATTCTGTTCGAGCCCATTTGATGATTCTCTTCGATTCCATTCTATAAATCCGTTTGATTCCGTTTGATGTTGATTCCATTCGAGTCCATTCGATGATAATTCCATTCGATTCTATGCGATGACTCCATTCCATTCCATTTGAAGATGATTCCATTCGAGACCTTTCGATGATTGCATTCAATTCAATCGATGACGATTCCATTCAATTCCGTTCAATGATTCCATTAGATTCCATTTGATGATGATTCCATTCGACTCCATTTGATGATGATTCCATTCGATTCCATTAGATGATGACTCCTTTGATTTCCATTCGATGATGATTCCATTCGTTTCCATCTGATGATGATTCCATTAGTTTCCATCCGATGATGATTCCATTCGATTCCGTTCAATGATTATTCCATTCGAGTCCATTTGATGATTCCATTCGATTCTACTCGATGATGATTGCATTCGAGTCCATGGATTATTCCATTCGATTCCACTAGATGATTCCATTCGAGTGCATTCGATGATTCTCTTCGATTCCATTCGATAATTCCGTTTGATTCCTTTTGATGTTGATTCTATATGAGTCCATTCGATGATTGTTCCATTCGATTCTGTTCGGGGATTCCATTCGATGATTCTATTCAGTGAATCCATTTGATAATGATTCCATTCGAGACCATTCGATGATTCCATTCAATTCCATTCAATAATGATTCCCTTCGAGTCCATTCACAGATTCCATTCAAATCCATTCGATGATTCCATCTGATTCCATTCAATGAATCCATTCGATTCCATTCTATGATGATTCCATTCATTTCCATCTGATGATGATTCCAATCGATTCCATTCAATGATTCCATTCGATTCAATTTGATGATGATTTCAATAAATTTCATTCGATGATTGCATTCGAATCCATTCGATGATGAGTCCATCCATTTCAATTTCATGATAATTACATTCGTTGCATTTTGATGCTGTTTCCATTCGATTCCATTCGATCTTGATTCCATTAGATTCCACTGGATGATGATTTCATTCGAGTCCATTCGATGATGATCACATTGTATTTCATTCCATAATTCTATTCGATTACATTTGATGATGATTCGACCTGATTCCATTTGATGATTCCATTCGTTTCCATCCGACGATGATTCCATTCGATTCCGTTCAATGATTTCTCTATTCGAGTCCATTCGATGATTCCATTCGATTCCATTCGATGATGATTGCATTCGAGTCCATGGATTATTCCATTCCATTCCATTAGATGATTCCATTCGAGTCCATTCGATGATTCTCTTCGATTCCATTCCATAATTCCGTTTCATTCCGTTTGAGGTTGATTTCATTCGAGTCCATTCGATGATAATTCCATTCGATTCTATGCGATGATTCCATTACATTCCTTCGGAAGATGATTCCGTTCGAGACCATTCGATGATTGCATTCAATTCATTCGATGACGATTCCATTCAATTCCGTTCAATGATTCCATTAGATTCCATTTGATGATGATTCCATTGGATTCCATTTGATGATGATTCCATGCTATTCCATTAGATGATGACTCCTTTCATTTCCATTCAATGAGGATTCCATTCGTTTCCATTTGATGATGATTCCTTTGAAGTCCATTTGATGACAATTCCATTCAATACCAATTGATGAAACGAAATCGAATGAATCAAATGGAAACACCATCGAATTGAAACGAATGGAATTACCATGAAATTGAAATGGATGGACTCATCATCGAATGGATTCGAATGGAATCATCGAATAAAATTGATTGAAATCATCATCGAATGGAATCGAATGGTATCATTGAATGGAATCGAATGGAATCATCATCAGATGGAAATGAATGGAATCGTCATGGAATGGAATCGAATGGATTCATTGAATGGAATCAGATGGAATCATCGAATGGACTGGAATGGAATCATTGAATGGACTCGAAAGGGATCATTATTGAATGGAATTGAATGGAATCATCAAATGGTCTCGATTGGAATCATTATCAAATGGAATCGAATGGAATCACCGAATAGAATCGAATGGAACAATCATCGAATGGACTCAAATGGAATTATCCTCCAATGGAATCGAATGGAATTATCGAATGCAATCGAATGGAATTATCGAATGCAATCGAATAGAATCATCGAATGGACTCGAATGGAATCATCGAGTGGAATGGAATGGAACAGTCAATGAACTCGAATGGAATCATCATTGAATGGAATCGAATGGAATCATCGAGTGGAATCGAATGGAATTATGATCAAATGGAATCGAATGTAATCATCATCAAATGGAATCAAAAATAACCATCATCAATTAGTATTGAATGGAATTGTCATCAAATGGAATTCAAAGGAATCATCATCAAATGGAACCGAATGGAATCCTCATTGAATGGAAATGAAAGGGGTCATCATCTAATGGAATCGCATGGAATCATCATCAAATGGAATCGAGTGGAATCATCATCAAATTGAATCTAAAGGAATCATTGAGCAGAATTGAATGGAATCGTCATCGAATGAATTGAATGCAATCATCGAATGGTCTCGAATGGAATCATCTTCTAATGGAAAGGAATGGAATCATCGCATAGAATCGAATGGAATTAAAATTGAATGGACTCGAATGGAATCAACACCAAACGGAAAAAAACGGAATTATCGAATGGAATCGAAGAGAATCATCGAATGGACCCGAATGGAATCATCTAATGGAATGGAATGGAATAATCCATGGACTCGAATGCAATCATCATCGAATGGAATCGAATGGAATCATCGAATGGACTCGAATGGAATAATCATTGAACGGAATCGAATGGAATCATCATCGGATGGAAAAGAAAGGAATCATCATCGAATGGAAATGAAAGGAATCATCATAAAATGGAATCAGATGGAATCAACATCAAATGGAATCCAATAGAATTATGGAATCAAATCCAATGTGATCATCATCGAATGGACTCAAATAGAATCATCATCCAATGGAAACTAATGGAATCAACATCGAATGGAATCGAATGGAAACACCATCGAATTGAAACGAATGGAATTATCATGAAATTGAAATGGATGGACTCATCATCGAATAGATTCGAATGGAATCATCGAATGAAATTTATTGAAATCATCATCAAATGGAATCGAATGGAATCATTGAATGGAATCGAGTGGAATCATCATCAGATGAAAATGAATGGAATCATCACAGAATGGAATCGAATGGATTCATTGAATGGAATCAGATGGAATCATCGAATGGACTTGAATGGAATCATTGAATTGACTCGAATGGAATCATTATTGAATGGAATTGAATGGAATCATCGAATGGTCTCGAATGGAATCTTTATCAAATGGAATCGAATGGAATCACCGAATAAAATCGAATTGAACAATCATCGAATGGACTCAAATGGAATTATCCTTAAATGGAATCGAATGGAATTATCGAATGCAATCGAATGGAATAATCGAATGCAATCGAATAGAATCATCGAATGGACTGGAATGGAATCATCGAATGGAATGGAATGGAATAGTCAATGAACTCGAATGGAATCATCATTGAATGGAATGGAATGCAATCATCGAGTGGAATCGAATGGAATCATGATCAAATGGAATCGAATGTAATCATCATCAAATGGTGTCAAAAATAACCATCATCAATTGGTATTGAATGGAATTGTCATCAAATGAAATTCAAAGGAATCATCATCAAATGGAACGGAATGGAATACTCATTGAATGGAAATGAAAGGAGTCATCATCTAATGGAATCGCATGGAATCATCATTAAATGGAATCGAATGGAATCATCATCAAATAGAATCTAATGGAATCATTGAACAGAATTGAATGGAATCGTCATCGAATGAATTGAATACAATCACCGAATGATCTCCAACGGAATCATCTTTCAATTAAATGGAATGGAATCATCGCATAGAATCGAATGGAATTATCATCGAATGGACTCGAATGGAATCAATCTCAAACGGAATGAAACGGAATTATTGAATGGAATCGAAGAGAATCATCGAATGGACTCGAATGGAATCATCTAATGGAATGGAATGGAATAATCCATGGACTCGAATGCAATCATCATCGAATGGAATCGAATGGAATCATCGAATGGACTCGAAAGGAATCATCATTGAACGGAATCGAATGGAATCATCAAATGGAATCAGATGGAATCATCATCAAATGGAATCGAATAGAATTATGGAATGAAATCCAATGTGGTCATCATCGAATGGACTCGAATGGAATCATCATCCGATTCCGTTCATGATTATTCCATTCGAGTCCATTCGATGATTCCAATCGATTCCTTTCGAAGATTCCATTCGATTCCATTCGACGATGATTTCATTCGAGTCCTTGGATTATTCCTTTAAATTCCATTAGATGATTCCGTCCGAGTCCATTCTATGATTCTCCTCGATTCCATTTGATAATTCCGTTTGATTCCTTTTGAGGTTGTTTCCATTCGAGTCCATTCGATGATAATTCCATTCGATTCTATGCGATGATTCCATTCCATTCCATTGGAAGATGATTCCGTTCGAGACCATTCGATGATTGCATTCAATTCATTCGATGATTGCATTCAATTCATTCGATGATGATTCCATTCAATTCCGTTCAATGATTCCATTAGATTCCATTTGATGATGATTCCATGCTATTCTATAAGATGATGACTCCTTTCATTTCTATTCGATAATGATTCCATTCGTTTCCATCCGATGATGATTCCATTCGATTCTGTTCAATGATTATTCCATTCGAGTCCATTCGGTGATTCCATTCGATTCCATTCAATGATTCCATTCGATTCCATTCGATGATGTTTTCATTCGAGTCCGTGGATTATTCCTCTAAATTCCATTAGATGATTCCGTTCGAGTCCATTCGATGATTCTCTTCGATTCCCTTCGATAATGCCATTTGATTCCGTTTGATGTTGATTCCATTCGAGTCCATTCAATGATAATTCCATTCGATTCTATGGGATCGTTCCATTCCTTTACATTTGAAGATGATTCCATTCGAGACCATTCGATGATTGCATTCAATTCATTCGATGACGATTCCATTCAATTCCGTTGAATGATTCCATTAGATTCCATTTGATGATGATTCCATTCGATTCCATTTGATGATCATTCCGTGCGATTCCATTAGATGATGACTCCTTTCATTTCCATTCTATGAGGATTCCATTCGGTTCCATTTGATGATGATTCCTTTGAATTCCATTTGATGACAATTCCATTCAATACCAGTTGATGATGGTTATTTTTGATTCCATTTGATGATGATTACATTCGATTCCATTTGATCATGATTCCATTCGATTCCACTCGATGACTCCATTCAATTCCATTCAATGATCATTCCATTCGAGTTAATTGACTATTCCATTCCACTCCCATCGATGATTCCATTCGAGACTATTCGATGATTCTCTTCGATTCCATTCGATAATTCCGTTTGATTCCGTTTGATGTTGATTCCATTCCAGTCCATTCAATAATTCCATTTGATTCTATGCAATGATTCCGTTCCTTTCCATTTGAAGATGATTCCTTTCGAGACCATGTGATGATTGCATTCAATTCATTCGATGATGATTCCATTCAATTCTGCTCATTTATTCCATTAGATTCCATTAGAAGATGATTCCATTCGATTCCGTTCAATGATTATTCCATTCGAGTCCATTCGATGATTCCCATTCGAATCCATTCGATGATTCCATTCGATGATGTTTTCATTCGAGTCCGTGGATTATTCCATTCCATTAGATTAGATGATGCCGTTCGAGTCCATTCGATGATTCTCTTCGATTCCATTCGATAATTCCGTTGGATTCCGTTTGATGTTGATTCCATTCGAGTCCATTCGATGATAATTCCATTCGATTCTATGCGATGATTCCATTCCATTCCATTTGAAGATGATTCAATTCGAGACCTTTCGATGATGGAATTCAGTTCATTCGATGACGATTCCATTGAATTCCGTTCAACAATTGCATTAGATTCCATTTGATGATGTTTCCATTCGATTCCATTTGATGATGATTCCATGCGATTCCGTTAGATAATGACTCCTTTCGTTTCCATTCGATGATGATTCCATTCGTTTCCATCCGATGATGATTCCTTTTGATTCTGTTCAATGATTATTCCATTCGAGTCCATTCGATGATTCCATTCGATTCCATTCGATGATGATTGCATTCGAGTCCATGGATTATTCCATTACATTCCATTACATGATTCCATATCGTGTCCATTCGATGATTCTCTTCGATTGCATTCGATAATTCCATTTGATTCCGTTTGATGTTGATTCCATTCGAGTCCATTCAATGGTAATTCCATTTGATTCTATGCGATAATTCCATTCCTTTCCATTTGAAGATGATTCCATTCGAGACCATTCGATGATTGCATTCAATTCATTCGATGACGATTCCATTCAATTCCGTTCAATGATTCCCTTAGATTCCATTTGATGATGATTCCATTCGATTCCATTTGATGATGATTCCATGCGATTCCATTAGATGATGACTCCTTTCATTTCCATTCAATGAGGATTCCATTCGGTTCCATTTGATGATGATTCCTTTGAATTCCATTTGATGACAATTCCATTCAAAACCAATTGATGATGGTTATTTTTGATTCCATTTGATGATGATTACATTCGATTCCATTTGATCATGATTCCATTCGATTCCACTCGATGATTCCATTCGATTCCATTCAATGATGATTCCATTCGAGTTCATTGACTATTCCATTCCTTTACATTCGATGATTCCATTCGAGTCCATTCGATGATTCTATTCGATTGCATTCGATTATTCCATTCGATTGCATTCGATAATTCCATTCGATTCCCTTCCGATAATTCCATTTGAGTCCATTCGATGATTGTTCCATTCGATTGACTCGAATGCAATCATCATCGTATAGAATCGAATGGAATCATTGAATGGACTCGAATGGAATAATCATTGAACGGAATCAAATGGAATCATCATCGGATGGAAACGAATGGAATCATCATCGAATGGAAAAGAAAAGAGTCATCATCTAATGGAATTGCATGGAATCATCATAAAATGGAATCGAATGGAATCAACATCAAATGGAATCAAATGGAATCATTGAACGGAATTGAATAGAATCGTCATCGAATGAAATGAATGCAATCATCGAATGGTCTCGAATGGAATCATCTTCTAATGGAAAGTAATGGAATCATCGCATAGAATCGAATGGAATTAAAATTGAATGGACTCGAATGGAATCAACATCAAACGGAAAGAAACGGAATTATCGAATGGAATCGAAGAGAATCATCGAATGGACCCGAATGGAATCATCTAATGGAATGGAATGGAATAATCCATGGACTCGAATGCAATCATCATCGAATGGAATCGAATGGAATCATCGAATGGACTCGAATGGAATAATCATTGAACGGAATCGAATGGAATCATCATCGGATGGAAAAGAATGGAATCATCATCGAATGGAAATGAAAGGAGTCATCATCTAATGGAATTGCATGGAATCATCATAAAATGGAATCGAATGGAATCAACATCAAATGGAATCCAATGGAATCATTGAACGGAATTGAATGGAATCGTCATCGAATCAATTGAATGCAATCATCGAATGGTCTCGAATGGAATCATCGTCGAATGGAATCGAATGGAATCATCGCATAGAATCGAATGGAATTATCATCGAATGGAATCGAATGGCATCAACACCAAACGGAAAAAAACGGAATTATCGAATGGAATCGAAGAGAATCTTTGAACGGACCCGAATGGAATCATCTAATGGAATGGAATGGAATAATCCATGGACTCGAATGCAATCATCATCGAATGGAATCGAATCGAATCATCGAATGGACTCGAATGGAATAATCCTTGAACGTAATCGCATGGAGTCATCATCGCATGGAACTGAATGGCATCATCATCGAATGGAATCGAATAGAATTATGGAATGAAATCCAGTGTGATCATCATCGAATGGACCCGAATGGAATCATCATCCAACGGAAGCTAATGGAATCAACATCGAATGAATCGAATGGAAACACCATCGAATTGAAACGAATGGAATTATCATGAAATTGAAATGGATGGACTCATCATCGAATGGATTCGAATGGAATCATCGAATAAAATTGATTGAAATCATCATCAAATTGAATCGAATGGTATCATTGAATGGAATCGAATGGAATCATCATCAGATGGAAATGAATGGAATCGTCATAGAATGGAATCGAATGGATTCATTGAATGGAATCAGATGGAATCATCGAATGGACTGGAATGGAATCATTGAATGGACTCGAAAGGGCTCATTATTGAATGGAATTGAATGGAATCATCGAATGGTCTCGATTGGAATCATTATCAAATGGAATCGAATGGAATCACCGAATAGAATCGAATGGAACAATCATCGAATGGACTCAAATGGAATTATCCTCCAATGGAATCGAATGGAATTATCGAATGCAATCGAATGGAATTATCGAATGCAATCGAATAGAATCATCGAATGGACTCGAATGGAATCATCGAATTGAATGGAATGGAACAGTCAATGAACTCGAATGGAATCATCATTGAATGGAATCGAATGGAATCATCGAGTGGAATCGAATGGAATTATGATCAAATGGAATCGAATGTAATCATCATCAAATGGAATCAAAAATAACCATCATCAATTGGTATTGAATGGAATTGTCATCAAATGGAATTCAAAGGAATCATCATCAAATGGAACCGAATGGAATCCTCATTGAATGGAAATGAAAGGGGTCATCATCTAATGGAATCGCATGGAATCATCATCAAATGGAATCGAATGGAATCATCATCAAATGGAATCTAATGGAATCATTGAAGAGAATTGAATGGAATCGTCATCGAATGAATTGAATGCAATCATCAAATGGTCTCGAATGGAATCATCATCTAATAGAAAGGAATGGAATCATCGCATAGAATCGAATGGAATTATCATCGAATGGAATCGAATGGTATCAACACCAAACGAAAAAAAACGGAATTTTCGAATGGAATCGAAGAGAATCTTCGAACGGACCCGAATGGAATCATCTAATGGAATGGAATGGAATAATCCATGGACTGGAAGGCAATCATCATCGAATGGAATCGAATGGAATCATCGAATGGACTCGAATGGAATAATCATTGAACGGAATCCAATGGAATCATCATCGGATGGAAACGAATGGAATCATCATCGAATGGAAATGAAAGGAGTCAACATCTAATGGAATTGCATGGAATCATCATAAAATGGAATCGAATGGAATCAACATCAAATGGAATCAAATGGAATCATTGAACAGAATTGAATGGAATCGTCATCGAATGAATTGAATGCAATCATCGAATGGTCTCGAATGGAATCATCTTCAAATGGAAAGGAATGGAATCATCGCATAGAATCGAATGGAATTATCATCGAATGGAATCGAATGGTATCAACACCAAACGGAAAAAAACGGAATTATCGAATGGAATCAAAGAGAATCTTCGAACGGACCCGAATGAAATCATCTAATGGAATAGAATGCAATAATCCATGGACTGGAAGGCAATCATCATCGAATGGAATCGAATGGAATCATCGAATGGACTCGAGTGGAATAATCATTGAACGGAATCGAATGGAATCATCATCGGATGGAAACGAATGGAATCATTATCGAATGGAAATGAAAGGAGTCATCATCTAATGGAATTGCATGGAATCATCATAAAATGGAATCGAATGGAATCAACATCAAATGGAATCAAATGGAATCATTGAACGGAATTGAATGGAATCGTCATCGAATGAATTGAATGCAATCATCGAATGGTCTCGAATGGAATCATCTTCAAATGGAATGGAATGGAATCATCGCATAGAATCGAATGGAATTATCATCGAATGGAATCGAATGGAATCAACATCAAACGGAAAAAAACGGAATTATCGAATGGAATCGAAGAGAATCATCGAATGGACCCGAATGGAATCATCTAATGGAATGGAATGGAATAATCCATGGACTCGAATGCAATCATCATCGAATGGAATCGAATGGAATCATCGAATGGACTCGAATGGAATAATCTTTGAACGGAATCGAATGGAATCATCATCGGATGGAAATGAATGGAATCATCATCGAATGGAATCGAATAGAATTATGGAATGAAATCCAGTGTGATCATCATCGAATGGACCCGAATGGAATCATCATCCAACGGAAGCTAATGGAATCAACATCGAATGAATCAAATGGAAACACCATCGAATTGAAACGAATGGAATTACCATGAAATTGAAATGGATGGACTCATCATCGAATGGATTCGAATGGAATCATCGAATAAAATTGATTGAAATCATCATCGAATGGAATCGAATGGTATCATTGAATGGAATCGAATGGAATCATCATCAGATGGAAATGAATGGAATCGTCATGGAATGGAATCGAATGGATTCATTGAATGGAATCAGATGGAATCATCGAATGGACTGGAATGGAATCATTGAATGGACTCGAAAGGGATCATTATTGAATGGAATTGAATGGAATCATCAAATGGTCTCGATTGGAATCATTATCAAATGGAATCGAATGGAATCACCGAATAGAATCGAATGGAACAATCATCGAATGGACTCAAATGGAATTATCCTCAAATGGAATCGAATGGAATTATCGAATGCAATCGAATGGAATTATCGAATGCAATCGAATAGAATCATCGAATGGACTCGAATGGAATCATCGAATGGAATGGAATGGAACAGTCAATGAACTCGAATGGAATCATCATTGAATGGAATCGAATGGAATCATCGAGTGGAATCGAATGGAATTATGATCAAATGGAATCGAATGTAATCATCATCAAATGGAATCAAAAATAACCATCATCAATTGGTATTGAATGGAATTGTCATCAAATGGAATTCAAGGAATCATCATCAAATGGAACCGAATGGAATCCTCATTGAATGGAAATGAAAGGGGTCATCATCTAATTGAATCGCATGGAATCATCATCAAAAGGAATCGAATGGAATCATCATCAAATGGAATCTGATGGAATCATTGAACAGAATTGAATGGAATCGTCATCGAATGAATTGAATGCAATCATCGAATGGTCTCGAATGGAATCATCTTCTAATGGAAAGGAATGGAATCATCGCATAGAATCGAATGGAATTATCATCGAATGGAATCGAATGGTATCAACATCAAACGGAAAAAAACGGAATTATCGAATGGAATCGAAGAGAATCTTCGAACGGACCCGAATGGAATCATCTAATGGAATGGAATGGAATAATCCATGGACTGGAAGGCAATCATCATCGAATGGAATCGAATGGAATCATCGAATGGACTCGAATGGAATAATCATTGAACGGAAACGAATGGAATCATCATCGGATGGAAACGAATGGAATCATCATCGAATGGAAATGAAAGGAGTCATCATCTAATGGAATTGAATGGAATCATCATAAAATGGAATCGAATGGGATCAACATCAAATGGAATCAAATGGAATCATTGAACGGATTTGAATGGAATCGTCATCGAATGAATTGAATGCAATCATCGAATGGTCTCGAATGGAATCATCTTCAAATGGAATAGCATGGAATCATCGCATAGAATCGAATGGAATTATCATCGAATGGAATCGAATGGAATCAACATCAAACGGATAAAAACGGAATTATCGAATGGAATCGAAGAGAATCATCGAACGGACACGAATGGAATCATCTAATGGAATGGAATGGAATAATCCATGGACTCGAATGCAATCATCATCGAATGGAATCGAATGGAATCATCGAATGGACTCGAATGGAATAATCATTGAACGGAATCGAATGGAATCATCATCGGATGGAAATGAATGGAATCATCATCGAATGGAATGGAATAGAATTATGGAATGAAATCCAGTGTGATCATCATCGAGTGGACCCGAATGGAATCATCATCCAACGGAAGCTAATGGAATCAACATCGAATGAATCGAATGGAAACACCATCGATTTGAAACGAATGGAATTATCATGAAATTGAAATGGATGGACTCATCATCGAATGGATTCGAATGGAATCATCGAATAAAATTGATTGAAATCATCATCAAATGGAATCGAATGGTATCATTGAATGGAATCGAATGGAATCATCATCAGATGGAAATGAATGGAATCGTCATAGAATGGAATCGAATGGATTCATTGAATGGAATCAGATGGAATCATCGAATGGACTGGAATGGAATCATTGAATGGACTCGAAAGGGATCATGATTGAATGGAATTGAATGGAATCATCGAATGGTCTCGATTGGAATCATTATCAAATGGAATCGAATGGAATCACCGAATAGAATCGATTGGAACAATCATCGAATGGACTCAAATGGAATTATCCTCAAATGGAATCGAATGGAATTATCGAATGCAATCGAATGGAATTATCGAATGCAATCGAATAGAATCATCGAATGGACTCGAATGAAATCATCGAATGGAATGGAATGGAACAGTCAATGAACTCGAATGGAATCATCATTGAATGGAATCGAATGGAATCATCGAGTGGAATCGAATGGAATTATGATCAAATGGAATCGAATGTATTCATCATCAAATGGAATCAAAAATAACCATCATCAATTGGTATTGAATGGAATTGTCATCAAATGGAATTCAAAGGAAACATCATCAAATGGAACCGAATGGAATCCTCATTGAATGGAAATGAAAGGGGTCATCATCTAATGGAATCGCATGGAATCATCATCAAATGGAATCGAATGGAATCATCATCAAATGGAATCTGATGGAATCATTGAACAGAATTGAATGGAATCGTCATCGAATGAATTGAATGCAATCATCGAATGGTCTCGAATGGAATCATCTTCTAATGGAAAGGAATGGAATCATCGCATAGAATCGAATGGAATTAACATTGAATGGACTCGAATGGAATCAACATCAAACGGAATCAAGCGGAATTATCGAATGGAATCGAAGAGAATCATCGAATGGACTCGAATGGAATCATCTAATGGAATGGAATGGAATAATCCACGGACTCGAATGCAATCATCATCGTATAGAATCGAATGGAATCATCGAAAGGACTCGAAAGGAATAATCATTGAACGGAATCGAATGGAATCATCATCGGATGGAAACGAATGGAATCATCATCGAATGGAAATGAAAGGAGTCATCATCTAATGGAATTGCATGGAATCATCATAAAATGGAATCGAATGGAATCATCATCAAATGGAATCAAATGGAATCATTGAACGGAATTGAATGGAATCGTCATCGAATGAATTGAATGCAATCATCGAATGGTCTCGAATGGAATCATCTTCAAATGGAATGGAATGGAATCATCGCATAGAATCGAATGGAATTATCATCGAATGGAATCGAATGGAATCAACATCAAATGGAAAAAAACGGAATTATCGAATGGAATCGAAGAGAATCATCGAATGGACCCGAATGGAATCATCTAATGGAATGGAATGGAATAATCCATGGACTCGAATGCAATCATCATCGAATGGAATCGAATGGAATCATCGAATGGACTCGAATGGAATAATCATCAAACGGAATCGAATGGAATCATCATCGGATGGAAATGAATAGAATCATCATCGAATGGAATCGAATAGAATTATGGAATGAAATCCAGTGTGATCATCATCGAATGCACCCGAATGAAATCATCATCCAACGGAAGCTAATGGAATCAACATCGAATGAATCGAATGGAAACACCATCGAATTGAAACGAATGGAATTATCATGAAATTGAAATGGATGGACTCATCATCGAATGGATTCGAATGGAATCATCGAATAAAATTGATTGAAATCATCATCAAATGGAATCGAATGGTATCATTGAATGGAATCGAATGGAATCATCATCAGATGGAAATGAATGGAATCGTCATAGAATGGAATCGAATGGATTCATTGAGTGGAATCAGATGGAATCATCGAATGGACTGGAATGGAATCACTGAATGGACTCGAAAGGGATCATCATTGAATGGAATTGAATGGAATCATCGAATGGTCTCGATTGGAATCATTATCAAATGGAATCGAATGAAATCACCGAATAGAATCGAATGGAACAATCATCGAATGGACTCAAATGGAATTATCTTCAAATGGAATCGAATGGAATTATCGAATGCAATCGAATGGAATTATCGAATGCAATCGAATAGAATCATCGAATGGACTCGAATGGAATCATCGAATGGAATGGAATGGAACAGTCAATGAACTCGAATGGAATCATCATTGAATGGAATCGAATGGAATCATCGAGTGGAATCGAATGGAATTATGATCAAATGGAATCGAATGTAATCATCATCAAATGGAATCAAAAATAACCATCATCAATTGGTATTGAATGGAAGTGTCATCAAATGGAATTCAAAGGAATCATCATCAAATGGAACCGAATGGAATCCTCATTGAATGGAAATGAAAGGGGTCATCATCTAATGGAAACGTATGGAATCATCATCAAATGGAATCGAATGGAATCATCATCAAATGGAATCTGATGGAATCATTGAACAGAATTGAATGGAATCGTCATCGAATGAATTGAATGCAATCATCGAATGGTCTCGAATGGAATCATCTTCTAATGGAAAGGAATGGAATCATCGCATAGAATCGAATGGAATTAACATTGAATGGACTCGAATGGAATCATCATCAAACGGAATCAAGAGGAATTATCGAATGGAATCGAAGAGAATCATCGAATGGACTCGAATGGAATAATCTAATTGAATTGAATGGAATAATCCACGGACTCGAATGCAGTCATCATCGTATAGAATCGAATGGAATCATCGAATGAACTCGAATGGAATAATCATTGAACGGAATCGAATGGAATCATCATCGGATGGAAACGAATGGAATCATCATCGAATGGAAATGAAAGCAGTCATCATCTAATGGAATTGCATGGAATCATCATAAAATGGAATCGAATGGAATCAACATCAAATGGAATCAAATGGAATCATTGAACAGAATTGAATGGAATCGTCATCGAATGAATTGAATGCAATCATCGAATGGTCTCGAATGGAATCATCTTCAAATGGAATGGAATGGAATCATCGCATAGAATCGAATGGAATTATCATCGAATGGAATCGAATGGAATCAACATCAAACGGAAAAAAACGGAATTATCGAATGGAATCGAAGAGAATCATCGAATGGACCCGAATGGAATCATCTAATGGAATGGAATGGAATAATCCATGGACTCGAATGCAATCATCATCGAATGGAATCGAATGGAATCATCGAATGGACTCGAATGGAATAATCATTGAACGGAATCGAATGGAATCATCATCGGATGGAAACGAATGGAATCATCATCGAATGGAAATGAAAGGAGTCATCATGCAATGGAATTGCATGGAATCATCATAAAATGGAATCGAATGGAATCAACATCAAATAGAATCAAATGGAATCATTGAACGGAATTGAATGGAATCGTCATCGAATGAATTGAATGCAATCATCGAATGGTCTCGAATGGAATCATCTTCAAATGGAATGGAATGGAATCATCGCATAGAATCGAATGGAATTATCATCGAATGGAATCGAATGGAATCAACATCAAACAGAAAAAAACGGAATTATCGAATGGAATCGAAGAGAATCATCGAACGGACCCGAATGGAATCATCTAATGGAATGGAATGGAATAATCCATGGACTCGAATGCAATCATCATCGAATGGAATCGAATGGAATCATCGAATGGACTCGAATGGAATAATCATTGAACGGAATCGAATGGAATCATCATCGGATGGAAACGAATGGAATCATCATCGAATGGAAATGAAAGGATTCATCATCTAATGGAATTGCATGGAATCATCATAAAATGGAATCGAATGGAATCAACATCAAATGGAATCAAATGGAATCACTGAACGGAATTGAATGGAATCGTCATCGAATGAATTGAATGCAATCATCGAATGGTCTCGAATGGAATCATCTTCAAATGGAATGGAATGGAATCATCGCATAGAATCGAATGGAATTATCATCGAATGGAATCGAATGGAATCAACATCAAACGGAAAAATCGGAATTATCGTATGGAATCGAAGAGAATCATCGAATGGACCCGAATGGAATCATCTAATGGAGTGGAATGGAATAATCCATGGACTCGAATGCAATCATCATCGAATGGAATCGAATGGAATCATCGAATGGACTCGAATGGAATAATCATCGAACGGAATCGAATGGAGTCATCATCGGATGGAAATGAATGGAATCATCATCGAATGGAATCGAATAGAATTATGGAATGAAATCCAGTGTGATCATCATCGAATGGACCCGAATGGAATCATCATCCAACGGAAGCTAATGGAATCAACATCGAATGAATCGAATGGAAACACCATCGAATTGAAACGAATGGAATTATCATGAAATTGAAATGGATGGACTCATCATCGAATGGATTCGAATGGAATCATCGAATAAAATTGATTGAAATCATCAACAAATGGAATCGAATGGTATCATTGAATGGAATCGAATGGAATCATCATCAGATGGAAATGAATGGAATCGTCATAGAATGGAATCGAATGGATTCATTGAGTGGAATCAGATGGAATCATCGAATGGACTGGAATGGAATCACTGAATGGACTCGAAAGGGATCATCATTGAATGGAATTGAATGGAATCATCGAATGGTCTCGATTGGAATCATTATCAAATGGAATCGAATGAAATCACCGAATAGAATCGAATGGAACAATCATCGAATGGACTCAAATGGAATTATCCTCAAATGGAATCGAATGGAATTATCGAATGCAATCGAATGGAATTATCGAATGCAATCGAATAGAATCATCGAATGGACTCGAATGGAATCATCGAATGGAATGGAATGGAACAGTCAATGAACTCGAATGGAATCATCATTGAATGGAATCGAATGGAATCATCGAGTGGAATCGAATGGAATTATGATCAAATGGAATCGAATGTAATCATCATCAAATGGAATCAAAAATAACCATCATCAATTGGTATTGAATGGATTTGTCATCAAATGGAATTCAAAGGAATCATCATCAAATGGAACCAAATGGAATCCTCATTGAATGGAAATGAAAGGGGTCATCATCTAATGGAATCGCATGGAATAATCATCAAATGGAATCGAATGGAATCATCATCAAATGGAATCTAATGGAAACATTGAACAGAATTGAATGGAATCGTCGTCGAAAGAATTGAATGCAATCATCGAATGGTCTCGAATGGAATCATATTGTAATGGAAACAAATGGAATCATCGCATAGAATCGAATGGAATTATCATCGAATGGAATCGAATGGTATCAACATCAAACGGAAAAAAACGGAATTATCGAATGGAATCGAAGAGAATCTTCGAACGGACCCGAATAGAATCATCTAATGGAATGGAATGGAATAATCCATGGACTCGAATGCAATCATCATCGAATGGAATCGAATGGAATCATCGAATGGACTCGAATGGAATAATCATTGAACGGAATCGAATGGAATCATCTTCGGATGGAAACGAATGGAATCATCATCGAATGGAAATGAGAGGAGTCATCATCTAATGGAATTGCATGGAATCATCATAAAATGGAATCGAATGGAATCAACATCAAATGGAATCAAATGGAATCATTGAACGGAATTGAATGGAATGGTCATCGAATGAATTGAATGCAATAATCGAATGGTCTCGAATGGAATCATCTTCAAATGGAATGGAATGGAATCATCGCATAGAATCGAATGGAATTATCATCGAATGGAATCGAATGGAATCAACATCAAACGGAAAAAAACGGAATTATCGAATGGAATCGAAGAGAATCATCGAATGGACCCGAATGGAATCATCTAATGGAATGGAATGGAATAATCCACGGACTCGAATGCAATCATCGTCGAATGGAATCGAATGGAATCATCGAATGGGCTCGAATGGAATAATCATTGAACGGAATCGAATGGAATCATCATCGGATGGAAACGAATGGAATCATCATCGAATGGAAATGAAAGGAATCATCATCTAATGGAATTGCATGGAATCATCATAAAATGGAATCGAATGGAATCAACATCAAATGGAATCAAATGGAATCATTGAACGGAATTGAATAGAATCGTCATCGAATGAATTGAATGCAATCATTGAATGGTCTCGAATGGAATCAACTTCAAATGGAATGGAATGGAACCATCGCATAGAATCGAATGGAATTATCATCGAATGGAATCGAATGGAATCAACATCAAACGGAAAAAAACGGAATTATCGAATGGAATCGAAGAGAATCATCGAATGGACCCGAATGGAATCATCTAATGGAATGGAATGGAATAATCCATGGACTCGAATGCAATCATCATCGAATGGAATCGAATGGAATCATCGAATGGGTTCGAATGGAATAATCATTGAACGGAATCGAATGGAATCATCTTCGGATTGAAATGAATGGAAATATCATCGAATGGAATCGAATAGAATTATGGAATGAAATCCAGTGTGATCATCATCGAATGGACCCGAATGGAATCATCATCCAACGGAAGCTAATGGAATCAACATCGAATGAATCTAATGGAAACACCATCGAATTGAAACGAATGGAATTATCATGAAATTGAAATGGATGGACTCATCATCGGATGGATTCGAATGGAATCATCGAATAAAATTGATTGAAATCATCATCAAATGGAATCGAATGGTATCATTGAATGGAATCGAATGGAATCATCATCAGATGGAAATGAATGGAATCGTCATAGAATGGAATCGAATGGATTCGTTGAATGGAATCAGATGGAATCATCGAATGGACTGGAATGGAATCATTGAATGGACACGAAAGGGATCATTATTGAATGGAATGGAATGGAATCATGGAATGGTCTCGATTGGAATCATTATCGAATGGAATCGAATGGAATCACCGAATAGAATCGAATGGAACAATCATCGAATGGACTCAAATGGAATTATCATCAAATGGAATGGAATGGAATTATCGAATGCAATCGAATGGAATTATCGAATGCAATCGAATAGAATCATCGAATGGACTCGAATGGAATCATCGAATGGAATGGAATGGAAAGTCAATGAAATCGAATGGAATCATCATTGAATGGAATCGAATGGAATCATCGAGTGGAATCGAATGGAATCATGATCAAATGGAATCGAATGTAATCATCATCAAATGGAATCCAAAATAACCATCATCAATTGGTATTGAATGGAATTGTCATCAAATGGAATTCAAAGGAATCATCATCAAATGGAACCGAATGGAATCCTCGTTGAATGGAAATGAGCGGAGTCATCATCTAATGGAATTGCATGGAATCATCATCAAATGGAATCGAATGGAATCATCATCAAATGGAAACTAATGGAATCATTGAACGGAATTGAATGGAATCTTCATCGAATGAATCGAATGCAATCATCGAATGGTCTCGAACGGATTCATCTTCAAATGGAATGGAATGGAATCATCGCATAGAATGGAATGGAATTATCATCGAATGGACTCGAATGGAATCAACATCAAACGGAATCAAACTTAATTATCGAATGGAATCGAAGAGAATAATCGAATGGACTCGAATGGAATCATCTAATGGAATAGAATGGAATAATCGATGGACTCGAATGCAATCTCCATCGAATAGAATCGAATGGAATCATCGAATGGACTCGAATGGAATAATCATTGAACGGAATCGAATGGAATCTTCACTGGATGTAAACGAATGGAATCATCATCGAATGGAAATGAAAGGAGTCATCATCTAATGGAATCGGATGGAATGATCATCAAATGGAATCGAATGGAATCATCATCAATAAATGGAATCTAATGGAATCATTGAACCGAATTGAATGGAATCGTCATCGAATGAATTGAATGCAATCATCGAATGGTCTCGAATGGAATCATCTTCAAATGGAATGGAATGGAATCATCGCATAGAATCGAATGGAATTATCATCAAATGGACTCGAATGCAATCAACATCAAACGGAATCAAACGGAATTATCGAATGGAATCGAAGAGAATCATCTAATGGACTCGAATGGAATCATCTAATGGAATAGAATGGAATAATCGATGGACTCGAATGCAATCTCCATCGAATAGAATCGAATGGAATCATCGAATGGACTCGAATGGAATAATCATTGAACGGAATCGAATGGAATCTTCACTGGATGTAAACGAATGGAATCATCATCGAATGGAAATGAAAGGAGTCATCATCTAATGGAATCGGGTGGAATCATCATCAAATGGAATCGAATGGAATCATCATCAATAAATGGAATCTAATGGAATCATTGAACCGAATTGAATGGAATCGTCATCGAATGAATTGAATGCAATCATCGAATGGTCTCGAATGGAATCATCTTCAAATGGAATGGAATGGAATCATCGCATAGAATCGAATGGAATTATCATCGAATGGACTCGAATGCAATCAACATCAAATGGAATCAAACGGAATTATCGAATGGAATCGAAGAGAATCATCTAATGGACTCGAATGGAATCATCTAATGGAATGGAATGGAATAATCCACGGACTCGAATGCAATCGTCATCGAATGGAATCGAATGGAATCATCGAATGGACTCGAATGGAATAATCATTGAACAGAATCGAATTGAATCATCATTGGATGGCAACGAATGGAATCATCATGGAATGGAATAGAATGGAATCATCAAATGGAAACAGATGGAATCATCATCAAATGGAATCGAATAGAATTATGGAATGAAATCCAAAGTGATCCTCATCGAATGGACTCGAATGGAATCATCATCCAATGGAAACTAATGGAATCAACATCGAATGGAATCAAATGGAAACACCATCGAAGTGAAACGAATGGAATTATCATGAAATTGAAATGGATGGACTCATCATCGAATGGATTTGAATGGAATCACCGAATTACATTGATTGAAATCATCATCAAATGGAATCGAATGGAATTATTGAATGGAATCGCATGGAATCATCATCAGATGGAAATGAATGGAATCATCATAGAATGGAATCGAATGGATTCATTGAATGGAATCAGATGGAATCATCGAATGGACTTGAATGGAATCATTGAATGGACTCGAATGGAATCATTATTGAATGGAATTGAATGGAATCATCGAATGGTCTCGAATGGAATCATTATCAAATGGAATCGAATGGAATCATCTGATACAATCGAATGGAACAATCATCGAATGGACTCAAATGGAATTATCCTCAAATGGAATCAAATGGAATTATCGAATGCAATCGAATGGAATTATCGATTGAATTCGAATAGAATCATCGAATGGACTCGAATGGAATCATCAAATGAAATGGAATGGAATAGTCAATGAAATCGAATGGAATCATCATTGAATGGAATCGAATGGAATCATCGAGTGGAATCGAATGGAATCATGATCAAATGGAATCGAATGTAATCATCATTAAATGGAATCAAAAATAACCATCATCAATTGGTATTGAATGGAATTGTCATCAAATGGAATTCAAAGGAATCATCATCAAATGGAACCGAATGGAGTCCTCGTTGAATGGAAATGAAAGGAATCATCATCTAATGGAATCGCATGGAATCATAATCAAACGGAATCGAATGGAATCATCATCAAATGGAATCTAATGGAATCACTGAACAGAATTGAATGGAATCGTCTTCGAATCAATTGAATGCAATCATCGAATGGTCTCGAATGGAATCATCTTCAAATGCAAAGTAATGGAATCGTCGCATTGAATCGAATGGAATTATCATTGAATGGACTCGAATGGAATCAGCATCAAACGGAATCCTCGAATGGAATCATCATTGAATGGAATGGAATGGAATCATCGAGTGGAATCGAATGGAATCATGATCAAATGGCATCGAATGTAATCATCATCAAATGGAATCAAAAATAACCATCATCAGTTGGTATTGAATGGAATTGTCATCAAATGAAATTCAAAGGAATCATCATCAAATGGAACCGAATGGAATCCGCATTGTATGGAAATGAAAGGAGTCATCATCTAATGGAATCGCATGGAATCATCATTAAATGGAATCGAATGGAATCATCATCAAATGGAATCTAATGGAATCATTGAACGAAAATGAATGGAATCGTCATCGAATGAATTGAATGCAATCATCGAATGGTCTCGAACGGAATCATCTTCCAATGGAATGGCATGGAATCATCGCATAGAATCGAATGGAATTATCATCGAATGGACTCGAATGGAAGCATTATCAAATGGAATCGAAAGGAATCACCGAATAGAATCGAATGGAACAATCATCGAATGGACTCAAATGGAATTATCCTCAAATGGAATCGAATGGAATTAACGAATGCAATCGAATGGAATAATCGAATGCAATTGAATAGAATCATCGAATGGACTCGAATGGAATCATCGAATGGAAAGGAAAGGAATCGTCAATGTACTCGAATGGAATCATCATTGAATGGAATCGAATGGAATCATTGAGTGGAATCGAATGGAAACATGATCAAATGGAATCGAATGTAATCATCATCAAATGGAAATCAAAATAACAATCATCAATTTGTATTGAATGGAATTGTCATCAAATGGAATTCAAAGGAATCATCATCAAATGGAACCGAATGGAATCCTCATTGAATGGAAATGAAAGGGGTCATCATCTAATGGAATCGCATGGAATCATCATCAAATGGAATCGAATGCAATCTTCATCAAATGGAATCTAATGGAATCATTGAACAGAATTGAATGGAATCGTCATCGAATGAATTGAATGCAATCATCGAATGGTCTCGAATGGAATCATCTTCTAATGGAAAGGAATGGAATCATCGCATAGAATCGAATGGAATTAACATTGAATGGACTCGAATGGAATCCACATCAAACGGAATCAAGCGGAATTATCGAATGGAATCGAAGAGAATCATCCAATGGACTCGAATGGAATCATCTAATGGAATGGAATGGAATAATCCACGGACTCGAATGCAATCATCATCGTATAGAATCGAATGGAATCATCGAATGGACTCGAATGGAATAATCATTGAACGGAATCAAATGGAATCATCATCGGATGGAAACGAATGGAATCATCATCGAATGGAAATGAAAAGAGTCATCATCTAATGGAATTGCATGGAATCATCATAAAATGGAATCGAATGGAATCAACATCAAATGGAATCAAATGGAATCATTGAACGGAATTGAATGGAATCGTCATCGAATGAATTGAATGCAATCATCGAATGGTCTCGAATGGAATCATCTTCAAATGGAATGGTATGGAATCCTCGCATAGAATCGAATGTAATTATCATCGAATGGAATCGAATGAAATCAACAACAAACGGAAAAAAAAGGAATTATCGAATGGAATCGAAGAGAATCATCGAATGGACCCGAATGGAATGATCTAATGGAATGGAATGGAATAATCCATGGACTCGAATGCAATCATCATCGAATGGAATCGAATCGAATCATCGAATGGACTCGAATGGAATAATCATTGAACGGAATCGCATGGAGTCATCATCGGATGGAACTGAATGGAATCATCATCGAATGGAATCGAATAGAATTATGGAATGAAATCCAGTGTGATCAGCATCGAATAGACCCGAATGGAATCATCATCCAACGGAAGCTAATGGAATCAACATCGAATGAATCGAATGGAAACACCATCGAATTGAAACGAATGGAATTATCATGAAAGTGAAATGGATGGACTCGTCATCGAATGGATTCGAATGGAATCATCGAATAAAATTGATTGAAATCATCATCAAGTGGAATCGAATGGTATCATTGAATGGAATCGAATGGAATCATCAGATGGAAATGAATTGAATCGTCATAGAATGGAATCGAATGGATTCATTGAATGGAATCAGATGGAATCATCGAATGGACTGGAATGGAATCATTGAATGGACTCGAAAGGGATCATTATTGAATGGCATTGAATGGAATCATCGAATGGTCTCGATTGGAATCATTATCAAATGGAATCGAATGGAATCACCGAATAGAATCGAATGGAACAATCATCGAATGGACACAAATGGAATTATCCTCAAATGGAATCGAATGGAATTATCGAATGCAATCGAATGGAATTATCGAATGCAATCGAATAGAATCATCGAATAGATTCGAATGGAATCATCGAATGGAATGGAATGGAACAGTCAATGAACTCGAATGGAATCATCATTGAATGGAATCGAATGGAATCATCGAGTGGAATCGAATGGAATTTTGATCAAAAGGAATCGAATGTAATAATCATCAAATGGAATCAAAAATAACAATCATCAATTGGTATTGAATGGAATTGTCATCAAATGGAATTCAAGGAATCATCATCAAATGGAACCGAATGGAATCCTCATTGAATGGAAATGAAAGGGGTCATCATCTAATTGAATCGCATGGAATCATCATCAAAAGGAATCGAATGGAATCATCATCAAATGGAATCTGATGGAATCATTGAACAGAATTGAATGGAATCGTCATCGAATGAATTGAATGCAATCATCGAATGGTCTCGAATGGAATCATCTTCTAATGGAAAGGAATGGAATCATCGCATTGAATCGAATGGAATTATCATCGAATGGAATCGAATGGTATCAACATCAAATGGTCTCGATTGGAATCATTATCAAATGGAATCGAATGGAATCACCGAATAGAATCGAATGGAACAATCATCGAATGCACTCAAATGGAATTATCCTCAAATGCAATCGAATGGATTTATCGAATGCAATCGAATGGAATTATCGAATGCAATCGAATAGAATCATCGAATGGACTCGAATGGAATCATCGAATGGAATGGAATGGAACAGTCAATGAAGTCGAAAGGAATCATCATTGAATGGAATCGAATGGAATCATCGAGTGGAATCGAATGGAATTATGATCAAATGGAATCGAATGTAATCATCATCAAAATGGAAATCAAAAAATAACCATCATCAATTGGTATTGAATGGAATGTCATCCAAATGGGAATTCAAAGGAAACATCATCAAATGGAACCCGAATGGAATCCTCATTGAATGGAAATGAAAGGGGTCATCATCTAATGGAATCGCATGGAATCATCATCAAATGGAAATCGAATGGAATCATCATCAAATGGAATCTGATGGAATCATTGAATGGAATCGTCATCGAATGAATTGAATGCAATCATCGAATGGTCTCGAATGGAATCATCTTCAAATGGAATAGAATGGAATCATCGCATAGAATCGAATGGAATTATCATCGAATGGAATCGAATGGAATCAACATCAAACGGAAAAAAAACGGAATTATCGTATGGAATCGAAGAGAATCATCGAATGGACCCGAATGGAATCATCTAATGGAATGGAATGGAATAATCCATGGACTCGAATGCAATCATCATCGAATGGAATCGAGTGGAATCATCGAATGGACTCGAATGGAATAATCATTGAACGGAATCGAATGGAATCATCATCGGATGGAAATGAATGGAATCATCATCGAATGGAATCGAATAGAATTATGGAATGAAATCCAGTGTGATCATCATCGAATGGACCCGAATGGAATCATCATCCAACGGAAGCTAATGGAATCAACATCGAATGAATCGAATGGAAACACCATCGAATTGAAACGAATGGAATTATCATGAAATTGAAATGGATGGACTCATCTTCGAATGGATTCGAATGGAATCATCGAATAAAATTGATTGAAATCATCATCAAATGGAATCGAATGGTATCATTGAATGGAATCGAATGGAATCATCATCAGATGGAAATGAATGGAATCGTCATAGAATGGAATCGAATGGATTCATTGAAATGGAATCAGATGGAATCATCTAATGGACTGGAATGGAATCACTGAATGGACTCGAAAGGGATCATCATTGAATGGAATTGAATGGAATCATCGAATGGTCTCGATTGGAATCATTATCAAATGGAATCGAATGAAATCACCGAATAGAATCGAATGGAGCAATCATCGAATGGACTCAAATGGAATTATCTTCAAATGGAATCGAATGGAATTATCGAATGCAATCGAAAGGAATTATCGAATGCAATCGAATAGAATCATCGAATGGACTCGAATGGAATCATCGAATGGAATGGAATGGACCAGTCAATGAACTCGAATGGAATCATCATTGAATGGAATCGAATGGAATCATCGAGTGGAATCGAATGGAATTATGATCAAATGGAATCGAATGTAATCATCATCAAATGGAATCAAAGTAGCCATCATCAATTGGTAATGAATGGATTTGTCATCAAATGGAATTCAAAGGAATCGTCATCAAATGGAACCGAATGGAATCCTCATTGAATGGAAATGAAAGGGGTCATCATCTAATGGAATCGCATGGAATCATCATCAAATGGAATCGAATGCAATCTTCATCAAATGGAATCTAATGGAATCATTGAACAGAATTGAATGGAATCGTCATCGAATGAATTGAATGCAATCATCGAATGGTCTCGAATGGAATCATCTTCTAATGGAAAGGAATGGAATCATCGCATAGAATCGAATGGAATTAACATTGAATGGACTCGAATGGAATCAACATCAAACGGAATCAAGCGGAATTATCGAATGGAATCGAAGAGAATCATCGAATGGACTCGAATGGAATCATCTAATGGAATGGAATGGAATAATCCACGGACTCGAATGCAATCATCATCGTATAGAATCGAATGGAATCATCGAATGGACTCGAATGGAATAATCATTGAACGGAATCAAATGGAATCATCATCGGATGGAAACGAATGGAATTATCATCGAATGGAAATGAAAGGAGTCATCATCTAATGGAATCGCATGGAATCATCATAAAATGGAATCGAATGGAATCAACATCAAATGGAATCAAATGGAATCATTGAACGGAATTGAATGCAATCGTCATCGTATGAATTGAATGCAATCATCGAATGGTCTCGAATGGAATCATCTTCAAATGGAATGGAATGGAATCATCGCATAGAATCGAATGGAATTATCATCGAATGGAATCGAAAGGTATCAACATCAAACGGAAAAAAACGGAATTATCGAATGGAATCGAAGAGAATCATCGAACGGACCCGAATGGAATCATCTAATGGAAAGGAATGGAATAATCCATGGACTCGAATCCAATCATCATCGAATGGAATCGAATGGAATCTTTGAAAGGACTCTAATGGAATAATCATTGAACGGAATCGAATGGAATCATCATCGAATGGAAACTAATGGAATCATCATCGAATGGAAATGAAAGGAGTCATCTAATGGAATTGCACGGAATCAACATAAAATGGAATCGAATGGAATCAACATCAAATGGAATGAAATGGAATCATTGAACGGAATTGAATGGAATCTTCATCGAATGAATTGTATGCAATCATCGAATGGTCTCGAATGGAATCATCTTCAAATGGAAATTAATGGAATCATCGCATAGAATCGAATGGAATTATCATCGAATGGAATCGAATGGAATCAACATCAAACGGAAAAAAAGGGAATTATCGAATGGAATCGAAGAGAATCATCGAATGGACCCGAATGGAATCATCTAATGGAATGGAATGGAATAATCCATGGACTCGAATGCAATCATCATCGAATGGAATCGAATGGAATCATCGAATGGACTCGAATGGAATAATCATTGAACGGAATCGAATGGAATCATCATCGGATGGAAATGAATGCAATCATCATCGAATGGAATCGAATAGAATTATGGAATGAAATCCAGTGTGATCATCATCGAATGGACCCGAATGGAATCATCATCCAACGGAAGCTAAAGGAATCAATATCCAATGAATCGAATGGAAACAAAATCGAATTGAAACGAATGGAATTATCATGAAATTGAAATGGATGGACTCATCATCGGATGGATTCGAATGGAATCATCGAATAAAATTGATTGAAATCATCATCAAATGGAATCGAATGGTATCATTGAATGGAATCGAATGGAATCATCATCAGATGGAAATGAATGGAATCGTCATAGAATGGAATCGAATGGATTCATTGAATGGAATCAGATGGAATCATCGAATGGACTGGAATGGAATCATTGAATGGACTCGAAAGGGATCATTATTGAATGGAATTGAATGGAATCATCGAATGGTCTCGATTGGAATCATTATCAAATGGAATCGAATGGAATCACCGAATAGAATCGAATGGAACAATCATCGAATGGACTCAAATGGAATTATCCTCAAATGGAATCGAATGGAATTATCGAATGCAATCGAATGGAATTATCGAATGCAATCGAATAGAATCATCGAATGGACTCGAATGGAATCATCGAATGGAATGGAATGGAACAGTCAATGAACTCGAATGGAATCATCATTGAATGGAATCGAATGGAATCATCGAGTGGAATCGAATGGAATTATGATCAAATGGAATCGAATGTAATCATCATCAAATGGAATCAAAAATAACCATCATCAATTGGTATTGAATGGAATTGTCATCAAATGGAATTCAAGGAATCATCATCAAATGGAACCGAATGGAATCCTCATTGAATGGAAATGAAAGGGGTCATCATCTAATTGAATCGCATGGAATCATCATCAAAAGGAATCGAATGGAATCATCATCAAATGGAATCTGATGGAATCATTGAACAGAATTGAATGGAATCGTCATCGAATGAATTGAATGCAATCATCGAATGGTCTCGAATGGAATCATCTTCTAATGGAAAGGAATGGAATCATCGCATAGAATCGAATGGAATTATCATCGAATGGAATCGAATGGTATCAACATCAAACGGAAAAAAACGGAATTATCGAATGGAATCGAAGAGAATCTTCGTCGAATGGAATAATCATCGAACGGAATCAAATGGAATCATCATCGGATGGAAACGAATGGAATCATCATCGAATGGAATCGAATGGAATGATCAAATGGAATCAGATGGAATCATCATCAAATGGAATCGAATAGAATTATCGAATCAAATCCAATGACATCATCATCGAATGTACTCGAATGGAATCATCATCCAATGGAAACTAATGGAATCAACATCGAATGGAATCGAATGGAAACACCATCGAATTGAAACGAGTGGAATTATCATGAAATTGAAATGGATGGACTCATCATCGAATGGATTCGAATGGAATCATCGAATGAAATTTATGGAAATCATCATCAAATGGAATCGAATGGAATCATAGAATGGAATCGAATGGAATCATCATCAGTTGGAAATGAATGGAATCATCACAGAATGGAATCGAATGGATTCATTGAATGGAATCAGATGGAATCATCGAATGGACTTGAATGGAATCATTGAATGGACTCGAATGGAATCATTATTGAATGGAATTGAATGGAATCATCGAATGGTCTCGAATGGAATCATTATCAAATGGAATCGAATGGAATCACCAAATAGAATCGAATGGAACAATCATCGAATGGACTCAAATGGAATTATCCTCAAATGGAATGGAATGGAATTATCGAATGCAATCGAATGGAATAATCGAAAGCAATCGAATAGAATCATCGAATGGACTCGAATGGAATCATCGAATGGAATGGAATGGAATAGTCAATGAACTCGAATGGAATCATCACTGAATGGAATCGAATGGAATCATGATCAAATGGAATCGAATGTAATCATCATCAAATGGAATCGAAAATAACCATCATCAATTGGTATTGAATGGAATTGTCATCAAATGGACTTCAAAGGAATCATCATCAAATGGAACCGAATGGAATCCTCATTGAATGGAAATGAAAGGAGTCATCATCTAATGGAATCGCATGGAATCATCATCAAATGGATTCGAATGGAATCATCATCAAATGGAATCTAATGGAATCATTGAACGGAATTGAATGGAATCGTCATCGAATAAATTCAATGCAATCATCGAATGGTCTCGAACGGAATCATCTTCGAATGGAATGGAATGGAATCATCGCATAGAATCGAATGGAATTATCATCGAATGTACTCGAATGGAATCAACCTCACACGGAATCAAACGGAATTATCGAATGGAATCGAAGAGAATCATCGATTGGACTCGAATGGAATCCTCTAATGGAAAGGAATGGAATAATCCATGGACTCGAATGCAATCATCATCGAATGGAATCGAATGGAATCATCGAATGGACTCGAATGGAGTAATCATTGAACGGAATCGAATGGAATCATCATTGGATGGAAACGAATGGAATCATCATCGAATGGAATGGAATGGAATCATCAAATGGAATCAGATGGAATCATCATAAAATGGAATCGAATAGAATTATGGAATGAAATCCAATGTGATCATCATCGAATGGACTCGAATGGAATCATCATCCAATGGAAACGAATGGAATCAACATCGAATGGAATCGAATGGAAACACCATCGAATTGAAACGAATGAAATTATCATGAAATTGAAATGGATGTACTCATCATCGAATGGAATCGAATGGAATCATCGAATAAAATTGATTGAAATCATCATCAAATGAAATCGAATGGAATCATTGAATGGAATCGAATGGAATCATCAACAGATGGAAATGAATGGAATCGTCATAGAATGGAATCGAATGGATTCATTGAGTGGAATCAGATGGAATCATCGAATGGACTGGAATGGAATCACTGAATGGACTCGAAAGGGATCATCATTGAATGGAATTGAATGGAATCATCGAATGGTCTCGATTGGAATCATTATCAAATGGAATCGAATGAAATCACCGAATAGAATCGAATGGAACAATCATCGAATGGACTCAAATGGAATTATCTTCAAATGGAATCGAATGGAATTATCGAATGCAATCGAATGGAATTATCGAATGCAATCGAATAGAATCATCGAATGGACTCGAATGGAATCATCGAATGGAATGGAATGGAACAGTCAATGAACTCGAATGGAATCATCATTGAATGGAATCGAATGGAATCATCGAGTGGAATCGAATGGAATTATGATCAAATGGAATCGAATGTAATCATCATCAAATGGAATCAAAAATAACCATCATCAATTAGTATTGAATGGATTTGTCATCAAATGGAATTCAAAGGAATCATCATCAAATGGAACCGAATGGAATCCTCATTGAATGGAAATGAAAGGGGTCATCATCTAATGGAATCGCATGGAATCATCATCAAATGGAATCGAATGCAATCTTCATCAAATGGAATCTAATGGAATCATTGAACAGAATTGAATGGAATCGTCATCGAATGAATTGAATGCAATCATCGAATGGTCTCGAATGGAATCATCTTCTAATGGAAAGGAATGGAATCATCGCATAGAATCGAATGGAATTAACATTGAATGGACTCGAATGGAATCCACATCAAACGGAATCAAGCGGAATTATCGAATGGAATCGAAGAGAATCATCCAATGGACTCGAATGGAATCATCTAATGGAATGGAATGGAATAATCCACGGACTCGAATGCAATCATCATCGTATAGAATCGAATGGAATCATCGAATGGACTCGAATGGAATAATCATTGAACGGAATCAAATGGAATCATCATCGGATGGAAACGAAAGGAATCATCATCGAATGGAAATGAAAAGAGTCATCATCTAATGGAATTGCATGGAATCATCATAAAATGGAATCGAATGGAATCAACATCAAATGGAATCAAATGGAATCATTGAACGGAATTGAATGGAATCGTCATCGAATGAATTGAATGCAATCATCGAATGGTCTCGAATGGAATCATCTTCAAATGGAACGGTATGGAATCCTCGCATAGAATCGAATGTAATTATCATCGAATGGAATCGAATGAAATCAACAACAAACGGAAAAAAAAGGAATTATCGAATGGAATCGAAGAGAATCATCGAATGGACCCGAATGGAATGATCTAATGGAATGGAATGGAATAATCCATGGACTCGAATGCAATCATCATCGAATGGAATCGAATCGAATCATCGAATGGACTCGAATGGAATAATCATTGAACGGAATCGCATGGAGTCATCATCGGATGGAACTGAATGGAATCATCATCGAATGGAATCGAATGGAATCATCGAATGGACTCGAATGGAATAATCATTGAACGGAATCGAATGGAATCATCATCAGATGGAAACGAATGGAATCATCATCGAATGGAAATGAAAGGAGTCATCATCTAATGGAATTGCATGGAATCATCATAAAATGGAATCGAAAGGAATCATCATCAGATGGAAATGAATGGAATCGTCATAGAATGGAATCGAATGGATTCATTGAATGGAATCAGATGGAATCATAGAATGGACTGGAATGGAATCATTGAATGGACTCGAAAGGGATCATTATTGAATGGAATTGAATGGAATCATCGAATGGTCTCGATTGGAATTATTATCAAATGGAATCGAATGGAATCACCGAATAGAATCGAATGGAACAATCATCGAATGGACTCTAATGGAATTATCCTCCAATGGAATCGAATGGAATTATCGAATGCAATCGAATGGAATTATCGAATGCAATCGAATAGAATCATCGAATGGACTCGAATGGAATCATCGAATGGAATGGAATGGAACAGTCAATGAACTCGAATGGAATCATCATTGAATGGAATCGAATGGAATCATCGAGTGGAATCGAATGGAATTATGATCAAATGGAATCGAATGTAATCATCATCAAATGGAATCAAAAATAACCATCAGCAATTGGTATTGAATGGAATTGTCATCAAATGGAATTCAAAGGAAACATCATCAAATGGAACCGAATGGAATCCTCATTGAATGGAAATGAAAGGGGTCATCATCTAATGGAATCGCATGGAATCATCATCAAATGGAATCGAATGGAATCATCATCAAGTGGAATCTGATGGAATCATTGAACAGAATTGAATGGAATCGTCATCGAATGAATTGAATGCAATCATCGAATGGTCTCGAATGGAATCATCTTCTAATGGAAAGGAATGGAATCATCGCATAGAATCGAATGGAATTATCATCGAATGGAATCGAATGGTATCTGCAGCAAACGGAAAAAAACGGAATTTTCGAATGGAATCGAAGAGAATCTTCGAACGGACCCGAATGGAATCATCTAATGGAATGGAATGGAATAATCCATGGACTGGAAGGCAATCATCATCGAATGGAATCGAATGGAATCATCGAATGGACTCGAATGGAATAATCATTGAACGGAATCGAATGGAATCATCTTCGGATGGAAACGAATGGAATCATCATCGAATGGAAATGAAAGGAGTCATCATCTAATGGAATTGCATGGAATCATCATAAAATGGAATCGAATGGAATCAACATCAAATGGAATCAAATGGAATCATTGAACGGAATTGAATGGAATCGTCATCGAATGAATTGAATACAATCATCGAATGGTCTCGAATGGAATCATCTTGAAATGGAATGCAATGGAATCATCGCATAGAATCGAATGGAATTATCATCGAATGGAATCGAATGGAATCAACATCAAACGGAAGAAAACGGAATTATCGAATGGAATCGAAGAGAATCATCGAATGGACCCGAATGGAATCATCTAATGGAATGGAATGGAATAATCCATGGACTCGAATGTAATCATCATCGAATGGAATCGAATGGAATCATCGAATGTACTCGAATGGAGTAATCATTGAACGGAATCGAATGGAATCATCATCGGATGGAAATGAATGCAATCATCATCGAATGGAATCGAATAGAATTATGGAATGAAATCCAGTGTGATCATCATCGAATGGACCCGAATGGATTCATCATCCAACGGAAGCTAATGGAATCAACATCGAATGAATCGAATGGAAACACCATCGAATTGAAACGAATGGAATTATCATGAAATTGAAATGGATGGACTCATCATCGAATGGATTCGAATGGAATCATCGAATAAAATTGATTGAAATCATCATCAAATTGAATCGAATGGTATCATTGAATGGAATCGAATGGAATCATCATCAGATGGAAATGAATGGAATCGTCATAGAATGGAATCGAATGGATTCATTGAATGGAATCAGATGGAATCATCGAATGGACTGGAATGGAATCATTGAATGGACTCGAAAGGGCTCATTATTGAATGGAATTGAATGGAATCATCGAATGGTCTCGATTGGAATCATTATCAAATGGAATCGAATGGAATCACCGAATAGAATCGAATGGAACAATCATCGAATGGACTCAAATGAAATTATCCTCAAGTGGAATCGAATGGAATTATCGAATGCAATCGAATGGAATTATCGAATGCAATCGAATAGAATCATCGAATGGACTCGAATGTAATCATCAAATGGAATGGAATGGAACAGTCAATGAACTGGAATGGAATCATCATTGAATGGAATCGAATGGAATCATCGAGTGGAATCGAATGGAATTATGATCAAATGGAATCGAATGTAATCATCATCAAATGGAATCAAAAATAACCATCATCAATTGGTATTCAATGGAATTGTCATCAAATGGAATTCAAAGGTATCATCATCAAATGGAACCGAATGGAATCCTCATTGAATGGAAATGAAAGGGGTCATCATCTAATGGAATCGCATGGAATCATCATCAAATGGAATCGAATGGAATCATCATCAAATGGAATCTAATGGAATCATTGAACAGAATTGAATGGAATCGTCATCGAATGAATTGAATGCAATCATCGAATGGTCTCGAATGGAATCATCTTCTAATGGAAAGGAATGGAATCATCGCATAGAATCGAATGGAATTAACATTGAATGGACTCGAATGGAATCCACATCAAACGGAATCAAGCGGAATTATCGAATGGAATCGAAGAGAATCATCGAATGGACTCGAATGGAATCATCTAATGGAATGGAATGGAATAATCCACGGACTCGAATGCAATCATCATCGTATAGAATCGAATGGAATCATCGAATGGACTCGAATGGAATAATCATTGAACGGAATCAAATGGAATCATCATCGGATGGAAACGAATGGAATCATCATCGAATGGAAATGAAAAGAGTCATCATCTAATGGAATCGCATGGAATCATCATAAAATGGAATCGAATGGAATCAACATCAAATGGAATCAAATGGAATCATTGAACGGAATTGAATGGAATCGTCATCGTATGAATTGAATGCAATCATCGAATGGTCTCGAATGGAATCATCTTCAAATGGAATGGAATGGAATCATCGCATAGAATCGAATGGAATTATCATCGAATGGAATCGAATGGAATCAACATCAAACGGAAAAAAACGGAATTATCGAATAGAATCGAAGAGAATCATCGAACGGACCCGAATGGAATCATCTAATGGAATGGAATGGAATAATCCATGGACTCGAATGCAATCATCATCGAATGGAATCGAATGGAATCATCGAATGGACTCGAATGGAATAATCATTGAACGGAATCGAATGGAATCATCATCGGATGGAAACGAATGGAATCATCATCGAATGGAAATGAAAGGATTCATCATCTAATGGAATTGCATGGAATCATCATAAAATGGAATCGAATGGAATCAACATCAAATGGAATCAAATGGAATCATTGAACGGAATTGAATGGAATCGTCAACGAATGAATTGAATGCAATCATCGAATGGTCTCGAATGGAATCATCTTCAAATGGAATGGAATGGAATCATCGCATAGAATCGAATGGAATTATCATCGAATGGAATCGAATGGAATCAACATCAAACGGAAAAATCGGAATTATCGTATGGAATCGAAGAGAATCATCGAATGGACCCGAATGGAATCATCTAATGGAGTGGAATGGAATAATCCACGGACTCGAATGCAATCATCATCGAATGGAATCGAATGGAATCATCGAATGGACTCGAATGGAATAATCATCGAACGGAATCGAATGGAGTCATCATCGGATGGAAATGAATGGAATCATCATCGAATGGAATCGAATACAATTATGGAATGAAATCCAGTGTGATCATCATCGAATGGACCCGAATGGAATCATCATCCAACGGAAGCTAATGGAATCAACATCGAATGAATCGAATGGAAACACCATCGAATTGAAACGAATGGAATTATCATGAAATTGAATATGGATGGACTCATCATCGAATGGATTCGAATGGAATCATCGAATAAAATTGATTGAAATCATCATCAAATGGAATCGAATGGTATCATTGAATGGAATCTAATGGAATCATCATCAGATGGAAATGAATGGAATCGTCATAGAATGGAATCGAATGGATTCATTGAATGGAATCAGATGGAATCATCGAATGGACTGGAATGGAATCATTGAATGGACTCGAGAGGGATCATTATTGAATGGAATTGAATGGAATCATGGAATGGTCTCGATTGGAATCATTATCAAATGGAATCGAATGGAATCACCGAATAGAATCGAATGGAACAATCATCGAATGGACTCCAATGGAATTATCCTCAAATGGAATCGAATGGAATTATGGAATGCAATCGAATGGAATTATCGAATGCAATCGAATAGAATCATCGAATGGACTCGAATGGAATCATCGAATGGAATGGAATGGAACAGTCAATGAACTCGAATGGAATCATCATTGAATGGAATCGAAAGGAATCATCGAGTGGAATCGAATGGAATTATGATCAAATGGAATCGAATGTAATCATCATCAAATGGAATCAAAGATAACCATCATCAATTGGTATTGAATGGAATTGTCATCAAATGGAATTCAAAGGAATCATCACCAAATGGAACCGAAAGGAATCCTCATTGAATGGAAATGAAAGGAGTCATCATCTAATGGAATCGCATGGAATCATCATCAAATGGAATCGAATGGAATCATCATCAGATGGAATCTAATGGAATCATTGAACAGAATTGAATGGAATCGTCATCGAATGAATTGAATGCAATCATCGAATGGTCTCGAACGGAATCATCTTCTAATGGAAAGGAATGGAATCATCGCATAGAATCGAATGGAATTAACATTGAATGGACTCGAATGGAATCAACATCAAACGGAATCAAGCGGAATTATCGAATGGAATCGAAGAGAATCATCGAATGGACTCGAATGGAATCATTATCAAATGGATTCACTGAATAGAATCATCGAATGGAATCCCCGAACAGAATCGAATGGAACAATCATCGAATGGACTCATATAGAATCAACATCAAAAGGAATCAAACGGAATTATCGAATGGAATCGAAGAGAATCATCGAATGCACTCGAATGGAATCATCTAGTGGAATCGAATGGAATAATCCATGGACTCGAATGCAATCATCATCGAGTAGAATCGAATGGAATCATCAAATGGACTCGAATGGAATAATCATTGAACGGAATCGAATGGAATCATCATCGGATGGAAACTAATGGAATCATCATCAGATGGAAACGAATGGAATCATCATCGAATGGAAATCAAAGGAGTCATCATCTAATGGAATCGAATGGAATCATCATCAAATGGAGTCGAATGGAATCATCATCAAATGGAATCTAATGGAATCATTGAACGGAATTGAATGGAATCGTCATCGATTGAATTGAATGCAATCATCGAAAGGTCTCGAATGGAATCATCTTCAAATGGAATGGAATGGAGTCATCGCATAGAATCGAATGGAATTATCATCGAATGGACTCGAATGGAATCAACATCAAACGGAATCAAACGGATTTATAGAATGGAATCGAAGAGAATCATCAAATGGGCTCGAACAGAATCATCTAATGGAATGGAATGGAATAATCCACGGACTCGAATGAAATCATCATCGAATGGAATCGAATGGAATCATCGAATGTAATCGAATGGAATCATCAAATGGACTCTAATGGAATAATCATTCTACGGAATCGAATGGAATCATCATCAAATGGAATCTAATGGAATCATTGAACGGAATTGAATGGAATCATCATCGAATGAATTGAATGCAATCATCGAATGGTCTCGACCATTTGAAGACAATTCCCTTCGAGACCATTCGATGATTGCATTAAATTCTTTTGATGACGATTCCATTGAATTCCGTTCAATGATTCCATTAGATTCCATTTAATGATGATTCCATTCGATTCCATTTGATGGTGACTCCTTGCGATTCCTTTAGATGATGACTCCTTTCATTTCCATTCGATGATGATTCCATTCGTTTCCATCCGATGATGATTCCATTCGATTCCGTTCAATGATTATTCCTTTCGAGTCCTTTCGATGATTCCATTCGATTCTATACGATGATGATTGCATTCGAGTCCATGGATTATTCCATTCCATTCCATTAGATGATTCCATTCGGGTCCGTTCGATGATTCTCTTCGATTTCATTCGATAATTCCTCTTGATTCCGTTTGATGTTGATTCCATTCGAGTCCATTCAATGTTAATTCCATTCGATTCTATGCGATGATTCCATTACATTCCTTCGGAAGTTGATTCCGTTCGAGACCATTCGATGATTGCATTCAATTCATTCGATGACGATTCCATTCAATTCCGTTCAATGATTCCATTAGATTCCATTTGATGATGATTCCATTGGATTCCATTTCATGATGATTCCATGCTATTCCATTAGATGATGACTCCTTTCATTTCCATTCAATGAGGATTCCATTCGTTTCCATTTGATGATGATTCCTTTGAAGTCCATTTGATGACAATTCCATTCAATACCAATTGATGATGGTTATTTTTGACTCCATTTGATGATGATTACATTCGATTCCATTTGATCATGATTCCATTCGATTCCACTCGATGATTCCATTCGATTCCACTCAATGATGATTCCATTCGAGTTCATTGACTATTCCTTTCCATTCCATTCGATGATTCCATTCGAGTCCATTCGATGATTCTATTCGATTGCATTCGATTATTCCATTCGATTGCATTCGATTATTCCATTCGATTCCATTTGAGGATAATTCCATTTGAGTCCATTCGATGATTGTTCCATTCGATTCTATTCGGTGATTCCATTCGATTCCATTTGATAATGATTCCATTCGAGACCATTCGATGATTCCTTTGAATTCCACTCAATAATGATTCCCTTCGAGTCCATTCAATGATTCCATTTCACGTCCATTCGATGATTCCATCTGATTCAATTCAATGAATCCATTCGATTCCATTCTGTGATGATTCCATTCATTTCCATCTGATGATAATTCCATTCGATTCCATTCAGTGATTCCATTCGATTCCATTTGATGATGATTTCAATAAATTTCATTCGATGATTCCTTTCGAATCCATTCAATGATGAGTCCATCCATTTCAGTTTCATGAGAATTCCATTCGTTTCAATTCGATGGTGTTTCCATTCGATTCCATTCGATGTTGATTCCATTAGTTTCCATTGGATGATGATTCCATTCGAGTCCATTCGATGATGATCACATTGGATTTGATTCCATAATTCTATTCGATTCCATTTGATGATGATTCCGTCTGATTCCATTTGATGATTCCATTCGATTCCATTCGATGATGATTCCATTCTTTTCCATCTGATGATGATTCCATTCGATTCTGTTCAATGATTATTCCATTCGAGTCCATTCGATGATTCCATTCGATTCCATTCGATGATGATTGCATTCGAGTCCATGGATTATTCCATTCCATTCCATTAGATGATTCCATTCGACTCCATTCGATGATTCTCTTCGATTCCATTCGATAATTCCGTTTGATTCCGTTTGAGGTTGATTCCATTCGAGTCCATTCGATCATAATTCCATTCGATTCTATGCGATGATTCCATTCCATTCCATTGGAAGATGATTCCGTTCGAGACCATTCGATGATTGCATTCAATTCATTCGATGACGATTCCATTCAATTCCGTTCAATGATTCCATTAGATTCTATTTGATGATGATTCCATTCGATTCCATTTAATGATGATTCCATGCGATTCCATTAGATGATGACTCCTTTCATTTCCATTCAATGAGGTTTCCATTCGGTTCCATTTGATGATGATTCCTTTGAATTTCATTTGATGACAATTCCATTCAATACCAATTGATGATGGTTATTTTTGATTCCATTTGATGAGGATTACATTCGATTCCATTTGATCATGATTCCATTCGATTCCACTCGATGATTGCATTCCATTCCATTCAATGATGATTCCATTCGAGTTCATTGAGTATTCCATTCCATTCCATTCGATGATTCCATTCCAGTCCATTCGATGATTCTATTCGATTGCATTCGATGATTCCATTCGATTCCATTCAATGATTCCATTCGATTCCATTTGATGATGATTTCAATAAATTTCATTCGATGATTCCATTCGAATCCATTCGATGATGAGTCCATCCATGTCAATTTCATCATAATTCCATTCGTTTTAATTCGATGGTGTATCCATTCGATTCCATTCGATGTTGATTCCATTAGTTTACGTTGGATGATGATTCCATTCGGGTCCATTCGATGCTGATCACACTGGATTTCATTCCACAATTCTATTCGATTCCATTCGATGATGATTCCATTCATTTCCATCCGATGATGATTCCATTCGATTCCGTTCAATGATTATTCCATTCGAGTCCATTCGATGATTCCATTCGATTCCATTCGATGATGATTGCATTCGAGTCCATGGATTATTCCGTTCCATTCCATTAGATGATTCCATTCGAGTCCATTCGATGATTCTCTTCGATTCCATTCGATAATTCCGTTTGATTCCGTTTGAGGTTGATTCCATTCGAGTCCATTCGATGATAATTCCATTCGATTCTATGCGATGATTCCATTCCATTCCATTGGAAGATGATTCCGTTGGAGACCATTCGATGATTGCATTCAATTCATTCGATGACGATTCCATTCAATTCCGTTCAATGATTCCGTTAGATTCCATTTGATGATGATTCCATTCGATTCCATTTGATGATGATTCCATGCGATTCCATTAGATGATGACTCCTTTCATTTCCATTCAATGAGGATTCCATTCGTTTCCATTTGATGATGATTCCTTTGAATTCCATTTGATGACAATTCCATTCAATACCAATTGATGATGGTTATTTTTGACTCCATTTGATGATGATTACATTCAATTCCATTTGATCATGATTCCATTTGATTCCACTCGATGATTCCATTCGATTCCATTCAATGATGATTCCATTCGAGTTCATTGACTATTCCTTTCCATTCCATTCGATGATTCCATTCGAGTCCATTCGATGATTCTATTCGATTGCATTCGATTATTCCATTCGATTGCATTCGATAATTCCATTCGATTCCATTTGAGCATAATTCCATTTGAGTCCATTCGATGATTGTTCCATTCGATTCTATTCGGTGATTCCATTCGATTCCATTTGATAATGATTCCATCGGAGACCATTCGATGATTCCTTTGAATTCCACTCAATAATGATTCCATTCGAGTCCATTCTATGATTCCATTCAAGTCCATTCGATGATTCCATCTGATTCCATTCAATGAATACATTCGATTCCATTCTATGATTATTCCATTCATTTCCATCTGATGATGCTTCCATTCGATTCCATTCAATGATTCCATTCGATTCCATTTGATGATGATTTCAGTCAATTTCATCCGATGATTCCATTCGAATCCATTCGATGATGAGTACATCCATTTCAATTTCATGATAATTCCATTCGTTTCAATTCGATGGTGTTTCCATTCGATTCCATTCGATGTTGATTCCATTAGTTTCCATTGGATGATGATTCCATTCGAGTCTATTCGATGATGACCACATTGGATTTCATTCCATAATTCTATTCGATTCCATTTGATGATGATTCCATCTGATTCCATTTGATGATTCCATTCGATTCCGTTCAATGATGATTCCTTTCGAGTCCATTCGATGATTCCATTCGATTCCATTCGATGATGATTGCATTCGAGTCCATGGATTATTCCATTCCATTCCATTAGATGATTCCATTCGGGTCCGTTCGATGATTCTCTTCGATTCCATTCGATAATTCCGTTTTTTTCCGTTGGATGTTGATTCCATTCGATTCCATTCGATGATAATTCCATGCGATTCCATTAGATGATGACCCCTTTCATTTCCATTCAATGAGGATTCCATTCAGTTCCATTTGATGATGATTCCTTTGAATTCCATTTGATGAAAATTCCATTCAATACCAATTGATGATGGTTATTTTTGATTCCATTTGATGATGATTACATTCGATTCCATTTGATCATAATTCCATTCGATTCCACTCGATGATTCCATTCGATTCCATTCAAGGATGATTCCATTCGAGTTCATTGACTGTTCCATTCCATTCCATTCGATGATTCCATTCGAGTCCATTCGATGATTCTATTCGATTGCATTCGATAATTCCATTCGATTGCATTCGATAATTCCATTCGATTCCATTTGAGGATAATTCCATTTGAGTCCATTCGATGATTGTTCCATTCGATTCTATTCGGTGATTCCATTCGATTCCATTTGATAATGATTCCAATCGAGGCCATTCGATGATTCCATTCAATTCCATTCAATAATGATTCCATTCGAGTCCATTCAATGATTCCATTCAAGTCCATTCGATGATTCCATCTGATTCCATTCAATGAATCCATTCAATTCCATTCTGTGATGATTCCATTCATTTCCATCTGATGATGATTCCATTCGATTCCATTCAATGATTCCATTCGATTCCATTTGATGATGATTTCAATAAATTTCATTCAATGATTCCATTCGAATCCATTCGATGATGAGTCCATCCATTTCAATTTCATGATAATTCCATTCGTTTCAATTCGATGGTGTTTCCATTCGATTCCATTGGATGTTGAATCCATTAGTTTCCATTGGATGATGATTGCATTCGAGTCCATTCGATGATGATCACATTGGATTTGATTCCATAATTCTATTCGATTCCATTTGATGATGATTTCAATAAATTTCATTCGATGATTCCATTCGAATCCATTCGATGATGAGTCCATCCATTTCAGTTTCATGATAATTCCATTTGTTTCAATTCGATGGTGTTCCCATTCGATTCCATTCGATGTTGATTCCATTAGTTTCCATTGGATGGTGATTCCATTCGAGTCCATTCGACGATGATCACATTGGATTTTGTTCCATAATTCTATTCGATTCCATTTGATGATGATTCCATCTGATTCCATTTGATGATTCCATTCGATTCCATTCGATGATGATTCCATTCGTTTCCATTCGATGATGATTCCATTCGATTCCGTTCAATGATTATTCCATTCGAGTCCATTCGATGATTCCATTCGATTCCATTCGATAATGATTGCATTCGAGTCCATGGATTATTCCGTTCCATTCCATTCGATGATACCATTCGAGTCCATTCGATGATTGTATTCGATTGCATTCGATTATTCCATTCGATTGCATTCGATAATTCCATTCGATTCCATTTGAGGATAATTACATTTGAGTCTATTCGATGATGGTTCCATTCGGTCCATTCAATGTTAAATCCACTCGATTCTATGCGATGATTATATTCCTTTCCATTAGAAGATGATTCCATTCGAGAACATTCGATGATTGCATTCAATTCATTCGATGACGATTCCATTCAATTCTGTTCAATGATTCCATTAGATTCCATTTGATGATGATTCCATTCGATTCCATTTGATGGTGATTACATGCGATTCCATTAGATGATGACTCCTTTCATTTCCATTCAATGAGGATTCCATTCGTTTCCATTTGATGATGATTCCTTTGAATTCCATTTGATGACAATTCCATTCAATACCAATTGATGATGGTTATTTTTGATTCCATTTGATGATGATTACATTCAATTCCATTTGATCATGATTCCATTTGATTCCACTCGATGATTCCATTCGATTCCATTCAATGATGATTCCATTCGAGTTCATTGACTATTCCTTTCCATTCCATTCGATGATTCCATTCGAGTCCATTCGATGATTCTATTCGATTGCATTCGATTATTCCATTCGATTGCATTCGATAATTCCATTCGATTCCATTTGAGGATAATTCCATTTGAGTCCATTCGATGATTGTTCCATTCGATTCTATTCGGTGATTCCATTCGATTCCATTTGATAATGATTCCATCGGAGACCATTCGATGATTCTTTGAATTCCACTCAATAATGATTCCATTCGAGTCCATTCTATGATTCCATTCAAGTCCATTCGATGATTCCATCTGATTCCATTCAATGAATACATTCGATTCCATTCTATGATTATTCCATTCATTTCCATCTGATGATGCTTCCATTCGATTCCATTCAATGATTCCATTCGATTCCATTTGATGATGATTTCAGTCAATTTCATCCGATGATTCCATTCGAATCCATTCGATGATGAGTACATCCATTTCAATTTCATGATAATTCCATTCGTTTCAATTCGATGGTGTTTCCATTCGATTCCATTGGATGTTGATTCCATTAGTTTCCATTGGATGATGATTCTATTCGATTCCATTCGATGATGACCACATCTGATTCCATTCCATAATTCTATTCGATTCCATTCGATGATGATTCCATTCGTTTCCATCCGAAGATAATTCCATTCGATTCCGTTCAATGATTATTCCATTCGAGTCCATTCGATGATTCCATTCGATTCCATTCGATGATGATTCCATTCGATTCCATTTGATGATGATTCCATTCCATTCCATTAGATGATTCCATTCGGGTCCATTCGATGATTCTCTTCGATTCCATTCGATAATTCCGTTTTTTTCCATTTGATGTTGATTCCATTCGATTCCATTCGATGATAATTCCATTCGATTCTATGCGATGATTCCATTCCATTCCATTTGAAGATGATTCCATTCGAGACCATTCGATGATTGCATTCAATTCATTCGATGACGATTCCATTCAATTCCGTTCAATGATTCCATTTGATTCCATTTGATGATGATTCCATTCGATTCCATTTTATGATGATTCCATGCAATTCCATTAGATGATGACTCCTTTCATTTCCATTCGATGATGATTCCATTCGTTTCCATCCGATGATGATTCCATTCGATTCCGTTCAATGATGATTCCATTCGAGTCCATTCAATGATTCCATTCGATTCTATACGATGATGATTGCATTCGAGTCCGTGGATTATTCCATTCCATTCCATTAGATGATTCCATTCGAGTCCATTCGATGGTTCTCTTCGATTACATTCGATAATTCCGCTTGATTCCGTTAGATATTGATTCCATTCGAGTCCATTCAATGTTAATTCCATTCGATTCTATGCGATGATTCCATTCCTTTCCATTAGAAGATGATTCCATTCGAGACCATTCGATGATTGTATTCAATTCATTCAATGACGATTCCATTCAATTCTGTTCAATGATTCCATTAGATTCCATTTGATGATGATTCCTTTCGATTCCATTTGATGATGATTCCATGTGATTCCATTAGATGATGACCCCTTTCATTTCCATTCAATGAGGATTCCATTCGGTTCCATTTGATGATGATTCCTTTGAATTCCATTTGATGACAATTCCATTCAATACCAATTGATGATGGTTATTTTGATTCCATTGATGATGATTACATTCGATTCCATTTGATCATGATTCCATTCGATTCCATTCAATGATGATTCCATTCGATTTCATTGACTATTCCTTTCCATTCCATTCGATGATTCCATTCGAGTCCATTCGATGATTCTATTCGATTGTATTCGATTATTCCATTCGATTGCATTCGATAATTCCATTCGATTCCATTTGAGGATAATTCCATTTGAGTCCATTCGATGATTGTTCCATTCGATTCTAATTGGTGATTCCATTCGATTCCATTTGATAATGATTCCATCCGAGACCATTCGATGATTCCTTTGAATTACACTCAATAATGATTCCGTTCGAGTCCATTCTATGATTCCATTCAAGTCCATTCGATGATTCCATCTGATTCCATTCAATGAATCCATTCGATTCCATACTATGATTATTCCATTCATTTCCATCTGATGATGATTCCATTCGATTCCATTCAATGATTCCATTCGATTCCATTTAATGATGATTTCAGTCAATTTCATCTGATGATTCCATTCGAATCCATTCGATGATGAGTCCATCCATTTCAGTTTCATGATAATTCCATTCGTTTCAATTCGATGGTGTTTCCATTCGATTCCATTCGATGTTGATTCCATTAGTTTCCATTGGATGATGATTCCATTCGAGTCCATTCGATGATGATCACATTGGATTTGATTCCATAATTGTATTCGATTCCATTTGATGATGATTCCATCTGATTCCATTTGATGATTCCATTCGATTCCATTCGATGATGATTCCATTCGTTTCCATCCGATGATGATTCCATTCGATTCCGTTCAATGATTATTCCATTAGTGTCCATTCGATGATTCCATTCGATTCCATTCGATGATGATTGCATTCGAGTCCATGGATTATTCCATTCCATTCCATTCGATGATTCCATTCGAGTCCATTCGATGATTCTCTTCGATTCCATTCGATAATTCCGTTTCATTCCGTTTGAGATTGATTCCATTCGAGTCCATTCGATGATAATTCCATTCGATTCTATGCGATGATTCCATTCCTTTCCATTAGAAGATGATTCCATTCGAGACCATTCGATGATTGCATTCAATTCATTCGATGACGATTCCATTCAATTCTGTTCAATGATTCCATTAGATTCCATTTGATGATGATTCCATTCGATTCCATTTGATGATGATTCCATGTGATTCCATTAGATGATGACCCCTTTCATTTCCATTCAATGAGGATTCCATTCGGTTCCATTTGATGATGATACCTTTGAATTCCATTTGATGACAATTCCATTGAATACCAATTGATGATGGTTATTTTTGATTCCATTTGATGATGATTACATTCGATTCCATTTGATCATAATTCCATTCGATTCCACTCGATGATTCCATTCGATTCCATTCAATGATGATTCCATTCGAGTTCATTGACTGTTCCATTCCATTCCATTCGATGATTCCATTCGAGTCCATTCGATGATTCTATTCGATTGCATTCGATAATTCCATTCGATTGCATTCGATAATTCCATTCGATTCCACTTGAGGATAATTTCATTTGAGTCCATTCGATGATTGTTCCATTCGATTCTATTCGGTGATTCCATTCGATTCCATTTGATAATGATTCCAATCGAGACCATTCGATGATTCCATTCAATTCCATTCAATAATGATCCCTTTCGAGTCCATTCAATGATTCCATTCCAGTCCATTCGAAGATTCCATCTGATTCCATTCAATGAATCCATTCGATTCCATTCTATGACGATTCCATTCATTTCCATCTGATGATGATTCCTTTCGATTCCACTCAATGCTTCCATTCGATTCCATTTGATGACAATTTCAATCAATTTTATTCGATGATTCCATTCGAATCCATTCGATGATGAGTCCATCCATTTCAATTTCATGATAAATCCACTCGTTTCAATTCGATGGTGTTTCCACTCGATTCCATTCGATGTTGATTCCATTAGTTTCCATGGGATGATGATTCCATTCGGGTCCATTCGATGATGATGACCCTGGATTTCATTCCATAATTCTATTCGATTCCATTCGATGATGATTGCATTCATTTCCATCCGATGATGATTCCATTCGATTCCGTTCAATGATTATTCCATTCGAGTCCATTCGATGATTCCATTCGATTCCATTCGATGATGATTGCATTCGAGTCCATGGATTATTCCATTCCATTCCATTAGATGATTCCATTCGGGTCCGTCCGATGATTCTCTTCGATTCCATTCGATAATTCCGTTTTTTTCCGTTTGATGTTGATTCCATTCGATTCCATTCGATGATAATTCCATTCGATTCTATGCGATGATTCCATTCCATACCATTTGAAGATGATTCCATTCGAGACCATTCGATGATTGCATTCAATTCATTCGATGACGATTCCATTCAATTCCGTTCAATGATTCCATTTGATTCCATTTGATGTTGATTCCATTCGATTCCATTTTATGATGATTCCATGCAATTCCATTAGATGATGACTCCTTTCATTTCCATTCGATGATGATTCCATTCGTTTCCATCCGATGATGATTCCATTCGATTCCGTTCAATGATTATTCCATTCGAGTCCATTCGATGATTCCATTCGATTCTACACGATGATGATTGCATTCGAGTCCGTGGATTATTCTATTCAATTCCATTAGATTATTCCATTCGAGTCCAGTCGATGATTCTCTTCGATTCCATTCGATAATTCCGCTTGATTCCATTTGATGTTGATTCCATTCGAGTCCATTCAATTTTAATTCCATTCGATTCTATGCGATGATTCCATTACTTTCCATTAGAAGATGATTGCATTCGAGACCATTCGATGATTCCATTCAATTCATTTGATGACGATTCCATTCAATTCTGTTCAATGATTCCATTAGATTCCATTTGATGATGATTCCATTCGATTCCATTTGATGATGATTCCATGCGATTCCTTTAGATGATGACCCCTTTCATTTCCATTCAATGAGGATTCCATTCGGTTCCATTTGATGATGATTCCTTTGAATTCCATTTGATGAGGGGGGGCAAAAAAAAACAATTGATGATGGTTATTTTTGATTCCATTTGATGATGTATTACATTCGATTCCATTTGATCATAATTCCATTCGATTCCACTCGATGATTCCATTCGATTCCATTCAATGATGATTCCATTCGAGTTCATTGACTGTTCCATTCCATTCCATTCGATGATTCCATTCGAGTCCATTCGATGATTCTATTCGATTGCATTCGATAATTCCATTCGATTGCATTCGATAATTCCATTCGATTCCATTGGAGGATAATTCCATTAGAGTCCATTCGATGATTGTTCCATTCGATTCTATTCGGTGATTCCATTCGATTCCATTTGATAATAATTCCAATCGAGACCATTCGATGATTCCATTCAATTCCATTCAATAATGATCCCTTTCGAGTCCATTCAATGATTCCATTCCAGTCCATTCTATGATTCCATCTGATTCCATTCAATGAATCCATTCGATTCCATTCTATGACGATTCCATTCATTTCCATCTGATGATGATTCCTTTCGATTCCATTTTATGATGATTCCATGCAATTCCATTAGATGATGATTCCTTTCATTTCCATTCGATGATGATTCCATTCGTTTCCATCCGAAGATGATTCCATTCGATTCCGTTCAATGATTATTCCATTCGAGTCCATTCGATGATTCCATTCGATTCCATTCGATGATGATTGCATTCGAGTCCATGGATTATTCCATTCCATTCCATTGGAGGATAATTCCATTTGAGTCCATTCGATGATAGTTCCATTCGATTCTATTCGGTGATTCCATTCGATTCCATTTGATAATGATTCCAATCGAGACCATTCGATGATTCCATTCAATTCCATTCAATCATGATCCCTTTCGAGTCCATTCAATGATTCCATTCCAGTCCATTCGATGATTCCATCTGATTCCATTCAATGAATCCATTCGATTCCATTCTATGACGATTCCATTCATTTCCATCTGATGATGATTCCATTCGATTCCATTCAATGATACCATTCGATTCCATTTGATGATGATTTCAATCAATTTTATTCGATGATTCCATTCGAATCCATTCGAAGATGAGTCCATCCATTTCAATTTCATGATAATTCCATTCGTTTCAATTCGATGGTGTTTCCATTCGATTCATTCGATGTTGATTCCATTAGCTTCCGTTGGATGATGATTCCATTCGGGTCCATTCGATGATGATCACACTGGATTTCATTCCATAATTCTATTCGATTCCATTCGATGATGATTCCATTCATTTCCATCCGATGATGATTCCATTCGATTCCGTTCAATGATTATTCCATTCGAGTCCATTCGATGATTCCACTCGATTCCATTCGATGATGATTGCATTCGAGTCCATGGATTATTCCATTCCATTCCATTAGATGATTCCATTCGGGTCCATTCGATGATTCTCTTCGATTCCATACGATAATTCCGTTTTTTTTCCGTTTGATGTTGATTCCATTCGATTCCATTCGATGATAATTCCATTCGATTCTATGCGATGATTCCATTCTATTCCATTTGAAGATGATTCCATTCGAGACCATTCGATGATTGCATTCAATTCATTCGATGACGATTCCATTCAATGATTCCATCAGATTCCATTTGATGATGATTCCATTCGATTCCATTTGATGATGATTCCATGCGATTCCATTAGATGATGACCCCTTTCATTTCCATTCAATGAGGATTCCATTCGGTTCCATTTGATGATGTTTCCTTTGAATTCCATTTGATGACAATTCCATTCAATACCAATTGATGATGGTTATTTTTGATTCCATTTGATGATGATTACATTCGATTCATTTGATCATAATTCCATTCGATTCCACTCGATGATTCCATTCGATTCCATTCAATGATGATTCCATTCGAGTTCATTGACTGTTCCATTCCATTCCATTCGATGATTCCATTCGAGTCCATTCGATGATTCTATTCGATTGCATTCGATAATTCCATTCGATTGCATTCGATAATTCCATTCCATTCCATTTGAGGATAATTCCATTTGAGTCCATTCGATGATTGTTCCATTCGATTCTATTCGGTGATTCCATTCGATTCCATTTGATAATGATTCCAATCGAGACCATTCGATGATTCCATTCAATTCCATTCAATAATGATCCCTCTCGAGTCCATTCAATGATTCCATTCCAGTCCATTCGATGATTCCATCTGATTCCATTCAATGAATCCATTCGATTCCATTCTATGACGATTCCATTCATTTCCATCTGATGATGATTCCATTCGATTCCATTCAATGATACCATTCGATTCCATTTGATGATGATTTCAATCAATTTTATTCGATGATTCCATTCGAATCCATTCGATGATGAGTCCATCCATTTCAATTTCATGATAATTCCACTCGTTTCAATTCGATGGTGTTTCCATTCGATTCATTCGATGTTGATTCCATTAGCTTCCGTTGGATGATGATTCCATTCAGGTCCATTCGATGATGATGACACTGGATTTCATTCCATAATTCTATTCGATTCCATTCGATAATGATTCCATTCATTTCCATCCGATGATGATTCCATTCGATTCCGTTCAGTGATTATTCCATTCGAGTCCATTCGATGATTCCATTCGATTCCATTCGATGATGATTGCATTCGAGTCCATGGATTATTCCATTCCATTCCATTAGACGATTCCATTCGGGACCATTCTATGATTCTCTTCGATTCCATTCGATAATTCCGTTTTTTTCCGTTTGATGTTGATTCCATTCGATTCCATTCGATGATAATTCCATTCGATTCTATGCGATGATTCCATTCCATTCCATTTGAAGATGATTCCATTCGAGACCATTCGATGATTGCATTCAATTCATTCGATGACGATTCCATTCAATTCTGTTCAATGATTCCATTAGATTCCATCTGATGATGATTCCATTCGATTCCATTTGATGATGATTCCATGCGATTCCATTAGATGATGACCCCTTTCATTTCCATTCAATTAGGATTCCTTTCGGTTCCATTTGGTGATGATTCCTTTGAATTCCATTTGATGACAATTCCATTCAATACCAATTGATGATGGTTATCTTTGATTCCATTTGATGATGATTACATTCGATTCCATTTGATCATAATTCCATTCGATTCCACTCGATGATTCCATTCGATTCCATTCAATGATGATTCCATTCGAGTTCATTGACTGTTCCATTCCATTCCATTCGATGATTCCATTCGAGTCCATTCGATGATTCTATTCGATTGCATTCGATAATTCCATTCGATTGCATTCGATAATTCCATTCGATTCCTTTTGATGATAATTCCATTGGAGTCCATTCGATGATTGTTCCATTCGATTCTATTCGGTGATTCCATTCGATTCCATTTAATAATGATTCCATGCGAGACCATTCGATGATTCCATTCAATTCCATTCAATAATGATTCCATTCGAGTCCATTCAATGATTCCATTCAAGTCCATTCGATGATTCCGGCTGATTGCATTCAATGAATCCATTCGATTCCATTCTGTGATGATTCCATTCATTTCAATCTGATGATGATTCCATTCGATTCCATTCAATGATTCCATTCGATTCCATTTGATGATGATTTCAATAAATTTCATTCAATGATTCCATTCGAATCCATTCAATGATGAGTCCATCCATTTCAATTTCATGATAATTCCATTCGTTTCAATTCGATGGTGTTTCCAGTCGATTTCGTTCGATGTTGATTCCATTAGTTTCCATTGGATGATGATTCCATTCGAGTCCATTTGATGATGATCACATTGGATTTGATTCCATAATTCTATTCGATTCCATTTGATGATGATTCCGTCTGATTCCATTTGATGATTCCATTCGATTCCATTCGATGATGATTCCATTCGTTTCTATCCGATGATGATTCCATTCGATTCCGTTCAATGATTATTCCATTCGAGTCCATTCGATGATTCCATTCGATTCCATTCGATGATGATTGCATTCGAGTCCATGGAATATTCCGTTCCATTCCTTTAGATGATTCCATTCGAGCCCATTCGATGATTCTCTTCGATTCCATTCGATAATTCCGTTTGATTCCGTTTGAGGTTGATTCCATTCGAGTCCATTCGATGATAATTCCATTCGATTCTATGCGATGATTCCATACCATTCCATTGGAAGATGATTCCGTTCGAGACCATTCGATGATTGCATTCAATTCATTCGATGACGATTCCATTCAATTCCGTTCAATGATTCCATTAGATTCCATTTGATGATGATTCCATTGGATTCCATTTGATGATGATTCCATGCTATTCCATTAGATGATGACTCCTTTCATTTCCATTCAATGAGGATTCCATTCGTTTCCATCCAGTGAAGATTCCATTCGATTCCGTTCAATGATTATTCCATTCGAGTCCATTCGATGATTCCATTCGAGTCCATTCAATGTTAATTCCATTCGAGTCCATCGATTATTCCATTCTATTCCATTAGAAGATGATTCCATTCGAGACCATTCGATTATTCTCTTCGATTCCATTCGATAATTAAGTTTGATTCCGTTTGATGTTGATTCCATTCGAGTCCATTCGATGATAATTCCATTCCATTCTATGCGATGATTCCATTCCATTCCATTTGAAGATGAATCCGTTCGAGACCATTCGATGATTGCATTCGATTCATTCGATGAAGATTCCATTCAATTCCGTTCAATGATTCCATTAGTTTCCATTTGATGATGATTCCATTCGATTCCATTTGATGATGATTCCATGCAATTCCATTAGATGATGACTCCGCTCATTTCCATTCAACGAGGATTCCATTCGGTTCCATTTGATGATGATTCCTTTGAATTCCATTTGATGACAATTCCATTCAATACCAATTGATGATGGTTATTTTGGATTCCATTTGATGATGATTACATTCGATTCCATTTGATCATGATTCCATTCGATTCCACTCGATGATTCCATTCGATTCCATTCAATGATGATTCCATTCGATTTCATTGACTATTCCATTCCATTTCATTCGATGATTCCATTCGAGTCCATTCGAAGATTCTCTTCGATTGCATTCAATAATTACATTCGATTGCATTCGATAATTCCATTTGAGGATAATTCCATTTGAGTCCATTCGATGATTGTTCCATTCGATTCTATTCGGTGATTCCATTCGATTCCATTTGATAATGATTCCAATCGAGACCATTCGATGATTCCATTCAATTCCATTCAATAATGATTCCATTCGAGTCCATTCAATGATTCCATTCAAGTCCATTCGATGATTCCATCTGATTTCATTCAATGAATCCATTCGATTCCATTCTATGATGATTCCATTCATTTCCATGGGATGATGATTCCATTCGATTCCATTCAATGATTCCATTCGATTCCATTTGATGATGATTTCAATCAATTTCATTCGATGACTCCTTTCGAATCCATTCGATTATGAGTCCGTCCACTTCAATTTCATGATAATTACATTCGTTTCAATTCGATGGTGTTTCCAATCGATTCCATTCGATGTTGATTCCATTAGTTTCCATTGGATGATGATTCCTTTCGAGTCCATTCGATGATGATCACATTGGATTTCATTCCGTAATTCTATTCGATTCCATTCGATGATGATTGCATTCGAGTCCATGGATTATTCCATTCCATTCCATTAGATGATTCCATTCGAGTCCGTTCAATGATTCTCTTCAATTCCATTCGATTATTCCGTTTGAATCCGTTTGATGTTGATTCCATTTGAGTCCATTCAATGATAATTCCATTCGATTCTATGCGATGATTCCATTCCTTTCCATTGGAAGATGATTCCATTCGAGACCATTCGATGATTTCATTCAATTCATTCGATGACGATTCCATTCAATTCCGTTCAATGATTCCATTAGATTCCATTTGATGATGATTCCATTCGATTCCATTTGATGATGATTCCATGCGTTTCCAATAGATGATGACTCCTTTCATTTCCATTCAATGAGGATTCCATTCGGTTCCATTGGATAACAATTCCTTTGAATTCCATTTGATGACAATTCCATTCAATACCAATTGATGATGGTTATTTTTGATTCCATTTGAAGATGACTACATTCGATTCCATTTGATCATGATTCCATTCGATTCCACTCAATGATTCCATTCGATTCCATTTGAGGATAATTCCATCCGAATTACATTGATTGAAATCATCATCAAATGGAATCGAATGGAATTATTGAATGGAATCGCATGGAATCATCATCAGATGGAAATGAATGGAATCATCATAGAATGGAATCGAATGTATTCATTGAATGGAATCAGATGGAATCATCGAATGGACTTGAATGGAATCATTGAATGGACTCGAATGGAATCATTATTGAGTGGAATTGAATGGAATCATCGAATGGTCTCGAATGGAATCATTATCAAATGGAATCGAATGGAATCACCGAATAGAATCGAATGGAACAATCATAGAATAGACTCAAATGGAATTATCCTCAAATGGAATCGAGTGAAATTATCGAATGCAATCGAATGGAATAATCGAATGCAATCAAACAGAATCATCGAATTCACTCGAATGGAATCATCGAATGGAATGGAAAGGAATAGTCAATGAACTCGAATGGAATCATCATTGAATGGAATCGAATGGAATCATCGAGTGGAATCGAATGGAATCATGATCAAATGGAATGGAATGTAATCATCATCAAATGGAGTCAAAAATAACCATCATCAATTGGTATTGAATGGAATTGTCATCAAATGGAATTCAAAGGAATCATCATCAAATGGAAACGAATGGAATCCTCATTGAATGGAAATGAAAGGAGTCATCATCTAATGGAATCGCATGTAATCACCATCAAATGGAATCGAATGGAATCATCATCAAATGGAATCTAATGGAATCATTGAACGGAATTGAATGGAATCGTCATCGAATGAATTGAATGCAATCATCGAATGGTCTCGAACGGAATCATCTTCCGAAGGAATGTAATGGAATCATCGCATAGAATCGAATGGAATTATCATCGAATGGACTCGAATGGAATCAACCTCAAACGGAAACCAACGGAATTATCGAATGGAATCGAAGAGAATCATCGAATGGACTCGAATGGAATCATCTAATGGAATGGAATGGAATAATCCATGGACTCGAATGCAATCATCATCGAATGGAATCGAATGGAATCATCGAATGGACACTAATGGAATAATCATTGAACGGAATCGAATGGAATCATCATCGGATGGAAACGAATGGAATCATCATCGAATGGAATCGAATGGAATCATCAAATGGAATCAGATGGAATCATCATCAAATGGAATCGAATACAATTATGGAATCAAATCCAATGTGATCATCATCGAATGGACTCGAATGGAATCATCATCCAATGGAAACTAATGGAATCAACATCGAATGGAATCGAATGGAAACACCATCGAATTGAAACGAATGGAATTATCATGAAACTGAAATGGATGGACTCATCATCGAATGGATTCGAATGGAATCATCAGATGAAATTGACTGAAATCATCATTAAATGGAATCGAATGGAATCATTGAATGGAATCGAATGGAATCATCATCAGATGGAAATGAATGGAATAATCATAGTATGGAATCGAATGTATTCATTGAATGGAATCAGATGGAATCATCGAATGGACTTGAATGGAATCATTGAATGGACTCGAATGGAATCATTATTGAGTGGAATTGAATGGAATCATCGAATGGTCTCGAATGGAATCATTATCAAATGGAATCGAATGGAATCACCGAATAGAATCGAATGGAACAATCATAGAATAGACTCAAATGGAATTATCCTAAAATGGAATCGAGTGAAATTATCGAATGCAATCGAATGGAATCATCTAATGCAATCAAACAGAATCATCGAATTCACTCGAATGGAATCATCGAATGGAATGGAAAGGAATAGTCAATGAACTCGAATGGAATCATCATTGAATGGAATCGAATGGAATCATCGAGTGGAATCGAATGGAATCATGATCAAATGGAATCGAATGTAATCATCATCAAATGGAGTCAAAAATAACCATCATCAATTGGTATTGAATGGAATTGTCATCAAATGGAATTCAAAGGAATCATCATCAAATGGAACCGAATGGAATCCTCATTGAATGGAAATGAGAGGAGTCATCATCTAATGGAATCGCATGGAATCATCATCAAATGGAATCGAATGGAATCATCATCAAATGGAATCTAATGGAATTATTGAACGGAATTGAATGGAATCGTCATCGAATGAATTGAATGCAATCATCGAATGGTCTCGAATGGAATCATCTTCAAATGGAAACGAATAGAATCATCGCATAGAATCGAATGGAATTATCATCGAATGGAATCGAATGGAATCAACATCAAACGGAAAAAAACGGAATTATCGAATGGAATCGAAGAGAATCATCGAATGGACCCGAATGGAATCATCTAATGGAATGGAATGGAATAATCCATGGACTCGAATGCAATCATCATCGAATGGAATCGAATGGAATCATCGAATGGACTCGAATGGAATAATCTTTGAACGGAATCGAATGGAATCATCATCGGATGGAAATGAATGGAATCATCATCGAATGGAATCGAATAGAATTATGGAATGAAATCCAGTGTGATCATCATCGAATGGACCCGAATGGAATCATCATCCAACGGAAGCTAATGGAATCAACATCGAATGAATCGAATGGAAACACCATCGAATTGAAACGAATGGAGTTACCATGAAATTGAAATGGATGGACTCATCATCGAATGGATTCGAATGGAATCATCGAATAAAATTGATTGAAATCATCATCGAATGGAATCGAATGGTATCATTGAATGGAATCGAATGGAATCATCATCAGATGGAAATGAATGGAATCGTCATAGAATGGAATCGAATGGATTCATTGAATGGAATCAGATGGAATCATCGAATGGACTGGAATGGAATCATTGAATGGACTCGAAAGGGATCATTATTGAATGGAATTGAATGGAATCATCGAATGGTCTCGATTGGAATCATTATCAAATGGAATCGAATGGAATCACCGAATAGAATCGAATGGAACAATCATCGAATGGACTCAAATGGAATTATCCTCAAATGGAATCGAATGGAATTATCGAATGCAATCGAATGGAATTATCGAATGCAATCGAATAGAATCATCGAATGGACTCGAATGGAATCATCGAATGGAATGGAATGGAATAGTCAATGAACTCGAATGGAATCATCATTGAATGGAATCGAATGGAATCATCGAGTGGAATCGAATGGAATTATGATCAAATGGAATCGAATGTAATCATCATCAAATGGAATCAAAAATAACCATCATCAATTGGTATTGAATGGAATTGTCATCAAATGGAATTCAAAGGAAACATCATAAAATGGAACCGAATGGAATCCTCATTGAATGGAAATGAAAGGAGTCATCATCTAATGGAATTGCATGGAATCATCATAAAATGGAATCGAATGGAATCAACATCAAATGGAATCCAATGGAATCATTGAACGGAATTGAATGGAATCGTCATCGAATCAATTGAATGCAATCATCGAATGGTCTCGAATGGAATCATCTTCAAATGGAATGGAATGGAATCATCGCATAGAATCGAATGGAATTATCATCGAATGGAATCGAATGGAATCAACATCAAACGGAAAAAAACGGAATTATCGTATGGAATCGAAGAGAATCATCGAATGGACCCGAATGGAATCATCTAATGGAATGTAATGGAATAATCCATGGACTCGAATGCAATCATCATCGAATGGAAGCGAATGGAATCATCGAATGGACTCGAATGGAATCATCATCAGATGGAAATGAATGGAATCGTCATAGAATGGAATCGAATGGATTCATTGAATGGAATCAGATGGAATCATCGAATGGACTGGAATGGAATCATTGAATGGACTCGAAAGGGATCATTATTGAATGGAATTGAATGGAATCATCGAATGGTCTCGATTGGAATCATTATCAAATGGAATCGAATGGAATCACCGAATAGAATCGAATGGAACAATCATCGAATGCACTCAAATGGAATTATCCTCAAATGCAATCGAATGGATTTATCGAATGCAATCGAATGGAATTATCGAATGCAATCGAATAGAATCATCGAATGGACTCGAATGGAATCATCGAATGGAATGGAATGGAACAGTCAATGAAGTCGAAAGGAATCATCATTGAATGGAATCGAATGGAATCATCGAGTGGAATCGAATGGAATTATGATCAAATGGAATCGAATGTAATCATCATCAAATGGAATCAAAAATAACCATCATCAATTGGTATTGAATGGAATTGTCATCAAATGGAATTCAAAGGAATCATCATCAAATGGAACCGAATGGAATCCTCATTGAATGGAAATGAAAGGGGTCATCATCTAATGGAATCGCATGTAATCATCATCAAATGGAATCGAATGGAATCATCATCAAATGGAATCTAATGGAATCATTGAAAAGAATTGAATGGAATCGTCATCGAATGAATTGAATGCATCATCGAATGGTCTCGAATGGAATCATCTTCTAATGGAAAGGAATGGAATCATCGCATAGAATCGAATGGAATTATCATCAAATGGAATCGAATGGTATCAACGCCAAACGGAAAAAAACGGAATTTTCGAATGGAATCGAAGAGAATCTTCGAACGGACCCGAATGGAATCATCTAATGGAATGGAATGGAATAATCCATGGACTCGAATGCAATCATCATCGAATGGAATCGAATGGAATCATCGAATGGACTCGAATGGAATAATCATTGAACGGAATCGAATGGAATCATCATCGGATGGAAACGAATGGAATCATCATCGAATGGAAATGAAAGGAGTCATCATCTAATGGAATTGCATGGAATCATCATCAAATGGAATCGAATGGAATCAACATCAAATGGAATCAAATGGAATCATTGAACGGAATTGAATGGAATCGTCATCGAATGAATTGAATGCAATCATCGAATGGTCTCGAATGGAATCATCTTCAAATGGAATGGAATGGAATTATCGAATGCAATCGAATGGAATTATCGAATGCAATCGAATGGAATTATCGAATGCAATCGAATAGAATCATCAAATGGACTCGAATGGAATCATCGAATGGAATGGAATGGAACAGTCAATGAACTCGAATGGAATCATCATTGAATGGAATCGAAAGGAATCATCGAGTGGAATCGAATGGAATTATGATCAAATGGAATCGAATGTAATCATCATCAAATGGAATCAAAAATAACCATCATAAATTGGTATTGAATGGAATTGTCATCAAATGGAATTCAAAGGAAACATCATAAAATGGAACCGAATGGAATCCTCATTGAATGGAAATGAAAGGCGTCATCATCTAATGGAATCGCATGGAATCATCATCAAATGGAATCGAATGGAATCATCATCAAATGGAATATGATGGAATCATTGAACAGAATTGTATGGAATCGTCATCGAATGAATTGAATGCAATCATCGAATGGTCTTGAATGGAATCATCATCTAATGGAAAGGAATGGAATCATCGCATAGAATCGAATGCAATTATCATCGAATGGAATCGAATGGAATCAACATCAAACGGAAAAAAAAGGAATTATCGAATGGAATCGAAGAGAATCATCGAATGGACCCGAATGGAATCATCTAATGGAATGGAATGGAATAATCCATGTACTCGAATGCAATCATCATCGAATGGAATCGAATGGAATCATCGAATGGACTCGAATGGAATAATCATTGAACGGAATCGAATGGAATCATCATCGGATGGAAACGAATGGAATCATCATCGAATGGAAATGAAAGGAGTCATTATCTAATGGAATTGCATGGAATCATCATCAAATGGAATCGAATGGAATCAACATCAAATGGATTCAAATGGAATCATTGAACGGAATTGAATGGAATCGTCATCGAATGAATTGAATGCAATCATCGAATGGTCTCGAATGGAATCATCTTCAAATGGAATGGAATTGAATCATCGCATAGAATCGAATGGAATTATCATCGAATGGAATCGAATGGAATCAACATCAAACGGAAAAAAACGGAATTATCGAATGGAATCGAAGAGAATCATCGAATGGACCCGAATGGAATCATCTAATGGAATGGAATGGAATAATCCACGGACTCGAATGCAATCATCGTCGAATGGAATCGAATGGAATCATCGAATGGACTCGAATGGAATAATCATTGAACGGAATCGAATGGAATCATCATCGGATGGAAACGAATGGAATCATCATCGATTCGAAATGAAAGGAGTCATCATCTAATGGAAATTGCATGGAATCATCATAAAATGGAATCGAATGCAATCAACATCAAATGGAATCAAATGGAATCATTGAACGGAATTGAATGGAATCGTCATCGAATGAATTGAATGCAATCATCAAATGGTCTCGAATGGAATCATCTTCAAATGGAATGGAATGGAATCATCGGATAGAATCGAATGGAATTATCATCGAATGGAATCGAATGGTATCAACATCAAACGGAAAAAAACGGAATTTTCGAATGGAATCGAAGAGAATCATCGAATGGACCCGAATGCAATCATCTAATGGAATGGAATGGAATAATCAATGGACTCGAATGCAATCATCATCGAATGGAATCGAATGGAATCATCGAATGAACTCGAATGGAATAATCATTGAACGGAATCGAATGGAATCATCATCGGATGGAAATGAATGGAATCATCATCGAATGGAATCGAATAGAATTATGGAATGAAATCCAGTGTGATCATCATCGAATGGACCCGAATGGAATCATCATCCAACGGAAGCTAATGGAATCAACATTGAATGAATCTAATGGAAACACCATCGAATTGAAACGAATGGAATTATCATGAAATTGAAATGGATGGACTCATCATCGAATGGATTCGAATGGAATCATCGAATAAAATTGATTGAAATCATCATCAAATGGAATCGAATGGTATCATTGAATGGAATCGAATGGAATCATCATCAGATGGAAATGAATGGAATCGTCATAGAATGGAATCGAATGGATTCATTGAATGGAATCAGATGGAATCATCGAATGGACTGGAATGGAATCATTGAATGGACTCGAAAGGGATCATTATTGAACGGAATTGAATGGAATCATCGAATGGTCTCGATTGGAATCATTATCAAATGGAATCGAATGGAATCACCGAATAGAATCGAATGGAACAATCATCGAATGGACTCAAATGGAATTATCCTCAAATGGAATGGAATGGAATTATCGAATGCAATCGAATGGAATTATCGAATGCAATCGAATGGAATTATCGAATGCAATCGAATAGAATCATCGAATGGACTCGAATGGAATCATCGAATGGAATGGAATGGAACAGTCAATGAACTCGAATGGAATCATCATTGAATGGAATCGAAAGGAATCATCGAGTGGAATCGAATGGAATTATGATCAAATGGAATCGAATGTAATCATCATCAAATGGAATCAAAAATAACCATCATCAATTGGTATTGAATGGAATTGTCATCAAATGGAATTCAAAGGAAACATCATAAAATGGAACCGAATGGAATCCTCATTGAATGGAAATGAAAGGGGTCATCATCTAATGGAATCGCATGGAATCATCATCAAATGGAATCGAATGGAATCATCATCAAATGGAATCTGATGGAATCATTGAACAGAATTGAATGGAATCGTCATCGAATGAATTGAATGCAATCATCGAATGGTATCGAATGGAATCATCTTCTAATGGAAAGGAATGGAATCATCGCATAGAATCGAATGGAATTATCATCGAATGGACTCGAATGGAATCAACATCAAACGGAATCAAACGGATTTATAGAATGGAATCGAAGAGAATCATCAAATGGGCTCGAACAGAATCATCTAATGGAATGGAATGGAATAATCCACGGACTCGAATGAAATCATCATCGAATGGAATCGAATGGAATCATCGAATGTAATCGAATGGAATCATCAAATGGACTCTAATGGAATAATCATTCTACGGAATCGAATGGAATCATCATCAAATGGAATCTAATGGAATCATTGAACGGAATTGAATGGAATCATCATCGAATGAATTGAATGCAATCATCGAATGGTCTCGAATGGAATCATCTTCAAATGGATTGGAATGGAATCATCGCATAGAATTGAATGGAATTATCATCGATTGGACTCGAATGGAACCAACATCAAACGGAATCAAACGCAAATATCGAATGGAATCGAAAAGAATCATCGAATGGACTCGAATGGAATCAGCTAATGGAATGGAATGGAATAATCCATGGACTCGAATGAAATCATCATCGAATGGAATCGAACGGAATCATCGAATGGACTCGAATGGAATAATCATCGAACGGAATCCAATGGAATCATCATCGGATGGAAACGAATGGAATCATCATCGAATGGAATCGAATGGAATCATCAAATGGAATCAGATGGAATCAACATCAAATGGAATCGAATAGAATTAGGGAATGATATCCAATGTGATCATCATGGAATGGACTCGAATGGAATCATCATCCAATGGAAACTAATGGAATCAACATCGAATGGAATCGAATGGAAACACCATCTAATTCAGAAGAATGGAATTATCATGAAATTGAAATGGATGGACTCATCATCGAATGGATTCGAATGGAATCATCGAATGAAATTGATTGAAATCATCATCAAATGGAATCGAATGCAATCATTGAATGGAATCGAATGGAATCATCATCAGATGGAAATGAATGGAATCGTCATAGAATGGAATCGAATGGATTCATTGAATGGAATCAGATGGAATCATCGAATGGACTTGAATGGAATCATTGAATGGACTCGAATGGAATCATTACTGAATGGAATTGAATGGAATCATCGAATGGTCTCGAATGGAATCATTATCAAATGGAATCGAATGGAATCACCGAATATAATCGAATGGAACAATCATCGAATGGACTCAGATGGAATTATCCTCAAATGGAATCGAATGAAATTATCGAATGCAATCGAATGGAATTATCGAATGCAATCGAACAGAATCATCAAATGGACTCGAAAGGAATCATCGAATTGAATGGAATAGAATAGTCAATGAACTCGAATGGAATCATCATTGAATGGAATCGAATGTAATCATCGAGTGGAGTCGAATGGAATCATGATCAAATGGAATCGAAAGTATTCATCATCAAATAGAATCAAAAATAACCATCATAAATTGGTATTGAAAGGAATTGACATCAAATGGAATACAAAGGTATCATCATCAAATGGCACCGAATGGAATCCTCATAGAATGGAAATGAAAGGAGTCATCATCTAATGGAATCGCATGGAAACATCATCAAATGGAATCGAATGGAATCATCATCAAATGCAACTGAATGGAATCCTCAATTAATGGAAATGAAAGGAGTTATCATCTAATGGAATCGCATGGAATCATCATCAAATGGAATCGAATGGAATCATCATCAAAGGGAATCTAATGGAATCATTGAACGGAATTGACTGGAATCGTCATCGAATGAATTCAATGCAATCATCGAATGGTCTCGAAAGGAGTCATTTTCATATGGAATGGAATGGAATCATCGCATAGAATCGAATGGAATTATCATCGAATGGATTCGAATGGAATCACCTAATGGAATGGAAAGGAATAATCCATGGACTCGAATGAAATCGTCATCGAATGGAATCGAATGGAATCATCGAATGGACTCGAATGGAATAATCATTGAACGGAATCGAATGGAATCATCATCGGATGGAAACGAATGGAATCATCATCGAATGGAATCGAATGCAATCATTAAATGGAATCATATGGAATCATCATCAAACGGAAACTAATAGAATCATGGAATGTAATACAAAGTGATCATCATCGAATGGACTCGAATGGAATCATCATCCAATGGAAACTAATGGAATCAACATCGAATGGAATCGAATGGAAACACCATCGAATTGTAACGAATGGAAATATCATGAAATTGAAATGGATGGACTCATCATCGAATGGATTCGAATGGAATCATCGAATGAAATTGATTGAAATCATCATCAAATGAAATCGAATGGAATCATTGAATGGAATTGAATGGAATCATCATCAGATGGAAATGCATGGAATCATCATAGAATGGAATCGAATGGATTCATCAAATGAAATCAGATGGAATCATCGAATGGACTTGAATGGAATCTGTGAATGGACTCGAATGGAATCATTATTGAATGGAATTGAATGGAATCATCGAATGTTCTCGAATGGAATCATTATCAAATGGAATCGAATGGAATCACCGAATAGAATCGAATGGAACAATCATCGAATGGACTCAAATGGAATTATCCTGAAATGGAATCAAATGGAATTATCGAATGCAATCGAATGGAATTATCGAATGCAATCGAATAGAATCTTCGAATGGACTCGAATGGAATAATCGAATGGAATGGAATGGAATAGTCAATGAACTCGAATGGAATCATCATTGAATGGAATCGAATGGAATCATGACCAAATGGAATCGAATGTAATCATCATCAAATGGAATCAAAAATAACCATCATCAATCGGTATTGAATGGAACTGTCATCAAAAGGAATTCAAAGGAATCATCATCAAATGGAACCGAATGGAATCCTCATTGAATGGAAATGAAAGGAGTCATCATCTAATGGAAACGCATGGAATCATCATCCAATGGAACCGAATGAAATCATCATCAAATGGAACCGAATGGAATCCTCACTGAATGGAAATGAAAGGAGTCATCATCTAATGGAATCGCATGGAATCATCATCAAATGGAATCGAATGGAATCATCATCAAATGGAATCTAATGGAATCATTGAACAGAATTGAATGGAATCGTCATCGAATAAATTGAATGCAATCATCGAATGGTCTCGAATGGAATCATCTTGAAATGGAAAGGAATGGAATCATCGCATAGAATCGAACGGAATTAAAATTGAATGGACTCGAATGGAATCAACATCAAACGGAATCAAACAGAATTATCGAATGGAATCGAAGAGAATCATCGAATGGACTCGAATGGAATCATATAATGGAATGGAATGGAATAATCCATGGACTCCAATGCAATCACCATCGAATAAAATCGAAAGGAGTCATCGAATGGACTCGAATGGAATAATCATTGAACGGAATCAAATGGAATCATCATCGGATGGAAACGAATGGAATCATCATTGAATGGAATCGAATGGAATCATCGAGTGGAGTCGAATGGAATCATGATCAAATGGAATCGAATGTAATCATCATCAAATGGAATCAAAAATAACCATCATCAATTGGTATTGAATGGAATTGTCATCAAATGGAATTCAAAGGAATCATCATCAAATTGAATCGAAAGGAATCATCATCAAATGGATTCTAATGGAATTATTCAACGGAATTGAATGGAATCGTCATGGAATGAATTGTATGCAATCATCGAATGGTCTCGAATGGAATCATCTCCAAATGGAATGGAATGGAATTATCGCATGGAATCGAATGGAATTATCATTGAATGGACTCGAATGGAACCAAAATCAAAACGAATCAAACGGAATTATCGAATGGAATTGAAGAGAATCATCGAATGGACTCGAATGGAATCATCTAATGGAATGGAATGGAATGGAATCATCCATGGACTCGAATTCAATCATCATCGAATGGAATCGAATGGAATCATCGAATGGACGCGAATGGAATAATCATTGAACGGAAGCGAATGGAATCATCATCGGATGGAAACGAATGGAATCATCATCGAATGGAATCGAATGGAATCATCAAATGGAATCAGATGGAATCATCATCAAATGGAATCGAATAGAATTATGGAATGAAATCCAATGTGATCATCATCGAATGGACTCGAAAGGAATCATCATCCCATGGAAACTAATGGAATCAACATCGAATGGAATCGAGTGGAAACACCATCGAATTGAAACGAATAGAATTATCATGAAATTGAAATGGATGGACTCATCATCGAATGGATTTGAATGGAATCATCGAATGAAATTGATTGAAATCATCGTCAAATGGAATCGAATGGAATCATTGAATGAATTCGAATGGAATCATCATCAGATGGAAACGAATGGAATCATCATAGAATGGAATTGAATGGATTCATTGAATGGAATCAGATGGAATCATCGAATGGAGTTGAATGGAAACATTGAATGGACTCGAATGGAATCATCTAATGGAATGGAATGGAATAATCCATGGACTCGAATGCAATCATCATCGATTAGAATCGAATGGAATAATCGAATGGACCCGAATGGAATAATCATTGAACGGAATTGAATGGAATCATCATTGGATGGAAACGAATGTAATCATCATCGAATGGAAATGAGAGGAGTCATCATCTAATGGAATGGCATGGAATCATCATCAAGTGGAATCTAATGGAATCATTGAACGTAATTGAATGGAATCCTCATCGAATAAATGGAATGCAATCATCGAATGGTCTCGAATGGAATCATCTTCAAATGGAAACGAATAGAATCATCGCATAGAATCGAATGCAATTATCATCGAATGGACTCGAATGCAATCAACATCAAATGGAATCAAACGGAATTATCGAATGGAATCGAAGAGAATCATCGAATAAACTCGAATGGAATCATCTAATGGAATGGAATGGAATAATCCATGGATTCGAATGCAATCATCATCGAATGGAATCGAATGGAATCGTCGAATGGACTCGAATGGAATAATCATTGAACGGAATCGAATGGAATCATCATCGAATGGAATCGAACGGAATCATCAAATGGAATCAGATGGAATCAGCATCAAATCGAATCGAATAGAATTATGGAATGAAATCCAATGTGATCATCATCGAATGGACTCGAATGGAATTATTGAATGGAATGGAATGGAATAGTCAATGAACTCGAATGGAATCGTCATTGAATGGAATCGAATGGAATTATCGAGTGGAACCGAATGGAATCATGATCAAATGGAATCGAATGTAATCATCGTCAAATGGAATCAAAAATAACCATCATCAATTTGTATTGTATGGAATTGTCATCAAATTGAATTCAAAGAAATCATCATCAAATGGAACCGAATGGAATCCTCATTGAATGGAAATGAAAGAATCATCATCTAATGGAATCACATGGAATCATCATCAAATGGAATCTAATGGAATCATTGAACGGAATTGAATGGAATGGTCATCGAATGAATTGAATGCAATCATCGAATGGTCTCGAATGGAATCATCTTCAAATGGAAATTAATGGAATCATCGCATAGAATCGAATGCAATTATCATCGAATGGACTCTAATAGAATCAACATCAAATGCAATCAAACGGAATTATCGAATGAATTGAAGAGAATCATCGAATGGACTCCAATGGAATCATCTACTGGAATGGAATTGAATAATCCATGGATTCGAATGCAATCATCATCGAATGGAATCGAATGGAATCGTCGAATGGACTCGAATGGAATAATCATTGATCGGAATCTAATGGAATCATCATCGAATGGAATCGAATGGAATCATCAAATGGAGTCAGATGGAAGCATCATCAAATGGAATCGAATAGAATTATGGAATGAAGTCCAATGTGATCATCATCGAATGGACTCGAATGGAATCATCATTGAATGGAATCGAATGGAATCATTGAGTGGAATCGAATGGAATCATGATCAAATGGAATCGAATGTAGTCATCTTCAAATGGAATCAAAAATAACCATCATCAATTGGTATTGAATGGAATTGTCATCAAATGGAATTCAAAGGAATTGTTATCCAATGGAACCGAATGGAATCCTCATTGAATGGAAATGAAAGGAGTCATCATCTATTGGAAACGCATGGAATCATCATCAAATGGAATCGAATGGAATCATCATCAAATGGAATCTAATGGAATCATTGAACGGAATTGAATGGAATCGTCATCGAATGAATTGAATGAAATCATCGAATGGTCTCGAATGGAATCATCTTCCAATGGAAAGGAATGGAATCATCGCATAGAATCGAATGGAATTATCATTGAATGGACTCAAATGGAATCAACATCAAACGGATTCAAACGGAATAATCGAATGGAATTGAAGAGAATCATTGAACGGACTCGAATGGAATCATCTAATGGAATGGAATGGAATAATCCATGGACTCGAATGCAATCATCATCGAATGGAATCGAATAGAATTACGGAATGAAATCCAATGTGATCATCATCGAATGGACTCGAAAGGAATCATCATCCAATGGAAACTAATGGAATCAACATCGAATGGAATCGATTGGAAACACCATCGAATTGAAACGAATGTAATTATCATGAAATTGAAGTGGACGGACTCATAATCGAATGGATTCGAAAGGAGTCATCGAATGAAATTGATTGAAATCATCATCAAATGGAATCGAATGGAATCATTGAATGGAATCGAATGGAATCATCATCCCATGGAAATGAATGGAATCATCATAGAATGGAATCTAATGGATTCATTGAATGAAATCAGATGGAATCATCGAATGGACTTGAATGGAATCTGTGAATGGACTCGAATGGAATCATTATTGAATGGAATTGAATGGAATCATCGAATGGTCTCGATTTGGAATCATTTATCAAATGGAATCGAATGGAAATCACCGAAATAGAATCGAATGGAACAATCATCGAAATGGACTCAAATGGAATTTATCCCTCCAAATGGGAATTATCGAATGCAATCCAAATGTAATTATTGAAATGGAATCAAAGAGAATCATCGAATGGACTCCTCGATGGAATCATCAAATGAAATGGAATGGAATAGTCAATGAAATCGAATGGAATCATCATTGAATGGAATCGAATGGAATCATCGAGTGGAATCGAATGGAATCATGATCAAATGGAATCGAATGTAATCATCATTAAATGGAATCAAAAATAACCATCATCAATTGGTATTGAATGGAATTGTCATCAAATGGAATTCAAAGGAATCATCATCAAATGGAACCGAATGGAGTCCTCGTTGAATGGAAATGAAAGGAATCATCATCTAATGGAATCGCATGGAATCATAATCAAACGGAATCGAATGGAATCATCATCAAATGGAATCTAATGGAATCACTGAACAGAATTGAATGGAATCGTCTTCGAATCAATTGAATGCAATCATCGAATGGTCTCGAATGGAATCATCTTCAAATGCAAAGTAATGGAATCGTCGCATTGAATCGAATGGAATTATCATTGAATGGACTCGAATGGAATCAGCATCAAACGGAATCAAACGGAATTATCGAATGGAATCGAAGAGAATCATCGAATGGACTCGAATGGAATCATCTAATGGAATGGAATGGAATAATCCATGGACTCGAATGCAATCACCATCGAATAGAATCGAATGTAGTCATCAAATGGACTCGAATGGAATCCTCTAATGGAATGGAATGGAATAATCCATAGACTCGAATGCAATCACCATCGAAGAGAATCGAATATAGTCATCGAATAGACTCGATTGGAATAATCATTGAACGGAATCGAATGGAATCATCATCGGATGGAAACGAATGGAATCATCATCGAATGGAAATGAAAGGATTCATCATCTAATGGAATCGCATGGAATCATCATCAAATGGAATCGAATGGAATCATCATCAAATGGAATCTAATTTAATCATTGAACGTAATTGAATGAATCGTCATCGAATGAATTGAATGCAGTCATCGAATAGTCTCTTATGGAGTCATCTTCAAATGGAATGGAATGGAATCATCACATAGAATCGAATGGAATTATCATCGAATGGACTCGAATGGAATCAACATCAAACGGAATCAAACGGAATTATCGAATGGAATCGAAGAGAATCATCGAATGGACTCGAATGGAATCATCTAATGGAATGGAATGGAATAATCCATGGACTTGAATGCAATCATCATCGAATGGAATGGAATGGAATCATCGAATGGACTCGAATGAAATAATCATTGAACGGAATCGAATGCAATCATCATCGGATGGAAACGAATGGAATCATCGAATAGACTCGAGTGGAATCATCGTCGAATATAATCAAAAGCAATCATCAGATGGATTCGAATACAGTCCTCGAATGGACTGGAATGGAATCATCATTGAATGGAATCACCGAATGGGCTCCAATGAAATCATCATCGAATGGAATCGAATGGAATCATCATCGAATGGAATCAAATAGAATCATCAATGAATGGAATCGAATGGAGTCTTCGAATGGAGTCCGTTAGAATCATCATCGAATGGAACCGATTGCAGTCCTCATCTAATGGAATCAATTGGAATCATCGAATGGACTCAATGGAATCATCATCGCATGGAATCAAATGGAATCGTCGAATGGACTCACATGTAATCATCATCGAATGGAATCGAATGGAATAAATGATTGGACAGGAATGGAATCACCATTGAATGGAAACGAATGGAATCTTCGAATGGAATTGAATGAAATTATTGAACGGAATCAAATAGAATCATCATTGAACAGAATGAAATTGGATCATCATCGAATAGAATCTAATGAAATCAACATTGAAAGGAATCTAGTGGAGTTATCATCTAATGGAATTGAATGGAATCAGCAAGGAATGGAATCGAATGGAGAAATTGAATGGAATCCGTTGGAATCATCATCTTATGGAACCGAATGCAGTCATCATAGAATGGAATTGAATGGAATCAATGAAGGGACTTGAATTGTGTCATCATTGAATGGAATCGGATGGAATCATCAAATGGACTCGAATGGAATCATCGAATGGACTCTAATGGAATCGTCATCGAATGGACTCGAATGGAATCATTGAATGGACTCGAATGGAATCATCATCGAATGGAATCGAGTGGAATCTTCGAATGGAAACAAATGGAATCATCGAATGGAATCGAAGAGATTTATAAGAAACTTACTTGAACCAAACAATAGAAAAACAAACAAACCAAAACTCCCTAAAACTGTGATGAGGAAAGTAGACATCAGAACAGGAAATATCACTAGGGATGAAGAATAACATTTCAAAATGAAAAAGGGGAAAATACACCAAGAAGTCATGTAAATAAGAAATATGTATGCACACAATAGCATTACTTCAAAATACTTAATATAAAACCTATTAAAACTGAAAGGTAAAATAGTAAAACCATAGTCATCCATGGGGATTTCAACAGTCTCCTGCCAGAAATGTTTAAATTTTGTTAAACGAAATGTTGGGAAGGGTAGAGAGGATCTTAAAAATATAATTAGCCAATTTGATCTAATTGAATCTTTTAGAACAATCTAAGGATGAGGAATGAGGTAGCAGAGAGAGAAAAGGCAGACATCAAGGTGACATTAGTGTTTCAAGGCTATGAGAATACACCAATAATGGTGTGTGTGTGTGTGCAGATGGTAAGCTCAATCTTAAAAATGTTGAGTTTTAACTGACAATTCATTATTAGGAAAGATAAGAGGAAATGATATCTAGTGAGAGGCTATATGACTGAACTCTAAGAGAAAGGTCACAGCAGAAATTGTGTACTTGACAGCTCTATAAGGAGGTCAGTCAAAAATAAGTCAGTGATGAATTCTCTGGTGTAAAAGCAGAGGAATGAGGATTAGATTGAAAACACATGGAAGCAGAGTGACTTATGATAAAAACATGAGCTTGAAAATCCTGCAGAGAGGGCTTTAAATCCTGGGTATGATATTCTGCTTGTGTAGGCAATAGTGATAAAAACACAACAACAAAGAGAGGTAAAGAGCACTTTCCTTTGATATAAATAAAGGGCACGTCTTATTGCACATATATATATATATATATATGTATTGAACTGAGATTCAACATGTTTCTCTCATTGAAACAGCAAGCTCTCCAGGCCTTCATGTTCCCAGTGAGGTAGATAAACTTCTGATGATTATACTCACCCTCCCTCATTGCAAAGCTCCCATTGTTATTGTCTTGGCTCTGGATTCCCTCAAAAATAGACTATGAAACAAATATCTGGGGTCAGATACTTTAATCAGAAATTGAGTGAGAAAGCACAGAAGTGGAGAAAATGAAACAGAACACGAAGCCAGTGTCAATGAGTAGTTACTACTGTGTGCTCAGTAATGATGGAGGTATGGAGATTGTGTCAAAATAACTTTACAAAGAGATGGGGATGCTGGAATCCCCAAGTCTTATTGCTTAAGGATTGCCTTAGAATCATTAACTCTCCACCCCTAACTCCTTCTTTGTTCCTATGTGTGGTTGAGAAGCACTGGTTAGCCTCAAGGAGCTTGCAGGCAGGCCCAAAAATCAGAAAGACAGGCATGATGTGGGGAGCTCTCAGTTATCTGGAATCAGGTGAATTTCAGATGAACACATTGAGTCCAGGACATAGAAGACAAGTCATCAGCAATATCTGCTATAGCCAGTTTACTTTTTCTTTTTAAGAATATATATACATTTTATTGGGGGTCCCCAAGTCCCCCTTTGGCTTAATGATTCACATAACCCAAGAAAGCTGATTTTTTTTTTTGCGGTTATAGTTTCTAACAGTGAAAGAAACCAGATTAAAATAATCAGAAGCATAAAAGCACATAAAGTTGAGTCCAGGACAAACCAGATGTGAGCTTACAGGTGTCCTTTCATAGTGGGGACTTCACACTGACTAATTTTCTTTACAATGGTGTGAGACATGTGTGAACTTATTACCACCTAGGGAAGCTCAGTCAGTCTTGAGTCCAGGATTTTTATTAGGATTCCACCACATATGCATCAAGCGTCCTGTGACTGAACATAGCTACTCAGTTCCCAACCTCCCTATGCGTTAAGAGAGGTCATATTAATATGGCATTACACAAAGTCATAGGCATACAGAAACAGGTGCTCACAAGAAATCACGTTGTTAGCATCAGCTATTTGATATGACCTACGTTTTCATGTATGCAAAGACTCACATCAGGCAACATATACCAAGGGCTCATAGGTTAACATCTCCCAGGAGCTTGTCAAGGGCCAGTCCTGAAGACCTTTGGAATGCGCAAGATTTTGGAAAGCCATGTCTGCAGAATTAACCCTTCATTACACAACCTCCAAGACTTTTTTTATCTTTAAAAATGTTCTTTGATCTTTGACAATATACCAACCAATACTGAGTAATTAGTAACAACAGTGTACTCCTGAGTACTTGCACCTGCAAGGAGAAAAAGGACAGACGCACTTACATAGGACAGATGCATATAGACACCACTATGACAAGTAAAGCTGGAATAATCAATAAATTCCTAAAGACTAAGTGGGGCTGGTGAGATTGGGAGACCGCTGACAGCTGCAGAAGTTGGGAAAGATCCATCATCTTGAAAACATTTTCCCAACAAACCCAATGCGATCTCTCAAGCAATTGGTAAGGAATTCAAGAGAGTCTGTATATGACACAGATCAGGGAGAGCAGAACACTTGGGAGGTGACCAGATCTTGGGGGTCGAGCCCATATGAATGGGATTAGTGTCTTTATAAAAGAAGCTCAATGGAGTTCTTGTGTGCCTTCCACTACGTGAGGACATAGAAAGAAGGCACTATCTATGAACCATGAAATGGGCTCTCATCAACACTGAATTTGTGAGCATCTTGACCTGAGATCTTACAGCCTCAAGAAGTGTGAAAAAAAAAATCTGTTGCTTTTTAGTCACTCAGTTTATGTTATTTTGTTATAAGAGTCCAAATAGAGCAAGATATTCCACTTAATATGTAGGGGAAGGCAACAACAACTGCCACACTTAGAATAATCCTGATGCTGGGAGTATGAAAACAAGAAAAACAAAACAAACCTGCTCTAGGAGGTGAAGGAGGAATATCACTGAGCTCACCAACACAGCCAGGAAAAGAACAGAAGTGTGAGAAGGCTACATTCCTGAGACCCTGAGAAAAAGTACCTGCATAAGACTGAGATCAAATTACCTACTCTAGTTATGATTGAAATCCCAAAATAAAAGAGGGAAAAATAATGGAGCAAAAGAAATATTTTTCAAAATAACTGCCAAAAACATTGTAAAAGAAGTGACAGAAAATCAAACTTCAAATATAGGAAACTCAGAGAATGTCAAATAGAACAAAAAGAAATAAGAATTACATCTTGAAAAATCTTTAAAAAGTCAGGTCTAAATTTTATATCTTGCTCCAAATATATAGAGATATAAATAGGTTATCATCAAGATATGGAGAAAGCCATATCATGGAAACACTAAAATAAGGCTGTGGAAGGACTACATCGATATTAGCCACAACAGAGTTCGGAACAAGAAATAGTATCAGAGATGAGAGATAATACATAATAGAATCATCAATTACATACAAGAAGATGTAAACATCCTACTAATTAGGGTATGCAGCTAACAACAGAACCTCCAAATACATGAGGTAAAACAAGAAAGAAATCAAAGGTGAACTAGAAAAAATCAAAATTATATTTGCAGACTTCAACACTTTTGTCTTAGTAATGGAAAGACAAGGCACAAACTCAATAATCATGTGGAAGTTAAGAACAACAATATCACCAACAAGACATCCAATCTTCAATGGCAGATAATCTTTCCTTTCTAGTGAAAAAAAAACAATATGGCATATTCTCTAACAAACCCAGAATTTATAACATTTGCGTTCTTCCTTACTTCTTTCCATCTTCCTTTCTCTTCTCTTCCCTTCACTTGCCTTCTTCCTTCCTTTCTTCTTTTCCTCTTCCTTTTCTTTTTTCTTTTCCTTTCTTTCTTTTCCTTCTTTTTTCTCCTTCCTTCCTTCTTTCCTTCTTTGTTTCTTTCCTCTTATTCTTCCTTCCCTAATCCCTCCCTTCCTTTCTCCCTCCCTTTTCTTCCTTCTTTTCTCATATTCTTTCTTTCTCACGTTCTTGCTTTCTTTCCTTTTTTCTTCCTTCCTCCCTCCCTTCCTTTCCCCTTTTTCTTTCCTTCCTTCGCCTGTTTGTTTTCTTTGTTTCTTTGCCTTCCTCCCTTTTACCATTCTCTCTTCCTCCTTTCCTTCCTCCCTTCCTCCTTTCTTTCTTTCTTTCTCTCTTTCTCTCTCTCTTTCTCTTTCTTTCTTTCTTTTTTCTTTCTTTCTTTCTTTCTTTCTTTCCTTCTTTCTTTCTTGTGTTCATGTTTTCTGTTTTCTCCCTTCCTGCCTTTCTCCCTTCCTCCCTCCCTCCCATCCTTCCCTCATTTCCTCCTTCTTTTCTCTTTCTTTCTTTATTCCTTCCTTCCTTCTTTCCTTCCATCTTTTTCTTTCTTTGTTTTCTTTTCTTTCTTTCTCTTTACTGTAATTAATATTATTTTAGAAAATTAAGAGAGGGAGTCAGAAACATATAGAAAGCTTTAATCTGCAGGTAAATAGACTATGTCTGCTGTAGGCCAAAGAATGGCCTCCCAAAAATTTTCATGTCCTAATTCCCAGAGTCTAACATACAAATATGTTAGGTTGCACGGCAGTGTGAAATTAGATTTCAAGTGAAATTAAGGTTGCAGAACAATGATAGAGAGATTGTCTTAAATGGGTGGGATCAATGAAATCACAACCTTCCTTTTAAGTGAAAGAAGAAGGCAGAAGAAAGGCAACCTTGGAGGTGGTGGCATGAGAAATTACTCAACATCACTGACTTTTAAGATACAAGAATGAGGACCCAGTGGGGTGGCTCACGCCTAAACCCAGCACTTTGGGAGGCTAGGGTGGGTTTATCACGAGATCAGGAGATCAAGACCATCCTGGCTAACATGGTGAAACCCCATCCCTACTAAAAATACAAAAAATTAACTGGGTGTGGTGGCAAGTGTCTGTAGTCCAAGCTACTCAGGAAGCTGAGTCAGAAGAATCACTTGAACCCGGGAGGCAGAGGTTGCAGTGAGCTGAGATCGTGCCACTGCACTACAGCCTTGGTGACAGAAGGAGACTCCATCTGAAAAAAAAAAAAGAAAAATAGGATATAAGAATGAGGTCATGTTCCAAAGAATAAAGGTGGCCTCTGGATGCTGAAAAATATCAAGTAATAGATTATGCCACATAGCCCTCAGAAAGACTGCAGCCCTACCCAAAACTTGATGTTAGCCCTGCGAGTTTCATTTAAGGCTTCTGTACTACAGAACTGTGGGATTAACGGTCACTTTATTGTAATATATGAAGTTTGTGGTAATTGGTTACAGCAGCAAGAGGAAGTTTATATTGTAATTGTATCACGAAAATGAGAACCATAATTTACAACTGCTTTTAATACTGCCCTTGGATGTTTGAAATCACATACATGGAAATGATCTCTATGTGCATGAGGGAGGATAGCAAATTGATGCCAAAATATTGCAAATGCAAATCTTACACTCATTTCTATGTAGGTTTCATTTAATCTTTGAAATTAAAATGAAATTAAAAGATTGTGATCTTTTGATGAAATTAGATTAAAATGAACAATAACAAAATAAGAACTTACTTATATTCTTTATATGGTCAATAAAGAAGTGATAGTGGAAAAAAACAAGATCAAATGAAGGTGATGATTTAGGAAGTTGGAAAGATAGCTGAAACTACAAAATGGTATATAACCAGTGAACACTTAGACACACTGATTGATGAACTTCAGCTTTTGGCTTGGTGAGAGCATAAAATAAGAGCAGCTGAGGTTTCCAAATTAGTAATCTCCTTGTGGAAAATCAGGGAAAACACATCTCAGCCTGATAAGATTTCTCTACTAAAGAGTCTAGACTTGATCCATTTGTCCTTGTAATTCAAAAGCTAATTCAAATACTGATTTGATGTATTGTGTGAACAACCATTGCTGATTATCATCGCATACCTGGCATTCTCTTGTATCTGATATCTAAAATATTTGGTAATTCCTGGACTTTCTCTTTTCAAACCCAGGACGGTTTAATTTGAGTCTTAGAACAGTTGTCTTTGAGAAATTCTTCCCTCTACTGCATCTGTGAATGGGTATAGCATGGTTACATACATACTGTCACTCCATAGAACATTTGTTAAATTATAGCCAAAGTTTAAAGCAAGAGCTTTAACTTACTGGTTTTACTAATGGTTTCCTCCCCAATAGCCACAACCATATTGCTACCCTCACACCTTTTAACGTAAAACTTGGTGTTGTCTATTTTTCAGATGCTGTCATCTATATGATCTCAGTATTTTAAAAATCAGCTTCCAGCCCATATGGTGGTTCATGCTTGTAATACCAGCAGTTGAAGAGCCTGACATGAGAGCATTCCTTGAGCCCTGGAGTTCACAAGCAACCTGAGCAACATAGCAAGACCCAGTCTCTATCAAAAGTTAAAAAAAAAAAAGTGGGCAAGGTGATGTGCACCTGTTGTCCTAGCCATTTGGGAGGCCAAGGTGGAAGGATTGCTTGAGCTTGGGAGGCTGAGGCTGCAGTGAGCAGTGATTGCACCACTACACTCCAGCCTAGGCAACAAAGAAAGACCCCATCTCAAAAAATATATATAATAAAAATAAACATCAACTATCATTGATTTCTATGTAAATATGCACAGGTGATGTCCATATAGACATAAATAATAATATTTCTGACAATGGGTCCATATGATCTTCAAAATGTAAAATGCCTGTCTGTGTAATTGACTGGTTAGTCTCATTAATGAATATAGATTCAATTCTACTTTCTTGTTCTAGATAAATTATATAATCTAGCTTTTCATTTCACTTATTTACTGATAACAACAGGAGGAATGACAGGATATCTATTTTGGAAAATTACTCTGGTAGGAGTAAAGATGAAACAATGATAGAATTGCACGGACAACTAGAAAAATGTATGGTCTTCTGATATTCTATCACATCACATACTAAAGGCCTCATAAAACTCAGATATTTTATCTAAAAATGTTATTTTCATCATAGGAATGATCAAAGCATGAGACTACAATTGTATTAAAATGTGCTTGTATCACAAGCACAGGTGCTAAAAAGGAGGGGAAAACATCCTTACTGATATTTTCAACGTATGTTTTACTTTTCATCAACATGAACCTCAACTTGATATGATGCAGATTGAAGGAAATCACCCATAATTCCATAAGAAGAAGGCCTGTGATATTTTATGGGAAAATAAATTGAGAAAATGCTAACAGAAACTCTGTTAAGCATGAAGCTTTATGGAGCAAACACAAATCCAGTGGTGAAAGATAAACACTCGAGTTCTGTTTGTTGTCTTGGAACAATACGGTTTAGAGGTGACTGGCGGGTGAGGAGAACATATGCGAGTTCACCAAAGAGAAAAGCTGAATGAGGCAATGCCTCTTCCTGAGCATATCTCTTACTCAGATAACTATAGAATTTATTGTCCAGTAAAGGGTATATTAAAAAATCATATTAAAAGTCATGCAGTGAAGTTGTCCAGGGAAATCAAGACTTAACAGTCTCACTCTGACAATAATGAACAGGGGGATTCCCTCAAGATAGACTAGGACATGACCCCACACTGGCAGGTAGTAGTACCAGAAAAGAACGCATGGAAAATCTTTACCTTATGCTTGAGGTAGGGACCAGGCTAAAGTGAAAGCCAGACCTAAAATTCTATCTAAAATAAATCCACAATCGAAGAAAATATGTGGTGTACAGGCATAGAATGTCTTTACTGGATCATTGAAATAGTAAGATAAATTCAACTTTTTACATTGTTGTCTTTTCCTCCAGTTAGGGCTTCAGGTTTGTCTCTGGAGAGTGACTGTCAATTGGAGCCCTGCCTTTCTGGGGTTCTGGTCAGGGGGTTGTGGATGCTTAACATGTGCCTTTCACAGGACACTTCCTTACCCCAGCAGTGGCCAGGTGTGCATCCCACGACCAGGCCTCCCTCTCACGGAACATCTGTTGAGACTAGGAGATGCCTGGTGACTGTTGCCTGACCTGTGTCCTGTGTATTTCTGACAAGAGCCACTCTCAGAGACCCTGGCCAGGAGGAGAGTTAGGTTCTAGTGTAGCTCAGCTCAGACACATGGAGGCCACAGAACCAAACATGGGAAATCACAGAAGTAGGTTTATTACTCACAGATCCAGAGAGAAGAGGGTAGCTGAGAAGAGGGTTTAGCTGTGTCCCCAGCCAAATCTCATCTTGAATTCCCACATGTTGTGGGAGGGAACAGGTGGGAGGTAATTGAATCATGGGGGCAGGTCTTTCTCATGCTGTTCTTCTGATAGTGAATAAGTCTCACAAGATCTGATGGTTTTATAAAGGGAAGTTTCCCTGCACAAGCTCTCTTGTCTTGTCTGCTGCCATGTGAGACGTGCCTTTCAGCTTGCACCATGATTGTGAGGCCTACCCAGCCATGTGGAACTGTTCGTCTATTAAACCTCTTTCTTCTGGCAATTACCCAGTCTTGGGCATGTCTTTACCGGCGGTGTGAAAATGGACTAATACAGTAGCACACCTCATAGGGCTGAACAAAATGGGGAAGATGAGTGGGGAGCAGGAGAGAGAAAAGGGGTCTGTGGGACTCCAGCCATTATTTGGCCCAGAACATTACCCAAATAAGTTTTCCACGGGGCACTAGTCGGTGGGGTGAGTGCCAGCAGGCACATTTCTTGACTCCCGCTGCAAGCGAGCAGGTTACTGTGGCGTGTGGGGGCTGTCCATGTGCGCTGTGAGGTCTGTGGGGTGAGTCAGGTAGGTTGTATCCAACGGTTCCATAGCTGGTAGTCACCACGAGGAGATAACTGTGTAGGGTCAATATCTGGGCCAACCACACTGAGGAAGTGTGAGGGTTAGAACTGGAAATTGTCAAGAGAATCCGAACCCAGCTACCATATGAGAGAGTTCAACTTATGTTCAATGTGAATGCCATGGCAATATTAAAAGGTAAGAATTCGCTCCATATGTGCTTGAGGTAAATAGGAGAAACCTAGAATTTCTGTAAACAGTGAGAAGGTTGGATGCGTTTTATGTCACGTATTTCAATACTAGCAGCTTATTATATATGTCAATCCATCAGGCATTCAGAAATACAGGCTTATGAAAATTTTTTGCACCATCAGACAAAAGACAAGGGTAGAAGACTTTTGTAACCCCATAAACACTAGTAAATTAAAAACAGAAGGACCTTTATGTCCTAACATATCTGTGTTGTGAAAGGCTGCCCTGTGAAATATGGGATTTCTTAAACATATTTTAAAAATCATAGGTGTCAATTTTTTTAGAAATCCGTTTAAATTTTCTCTTGTTATTTTACAATGCCTATTTATTTATTTAGTGGCTCTGCTGATTTTGATGTATATCCAAAACTTTATATTTTCTTTAAAATATGTTTTATAGAACTTTATGTAAAATGTTTCAGTATCTTCACATTCTCTCCCTGTCCTTTTGTTTTGCTCTTATATGGTGGTCTTGAGTCTTTTCTCTGGCTTTTCAAACCTAGTAAGACTAAGACACTAAGGTAACTTTGCCCGTGGTTTGGTAATGCCTTCTAAAGCACATCCTAAGCTCTCGTGCATACAGGGGTCTCCTTTGAGCTCTGTGCTTTTGAGATCTCATACACCTAAATTCCAGTACTCCAAATCAGTACTGCTCGGTTTTAGTGACTAAGTTTAAAAATGTATTTTAATAGCAAGTTAGTTTAGTGCCCTCTTGCTTCTTTCTTGACTGCTTGTATACATTTATATTCCTTTAAATGAATCTTGAAATTTATTTAGAAATATTAAATTATACTAATGAAACTGTATATTGTTGTGAATTCATAAGTGAATTTGGAAAGAATTTGTCTTTATGATACTAAATCCTTTTTATCCAAGAATCATATATGTCTTTATATTTATTCCAGTCTATATTTATATCACTGAGTAAATATGTAGAAATGTGGATACATACAGCTGTAGTTACAGATACAAATATAGATATAACCTGCTAAATCTATATCTATCCCATATAACATATATACATGTTATATGTGTGTGTTTATATATATATGTTTATGTCGTGAAAGAGCTCCCTTAATATTTTTCTTTTATTTCCCTTATAATTTTAGGTCGAGCTTGAATTTTCCTTGTATAAACAAGCAAATATTTATACTAGTATTAATACTGATGTTTAGACATTGTATCTTATTTTAGCGCTGAATATTTTCACAATTATTATAAATATTATCTAATACTAATAATGTACCTGTTAAAAATTTCTAAAATTTTACCTTGAATTATTTTATTGTTGAATTAAAATTCCTTTAATATGATAGTCAATTTCTATTTTATGCTTTCTCTATGCATATGTAAATTAATGTATCCACTTCTCTATCTCTATGTAGTAACATATGAAAATCAGGCCTCTCTTCTTCTAATGGACATACACATGTTTGCATATAGAATATCAGACTCTTTATAGCATTTAAAATCTTTAAAGACATGAATATTGCCTTTTAACAAATATATTATAGCATGTACTGAGAATCCCCTATTTATTTTTAATTTGGGCTAATCAATATGATTATTAATATTACTGGATTACCAAATTTGGAAACACACTTTCATCCCGAAGGTGGATTTTTTTTTTTTTGCCAATTTCTTGTCTAATTGTTTCAAATATTGTTGGATATTATTTGTATTTTATTTGGCATTTTAGTATCAACATTTGTAATTGAGGTACTCTACATATTTTTTCATCAATATCTGGTGGGTTTCATAGTTACTGCTATATTGGATTTGTAGTAGACATTGACAAAAATTATTCCTGTATGTTTTATAGCTGTATGAAGGAAACTAATATATTTTACCCCTAAATATATTTCCTTGATATATTTCAAAATGGCTATTGAGAAGGGCTGGAAATGCAAAGTTAGCTGCAAAGCTGTCTTGGGGAGATTTGCATCGGTAGAGAATCTGCCCTGATGCAGCCAGGTTTTCTCTGAGGTCTGCCCCCTTGTCTGGATCTAGGAAAGGTTAACTGAGAGGCTGAGGTCTCCAAAGGTCTGAAAGAAACATTTTCTGTCTATTCTCTCTGAGGACTACTCCCAGTGAGATTCCACCTGTGTAATAAGTCCACTGTTGCTAGCCAGGGTCGTTTTCTCACATAACCTTTTTCTTTCTTTTCCCTGTGATCCAAGACCCCATTTTTCTGTAAACTTCATGTGGTAGATAAGCTTCTGCACGCATCGTGTGACTGGGTCTTCGTTCTAAGGGTTCCAGTGTACACACATTGCAGAAACCTGTATGCCTTTTCTACTATTTATCTGCCTCCTATTAGTGATTTTCAGGGAGACTTCAGAAGGCAAAAGGGACATTCTCCTTTAGCCCATTATCAGACAAATTCCCCCAACATTTAACTGATTCCTAATAGCTTAAAATCACTTTGAAAAATACATATATTTATATCCTTTTCTTCCCTCTATGATTTCTGGTCAGCTTGGGTTTTGTTTTTCATTCCATTTACTTCATCCTCGAAAAGATCTATTTTACGTCTATTTATTCTCATTTATGGACATCGAGAAAAGAAAATAACTTTCATGTGAGAAATGCAAGTCCTTTGAAATAATCAGGCCCAGAGAGATATTCAAATGAGACAGCAGTTCTGTCCTGCTCCTCTTTGAGCTGTGTGTTCATCTAGGCTCCTTGCTGTTGCCACAGTAGCTATGAATTAACCAATAACGCCACACCAGACACTATAATCCACACCCCATAATAGTGTAACCGTGTATAGCCAGTCACTAATAAATGTTATTTCCATAAGCCAATGAGAATTTGTGACAAACCTCTTTGCATCATCCCACTTCTGGACCCTTTTTTACCTTTAAGAAACTGCTTGTTGCAAAGCTCCAAAGGGAGTTCACATCCAAGGATACTTGGGTCTGTTTCTTCCAGGCAGCTGTCCTCACTGTGGCTTAAGTAAACTCTTTGAATTACGTTTTGTGCTTCAGCCCCTTCCACTTAGATTAACAACATGGATTTGTGTCACCATGTACAGCAATTAAAATGTTTACACTTTTCCCCTCGAGGGCACTGATGTGTTTTCCTGAGCACTTGGAATAGCTACGTAGTGTTTCCTGTCTAGATTATGGTTTCTCAACCTTGGTGCTACTTACCTTTAGGACCAGAGGATTCTTTGTTGTGGGAGGCTGCCCTAGCAATGCTAGGTGTTTCTTGTGACCTCTAAATTTCACACCTCCACCAGTCTTGACATCCCCACGATAACCCTAGACATTGACAAATGTCTCCTGGGGAAAACTCTCCACCAGTTGACAGGCAAAGTTCTGGAAATATTGGAATTGTCAATTGAGATTTTATGTTATCCAAAACAAATATTTTTCTTTGTTTTTAAACATCTACTTCCATCTACTTATCTACTTATTTTTACTTTTATTTGTAACTTAATTCCATCAAGGAGAGAGAGTGCATTTTCTGTTATGCTAAATTTTTGAAGAATGTATTGATATTTTATGACCTGATATATGGATGATATGTAGATATTACATGTTTGTATTATCAAATTTCAGGGTGATAATAAAATAAATACTTATAATATTTATATTGTCACTGTATATTAGTTATTTTCTTTCTTCACTACAGGAGTTTTTCAACCTATAGGCTATGTTTCAATTCTAGGTTATCCAGTAGATTTTGAAATGTTCTGATTAAATATCTACTTCTCAAGCATTCATCTTTGCAAATGAAACGATCCCAAGCTCTTATAATACACATCATATAAAGGGCAGATTAGTCAATGTATGGTTCAGAAATAATTATGTAATATTTATAAGAAAATTAAAAATTTATATCCTTAACTCAGATAAGAATAATCCAAATTAAAATTGGATTTCATTACATAATTTAAAATGACACCAGAATGCTAGTAAAAATTATACAAAAAATTTATGTAATCTTATTAAGCTGTGGGACTTTATTAGCATAAATTCAAATACAGGAACCAAAGTAAGATTGAGAGCTATAGTCAAAGGTTAAAATGTACACATTATAGGGGCATGATTAAACTAATTTAAAGCATAATAACATGGAGAAATATTGCAAAACATACATTTTACTGAATTAATTGTTAGTATCTAATCATTTTGTGAGAACCAAATTAAAAAGTAGCTACACACGCACACACCCACACACAAGTGCAATACTGTCAAATAAACGATGTTCAGCTACACTAGAAATCACACCTGTGTTTTCTCCACAGAAAAGATTAAAAATCGCAATAATTTTTATTGTACATATGGAGGTAAAGATACTCAAAATATTACCCTAAAATACATTATTTTTTTGAGATGGAGTTTTGTTTTTATTGCCCAGGCTAGAGTGCAATGGCACAATCTTGGCTCACTGCAACTTCAGCCTCCCAGGGTCAGGTAATTCTCCTAGCTCGGCCTCCCAAGTAGCTGAGATTACAGGCATGCACCACCACACTCGGCTAATTTTTTGTATTTAGTAGAGACGGCGTTTCACCATGTTGGTCAGGCTGGTCTCCAACTCCTGACTTCAGGTGATCTACCCACTTCAGCCTCCCAAAGTGCTGGGATTACAGGCATGCGCCTGGCCAGCTTTTTGACATATTTCACGATGGCTACTCGGAAGACTGGAGATAGCTTCTTCTACAAGAATAGCTGAAAAGCTGTGTTTGTTGGGGAGATTTGCATTTGTAGAGAAAATCTGCATTGATATAGACAGGCTTTCCCTGAGATACTCCCTTGTCTGGGTATAGGAATGATTAACTGAGCCTGGCACGTTTACATTTCTAAAAGCCATTTCCTATCTATACTTCCCAAGAGGAGGGCTGCTCCCTGTGAGGTTTCATCCATGTAACAAGACCACCTCTGCTGCCAGGCTCCTCTTTCTTCCTTGTCGTCACCTGTCTTCCACAAAGCCTGATTTACCAACCTACAGCTCTGTGTTTTCTGCAACCTCAAGACAGCATAGGCGTGTTGACTACCTTGCCTTTCCTGGAGTTTTTATATAAAGAGTATATATTTGTATATCTCTTTATAATATACAAATATTTGTATAGATATAATATATATATTATGTAAACTCCAAGTGCATACTTGTGCACATATCTGTAAACCTTTTTTTCCTGTTAATTTGTACATTATCAGTTTGTTTTATAGACTCAAATAATTAAAGCTTCAAGGGAAAAATTTAAATTTTCCTATAGAGAAAAGACAAACATATAGGTGACAAATAATATTTAGAGTGTAAGACGCTTTTTAAAGGTATATTTGCAATTTGTGTCAAAACATTGAAATGTACATTTGTTATTTTAACAATAAAATTTCAATTAATTTAAGCCAAATACATAGTATATGCAGAAAATTTAGCAATATATCTATGTAGCACCTTACTGTGCATTATTGTAACCAGCCGTCTAATATAAAGAATTAAGGTAGCAGCTGCTTTCCAAATAGCGCATTTTTTTCACAGACCTATTAAATAAGACAAATAACATTTAAACTTTATTTTTAAATTTGCAGAATAGCAGTTTTCAGCAGATGGTTTATTTTAGCAAATTCCATCTTCACATTGTGCTATGCTTTTATGAGTTCCAGCTGTTAACGGATACTATTTTACTGCTGAAACTATCCTGTGTGATATAATTGCTCATTATGTGCCTTAAAACACAAGCAATATAATTATTTTCAACTTGGAGCAAATTAAAATCTTATCAGCAATTTAAAATCTCTAGAGTCATCTTCTTCTGGTTAATTATTTTAAACTTGTATTTTTCTCTTTATGTTTTTAGTGAGTTCTCTTATCAAGGAGAAGATCTCAAGGTGATTATTCTTTTTTTTCTCTTCCATGCACCTCGCAGGTGTGTTAATAATTTCATTTCTCAGAAAATATTCTTTCATATCTATCTTACAAGATGAGAGACCTTTTAATATCTTCCATTCGGATGTGATACCAGTAATGGAACATATTCCAGCTTCATGAATATGGTGATACAAATAGTTATTCATCTAACCTCTTTCAGTGCCAAATGTTTACTATACTCAGTGAGTTACTCAGTTGACTGGTAATTTCTTCTGAAATCACTAATGAGAGGATCAGAGGTCTGGCTGTTGTCTGTACCTCATATGACTCCCAGTGCAGACAATTGTTTCTATGGAGCACAGACAGTTGAAAGGATTGACTTCCTGCCTAGAATAGTTTCTGCTGTGCTTCTTATCCTTCTTGTGGAGATTTCAGATTACCTGAATTGCTTTTCTATCTTAAGAAAAAACGCAACGATTCTCCCACCTGAGAGGAATGTAAACTGAAGTAAGTTAACAGAACCAATCCATAAAGTTTTTACATTGTTTGTTGCAAAATGCAGCGCTGGTGTCTCCATCACTAACCTTTTCTATCCCTCATTGCTCTTTCTTTGACTGCAATAGGATACCTCTATGCAAATCTGTATTCCCGAGACTGAGTGCCCTTTTGGTGAGCTATAAGCACACTCAATGGTAGGCTGAAATACTAGTTTTTATCTATGGCGAAATGGAATCATATCAGTGAATTTTTTAAAAAGGAAATTTAACTCTTGCTATGGTTTGAATGCTTGCCCCTTCCAATCTCATGTTAAAATTTGATCCTCAATGTTGCAGGTGGGGCTCACTGGGAGGTGTTTGGTCATGGGGTTGGACCTTCATGAATGGATAAAACTCTCCCTTAGAAATCTAAAGCTATCCTCCCTCCTCGGTGCCCTCAGGAATGAGTGTACCATTCCTTATTCACCTATGATTACCCCACCCATCCTTTTTGAGATATTGACTACATGTATGTTACACTGATGCACATTGTCTGACCTATGAGTGAGTTTCTGGTTTTCTTATTTTAGTTTACCGTTTGTCCTTTAGTTTGTAATGCTTCCAATTTGTTCTATAAATGTTCTGATGTTAGGGTAAAATCCATTACTTATTCTATCTCATGGAATTTTTATTTCAAGTATTTATTTTTCATCTATATATGTCACATTTTTCATTTTATAACTTTTATTTTTCTCCTATATTTAATTTTCATTTAAGTACCTTGACATATATATGTATTTATCTATATGTATTTATAAAATATATTTACTTTAAGGATCTTGAAATTTCCTTCTTGTCTGTCATTTATAAATGACTTATTTTTATCCTGTTAATATATATTTTAATTATATATGTCTTACAGCTTCTTTGCATTTCAGAGTTTTTTTTTGGGTATTTTGATGTTATGCTATTGAATATCTAGATTTTATTGGCTACCTTTGAATAATGTTGTGACAGGCAGTTCAGTAACTTCAGGATGAGTATTTGTCTGTTGTTTTAAATCTTCTCTTTAAACTTTGTTGAGTTAGTCTAGAGCCATCTGTAATTTGGAGTTAAATGAGCACTGTCACTAGGGCATGGACCTCCAGTGGTCTTTACTGAATATCCTGGAGGTACAGAGGGGATTCCCTTCTCTGATTAGAATTTGGAATATAAAGAGAAAAGAGAAAAATAGAAAGCTATGCATAAACACGTGCATTAAAATGAATTTTATGTGGGCTTTTTCATGAAAATGTTCCTAAGGTATTTTATTTTTTTATTGTGGTAAAATACACATAACATAAAATGTACTCTGTTAACCATTTTAAGTGTACAGTTCAGTGGTACTAAATATAGTCATAACATTGTCCAGCCGTCCCTACCATCCATCTCCATAATTCGTTTCATCTTGTAAAACTGAAACTCTATACCCATTAAACAATACTTCCCCATTTCCTCCTCCCCCCAGCTTCTGGCAACCATCATCGTACCATCTCTATAATGCTAATCAAGCATAGTGGCTGTGTTTCTTGCTTCCTCTAGTCCGCAGGTAGCATACAAATGTAATAAACTACTTATTCATGTCGCATCTATTTATTTTCTGCCTTATACCAAGCTTGTGGGTTTCTCTTAAATACAACATTTTTATACTTACACCTATGCAATACCCATTAGCATCGCCTTCCTAAATCAGGGGAAATTGAGCTTCTGTCAGGTGGAGTAACTTCCTAAGATATAAAACTCAGCATTGAAGTCTGTATACTTCAATATCCTGCCCTCTTCTCATGTGTCTTTACTGCCTTTTATGTATGTGTTAGATGTTCAACAAATTCTCTTTTTTAAACTGAATTTAAGCCGTGGAGCAGTGTTTTGTTGAACAATAAATATGATATAGGACACTCTTCCTCCTTTTCATGTATGATCCTGTTCATGAAAAAGAGAAATTCTTTCATTGTGCTAGAAGCTTAAAATAATGAAAATGCCACTTTCTACATTAAACAGAAACTGAAGGGAATCAAGGTGAATTGCATGAGACATAGAAAACAAGTGGGAAAGAAATCTAGTATAATTTGCCCTTTGTGTACCTTTATTATTTAGCGTTTGAGTAAATGATTCCCCCAAATATCTTCCCATCTCAATTCATGTCTATAAAGTAGACGTTTATGTCTCACCTTGTCAAGAAGAGCAAAGTCTAACATAAACATTTCTCAAAAATGCTTCCTGCTAAAACGTAAGCTCAGTCTGGCTAGAAATGCAGCTCACTTCCTAAAGAGTAATTGGTAGGTAATTTTGCATGCTGTTCTCTGAACTTGAGTGTAACCTGTCCGTCAGGCATACAGGGAATGACGGGAAAGGTGACAACAGAAGATGAATGCTATGTCACTAACCTTCAAAGATGACCTGCCTTTTCTTTCAAATTCTTGATATCTTAAGACTTCATTAATTCATCTCTCTTTTCCCTTGGTTCAACATTTTGCTATACCAAAACTCATGTGAGACAATGACCTAATGTAATAAAAATGGCGTTTTTCTTTCATGTAGTTGCAAGCTAACTGGCATTTTTACAATCCACATATTTCCTTTGTCAGTTTTTCATTCTGTATTGGAAGTAATTGATGGGTATTTCTGAAGGGATGAAGGTGTTTCTGTGTTCATTGTGATCCAAACTATTTCTAGACCTAGGGGCCTTTGTAAACAATTTGTGCCCACTGACCAAGGATCACTGTGGCAGAAAGCAGCAAACTTGCATAAGATGTCACTGCTTCATAGGTTGGCTTTGAAAACTAGGGGCTTACTCTATACTCTTATGAATAAAAGACATTGATAGATGTAGTATAAGATTACAATCATATTTTCCTTTTGACAGTCACATTATAAATCAAGATGTATTGCAATTAATCTCAATTAGCTGATCACAATTAAAATTAATAATGTTTATTATTGCTGATAAAAATCATGTCTCTCCTGTTCTCAAATGTGCAAGTAATTCTTGTAATTTTAATACAAATTTGCATATTATTATTAATTGATTTAATCTCATTGGATTTGGTTCATGGATCCAATTTATTAAAATATTGATAATGGGATAATGAGTTGTCTCCCCATTTCATGTACACTAAAAACAACATTTCTTACAATGGTCTGCAAGCCCATCATCATCTGCCTCATGTTAACCGCCAAAGTTCTTTTATATCTTCACCCTTGATCTTACCAGTGGTCCTGGCCACCTCACTGTCCTCTGGACATACCAACATGCTGCTGCCTTATGATCAAGACTCTAGTTAATTTTTTGGCTTGGAAAGATAGCCCTCCATATATCCATTGATCAGCTCATTCAACTTCCTCAGGTCTTTACTGAAACTTCACATTCTCGATGAGGCCTATTCAGTATTTCAAACTGCATCCCAGCTGCAACATTCCAAAACCCCTTACTCTTCTGTGTATTTTTGAAAGGATTTATTGAGATATAATTTACATAGTGTAGAGTGCACACATTAATGTCTACAAGTCAGTGGCTTTTAGTATATGCACAGATAAGTGGAGCCACCATCACAATGAATTTTAGAGCATTTTCATCACTTCAAAAAGAAACCCCACCTTCCCTAGCTGTTAACCTCCTATGCACCCATCCCCTACTCAATCCTAAGCAACCACAAATCTGTTTTCTGTCTCTATAGATTTTCCTATTCTGTTTTCATCTAAATAGAATCGTACAATAGGTGGCCTTTTCTGCCCGGCTTCGTTCAGTTGGCATAATGCTATCAAGGTTCATGTACGTATTGGTACTTTATTTCTTTTTATAACTGTATAACATTCAATTTCATGGATATAACCTTTTGTTTATCCAATAATATTTTTATTGACATTTGAGTTGTGTTCAGCCTTTGGCTATTTTAGGTACTGCTGCTAAAAATACTTGTGTACAATTTGTGTTTGAACACCTCTTTCCAATAATCTGGGTGTATACCTAGGAATAACTTTCTGGGTCATATGACAATTCTATGTTTCATATATTTAGAAGCCATCAAATTATTTTCCAAAGTGGCCAGTTCTAGCCATAGAGTATCTAACTGTGGTTTTGATTTGTAGTTGCCTGAAGAGTGATGCTGTTGAGTATATTTTTATGGGATTATTGACCGTTCATGTATCTTCTTGGGAAACACATCTATTCCTATCATTTATCAGTTTTGAGTTGGGATATTTGTGACGGAGTTAAACCAATTTTTCTATATTCAAGATACATATATATATACAGACATATAGATACGTGTTTTTCAAATATCTTCTCACAATTTTGGAGCTGCCTTTTGACTTGCTTGGTTGTCCTCTGAAACACCGATGTCTTTAATTTTTAAGAAATTTTAAATATCTAATTTTTATTCTGTTGCTCATGTTTTTGGGGTTACAGCTATTTCTTTGCTAGATCCAAAATCCTGAAGATTTTCCCATATGCTTTATTCTACCTCTTGCATGTGTGTCTTTAATTCATTTGAGTTAATATTTTTGTATGCTTTGGGGTAAGGGTTCTAATTTATTATTTTGCAAGTGGTGATCCACGTGTACGTTGTTGACCCAGTGTGTTCAAAGACTGTCTCTTCCTCATTGAATTGCACATGGCACCACTTTAAGAATCCATTGACTGTAGACACATAGTTTTATATATGGACTCTCAATTCTCTTCCATCAATCTATATATTTTTCCTTCATCAATATTGTGTTGTCTTGATTACTGATACTTTGCAGTAAGGTTTGGAGCATGGGGTGTGAATTATCCTAATATGTTTTCTTTCTTCAAGATTATTTTGGCTATTTTGAGACCCTTACAATTTCATGTGTATTTTAGAATCAGCTTGTCAGTTTCTAGACACAAGTCTGTTGGGATACTTGCAGGGATTTCATCAAATCTGTAGTTCAAATTGTAAAGTACTACAATATCAAATCGTCCAATTCATGGGTGTAAGGTGTTTACTAATTATTTAAATATTCTTTAAACAATAATTTTTAATTTTCAGAGTAAAATCTTGTATCACATTTTCCAAATTAATTAATGTTTCTTTTTTTATGCTATTTTAAATTGAAGTGTTTTCTTAAATTCATTTTGGGGTTTTCATTGAAGATGTGTGTAATTGATTTTTGTACATTTACCTTGTCTGCTGTAATATTGCTGAAATAATTTACGAGTTCTATCGTTCGGTGGATTCCTTAAAATTTTCTATATACAACAATGTTATTTTCAAATAAAGTTTTATTTCTTCCTGTTCAATATGGGTGACTCTTATTATTTTAGTTGCCGATTTGCCCTGCATAAAATCTTTAGTACAGTGTTGACTAGAAGAGGTCAAAGTATATATCCTATTCTTATCTCTGACCATAGCGGGAAAGCATCCTTTACCATTAAGTTGCCTGCTTGCTGTTGGCTTTTCACAGGTGCCATGTATCTGGTGTAGAAAGTTCTCTATTCCTGGTTCATTGAGTTTTTATTTTTATTTTTAATCATTAAAGCATTTGGATTCTGTTAAATGTGTTTTCCGAATCTATCGAGATGATCATGAATTCTCTTTTCTTATTCTATGGATAAGATGTATTACCTTAATGGATTTTGGGCTGTTAAACCAACCTGGGATTACTTGTATAAATTTCACTTTGTCATAGTGTATAATTCTTTTATATGTTGCTAGATCTGATTTGTTAGTATTTTTTAAGGAATTTTGCATTTATACTTATAATAGTTTTATTTTTCTATGCTATTTGGACTAATTTTTGTATCAAAGTAACACTGGCCCCACAGAATAAATTGGAAAGTGAATATTTCTCTTTTTTAAAAAAGCTAGTCAAGAATTAATATCAATTATTCAACACTAACAAATATTATTATTATAAATTATTAATTTCTCTAATTTTAATTTTCTTCCTTCTGCTTGCTTTAGGTTTAGTTTGCTATTCGTTCCAGTGCCTTAATGTGGAACGTCATCTTATCTCATCCTTTCATTTGTCTTTTCATTTTGTAAATAGTGTCTTCTTAGCATCAGGTGAGCTCCCCAGGTTGGTAGTACTCCATGTTTGTTGCTGTACAACAATGACAGGTAATATGTCCTGAAGACAATGGAAACTTAACCTTCAAAATCTCCTAGATTCCACCTTATATGATATGTCTCTTCTATTGGTCCTAATTTCTACCCTTTCTCTATTATAAACCATGAGTACAATGGCATTCAATGAGTTCTGTGAGTCTTTCTAGTAAATTCTTGAAACTGAGGGTGTTCAGGGGAAATCCCTGAACTGGCAGTTGGTGTCAGAAGTGAGAATCTTCTTACATGGCCTCTTCCTTTGAACTGTGCAGCTGGACGCAAACTCTGCACAATTTGGGCCAGAACTCTCGTGTTGACTTTGTAGCCTAAAGTATCTTGTAGTTTGTCTAACCCTCAATAAATTTGCTTTCATCAAATATTGTATTTGTTACCCCAAAATTACCATCACGTTTTTTTTTCTCCAAATAACTAACATAGGAGAAATAGCCAGCTGAGTTTGTAACTCAACAGAAATAAGTGATCCATATACCATATACCATATAAGTGGCCATTTCATTTTGCCTTCTTCCACCAAATCTTAGCAACCTCAACCATTACCAAGAGCCACTGTAGGCCTACCAGCTACAAACAAACGAGTATCTTGTAAAAACACTTCATACTCCCATTTGATAATTTTCCCAGCAAAGAGATGCCTACTTTAACTCTATGCAAGTGGCTCATATTCACGAAGTCTGTAGATATTATTCATGTAGAGTGAGAAAATCATCCCAGCGGTGCCAGCACATTCTCCTTCCCATGATCTGCTTAGTTTGCAAACATATTCAGGCCATGGGTGAGAGATTTGTATTTCACAGTACAACAATTTTATGGAGGGCATTGAAACTTACATTGAGCATTTTAGTACAGTCACACATCACTGAATGATAGGGATACGTTTTAACAGATGTATTCGTAGGCAATTTTACCATTTTGCAAACATCACAGAGAGTATTACAAACACCTAGATTGTACAGCCTACCACGTTTAGGTTATATGGTATAGCCTCTTTCTCCCAGGCTACAAATCTGTGCACTACATTACTGTACTGAATACTGCAGGCAATAAGAACACAGTGGTAAGAGGTTATGTATCTAAACATAATTAAACGTAGAAAAGTATGTAAAAATATCTATTATAATCTCATGGGACCACTTTTGTATATGTAATCCATCTTTGACTAAAATGTTATTATGCATGACATGACTCTATGACAAAAATAAAATAACACATTGTAAAAAAATATACACAGGTATCAAACATATTAATATTGTAAAAATAAAAATATTTATTCAGTGTAAGAATTTGTAATGATCACAAAATGTTCACAGCTTATATTTTAGTACAGTTTCAAATGCCTAGTGCAATTGCTATTTATTTCTGTGTGTATTTTAAACATGTATATAATAAATATTTTTCAGGTTCAACAATATATATCAATCCAACTGGCTCTTATAAATATTAGTTAACATCAATTGGTAAATTCATATATATATATACACACACGTGACTCAGTCTGTATGCGTGTATGTGTGTGTAAATGTAACTGTATGTGTGTGTAAATGTAACTGGATGCATCCTAATATTTACCCTTACCTACAAGATTTCCAAGACTCATTTATTCTCTTTAAATGGTGTGCCTTGAAAGATTTACCAAATAAAACCGCAATCGTGGAATATATCAAGATGTTATTAAATTCATCTTGTGCACATAATTGTTTCTTTAAATTTATGTTTCTTGCAAAACTTGCGGTAATGCTCATGCACAAAATAATTTTCTAAATAAAAAATAAAAACATTTTCTCAGTCATTAATTCTTAAAAAGTATTTCTCCCCAGTAATTAATGTGAATTAATTCTTAATTCTTAATTATAGAATAATGTTGCCCTTCAGAGTTCTGAATCTTTTGCACGTTGTATACATTTCACTGACTGGAACATCTTCTGGAATATTGGCATTAATTAATCTCACTCAGCAATTAATGATTTCAAAGAAATTAAATACCATTCATATTCTGAATCACAAGGGTACTTTGGCACCTAATTTAATCAAGCTCTTTGTATCATCATCTACAGTTTAATTACTTAACAAACATTTCTTTGTGTGAGAAAGATTGAGCAGGTTATTGTGCTTTTCGTTGTATACATTTCACTAAGTAGAACATCTTCTGGAATATTGGCATTAATTAATCTCACTCAGCAATTAATGATTTCAAAGAAATTAAATACCATTCATATTCTGAATCACAAGGGTACTTTGGCATCTAATTTAATCAAGCTCTTTGTATCATCATCTACACTTTAATTACTTAACAAACATTTCTCTGTGTGAGAAAGATTGAGCAGGTTATTGTGCTTTTTTATGATGCAACTTTTGCTTAATCTAGAGATAGGCAATGCTCCCTATAAGGGACAAAGAGAAAAATGAAAGAGCAATAGAGATGTGACAGGCATGGAAAAAGACAACACATTTATAAAACAAATAGGGCCACAGATGATGATAATGGGGATCAAATCTTGAGATACTGACTCAGTTTATAACCGCACTGTACAATAGAGCAAATCATTTGTTAATTATTTTACAAATGGAATCTAATTTAACTAAGATGAATACAGTGTTTTAAACAAGGCAGGTCATCTTAAAATAAAATAGTGGGAAAAGTGATAAAACCAATGTAAAAATCATAAACATTTTATAAAGAATTTTTGTCATGTAATTTAATATTTTTCTTTATTTAAAATCACCCAAATCAAAATAATTTTATCTTAATTAACAAATAATCATCGGAAGTTAACTAATTTTTACTTTATAATACTAGGTTTAAAAATTCTTCACTATATTTTTAATCATACATGCTTATACATAAAATAGACATAGGGTATATGTTTACATGTTCACAATATTATATTGTAATTGTTCCTATGGATGTGGTTTTTCAATAGAATTAATAAGTACTTTTAAAAAGTTTCAATTTCAATGATATATATGTTTGATTTTTCTTTGACAAAGCATACATATATTGATAGGTAATAATAAGAAAATCTTCTAAAGACATTACAGGAACATGAATAAGTAATTAAATCCTCAATAATTTGTAACGTTTTATGTAAGCGGAACACATTTAACTGAAAATTGCTTTTATATAATACTCAAACGAGACTAAAAACATATTAACTAGCGGAGTAAGTCTTCAAATTGATAATCTGAACTATAGAAGAGGAGAAACTTCAAGCACTCAAATATTTGAAATGCTACAAAATATTTATATAAACTATTATTTAACAATTTCTGTTTGTAGAGTGCTATAGAGTAATCCATATAAATGACATCTCCGTCTTTCTATAGCTTTGACCACATTTACCTCCTAATTTTAATTATTAATATGTTGGAGCAGTGCATACAACTAGATTCCGATCTTCCTTTTTAATGAGTAAAAATATGTCCTTTGAGACAGCATTAAAGAAAGAGCACCTTGTATAAATTCAATGCCAAGAGACAAGATATTCTTGATGCTGAAGTCTTGTTCTTTTATACAGCAATGTAATTAATAAGAAGAAGAAAAGCAGGACATAGAGATGGAGTCTATTTTCATCAAAAATTGTCTATAGATTTTGATGATAAAATTTAAAACTCTACTATATTTAGTTAGTCACAAAAAACGAGGTTGTGGGAACATATTTGGTCAATAAAACACCCCTACCAAATGCCGACAAGAAAAAAAGTTAGGTACCACCTTTCTTCTCTGCAGATGGCCTGAGATGGGTTAATTTGAAAGAATGCTTCCAAACCTGAGGTGACCCCTGAGAACAGCATAATCCACTGCTGTCTCCCACATTCAGTTTCTCAGTCTGTGCTCTTTTAATTTTGGGGGGAGGGAAGCCAGTCCTTTAAAGCGATCTTCAGCATGATGGCAGAGCCAAGGAGTGTGGACAGGTGGCACGGTGTCTGATTTTGTTCCAGCAGCCACTTGGGCTTTCTCTGGGTCTTCTCTGCCCTCGGGATAGCACTACTATTGAAAACATGTCTTTGTGACATTCTCTATGCCAGGAACTCCCAACATATTTTCCTTGAAACTGATGAAATGAAAAAAAATAAACCAAGAGGTGTGCTGTTTGTTTCTGTTTCCTCCTTTCTGCAGCCCTTCTTGATCATCTAATATTTTTAAATACATTGTCGATCACCAAAAGGAGCATAAGGGCTTTATTGGTTTGTAGCAGATGTATTCATAGCCCAGCCCCTATTCCTTAGCTGTAGCTGCTGGGAAGAAAACCATTCTTAACACTCTACAAGGTCTCATCTCCAGAATTTGCACCAGTTTCTAGCTGAGGACTTTCTCTAGCAGCACGGGAGCTTGTTACTGGGCATGAAGTGGGAAGAAAAGGTGAGGGTAACTAAGAAGAATCTCCCTGGATTCAGTGATGTAATTCTGAGGCATGCTCCACATAGCTTCCCATAAAATTAAGCCCAGATATCTAACACAGGAACTTACCTCTTAACACGTGTGGTATTGGCTTTTCTGTCTTTCCTGTTTTATTTTGTTCTCTTTTCCTTGTCTCACTTTCGCTGTGTCCTCACTCCTGCTTTAAGAATACCCAAACAAATACGTTCATTTATTTTTTTAGACTCTCAGAACACAGTTGATAGTTGAACTTGTAATCTATGATAATCAGCTTGGATGCTGTATTGACAGGAAGATGGTGAACTCACAATGTCTAATTAAGATACAATTTAAAAAATATATTGAATCATGTCCAAAGACTTAAAAAGCCTAAGCGGCAGCGTCACAGTTTCTTCTTTTTAGTTTGCATGGTTTCTTAAATGCCTACAATTATTTTAAAGGAAGCCTTGAGTCTAGGAAAAATTGAGACATATGGAATAAATTACTAACCCATTTCTCCTTGAAATCCATTAGATGTTTGATGATTCTTCACATATATTTCTGAACTGAAAAGCTAGTTGGGAATTATTTTTATAAGCATATCCTTATGTAATATATTGTTTCTAAGAGTGAATGGAAGGTTTAAAGATTAAATTATTCTATCCAGAGAATAAAAAACAATTATTTCACAAGGAGAACATGTGTATGTTGACACGACATTTTAAAATCTAGATTTTAAAATAGGTCCCATATAATTTTGAGTCAATTAGAATACGTTTGTATCAGTCTGTCTACAGTTTTACACCTGTCAAATGTTACTTGAACTAAAAGAAGTACCTTGAACAATTTTGAAATTTATTATTCCTCTGAAACTGATGAAAAGAATGACGGTAGAGTGAAATTTGGATTGGCATAATTTAGGAGAGAAATTATTCCTTGGAGATCAACCTCTGCCAAGATAGTTTACAATGACATTGATACTTTTTGATTTACACAATTTGTTATATAAAAAATACTAAGACGATGACAGATAATACACAGACTTTAATTAAAATTGTACTAAAATTAAAAGTCTAAATAAATTACAAGTGTACGTGGTACACCTAAACGTATGTTTATATATTTTATTTGTGCATTTTATTCCTAGGGTTCCTTTTGCTTTAGTTTGTAAAACGTTCTTATTTTTATGGCAGTGTAGTATATACTAAATAAAGAAAAATCAGGAAATAGAAAATGAAGAAGAAAACATTAGCTATTGTCAACCAAATAAAAATTGTGCAATCTCTAAGTACATGAACGATGTATTATTTGTACAGCATGTACAATGTTTATGCTTCACAGGGTGAGGTAGAGACTGCAAAACATTGAACCTGGGACAAATAAGAAAGAAAGGAAATTTTCACAATATATTAATATTACAGAAAATGTTGAACTTAACAGTTAAGATACAAGTAGTGAAAAATGATAGTATTTAAGGAGATCTAGAAAATGTCATCCATACCAGTAATGTGTGAGAAGTATTAGAATAATGCTTGTATTTCTGGATTGGCATCGATTTCTATTGAGACTGGAAACATACTAGAAGTGAGCAAAAAAGAATTTAAATAGTGGATACTTGAGTTTTATACCTAGGAGTTCGAGAAATACATTTTGTTACTATCAAAGCAGTTGGCACAAGAGTGTACAAAATTCCCTAATTGTGTCTATGTGGTGAAGACATAGACAAACAGAAAATAGCAAAACAGAAATAGCAAAAAAGCACAAATAAATTTTACCTGTATTTTTACGTAAAAGCCAATTAGAGTAGGAAAACATGAAATTTGTGTTTTATCGAAATTTTTCTCTTATAGTATGGTTGATTATATTACTGGAAAAAAATTGAAGCATTGGTATGTTCACAAAAAAAAGTAAAAGATAAGGTCAAAACCATGGGAATGCAGGGAGCAGACAAAATACACCTAAACACTGATACTGATTTTGCCCTACGGACATGTAGCAAAATGAATGAGTGCAGATTCCTATGGTCATACATCACATAGGACAGTAAAGAAATACATAGTGTTTCCCAAGATAGGGCATCACACAGGAGCTCTTCCCTAAAGCTAGCACCAAAATTTATCTCCTCAGTATAAAGAAGAATCAGAGGTAAATTAGTCTCATTTCACATTCCCTGGAAATGGCAAATAAAAATGACTTGAGATTGGACAGATTTAAAGAAACTCAATCATTAATGATTTACAGCAATTAATTTAAAAATTGTTTAAATGTGCTGTCCAAACATACGTCCAAACACCTTTAGGCCAAGAATTAATATAATGTGGTCCCAGAATGGTGGTGCCTTTAGTAGACTCACAAAAAATTCAAATTCTCTTTGGCAAATTTTCTTCTTACTAATATGCAAAAGTGCACAATAATAATTTTCAGAGAAAAATAAATCTTTGTCATTCAAAGGCATCTAAGTACGCAAGGAAATGATATTCCACCATTTGAAAGGAAAGCAGAAAAAGAGTACAAACAGATCCACAGAGGTTCATTAGTAGAAATATCACTGTTAGATTATAAAGCACATTTGCTTTCAAAAAATTTAAAAAAAGGAATATATTTTTAGGAGACTAAAAAGTTGATGTAGTAAATTTGAAAAGTAGTTTGTATATAGTATTTTAAATTAAAAACTCAAAAATGAACTCATCAGATTAGACATGGCCATGGTGAGAGCTCATAAATATTTCAGAATGCATTACAGAAAATTTAAAAAAAGGCACAATGTGGACAGAATCATGAAGAGACATGGAAGATACAGTGAGAAAGTGTAGCATGTGTTTAGTGAGTGTTCTCATAGAGGAAGGGAACGGGGAAGGGACAATATGTGATGGTATTTTGGCTGAAAGTTCTCTAGAGTTCTGTAAGACACTAATCCACATATTCAAAACTTCTATGCATGCTAAGCAAGCTACGATGGAGATAAACCTACATCTACATATCTCCTAGAGAAATAGTAAACAATCAGGAAGGGAAAAATATTTCAATTAGCACTAGAAAAATCAAATTACCTTTAATCATATTGAAATCTGAAAGCATGAAAGGTAAAATAAACAATATTATTTGTTAAGAATAATAATGCCATTCTGAAATTCTCAACCAAGAAAAATATTCATCAACCTATGGCTAAATCACATATTTAGAGACAAAAAACAAAATACCACCAGCAGAATTCCACTAAAGAAACTCAAAGGAAACTCTGAAAACACGCTTCAGAAAGATTGAAGTTCTGAAATCAAAGAATGAACACAGAGCAAAATATATTGTAAACATAAAGATAGATCAAAATAGAAAATTAGGTGTTGAAACAAAAGAATATTTAAAATTAGATAAGCACTGCAATATGTATGTTAGGAAGCAAATTATTAGGGCTGAAGTATTCAAAGACCCCTTAATTGTCTGACAAGAGCAGAAAGATATGACTTTGCAACTCTTTTTTTTTTTTTTTTTTGAGAAGGAGTCTCATTCACCCTTTCTCCCAGGCTGGAGTATGGTGGCGTCATCTCTGCTCACTGCAACCTCTGCCTCCCAGGTTCAAGCAATTCTCCTGCCTCAGCCTCCTGAGTAGCGGGGATTACAGCCGCGTGCCACCCTGCCTGGCTAATTTTTGTATTTTTAGTAGAGACGGGGTTTCACCATGTTGATCAGGCTAGTCTCCAACTCCTGACCTCGTGATCCACACGCCTCGGCCTCCCGAAGTGTTGAGATTACAGGCGTGAGCCACTGCGCGCGACCGACTTTGGAACTTTAATAAATTGACTGGACATTATGCATTTCTCTGTTGTATCTATGAAAACAATAAAAATAAAAGTCATAATTTTAAAACAAGAAGACAGAAAGTGATAGGAGAAAATGAGACATTATATATATATATATATATACACAACAAATTACTAATACAAAATTAAGTATAAATGATCAAAGATTAACTTAAACCTAAGTAGACAATGTTTTTGTTAAAATACAAAGATTGGCAAAATTTAAAACATCCGTCTCTATCATAGTTACAAGAGACACAACTAATATATAAATTTACAGAAACTTTGAAGTTCAAACAATACAGATACTGTGTATATATGATATACATACAAACATACTACATGAATATAATTTTTTAAAAAGTTGCTATGTAGACCAAATAGAATGTAAGTTAGAAACATTTATTAAAATAAGTTAGTGTAACCAGTGTGATAAAAGTTTTAAGTTATTAAGAAGATGTGATGACTTCAATGTGTATTAGCCTGATACATACATATATATACACACAAACCACACACTCTCTCTCACACACACAGACACACACGTATTTAGAGAGAGAGTCAAATTATATAAAGCAAAAATATCAGAAAGTAAGTAGAAATGGATAAGCCCCCAAATATTATAGACATTTCAAACACACGTCTTTCAGTAATAGATAAAAGAAAAAATTAAAAGAGTAAGTTTTAAAAGAAGCTAGTGGATTTTAAAACGGGCAAATATTATATAAGGAACTTGAATATTATAATTCATGTTATTTTCATGTTCATACAGAATACTTACAAAAATTAACATTTTCTAGACCATACCACAAATTCAAACAATTTTCACGGAAATAACGTGACACAGAATATATGTCCTAAACAAACAGCAATGAAGGCAGATATCAATACAAAAACGAAAGTTAGAAACATAAGTGTAATAATATTGGTTGGAAGCCATTTTATTGAATATTGAAATATTTTAAAGGTGAATAGTCACTACAAATAAACCAAACACTTTTGTGAGGCCACTAAGATGCATGTGTAATGTGTAATGCCTCCTTTTATAAGGAGTAAATCTGTAACATCACCTGGGCTATTTGACAACTGCAAAGTGAATGTGAGAAGGAGAGAAACAGTGAGAGAGAGAGAGATAAAAGCAGTAAAATAAACATAAAGAATGAAGGAGATAGCCAGGCGCCATTGTTCACGCCTGTAATCCCAGCACTTTGGGAGGCCGAGGCAGGTGGGTCACCTGAGGTCAGGAGTTCGAGACCAGCCTGGTCTAACATGGTGAAACCCACTCTCTACTAAATATACAAAAATTAGCCTGGCATGGTGGCATGCATCTGTAACCCCAGCTACTCGGGAGGCTGAGGTGGGAGAATTGCTTGAACGTGGGGGCTGGAAGTTGCAGTGAGTAGAGATCACGCGACTGCACTCCAGCTTGGGCGACAGAGCAAGACTCCGTGTCAGAAAAAAAAAAAAACAAAAAACAAGAAAGAAAAAAACGAGGAAATAGTACACGAAAAAGCAGAATTAAAGCAACTGGGTATATATTTAAAAATGCAAAAGCTCACTTTTTCAGAAAAATATTAAAATATTAAATCTAACAAATATCTAGGTAGACTGATGGAGAAAAATACAGAAAATGCACAAAAAAGCAATTACCTGGAATGCGAACGTTACAAAACGTCAGCAGTTGTAGATTTTAAATAAGCAATGATTTTTGAGTTCAACCATGATGGGGTATATTGAAAAGAATCTCTCAGAAAAAAAGAAAAAGAAAACTGTTATAAAGCTATGTACAAAATGTTAAGCACTATTAAAGTCTTCCAAATCTACCAGTTACGGAGTTATTGGTCTTGGACTAAGACTCCTGAAAAGAAAAAAAACAAACAAAATAAGACAATACCTAAAAACCTGGATAAAATGGCCTACCGTGGGCACTGGCAATGCATCCAAGCAGGTAGGACCTGGGTGCTACATTCTCTTTGTCAGAACACAAAGCATTCATACACTCTTCTCACCCTCACTTTCACCTTTTAATCTTTGATCTACTATTAAATGTATTCAACATTACTATCAATCCTTTGCTCAAAATTTCTTTACTCACATTTTGCTTGATGCACTTGGATAGACTGTTCAAGAAAGTGTGAGTAGTGAATTCCTCAAACTCTTGCATATTCAAAATCACATTTTTGAACCTCGATGCTTGAAGTGTAGCTTGGGTAACAGATGGGCTTTAAGCCAATTTTGGCATGCAAGGGGTTGAGTTTATTAGGCATCAGCACCGCTGAAAATCGTGGGGATGCAGGCTTAATTTCAACACTATTCTAAATACTTGAAAGATATTATATAAGTCTTTAATAAACTCCTGTGTCTACAAATGGTTCACATTAACTCAATATCCATGATGAAACATCTATAAAATCAAGGCACTGTTATTTAGTGGAGACTTGCTGGCTATTCTATGAGAGGAGGTATTGTTATTGTAATCTCATCATCTCATAAAATTGTATCACATTACTCATAACCAGCCCTTCATATTCTATTCCTATTTTGGTATTTTAAAATAAGACATCTTTGAAACTCTTGAATTCAAAGAGGGAATCTGAATAATTTTTAAAATGTCAATGAAATGCCATTTCTTCATGCTTCAACAACTAAAAATTGACTAAAGTGCTTCTCTTCAATCTTTCTGGGACATTTCTTATCTAAATTCTAAGAACAATCACAATAGGTTTTAACCACAAATGTGAGAATATTCTAAATGTTAGGGTGGAAAAAATTTTTAAATATTTTATAGTAATTTTTTTCATCATAGTGACAGTGTGCTAAATTTTTTTAAGCCAACTATTACTGTAGACATTTAAGTCAGGATTCTAAGAAGCTGTTCTAAAGTCCAAAATTCAGTTTCATATACACTGATATTATATATATATATTTGCTTAAAAAATTAATACATGTGAGCCGTGTTTCAAATAGTTGAGAGATTATTATATCAAAGATTCTTGATTATATAAAATGTCAATTACTTATAGGCAGACATGCTTTAAATAATTACTAAGGCAGTTGTGGTTGATTCTACTCTTGCTACTGGCATTTATATGGACATACTATTATGGTCTGAAGAATATTTAGGCAAATTTATCCCTCATATGATCAGAAGAACAATGCAAGATAGTTTATATCTGAAAGGAAAAAAATCTTTATATGGTTCTGAAAGCGTAAATCATTAACAACTTGGATAATAACTAGCATAAAAATACACAAACATGCCCTCTTCCTAGCAGTAAGTACACAGTGACAACAGAATCAAAGCATGTGGCTATGTGCATGTTTATATTTCAAGACGCAGAGCACTCTATTCCTCCTCTCTGCCCTTTCTAGATGGCACAATCCCTCATGAATCTAAGTGCAGTCATAGGGTGGATTAGGGTGACCTGCCATTTGTATGCAACTGATCTCTAGTTTGGAAGTAATTAATGTCAAAATATATTTTTAAAAGGTAATTTCAAATTTCAGGGCAAACTAGCATGGTTTCGCCCCTTTTCTTTGGAACATTTTTTCTAAGGTTGGAAAAGTAAGGTAGGCTTTAGTAAGATTTTAAATAATAAGTTTTCAAAGTGAGACGCAAAATGGTGGCGCCAACACATTTCAAATCTGCTACATTTTGAAGACACTTATTGGAGAAAAGACCTTCTCATCATTTTTCTCTTACAGGAAAGGAAATAACATGTACAGTTGACCCTTAAGCAACACGGAGGTTGGGGTGCTGGCCCCCCTGCACGGTAGAAAATCCACTATAACTTTGACTCCCCCAAAACTTAACTACTAATAGCCTACTGTAAGCCTGACAAATAACACAGTCAATTAACACATATTTAATATGTTATATGTCTTATATACTGTATTCTTAACAAACATGCCAGAGAAATGAAAAAAGAAAATCATAAGGAAAATAGATTTACTAGTTATTAAATGGAAGTAGATGATCAAACAGGTCTTCATCCTCATCTTTCTCATGGGCAGGATGTGGATAAGGATGTAGAATTGTTGGTTTTGCTAAGTGGACGTGCACAGTTCAAACCCCTGTGGTGCAAAGGCCAACTCTATAGCCATTGAATAGCAATTTATATTTAGAAATTAACCTCACTAAAATACTCTTAGAAAGATGCCCAGAATAAAAGTGAATAAGAATTTCTGGTTCATCTATTACATCATTTCATTTCATTATTTCATTTCTTTTCATCATTTCATTTCATTTCCTCATTTCATCCTTTCATTTCATCATTTCATCTCATTTCCTCATTTCATCCTTTCATTTCATCATTTCATCTCATTTCCTCATTTCATCATTTCATTTCATCCTTCCATTTCATCATTTCATCATTTCATCTTATCATTTCATCTCATTTTATCATTTCATTTCATTCTTTCATTTCATTCCATCATTTCATCTCAACATTTCATTTCATCATTTCACTTCATCTCATCATTTCATCATTTCATCTCATCATTTCATTTCATCTCACCATTTCATTTCATCTCATCATTTCATTTCATCTCATCATTTCATCTTTTCATCTCATCATTTCATCATTTCATTTCATCTTTTCATCTCATTTCATTTCATCAATTCATCATTTCATCTCATTTCATTTCACTTCATTTCATTGTTTCATTTCATCATTTCATTTCATCACTTCATCTCGACATTTGATTTCGTCATTTCACTTTATCTCATTTCATCTTTTCATCTCATGATTTCATTTCATCTCATTTCATTTCATCTCATTTCATTTCATCTCATCATTTCATTTCATCTTTTCATCTCATCATTTCATCATTTCATCTCATTTCATTTCATCATTTCATTTCATTTATTTCATCATTGCATCATTTGACTTCATGTCATCATTTCATCATTTCATATCATTTCATCATTTCATGTTTTCATTCAATCATTTCATCATTTCACTTATTCATTTCATTTCATCTTTTCATTTCCTCATTTCATCATTTCATTTCATCCTTTCATCATTTCATCTCATCATTTCATCCTTTCATTTCATTATTTCATTTCATAATTTCTTCTCATTGTTGCATTTTGTCATTCCATCATTTCATCATTTCACTTCATCTCATCATTTCATCATCTCACGATTTCATTTCATCTCATTTCATCTCATTTCATCTTTTCATCTCGTCATTTCATTTCATCATTTCATTTCATCTCATCTTTTCATCTCATTTCATTTGATCATTTCATCAATTCATCATTTCATCATTTCATTTCATTATTTCATCATTTAATCATTTAACTTCATTTCATCACTTCATTTCATTTCATCATTTCATATCATTTCTTCATTTCACCATTTGATCTTCTCATTTCATTTCATCATTTCATCATTTCATCATTTCATTTCAACATTTCATCATTTCATCGCATCATTTCATCTCATCTTTCAATTTCATTTCAATATCATTTCATCATTTCTTTTCATTTCATCTCATTTCATTATTTCATTATTTCATTTCATTTCATCTCATCATTTCATCTCATCATTTTTCATCTCATCATTTTTCATCTCATCATCTCATCTCATCATTTCATCTCATTTCTTCTCATCATTTCATCTCATCATTTTATCTCATTTCATCTCATCTCATTTCAATTTCATTATTTCATTTCATTTCACTTCATTTCATTTCATCTCATTTTATCTCATCTCATTTCATCTCATCATTTCTTCTCGTCTCATCTCATCATTTCACCATTTCATCTCGTTTCATCTCATTTCATCTCATCTCACCTCATATCATCATTTCATCTCATCCTTTCATTTCATCTCATCGTTTCATCTCCTCATTTCATCTCATCTCACCTCAGATCTCATCTTTTCATCTCATCATTTCATCTTATCATCTCATCAACTCTTTTCATCAACCATTTCATCATTTCATCTTATCACTTCATTTCATCTTGTATCTTCTCATCTCATTTCAATTTCATTTCATTATTTCATTTCATTATTTCATGTCATCTCATCTCATCATTTCATCTCATCACATCTCATCATTTTATCATTTTATTTCATCATCTCATCATTTCATCTCATCTCATTTCAATTTTATTTATTTATTTCAATTTCATTTCATCTCATCAGTTCATCTCATTTCATCTCATCATCTCATCTCATCTCATCATTTCATCTCATCATTCATCTCATTTCATATCATTTTATCTCATCTCATCTCATTTCATCATTACATTTCATCTCATTTTGTCATCATTTCATGTCATCATTTCATCACATCTCATCTCATCATTTCATCTCATCATTTCATCATTTCATCTCATTTCAACTCATTGCATCTCATCTCATTTCCATTTCATTATTCCATTTCATCATTTCATTTCATTATGTCATTTCACCTCATCATATTTCATCTCATTTCATCTCATCTCATCATTTCATTTCATCTCATCATTTCATCTCATTTTATCTCATCTCATCTCATCATTTCCATTTCATTTTCATTTCATTATTTCATCATTTCATTATTTCATCTCATTTCATTATTTCATTTCATTATGTCATTTCATTTCATCTCATTACATTTCATCTCATTTCATCTCATCATTTCATCCATCATTTCATTTCATTTCATCATTTCATCTCATGATTTCATCTCATCTCATCTCATTTCATCTCATTATTTCATCTCATTTCCATCCTCCTCGTTTCATCTCCTCATTTCATTTCATATCACCTCAGCATTTCATCATTTCACCTCATCATTTCTTATTTCATCTCATTTTATCTCATTTCATCTCATATATCAATTCAATTTCCTTTCATTATTTCATCTCATTCATCTCATTTCATTACATCTCATCATTTCCTCTCATCATTACATCTCATCTCATCATTTCATCATTTCATCTCATCATTGCATCTCATCATTTCATCTCATTTCGTCTCATCATTCATCTCGTCATTTCATCTCATCTCATCATTTCCATTTCATTATTTCATTTCATCATTTAATTTCATCATCTCATTTAATTTCACCTCATTTCATTATTTCATTTTTTCATTTCATTATGTCATTTCATTTCATCTCCTTTCATCTCATTTCATTTCATCTCATCTTTTCATCTCATCATTTCATCTTATCATCTCATTCCATTTCATTTTCATTATTTCATTTCATCATTTCATTTCAGTATTTCATTTCATTTCATCTAATTTCATTTAATTCATTGTCATTTCATATACTCATTTCATTTCATCTCATATTTTTGATATCATTTTTCATCTCATTTCATCTCAATTCATCTCATCATTTCATCTCCTCATCTCATCATTTCCTCCTTTCATTACAACATTTCATCTCATTTCTTCTCATCTCATTTCAATTTCATTATTTCATCTCATTTCATTATTTCACCTAATTTCATTATTTCATCTCATCTCATCTCAGTTCATCTGATCTCATTTCATCTCAGCATTTCATCTCATCATTTTTCATCTCATCATTTTTCATCTCATCATTTAATCTCATTTCATTTCATTTGATCTCATCATTTCAGCTCATTTCAAGTCACATCTATTCATTTCATCATTTCATTTCAACATTTCATCATTTCATCGCATCATTTCATCTCATCTTTCACTTTCATTTCAATATCATTTCATCATTTCTTTTCATTTCATCTCATTTCATTATTTCATTATTTCATTTCATTTCATCTCATCATTTCATCTCATCATTTTTCATCTCATCATTTTTCATCTCATCATTTTTCATCTCATCATCTCATCTCATCATTTCATCTCATTTCTCATCATTTCATCTCATCATTTTATCTCATTTCATCTCATCTCATTTCAATTTCATTATTTCATTTCATTTCACTTCATTTCATTTCATCTCATTTTATCTCATCTCATTTCATCTCATTTCTTCTCGTCTCATCTCATCATTTCATTATCTCATTTCATCTCATATATCAATTCAATTTCCTTTCATTATTTCATCTCATTCATTTCATCTCATTTCATTACATCTCATCATTTCCTCTCATCATTACATCTCATCTCATCTCATCATTTCATCATTGCATCTCATCATTGCATCTCATCATTTCATCTCATTTCGTCTCATCATTCATCTCGTCATTTCATCTCATCTCATCATTTCCATTTCATTATTTCATCATTTAATTTCATCATCTCATTTAATTTCACCTCATTTCATTATTTCATTTTTTCATTTCATTATGTCATTTCATTTCATCTCATTTCATCTCATCATTTCATTTCATCTCATCTTTTCATCTCATCATTTCATCTTATCATCTCATCAACTCTTTTCATCTTATCATTTCATCATTTCATCTTATCACTTCATTTCATCTCGTATCTTCTCATCTCATTTCAATTTCATTTCATTATTTCATTTCATTATTTCATGTCATCTCATCATTTCATCTCATCACATCTCATCATTTTATCATTTTATTTCATCATCTCATTTCATCTCATCTCATTTCAATTTTATTTATTTATTTCAATTTCATTTCATCTCATCAGTTCATCTCATCATTTCATCTCATCATCTCATCTCATCTCATCATTTCATCTCATCATTCATCTCATTTCATATCATTTTATCTCATCTCATTTCATCTCATTTCATCATTACATTTCATCTCATTTTATGTCATCATTTCATGTCATCATTTCATCACATCTCATCTCATCATTTCATCACATCTCATCTCATCATTTCATCTCATCATTTCATCATTTCATCTCATTTCAACTCATTGCATCTCATCTCTTTTCATCTCATCAACTCTTTTCATCTTATCATTTCATCATTTCATCTTATCACTTCATTTCATCTCGTATCTTCTCATCTCATTTCAATTTCATTTCATTATTTCATTTCATTATTTCATGTCATCTCATCATTTCATCTCATCACATCTCATCATTTTATCATTTTATTTCATCATCTCATTTCATCTCATCTCATTTCAATTTTATTTATTTATTTCAATTTCATTTCATCTCATCAGTTCATCTCATCATTTCATCTCATCATCTCATCTCATCTCATCATTTCATCTCATCATTCATCTCATTTCATATCATTTTATCTCATCTCATTTCATCTCATTTCATCATTACATTTCATCTCATTTTATGTCATCATTTCATGTCATCATTTCATCACATCTCATCTCATCATTTCATCACATCTCATCTCATCATTTCATCTCATCATTTCATCATTTCATCTCATTTCAACTCATTGCATCTCATCTCTTTTCCATTTCATTATTCCATTTCATCATTTCATTTCATTATGTCATTTCACCTCATCATATTTCATCTCATTTCATCTCATCTCATCATTTCATTTCATCTCATCATTTCATCTCATTTTATCTCATCTCATCTCATCATTTCTTCTCATCTCATCATTTCCATTTCATTTTCATTTCATTATTTCATCATTTCATTATTTCATCTCATTTCATTATTTCATTTCATTATGTCATTTCATTTCATCTCATTACATTTCATCTCATTTCATCTCATCATTTCATCCATCATTTCATTTCATTTCATCATTTCATCTCATGATTTCATCTCATCTCATCATCTCATTTCATCTCATTATTTCATCTCATTTCATCTCATCTCATTTCATCATTTCATTTCATCATTACATCTCATCATTTCAACTCATCTCATTTCAATTTCATTTCAATTTCATTACATTTCATAATTTCCTTTCATTATTTCATTTCATTTCATCTCATTTCATTATTTCATTTCATTATTTCATTTCATCTCATTTTTCATCTCATCATTTTTCATCTCATTTCATCTCATCATGTCATCTCATCGTTCATCTCATTTCATCTCATTTTATCTCATTATTTCATCTCATCTCATTTCAATTTCATTATTTCATATCATTTCATTATTTCATTTCATTTCATCTCATCATTTCATCTCGTTTCATCTCATCATTTCATCATCTCATCATTTCATCTCATTTCATCTCATCTCATCTCCTTTCAATTTCTTTTCAACTTTGTCATTTCATCTCATCATTTAATCTCATCATTTCCACTCTCCATTTCATCTCAAAATTTCTTCTCATCATCTCATCTCATCTCATCATTTTGTCATTTCATCTCATCATTTCATCTCATCTCAAGTCATCTTATCATTTCATCTAAGTGAAATGACATAATGGAATCATGAAATGAAATGGATAGGATGCCCTCAGTGATGTTAAATTTAAAAATTGTTTCTTTTCATGCATGCATTTTTATATTTATATGTATTTATATTTATATTTACTAATATTTCTTTTTACTTATTTTTATTTATATTTTTACTTATTTCTTTATTCATAGACAAGGTCCTGTTCTGTGGCCTAGGCTGGAATGCAGTGGTGCATTCACAGTTCACTGCAGCCTCGAGAAAACCTCCCACATTAGCCTCCCAGGTAGCTGGGACCCCAGGTGCGCACCACCACACCTGGTTAATATTTTATTATTTGTAGAGATGGAGTCTTGCTATTCTGCCCAGGCTGGTCTCAAACTCCTGGGCTCAAGCAATCCTCCTGCACTGGCAACCCAAAATGCTGGGATGACAGATATGAGCCACAGTGCCCAACCTATTTATTTATTTATTTAATAAGGACAAGGTCTCACTATGTTGCCCAGGCTGGTCAACTCCTGGACTCAAATGATTCTCCAAACTTGGCCTCTCAAAATGTTGGGATTACAGGTATGAGCCACCATGCCTGGCCTAAAAATAGTATTATATTTTTGTATCATATAATTTTCAATTAGGTAATATGAATATTCTGTACAGGAAATACGCCCTTAATTACATAGGAATAAACGTTTGTTACACTGAGAAAAATCTAATAGAGCTAAAAATAAATATTAATTTGGAAAGGTCATTAGATACTGATACATTCTTACGTTTATACATTCTTTCATATATTCATATATTCTTTTAACAGTATCAATGGTTTGGAGTTATGTGTACAAAACCATGACCTATATGTAATACAACTAATAACAGGCATTTACAATTCAAGGCATATTATATACAAAGCTTTAACTTCTTATCAAAATATTTTGTTTTTTTTCTTTCTGTTTTGGCAGATACTATGAACACTACATTCAACTCACAGACACCATGGAGCCCTTACTAAGCATAAAGTACTGTGAAAGGCCAGGGCTAGGACAGAACTGAGACAGGGCCAGGGATAGGACAGAACAGGGGCAGGGTCATGGCCAGAGAAAAACCAGGGGCAGGGTCACGGCCAGGGACATGAGAGGACCAAGGCCAGGGCCAGAAGCAGGGCAGAACCAGGGCCAGGGCAGGGACATGGCAGGGCCAGGGCCATGGCAGGATCAGGGTCAGCAGAAGGCCAGGGCAGGGCTAGGGTAGCGCAGGGCCAAGGCAGGGCAGGGTCAGTGTAGAGCAAGGAACGGGCCAGGGTATGGCAGGGCAGGGACAGGGAGGTCCAGGGCCAGAGTCAGGTCCAGGACATGGACAGGACAGGGCCAGAAATATGGCAGGACCAGAAAGGGGACAGGGCAAGGGCAAGGCCAGAGAAGGACCATGGAAAAAACACGGCCAGGGAGGGTCCAGGGCAAGGGCAAGGCCAGGGCAGAACCAGAGCCAGAGCAGGCCAAAGGCAGGGCCAGGGCAGGGCAAGGCCAGGGTAGGGCGGGGCCAGTGTAGGGTGAGGGTAGGGCCAGGGTGAGTTCAGGGCCAGGGCAGGACTAAGATAGCACAGGGCCAAGGCAGGGCCAGGGCAGGGCCAAAAGGAGGGGCCAGGGCCAAGCATGGCCAGTGTCAGACCTGGGGATTGTCAGGGCCAGGGTCAGGGTCAAGGCTGGGCCAGGGACAGGGCCAGAGCAAGGGCAGGGCCAGGGAGAAAGCAGAACCAGAGAGGATCCAGAGCAAGGCCAGGGTCAGGGCAGAACCAGGACCAGGATAAGGCAAAGCCAAGGCCAGGGCAGGGCAAGGCCAGGGCAAGGCAAGACCAGGGAAGGGCAAGGCCAGAGTAGAAAAGGCCAGTGTAGGGCCAGGCCAGGGTAGGAGAAGGCCATGGTAGGGCCAAGGCCAAGGCAGGGCAGGGCTAGGGTAGCACAGGGCATGGCCAAAAACAGGGCAGGGCCATAACAGTGGCAGGACTAGCAACAGGGCCAGGGCAAGCGCTGGACCAGAGCATGGTGGGGACAATACAGGGCCAGGACAGACGATGGCAAGGCAGGTCCAGGGCCATTTCATGGACTCGGTAGGCCTGGGGTCAGGCCAGGGCAGGGCAAAGGCAAGACCAGGGAGAAGGCAGGGCCGGGGCCAAGGCAGTGCCAGGGCAGGGCAGGACCAGTGCAGGGCCAATGCAGGGTGAGGGCAAGGCCAGGGCATGGAAGGGCAGGGCAGGACCAAGGAAGGGCCAGGAGAGGGCCACGGCAGGGTCACGGCCAGAACAAGGGTATGGCTGGGGTCAGGAATGTGGTAGGACGAGGGCTGGGCCCAGGCTGGGACACGCAGGGCAGAGCATGATCTGTGCAAGGCACGGCCAGAGCCAGGCCATAGAGATGGGAGGGCAACACCAAGGCAGAGTCAGGGTAGATCCAGGGCTGAGCAGAGTCAGGGCAGGTCCAGAGTCGAGGCAGAGCTAGGGCCCAAGCAGGGCCATGGTAGCACCAGGGCAGAGGAGGGCAGGGCAATGCAGGACTGGGCCATGGCAGTGCCTGGTCAACTCCCGGGCAGGGCCAGAAGCAGGACAGGGCCAGGGCCAATGCTCAGGCCAGGGACAGGGCATGACAGGAAGTGCCAGAGCAGGGCTGGACCAACGTTGGGGCAGGGCAAATCAGACCAGGACACCTCCAAGTCCATCTCTGGCCCTGCCTTGGCCCTGGCCCCTTCCTGGCCTGACCTTGTCCCTGGCCCTGCCCTATCCATGCCCTGTGTGTTTGACCAGTGTTTTATAACCAGAATCCTACAAGAAACTTAAATTAGTTCTTTTTGTGCATTTTTAGTAGAGATGGGGTTTCACAATGTTGCCCAGGCTGGTTCCAAACTCCTGAGCTCAAGCCATCTGCCTGCCTTGGCCTCCCAAAGTGCTGGGATTACAGGAGTAATCTGGCCAAGTATTTAACTTCTTTATACCTGTTTCCTACATTTGGAAAATGGGGATGCTTTAAGTACCTAGCACATAGAATTATTGTGAGAATCAATGCCTCACATATTAACATATTGATAAAATTATACTCATAGAACACTACTGGAAGCAAAGATAGTATTAGTTAAAATTTAGTGATTACTGCAAATATTATTACTATTACAAACAATATAGTATAGACATTACTACTACTATAGTTATCTTAAAAATCTAAAATAAAAATTTTATGTAATAGCCCAATGTAATCTCTCCTGCTCTGTCCTGGCTCAGCCCTAGTGCCGGCTCTGCCCCTAGTCCTACTACATCCCTGGCCCTGACCCTTCCCTGGTCCAGCCGCTGCCCTGGCCCTTCCCATCTTCAGGCCTTACCATGGCCCTACCCTGGTCCTGACCCTGCCCTGGTCTGGTCCTGACCCTGGCCCTACCCCAGAGAAGGGGTATGGCAGAGCCAGGGAAGGGCCAGGGCAAATAAGGGACAGGACACATCCAAATCCAGGAAAGGGCCAGGGCCATGACAGAGCCAGGGCGAGTCCTTGGCAGGGCCAGGTTCCAGGCCAGGGCCAGGAAAGGGTCATGGCAGGGTCACTGTATGGCCAAGGTCCAGGCCAAAGCCAAGGCAGTGGCAGGGTCAGGTCTGCATAAGGGCAGGACCAGAGCCAGTGATACGGCAGGGCCAGGGCCAGGGCCAGGGCTGTGCCAGGACAGAACAAGAGCAGAGCAGGGCAGGACCAGAGCCAGGCCATAGAGAGAGTAGGGCAAATGCCAAGGCAAGGCCAGGGTAGTGGTAGTGCCAGGGCTGAGGCAAGATCAGGGAAGGTCCAGGGCTCAGTCAAGGCTAGAACCAAGACAGGGGCAAAGGCCGGGGCAGATCTAGGGCACAAGCAGGGCAGGCTAGGGCAGGGAAATGGCAAGACCAGGCCATGGCAGGGCCAGCCCAGGATAGAACAGGGCACAGGCAGGGCAGGGCCAGGGCCACGGCTGGGGCAGGACAAGGACCAGGACTGGGGTCCAGGCCAGGGCAAGGGTATGGCCAGGGCAGAGGTAGGGCCAGAGCCAGGGTCTGGGCAGGACCAAGGCAGGTCTATTGCAGGGCCAGGGTTCAGACCAGGGCCAGAGCAGGGCTGGGACAGGGCCAGGGCCAGAACCAGGAAAGGGCAATGTCAGGACAAGGGCCGTGGCAGGACCAGCAATGGGGCTGGGGCCAGAACAGGGACAGGGACAGGGTCAGGGCTAGGGCCAGAATAGCATGCCAGGGTAGAGCCAGGCCAAATTAGGGCCAGGACAGGGTCAGGACCAGGGCTGGGCCAGGGTATGGCCTTAAGTAGCGAAGGGTCAGGGCCAGGGTCCATGCCAGTGCCAGTGCTGGTCCAGGGAAGATGCAGGGCCATGGCCAGATCTAGGACAAGGCTGGGGCAGGGCCAAGGTCTGGGTCAGGGTCAGCAGAAGGCCAGGACAGAGCCAGGGGAGGGACAGGGCCATGGTAAGACCAGGTTACATCAGGGACAAGACACCTGCAAATCCACTTCAGGGCCAGGGTCAGGGCAGGGCCAGTTCAGGGCCAGGGTCAGGGCTGCCAGGGTCATTGGCAGGGCCAGGGCCATGGCAGGACCGGGGTCAGGAGCAGGGGTCAATGCCAGGCCTAGGCCACACATAGGACCAGGTCTGTGCTAGGGCCAGTGTGAGGGCCAAGGCAGGGTCAGGGCAGGGCCAAAGGGAGGGCAGGGCCAGGGCAGGGTGGAGCAGGCCCAGGGTAGCACAGGGTTAAGGTAGGGCACGACCAACCAGGGCAGGTCTATGGTTGGGGCCGGGGCAGGGCCAGAGCCAGGGCACAGCCAAGACAGTGGCAGCTCCTGGGCAGGGCCAGGGTTAGGACCATGGACATGTCCAAGGCCAGTGCCAGGGCAACAGCAAGGGCAGGAGCAGGGCCAGGTTCATCTAAGAACCAGGGACAAAGCCAGGCCCAGAGCTGGGCCAGGACAGGTACCTGGCAGGGCTAGGGTCTGAGACAGGGCCACAGCAGGACCAGGGCCACAACCAGGTCTGTGCTATGGCCAGGTCCAACACAATGCCCAGGTAAGGCTAGGGTGAAGGCCAAGGTAGGGCCAGGGCAGGGTCAAAGCCAGGCTAGGGCCAAGGCAGGGCCAGGGCCGGCAAGGCAGGGCCAGGAAAGCATAGGGCCAGGGCAGGGCAGGGCCAGGGCAGGGCGGGGCCAGGACAGTGCCAAGACCTGGGCAGGGCCAGGGCCAGGGCCATGGCCACGGCCTGGGGAAGACCAGGTTCAGGGCAGGAGCAAAACAATGGCAAGGACAGTGCAGGTTCTTGGCACAGCCAGGGTCCAGGACAGTGTCAGGGCAGGGCCAAGGCAGGGTCTGGGCCATGGTAAGACCAGCAACAGGGCTGGGGCTAGGCCAGTGACAGGACCAGAGTCAGGGCAAGGGCCAGAGCAGTGCAAGGCCAGGGTAGGGCCAGGCATTTCAGGGTCAGGGCCAGGGGAGAACCAGGGCAAGGTCTCAAGCAGGGAAGGGCCAGGGCCAGGACAGGTCCAGGGCAGGGCCATGACAGGGCCAGGGGCTGCGTTAGGGCAAGGGCAGGGCCACAGCAAGGTAAGGGTCAGGGCCAAGGCCAGGGTAGGGACAGGGCAAGAAATATGGCATGACCAGGGGCAATGCCAAGGCCAAGGTTGGGCCAGGGCTGACCCGGGACTGAGTCAGGGCAGGGCAGGGCATGGTATGGCCAGTGCAGGACAGGACAAGAGCCGGTCCACAGAGAGAGCAGAGCTGATGCCAAGAAAGAGCCAGGCTAGTGCCGAGGCTGAGGCAGTGTCAGAGCATGTCCAGGGCAGGGCCAGGGCCAGGGCCAGAACCGAGCCAGGGCACAGCCAAGGCAGGGTAGGGAAGGGAAATAGCACGGCCGGGTCAGTACTGGGACAGGACAGAGCAGGGCAAGGAGATGGTAGCGGCAGGGCAGGGACAGGCCAATGCAGAGCCATGTTATGCCGGGGCCAGGACACCTCCAAGTCCACTTCAGGGCCAGGGCTATGGCAGGACAAAGACCACGGCCAGGATCAGGGCCAGGTCTGTGCTAGGGTCAGCTCCAGAGCAGGGTCTAGCGCAGGCTAGGGTGAGGGCCAAGGTAAGGCCAGGGCAGGGTCAAAGGCAGAGTAGGGCCAGGGCAGGGTGATGACACATCCAGAGCGCAGCAGGGCAGGGTGATGGCAAGACCAGGGGCAGACCATTGCCAGCTCAGGGCCAGGGAAAGTCCAGTGCAGAGCCAGGAAAGGGTCTGGGTCTGGGTCAGGGCCAGGAACAAGGCAGAGCAGGGCCAGGGCCATGGCAGAGTCAGGGCAGGTTCTTGACAGGACCAGGTTCCAGGCCAGGGCCAGGGCAGCAGCAGGGGCAGGGCCTGGATAAGGGCAGGGCCAGGGATATGGCAGGACCAGGGCTAGGGCCAGGGCCAGGCCATAGTGAGGGCAGGGCAAAAGCCAAGGGCAGGGTCAGGGCAGGTCCAGGGCAGGTCCAGGGAGTGGCCAGCACCAAGCGGGGCCAAGTCACAACCAGCGCAGGGTAAGGCAGGGCAATGGCACCACTGGGCCATGACAGGGCAAGGTCAGTGCCAGGAGAGGGCAGAACAGGCAGGCCCATGGTGGAGCCAGGGCAGGGATGGGCCAAAGCAGGGCCAGGACATGTCCAAGGCCAGGTCAGGGCCAGAACAGGAGCAGGACCATGACCATTGGCAGGGCCAGTGCCATGACACGACCAGGGTCAGGACAAGAGGCAGGGCCAGAGCCAGGGCCAGAGCCAAGGTCAGGCCAGTGCAGGTTCAGGGCAGGGCCAGTGCCAGGGCAAGACCAGGGCAGGGACAGGGTAGCACAGGGCCAAGACAGGGTCAGGATGGGACCAGAGCAGGACAGGGCCGAGAGTCCAAGTAACAGTAGGGCAGGTACAGGGCAAGGCAGGGCAGTACAGGGCCAGATCCACGGCAGGCGCAGGGCAAAGCCAGGCCCATTGCCAAGGCACCAGCCCTCCCTACAAGGCTCCTACCACCTGGCCACTGCTGCAGCCCGTCCATCGCTCTAAGCCTGACCCCCAACCCTGGCTGCAGCCGCCTGCCCTCCTAGCGCAGCCGCTCTCCTACCGCTCTGGCGCACCGCAGTCTCTGTCACTGCCGCCCACCCGCAGCGAGGCGAGCCATGGTGTCGCAGGCTCTAGGTGTCTCCTCCTCCTCCTGGCACAGAGCAGCTGGGCGGGCAAAACCAGAAAAGCCTAGGGAAAGATGTGAGGGGTGGAAGGGTTAGAGCCTCAACTTGTCATGCCGGCCACTGGGTGGCAGGGGCCAGTTTCAGCAAAGGCACTCACACCCACCCTACAAAGTCCAGCCTCTCCTTTTGGCCCAAGCTGGGCAGGAACTGGGGTCTGGGGTGGGTGCTGGAGACACCACAGCATCCAGCTCCCCACTCCACAGGAACCATTGGGCCCACTGGGGCTGCACTCCTCGGGGAGCAGGAGAAGCAGAAAAATTCAGACCCAGCCAGCCCTCCACACCCAGGTGCCAATTCCTGTTCCGGACGCCTCCACGCACAGGGCCCTGTCCCCCGTGGTGTCCCCAGGGGTGCCTGGCAGCCTCTGAGGCACAGACCCACAGTACACAGGCCCAGGAACCACGGTGGGTGTGGGGGCTCTGCCATGCTCAGGATTCCCACGCAAACGCTGTGTGCCCTGCTGCACTCCAGTATGACCAAGAGTGGGTCGCCCTCTGGAGTGTGGAGTCAGGGAGAGGAGAACCACTCCTTCCTTGGATGCCAACTCTGTTGACCGACACCAGCAGTGCAGCCCCTGATAGCACCGAACTCGCCCCCGCTCCATGGCTAGCCCTGCCCTCAATAGCGCCCCCCACCTCCGTCCCCCAATGCCGCCAGTAGCGTATAACTGATAGTGCCCTAACCTGTCCTCCTCCATGGGCATTGCAGCCCCAGAGAGCACCCATAACCCACCCTCCCTGCCGTGGGCAGTGCAGCCCTGTACAGTGCTACCAACCAGTACCCCTAATGCAGGCAATGACACCCTGGATAGCGCCCTCAACCCACCCCACACTGCGAAAGGTGCAGCCCTGGATAGCCCCTGTCCTACCACTCTGGTCGTCCTGCAGTCTCTGTCACCACCACCACCAACCACAGTGAGGCAAGCCAGTGGGCCACAGGCTCTAGGACCCAGCAGCCAGGCATGGAGCAGCTCTCGCTGATGGCCGGCTCCTACCACTCTGACCACGCTGCTGTCTGTCTCCGTGGCCATCTTCTTTCACTACAAAGGAATAAAACTAGGTATCAATAAGAAAAGCAATTTTGGAAACAATACAATCACATGGAAGTTAAACACTACCCTCCTGAATAAATGACTAGTGGGTCAATGAAGATACTAAGACAGAAATTCAAAAATTTCATGAAACAAAGGGTAATGAAAACACAGTATACCAAAACTTGTTATGCAGAAAGCAGTACAAAGGCAGAGATTTACAGCTATAAGTGCCTACCATCCAAACAAAAGAAAACCTTCAAATAAACAATACATCTTAAAGAACTAGTAAAGAACAAACTAAACTGAAAATAAGAAAATAAATAAGATCATAGCACAAACAAAATTGAAATAAAAAACAGACAAGATTAAACGAAAAGTTGGTTTTCTGGAAAGCTAAACAAAATTGACAAACTTTTAACCAGGCTAAGAAAAGAGACAAGATTCAAATAAATAAAATCAACAGATTAAAAAAAGGAGACATTACAACTAATACTTCAGAAATTCAAAGGATCATAACTGGCTACTATATGCCAATAAATTGGAAAGCCTAGTAGAAATTGGCAAATTCCTAGATGCATACAACCTACTTAGGTTAAACAATGAAAACATCCAAGACCAGAACAGATTGGTAACAAGTAATGAGATTGAAGCCATCAGAAAAAGTCTCCCAGTAAAGAAAAGCCCAGGAACTGATGTCTTCACTGCTGATGGCTTCACACCAAACAATTTAAAGACCTAGTACGAATCCTGCTCAAACTATTTTGAAAAACAGGAGGGAATACTTCCAAACTTATTCTATGAGACCATTATTACTGTGATGCCAAAATCAGACAAAAGCATCAAAGAAGGAAACTACAGGCCAGGATCTCTAATATTGATGCAAAAATCCTCAACAAAATACCAGTGAATCAAATTCAGTAATACATTAAAAAGATAATTCATCATGATCAAGTGGGATGTATCCCTGGGACCCAAGGGTCACTCAACATACAATGTGATACATCATATCAACCAAATAAACGACAAAAACAGTATCATCACGTCAACTGAAACTGAAAAAGCATTTGATGAAATTCAACATCCCTTCATGCTATAAATCCTCAAAGAAACGGGCACAGAAGAAACATACCGCAACGTAATAAAAACTACAGGAAAGACACCCACAGCTAGAATCATATGGAATGGGGAAAAATGGAAAGCTTTTCCTCTAAGATCTGGAACATAAGGATGCCCCCTGTCACCACTGTTGTTTAACATAGTACCAGAAATCCTAGCTAAAGCCATCAGTGCAGCCCCTGATATGGCCCCCAACCCACCCTGCCCCCTACCACCAGCAGTGTCACCCCCCCAATAGCACACCCAACATACCCAAACTGCCCCGCCTCCCCACACCATGGGCATTACAGCACCCCATAGCGCCCTCAACCCGAAACCGCCACCCCCCCGACAGCCGCACAGTGCAGCCCCGGATAGCACACTTAGCCCACCTCACTGTTGCCAGCAATACAGTCTGGGATAGTGCCCCCAACCGGCTCCCCACCAAAGGCAGTGCAGCCCCGGTTTGGCCCCCAAACCACCCCCCCCCCGCCCGGTGCAGGCAGCACAGCCCCAGATAGCACACCCAACCGGCCACCCAAGACGGGCAGTGACGCCTGAGATAGGGCTCCCAACCCGTCCCAGGCCACCCACAGTGCAGCCTGGATAGTGCACTTACCCCGACGCCTTTCTACGCTCTGGCTGGCTGCAGTGTCCATCGCTGCCACCAACCACAAACAGGGCTGCAAACAGGAAGGATTTTATTCACTGTCCATGCGGCCCTGAGTTGTCCCAAAGCGAGGCAGTGCCCCCAAGGTCTGTGCAGAGCAGAACGCAGCTCCGCCCTCGCGGTGCCACCGGCCCGCCCGCCCGCGTCTCTGCTGAGGAGAACATTGCTCTGCCTTCGCTGTATCTCCGAAGTCTGCAGAGGAGAACTCAGCTCCGCCCTCGCAATGCTCTCCGGGTCTGTGCTGAGGAGACCGCAGCTCCGCCCTCGCAAAGGCACACAGCGCTGGCGCCGGCGTGGCGGAGAGGGGGCCAGTGGCGGAGAGGCGGCCAGCGGCGGCGCGGCGGAGAGACGGACAGCGGCGGAGAGGCGGCCAGCGGCGGCGCGGCGGAGAGACGGACAGCGGCGGCGCGGCGGAGAGGCGGACGGCGGCGGAGAGGCGGCCAGCGGCGGCGCGGCGGAGAGGCGGACGGCGGCGGAGAGGCGGCCAGCGGCGGCGCGGCGGAGAGGCGGACGGCGGCGGAGAGGCGGCCAGCGGCGGCGCGGCGGAGAGGCGGACGGCGGCGGAGAGGCGGATAGCGGCGGCGCGGCGGAGAGGCGGACGGCGGCGGAGAGGCGGACAGCGGCGGCGCGGCGGAGAGACGGACGGCGGCGGAGAGGCGGACAGAGGCGGAGAGGCGGACAGCGGCGGCGCGGCGGAGAGGCGGACAGCGGCGGAGAGGCGGACAGCGGCGGCGCGGCGGAGAGACGGACAGCGGCGGAGAGGCGGACAGCGGCGGCGCGGCGGAGAGGCGGACAGCGGCGGAGAGGCGGACAGCGGCGGCACAGCGGCGGCGCGGCGGAGAGACGGACAGCGGCGGAGAGGCGGACAGCGGCGGCGAGGCGCGCAGCGGCGGCGCAGGCGCGGAGAGGCCGTGGCGCCGGCTCTGGCGCGGAGAGGCGCAGGCCCAGGCTCCACTCCCCAGCTGTGAAAGGGTAAGAACCGAGGGTGGCTGAGACTCGGGGTTGTTCAGGGCGGGGTGGGCTCTGGACCCAGCAGGCCCGGCACCCAGGTCAGGGCTCCAGGGGAGGCCGGGTGGGCGAAGGCCAAGAAGGGGCTGGGGCTGGTCAGGAAGGGCTCCTGGTGACCGGAGCACTTTGCGTGAGCCAGCGTGGGAGGAAGGTGGGCTGGATGAGCCAGGGAGGCGCCGGGAGGGGCCTTGGCAGAGGCGACCCCCTCCGTCACCCCCAGGCCACTGAACCCTGGGTAGCGGAGAACCGACAGGGGAGGCTGCAGACAGAGGAGTGGAGGCTCCCCGGCTTTGGGGGCTCTGAGTAGAAGCATCTAGGGTGTCCCTCAAGAGGCCCCCAAACGCTTCCCCATGGTGAGAAAAGAAGGTGCAGAGAGGGGCACGGCGCTGGTGCAGAGGGGCACACAGCGAGATTTGCTGTGAGTTCTTTTATTGCCCCAAGTGTACCTCATCTTGGTAGATTTCTATTGGCTTTAAAAATGTGTGTGTTTTGCTGTTGGGGAGTGGGGTATTATACGGATGTCAGATTTTGCTGGTTGACTGTTCAGATCTTTTGTAAATCCTTGCTCCTTTTGTGCCTAGTTTCACTCTGTCACTTACACTAGAGTGCGGTGGCACGAACATGACTCACTGCAGCCTTGACTTCCTAGGGTCAAGTACTTCCCCTGGCTTAACCTCCTGAGTAGCTGGTACTATAGGTGTGTGCCGCCACACCTGGCTAAATTTAAAATTTTTTGGAGAGATGAGGCCTTGCTATGTTGCCCAGGCTCGAACTCCTGGCCTCAAGCTATCCTTTGTTTTTGCCTCCCAGAGTTCTGGGATTACAGGCATGAGCCACTGTGCCCGGCCTCTGCCTAGTTTTAACAGTTGCTAAGAGGAGGATGTTGAAGTAGATGTCTTCTTGGTGGGTTAATCCTTTTGTCATTAAGCAGTTGTTATGGTCACTTCCTCTTTTCACCCCATTGGTGAAGGAGGGGTCCCTGCCCTAAAGTGTAGGAGATGGCTGAACACGACACCTGGCGTGGATGGATGCGATTGACAGCAGTGTTTTAGTCACATATACCCACAGCTCAGAGGAGGACACTGCATGCCACACAGGGTCAGATGGGCACCGCACTCTGTAGTGGAGTGAGGGCTGCGGGCTGAGGAAGCAGGCGGGCTTGGTAGTAACAAGAGCACACGATGACCAATGGTTCCCGAGGGGGAATGCAATTGGCTTGTTTGAATAAATTCATGGGCTGGCAGACAGGTGAAGTGAAACTTCTTAGGCTGAGGTGCAACTGTTCTGGCTGATAAAAGAACTAGCCAGGTGGGGAGCCTTTCCTGTTGGGTGGCGGGGTAGGGGGTGTCTGGTAGAAACAGGAAAACCCACGGCTAGGTCTTTGGGGCCCTGTGAGGCTCAAACATGTCAAGGCAGCATAGGAAATTTTAGATCTTAAAATTCAGCGAAGACCCTCTCCAGCTCTGGTAAATTATTTTGCTTGAAGTCTACTTCATGAGATATTAATATATTCACTCCTGCTTCCTTAAAAAATTAATGATTTCACAGGATATCTTTCTCCATTCTTTTACTTTCAACCTACTTAGGTCCTTAAGTGAGTTTGAAGTTTCTTATGAACAGTATTTAGTTGGGCCATGTGTTTATTATAGGCTCTCCATCAATCTGTCTTTTGGTTTATTTAGACCATTTACATTTAAGGTGCTTATTGTTACATAATTGCTTATGTCTGATGTTTTTATTATTTGCTTTTTTGTTTCCTTTTTCTTTCCCTCCATCTTGATCTATTTCTGTATAATGTTGTTGCGTGTATCTCTTTGTATAGTCTTAAAGTGTTTGCTCTGGATGTTACAATATGTGTATTGTAATATAGTAGTCTACTGGTACCAGTATTTACCACTTCAAAGTGTGGAAACCTGCCTTGCATTTATGTCTCTTTACCTTTTCCACTTGTATAAATCACTGGCTTGAGTATTAGGTGGTGGTATAGTTTTTGTTTCAGTCGTCAAATGTGATTTTAAGAACTGTGGATTGTCTCGCATATGTATCCACATTTCTCGTCTTTCCTTTGTCCCTCCTCCCATAGTCCCATATTCATCCCTTCTGCATAAGAACTTTCTATAGCCATTTTTTTATTTTGATTTTTTTGTTTTAATTTTTTATATTGTGGAAATGACAGAACATATTTCTGTAGCCACTTTTTAGCATTTCTAAATTGACCAGTGACAAATTCCTATATTCTCTTCCTCTGAGAATGTCTTTATTTCTCTCTTCATTTCTGAAGGGTAGTTTCATGGGATATAGAATTTGCCTTTCATGTATTCAGAGGTTTTCAGTATTCGTATAATCAAACCTGATAGTTTTCCTTTTGGTTTTGAGGTTGTGTCTTGTTTGGGTGAGTCTCCTACCCATTTGACTACAGAAATGCCCTTTCATTTTAAATATCCTCCTATTATGAAACACATTTCCACATTTTCTAAATTTTTAATTTTTAGCTGAGAAATAAATTAGTAATTATTTAAGTATTAATTACTTTTATCTTGCTATTATTGGTTTTATTTATTTACATGTAGTTGGCTTACATTTAGTTTAGTTTAACTTAATTACTTTAAAGTAATGTATAACTATCTGCAGTTTGTACCTCATGTTCTCACTCATAAATGGGAGCTGAACAATGAGAACACGTAGACACAGGGAGGGGAACATCACACACCAGGTTCTATCCAGGGGTTGGAGGCAAGGGAAAGGAGAGCATTATGACAAATACCTAATGCATGCAGGGCTTAAAACCTAGATGACAAATTGATAGGTGCAGCAAACCACCATGGCACATGTATACCTATGTAATAAACCTACATGTTCTGAACATGTATCCCAGAACTTAAAGTAAAATTAAAAAAAAAATAATTAATTAAAAATATATATCTTCAGTTTGTAAACGTCCCGACAACACAGGAACAGAGTTAAAAGAGTGTGTGTCGTCCTTAGCTGCTCCCACCCCATCGTCTCCTCCCTAGCCAACCCAGCCGCCAGTCTGGCGTGCGCCTTCAAGGTTTCTTCCTAGACACTGGCAAACATAGATCACTATTTTCTGCCACATGGTATCTTTTAAACACACACGATTGTTTTGTGCAGAAACTTTCTATTTTTACCTCTCATAAGTGTCCTGTGGATTCTTTCCATGTCACTGTGGTGTGTGTGCGTGTGTGAGATTCAAGTTCAGCTTGCTAATCTTGTAGAAAGAATTACACTCCACTTCCCCTGTGCTCTGGCCCTCCCTAACACAGCAGCCCATCCCTGGAGGCTGATGGAGCCCCTCGAGCACCTGCTTACCATTTCTGTTTGTTCTGTTTATTCAGGTTTTCTGCCTCCTGCTAAGCCAATTTATACATTCCAAGAAAATCTTCCATTTCATCCAGGTGAAACAGAACCTACTGGAATGAAGCTGGCCTCCCATGGAATGAAGCTGGCCTCCCGTCTCCTTGATTTGAAGCAGCTTCTCCACGTTGGTTATTATGCCATTTTTCTAAATCTAACATTTTAAAATTTGTGCCTTTTCTTTCTCTTTTGCTTGACTTCTCAGAGGTTTTTTTAATGGTCTTTTCAAAGAAGTGGTTTTGGGTTTTATTTATCAAGTCTACTTTTATTATGGCTGTTTTAAAATTAAATACATTTATTTCTTGTTTCCCTTAAAAAAGCTTCTTGTATGTTTACTTAGTTTATATAATTTTATATGTCTTCTGTTGAAGCATATTAACAAACACTTCCAGCTATAACGTTTCCCCTGAGAACTGCTTTGGACACATCCAGAGATTTTGATAGGTCACACACTTATTGTAGTTTGTTTCTGAAAAGTTTTTCATTTTAGTTTTTATTTTCTCTTTTACTCAAATTATCATCAGCTTTCTCCTTTTATCCTGTTTCTGACAAATTAATCTGAGGATATAAATTTCTCCCTAAATGTCAATTTTGTTGAGTTTCATAATTTTAATATGTAATACCCTATTGCTATTGAGTTCCAGGCATTTTATAATTTTCATTGTGAAAACTAACTTTGTTTCCAAAACACACTTTTTCTTCTTTTTTGAGACAGAGTTTCACTCTGTCGCTCAGGCTGGAGTGCAGTAGCACAATCTCATCTCACTGCAACCTCTGCCTCCTAAGTTTAGGTGATTTTGTTGCCTCAGCCTCCCTAGTAGCCGGGTTTACAGGCTTTTGCCACTATGCCTGGCTAATTTTTTGTATTTTTAGTAGAGACAGGGTTTCGTCATGTTGCCCAGGGTGGTCTCGATCTCCTGACCTGGGGTGATCCACCCGCTTCAGCCTCTCAAAGTGCTGCGATTACAGGCATGAGCCACCATGCCCGGCCCCAAAATGCACTTTTAACATGGCCTTTGTTATTCCATGTTTCTAATTTTGTTGCACCCTGGTGAGAGAATGTGATTTGTGTAACAGCAATTCTTGGGAAAGGGGCTGAGGCTTCCTGCTCCTTTAGCACAGCTAAATTTTCCCAAACGCCATCCATGAGCTTGGAAAGAGCATTGTACTCTGTTGGGATGGGCTCAAATCTCTCTGTAAAAATGAGTGTTCTTCTGTTGTTGTTGTTCTGTTTTTTGTTTGTTTTGTTTTGTTTGTTTTTTGTCTCAGTCGTTTTGTTTGCTCAGATCTTTTGATGATCCAGATGATCTTTTAATTTATGCAGGATGTTTCTCTGCTTGTGCAGGCTGGTGGGATTGGGGACTGGAGAGAGGATAAGTGTCTGCTTGCCCAGGACTGGCAAACTGTCACTTGCCCTGGTTGTGCCTTGCCAGGAGCTCCCGTGCCTGTCTCTGAGAGTGTCATGAGCGCAGCAGTGGTAGTTGTGTGGTGGATGCATTTCCCCTGGGTTGGGGGGTGGGTGGCTGGTCCTAGCTCTGTTTGTTGTTGCCGATGAGACACAGCACACTTCTGCTTCCTGATGGATCTTGTCGGTCATTTGACTTCTTCCTGGTCTGGGCTCCTGAGCTGGCCCTCCGCAGGCCAAGCAGGAATGGAGCTGGCTGCTACAAGAGTTCCTTCACTAGAGGGCATCTCTCCTCTCTCCTCCCACACATGGGAACACAAGGGTGGGCTTTCCTCCGCCCACTGTGATCCGCAGCCCGGCTTTCCCCTCCTCACCCTCTGCTCTCAGACAGACTTGGTTTTCGCTGGTGTCTGTGAGAGGTGATTCTTCATGGTGCCAAGAATGTGGATTTTTTTGAGAGCAGGCACTCTCACAGATATTTGCACACCCATGTTCAAAGCAGCGTGATTCACAAGAGTCAAAAGGTAGAAGCATTCTGAGGGTCTATGGGTGAGTGGATGGGCAAGCGAAATGTGGTTATGCATACAGTAGACTGTTACTGAACCTTTACCAGGAAGGAGATTCTTTTTTTTCTTTCTTTTTGTGGAAAATGCAGTCTCGCTATATTGCCCAGGCAGGTCTCGAACTCCTGGGTTCAAGCTATCTTCCTACCTCTGCCTCCCTAACAGCTAGGATAATAGGCGTGAGCCTATAATATCACCCAGCCAGGAGGGAAATTCTGAGAGGTGTGCCAACACACATGAACCTTGAGGACATTGTGCTAGATGGAATAAGCCAGCCACAAAAGGACAAATACATTGCGATTTCACTTACATGAGGGGCCCAGAATGGGCAAATTCAAATACAGAAAGAGCAATGGTTAACAAAAGGAGGGAGTTGGTGTTCAATGGGTCTGGTTTCCTTTTGGGAAGATGAAGACGTTCTGGAGATGGACGGTGGTAGGGGATATGCGACAATGTGAGTGCACTTAATGCCAGTTATAACACGGGGAGCGCGTGTGCACACGGCTCTGGGAGTTCTCGTGCAGCACTCAGAGCTCAGCGTGGGCGAGGGCGTCACCCCTCTGGGGGCGTCCATGGGGCCTTGGAGAAGGGAGGCTTCAGGGCACCAGAGCAGTCTACCGGGAGAGGCCGGGCCGAGCGCTTGTTCACCCCCAGCCCTCTTAGGGAACTTTCACATGCTTCTCCCACTAGGCCTAGGCACCCCTCCCTACTCTCCCTACCCTCCTGGTTCCCTGACCCTCAGTGACTGTGTCCTTCAAGACTGAACTCCAGAGTCCCCACCCGAGGACCCGCAGTGCCCAGCCCCCGCGAGCTCGCGGGGTGTATGCCCACCCCGAGGCTCCACCGCGCCTGTGTGCTGGGAAGCCTGGCTCCATGGGACCCTCGGGCTCTGGGCGCGCTGTCGCTGCAGCTGCCAGCAGCTCCTGAGGAAGTGGCTCGAGGCCCTGGGGCGGGCCAGGCGTGCGGTGGGCCCGCAGCCCTCACACCGGCCCCGGCCGCACACAGGAGGCACAATCAGCAGAGACGTTGGACAGGGTTGGACACTGGCTGTCTCTTTCGGGCCTCAGTTTTCACATCTGAAATAAAAGCGAGCATCCTGGCCCTGGCGCCATGCCTCTGCCGCGGTAGAGGTTTCCACCCCTATGAGCCCAGTGCGCCTTCCAGGCTCGAGGGAGAGGGAGTGTGCGTGCGTGTGAACGCGTCACACTCTTGTGTGAACGCGTCATACGCTTGTGAAAGACTGTGCGTGTGCACACGCGTGTACGTGCATGTGAACGCATCAGGGTGCCCGAGGATGCACACATGCACGTGTGAGTGTGCGCGAGTGCGTGCTCAGAGGACAGCTCTCAGCAGGCTGGGGACCTCCTTCCTCTCACCCCTGAGGGTTTTGGGGGACCAGCCCCCGTCTCCGGGTGCTATGGGATGCCCTGGGGCGAGCTCCCACCGCTGTGCTCGGGCTCCGGCTTTGTGGGGACCCGGCCTTCCCCGCCCGCACCACGGGGAGTTCCACGCAGCACCCACGAGGTGGCGCCGCAGACTCGCTATCGCGGAGCGTGGCGGCTCCCAGCAGCCTTGCCTACAGCTGTGGCCAGGGCGATCCCTCTCAGGCCCAGGCCGCTGCTGCCAGGAAGAGCAGGAACAATAGCCAGTCACGCCTGGTGATGCCCCTGAAGTGCTTATGCTCCCAGGCATGGGCTGTCCACAACGTGCATTCTCTCCTTTTATGCCCCTACTATTTGGAACGCTGTATTTTTTCATTTTTATTTTTATTTTTTGTTGTAAATCTGCCACTTAAAAATACCCAGGGTGGAGCTAAAAGTACAGACACTGCTCAACTTACCCCTGGCTGCGGCCCAATAAGGCCGCTGCGAGTGGAAAATGACTGAGTCCACCTGACTACCGAATAGCACAGCGTGGGGGGGCCCACCTTGGCCTGCTGAGAACACTGCCCTGAGCCTGCGGTGGGCAGAAGCATCAACACGAAGCCTGTTTTGTAGTCAAGTGTCGGATACCTCATGTAATCATTGACTGCTGTACTGAAAGTGAAAAACTGGCCGTGTGGGACTCACACGAGGGTTTCTGCTGACTGTGGATGGCTTTTGCATCACTATAAAGTTGAAAACTGTTAAGTGGAACTGCGGTAAGTCGGGGCTGTGTGCGCTAGAGACCTGAGTTCTGCCGCTCCATAGCTGTGTGACTTTGGACACATATTTGAGCCTGAGTGTCTTCTACACAAAATGGATTTCTTAGCATAACCTACACATGTGTACGTGCCCGTGAGCGTGCACGTGTGTGTTTGCATGAACACATCTGTGTATGCACGAATGTGTGCACATTTGTGTGTGTCTGTGTAAGTCCGTATGTACATTTGTGTGCATGTCTGTGTGTGCATATGTTTGTATGTGTGTGTGCTATGCATGTGTGTGTTAAGGCCCTGGGGTGGAGCTGAGGAGTTGAGGGGAGATGCTGGGAGGGCAGCCAGCACCAGGCGTTTGTTGGCCAGGAGAGAAGCTGCCATCCAGGTGCACTCTGGAGCTCGTGCTTCAGTGGCACAAGGCTTTGGGAGTGAGGAAGCTGGGGGCTGGGGCAGGGCAGTCCTGCACCTCAGGGGAGGTGCAGAGTGAGGCCAGGAGGATGGAAAGAGTGCCAGAGAATGGGGGAAATCTGAGGCATCAGGAAAGGAAGACAAAGGCCATGGAGAGGGCAGCTGGGCCCTGGGTGAGGCCGGCCCTCAGGAAGGAGGTGCCACAGGCAGGGGAGTGCCCAGATGGAGAGCCCAGGGGTATGGACCCACGGGTGTATGACAGTGGGGGTACTCCTGAAACAGAGCAGTGTTATCCAACAAGCAGGGTTGGGACAACTAGTTATTTCATTTAAAAAAACAGGTCAATGTCAGTCCTCATACTGTGCTTTAAAATAAGCTCCAGATGGACTCATGTTTTACATGTAAAGAAAAGAAGGCAAAAAGAAAATAAAGAAAAGGCTTGTAAGCAGGTAGTTAATTGGAGGCAATCCCAGGATGCAGGAGAGAGGGGATGGAGCCACAGCAGGTCTGGGGAAGGGAGAGAAGCCGGCCCCGAGACCGCAGCCCGAGGACCCATTCAGGCCAGCAGTGCCTTCTGTGCACTTCCACAAGGTCACACGTTCTTCCAAAGTTGCCATCATGGAGAGATAGGCTTCCACGTAGTCTTGACTCCACTGGATTTCAGTCCTTAGGTGACTTTTCCTGTGATCACACTCAGCCCTGATACAGTCATTGCTGGGGCCTCCCCTGGCTGGACGTTCCGCTTTTGGTTCACATTCTTTCCTCCTGCCCCGAGACTGGCCATGGGCCTCCCAAAGGCTAGCTGGGAGGACCTCCCTTCCACGGCTGTGCTCTTGCTCTGCCCATGCTGTCGCCTCCATCTCCACCTCCCTCTCCATCCTCACCACCAGCCCTCGAGTCAGTGGGGAGCTTTCCACTCACCAAGCCCAGGCAAGTGCATCGTGTGAATTTCTCTTGCGCCTCCCACTAGAGGTAGAGGCGCTGTTGTCACCCTATCTGCTGAGGATATGCTGGGGCTGGCAGGGGCCACCCAAGACCAAGGGTGTCACTGTCTCCATCCTGTGCCCACCCAGTCCTGCCCCCTGGGCTCCCTTCAAATCTTTTTTTTTTTTTTTTTTTGAGACAGAGTCCTGCTCTGTCTCCCAGGCTGCAGTGCAGTGGTACAATCTCAGCTCACTGCAATCTCTGCCTCCTGGGTTCAAGCGATTCTCCTGCCTCAGCCTCCCAAACTGCTGGGACTACAGGCACCCACCACCACACCCGGCTAATTTTTTATTTTTATTTTTGTATTTTTAGTAGAGATGAGGTTTCACTATGTTGGCCAGGCTGGTCTTGAACTCCTGACCTCGTGATCCCCCTGCTGCAGCCTCCCAAAGTGCTAGGATTACAGGCGTGAGCCACCACACCTGGCCCCCTTCAAATCTTAACAGAGAAGCCACCAAAGTCTCCTTGGGTCCATCACATGGATGGGCCTCCTGGGCCCCTCAGACCCTGGGCTTCCCTTGAGGTCCTGGAGCTATGTGGGCTCCAGCTCTGGGAAGGTGGACCCCCATGCATGTGTCCTGCCGTCACTGTCTCTATGGAGTCTGGCTCACACTAAGTGAGCCATAAGGCCTTCTTCAAGGTCATCTGTCCCACTGATTTCAGACTCAGGGCGGAGTGTGAAATCATCTGTCCCCCACAGTGCACTCAGAACCCTGTCTGGACTAGGGCACACACACATGCATGCGCATATGAACACACATATGCATATGCACGCACACATGCAAGGCTGCAAGTCTCATGCACACACACATGCACACACATGCACATGCATGCTCACATGCACAGGCACTCAGGCACCTAGAGCCTTCTCATCCTGCACTTTGAGTCCCCCCTCCCCTTGCCCATCCTTGCCCATCCTTCAAGGCCTCAGTCAAAAGCCATCTTTTACAAATTGTCTCTGGTTGACTTTCCTTTTTTTCCCTCTTAGAAGAAGCGATGCTGTCCTCAATCATCAAGCGTTCACTAGGCGCTTGGTGTGTGCCAGGCCCCGATGTGGGTCTTGGGCATGTTCCAGTTCTCACGTCCTCAGGGCTCCTTGGTGAGTCGAGGGTGAGGAGGACACAGAGGCACAGGAGGCCATGGGGCAGGTCTGGGTGCACTCAGGCTCCAGAGCTCAGCCCTCCCTGCTGAGTCAGGGCGAGCAGGATAGACGCCTGCTCCTGGAACTCAGTGGGTGAGGTGGACACGCATGCAGGGAGGTACCAGCCTCAGGGGCTGTGGAACAGAGAAAGGGAGCTTCCAGGACATCAAACAATTCCTGGAGTGCCAGGGCAAGAGGGGAATCTGGGTGGAGGAAAGTGTGAACAGGGCAGAGGTTGGAAGTGGTTGTGGCCCCCGAGCATGTCGGAGGCGACTGAGCTGCTCCTTGACTTTGGGCATCTTTGTTCATCTCTGCATTTGCACATTTGTTGAACAAACCTACTGAGACACTTGTTTTCTTTCCATGGTCCATACATTAGGAATATAGAGTTAGCTTCCTGGGGAACATTTTAAGACGTATTCTTAGAGAAGAAACCAGGAGGCATCCTTGTGGGACGTTGGTCCAGGATCTTGGGTGTGTCCTTTGGTCTTTTGTGGGTCAGGTTAGCAGGAATTGTGTCCTGAGGTGTTGGAACTGCAAAGTGCAGGTTCCCTCCTGCCCGCACTGATGCCTTCAGGGAATGGCCTGTCCGCTTTTCTAAGAAGAACACTTAACTCAGCCTTGGCTGACTTCAGCTACCTGTGCTTTCTCCAGCCAGGCTCTGTGTTTTGTGCTTTTACTCTCAAAACAACCCTATTATTATCCGTGTCCCACAGATGAGGATGCTGAGCCCCTGAGAGGCTCAGTAGGTGCCTGAAGGCATTCCAGCCAAGAGGTGGCAGAGCCAGGGCCAGCCTGGCCTGAGGACTCTGAAGCTCCCACAGGCACAGCTCCTTCATGCCAGCTCTGTGTCAGGATTTTCTGTGGTCATCACAGCCATCTTCCTGGTCGGCTAAGTTACAGACAGGGTGGAACTAGGATGGCCAAGCTGGAAGCAGAGCTCATTCCTGAGCAGGGCACCCGGGCCCTGCCTACGGTGCTGGGCAGGCTTCTGGTGTGGAGGGTGGGCTCAGATCCTGCTGTCCCTGTGGCTGTGGGAGGCTTTTCTAGGCACCCTCCTGACTGCTAACACCAGGAGGGCCTATGATATGGGACCGCTGCCCCATGACGTGTGCCAGGTTTCTGCACGCGACTGCTGGGAAAGGCTGGCCCTGGGCTGGGTGGACCCGCACTGCCTGCTGGCCCCTGCACCCAGATGGTGCAGCCCACACCCCTCTGATGTCCACCCATGCTCGGCTCTGGGACTTCCCTCCTTCCACCGTGTCTGACCCTGGTTGCCCTTGTTCTGCCACTGGCTTGTAGCAGCCCTTCCTGAAGCCACGTCCTCCAGGGAGATTTGATTATGTCCTGGTGTTGCAACCTCGCTAATGCAATCAGGAAGTTTTCTCAAGACTTCAGCTGCTTTGTTGGCAGCCAGGCCTGACTCTCAGCAGCTCTGCAGGCTGGAAGGGCCCAAGAGACCCCTCACCCACCTGGTGTCTCCAGCAGTGGGGAGGGCTCCGGGGCATAGCCTATTGCTGCTCTGCTCTCCTCCTTTCTTTGGGTAAGCTCCTTTGCTCTGATTTTATCTGGAATCATCGAGAGCCTCTATCTGTCTAGAAAAAGCACTTAGCAATGAGGAATCAGCACTGCGGAGGATACTCCAGAAAGCAGCCATTTTCCATCAAGATTAGGCTCTTAATTGAAAATTTTAAGAGGAGAGGAAATTAGGGGAGAATCCAGATATTCTCTCCATTATGGTAATTGGCTGTAATCAGAGCCCAAGAGCTGTGTTCAATCCTGGGGGTTCTTCCAGGATTACCAGAGCTGTCATAGTCACCTTCACTGACCTGCACTGGAGTCAGTGGGAGGGGCTGGCGGGGTCCGGGGCTGCTCTGGCAAGTGGATCCAGGAGGGCTGGGCTGGATCCAGGGGGCTGAGTTCAGAGGGGACTCTGCTTAGCAAGTGTGAAACACACGACAGGGCCTTCCAGGCAGAGGGAAGATTGAGAACTGCGGCCGAGCGAGTGCGTCCAGGGGCCCGAGTTTAGTTGAGGGCCTAAGTTTTCCCAGCAGGGCAAGGTTGAGGGTGAGGATGCTGCAGGCCAGTTTTGTATGGCCTCAGAATGAGGACAAGAAGGGGGAGATGGGCCACAGGGATGAGGGTGCCTGCTCCCTGCAGCAGTGTGCACACCACGGCTGTGCAGAGGCAGCAGGTGGCAGGTATTGGGAAGAAGCCCTTCCCTTGTGTGTCCTAGGGGCTGGGCACAGCCTGATGGGCCCCCTTTGCTCACAGTTGCAGAAGCCCATCCATGTAGGGTCCTGCTGAACTGGCTTCCATGGGGCTGGGAAGGACTGGCCTGGCCTCTTTGCTCACTTCACCTTATGGGCAGTGTCCTGCAGGTTTCTGTGAGCAGAGCAGACAGAAAGGAGATGCCCAGTGACGTCAGCTGTCCCCCACAGAGCTTCCTGGAGCCTGGGCTCCAGGCTGAGGGTCCTTGGACAGACGTCATCTCCCTGGCTTCAGCAGAATCACCCACAAACCCACCCTGTGCCCACCCTCCCATCACAGAGAGCAGCTGCTGGAGAAGGCAGCATGAGACTTTGAAGACCTCGAGGAGCAGGAGACACAGGAGACAATGGCCAGGATGGTCATGGTGGCGCGGCTATGCCATCACTGATTTCTGCCTACCTGCCCCCTAAGTCTCACTTGCTACTACTCTCAATTTCCTACTTAATGCTTCAGAGAGCACCAGTCCTGAGATGAGAGGCGGGATGTTCACTCTCTGGGAGTTGAGATGGAACCCAGGCAGTTAGAAAAAAGTGCCACAGCCACGTGCCGAGCCTACTACTTGTCAGGAGCTCAGTGAGTCATCCAATTCCTAAAACAACTGTGCTGCATGTGCTCCACCGCGCCTGGGCGACTCGGGGAAATGGGCTGCGGGAGGCTTAGTGACCTGCCCTGGGTGACACGGATGGCATGGATGCCCTGTCCATGCACGGGGCTGTGCTAGGAGAGGACAGGATCATCCCCAGAAGCTGGTCCTGTGTCCACTGCTCACGGTGGCAGCTGCTTGGGCTGACAACGCCCCCCACCTCCTGATCAGATAGTGATATACTTGGTCCAAACTTCGAAAGTAAAAAAGTTAAAACAGAAAAATAGTCTCCTGGTCATTCATGCTCTCTGGTTCCCTTTTCATTAGTATCTCTTTCTCCTTCTATTTATGGATCTAGTTATTTAAAGCACAGATGGTGACATTCTGTACATATTCTGCATTTTGCTTTTTAAGTCTATTTTATTATGACGTACAATACATATAGAAAAGTGGAAAAAACTGAAATGAATGAATTTTCATGAAGTGAGCATTGGTGTAAACTGAGCCAGTACATTGGGAACCCCCTTCATTCTCCCTCCCAGTTACTGCACCATCCCTCCTGCCACCGGTAAATACTGCCCTGACCTTCATGGTAACTACTTGCTTTGCTTCCATTAGATATTCTATTTTTGTTTCAGCTGTGCTTTTGAACTTTATAGAAATGGATTCATACAGGGTGTATTCCTTCACATTGAGCTGGCTGTGTGCAGCATTGTGTGCAGTTGTTTCATATTGTAGCCGGGAACAGTGACTCATCTTCATTGCTCTTTAGCATTCCATTGTTTAATTGAATCCCAGTTTTCTTTTCCACTGTTGGTTGTGTTTAGATTTTTTTCAGTTTGGGGTTACTATGAAGGATGCTATAAAGAGCATTCTTGTACATGGCTCTTGTAGCACAGTGAACACATTTCTGTTGGGTGTAGAGATGTACGTATATGTGTGTGTGTGTGTGTGTGTGTGTGTATATATATATATACACCCCAAGGGGTAAAATTGTTGGATGTACATACCTTTGACTTCAGTAAATCATGCCAAACTGCTTTCCAAAGTGGTTGTTCATCTTTTTTTCCTTTTGTTTTTCAGTGGATCCTTATAGTTTGGGATTCTTCCATAATGGTACATATAGATGTGTCTCATTTTTTTAAACAGTTGCATAGTTTTCACAGCATGGACATAACATGATTTATTTAACCTGTCTTCTGTTGTTGGACTTCGTTATATTTATACTCAAACAATGCCACAATGAATAACCTTCTTCATAAGTTAATTAAATACTCGATGAAAAATACAGGTTTTTTTTCAGTTTATAAAAGTAATACTTGCTCACTGAGGAAAAAAAATCTGTAAATTACAGAAAAACACAAAGGAAATATATCCTCTGATACAACCAGAAAGAAAACTACTTTTCCTATGTTGTGCGTAGCTCTCTAGTTTTTTCTTTCTTTATATCAATTGGATTTTTTTTTTTTTTTTTTTTTTTTTTTTGGAGACAGGGTCTCACTGTGTCACCCAGGCCAGAGTGCAGTGGCATGATCACAGCTCACTGAAGCCTCGACTTCCCAGGCTTAAGTGATCCTCCTACCTCACTCAGCCTCCCGAGTAGTTGGGACCACAGGCATGTGCCACCACATCTGGCTATTTTTAATATTTTTTGTATAGATGGGGTTTCGCCATGCTGCTCAGGCAGGTCTCAAACTCCTGGCCTCAAGCCATCTGCTTGTGTTGGCCTCCCAAAGTGCTGGATTACAGGCATGCACCACCACCCCCGGCCTAATTGAATTTTTATTTTGGAAGAACCATATACCTTTATACATATTCTTTCTATGACTTATTTTCTGTAGTTGAAGTTCAAGGGTGTTTGACAGTGTGATGTGGTTATTGTTAACCTGTATGTGGGGGCATACAGATATGTTTTTTTACTTTTTCCCATAAGGCTAAGATCATCTCCAGAAATATTAATTTTTTAGACAGTGTGATTATAGTTATTTAATACTCATACTTATCAAAATATTATATGTTAAAACCAATAACCATCTGAACTTATTTGAATATAGTTTTTCCTATTCTGTTCTTAGAAATTTCAGTCACTAACAATCTTTACACTTAGAAAGTGTTTTAATTTTACTTTGATGACAGGAATAGTGTTCTTCTCAATGAAATATAGAATAGCAGCTTATAAGTGATAACTGTTTTCATTCTGTTTTTAAGAGAAAATACTTTGGTCTTTTTTACCATGATAGTTTAGTGTGTGATGTCATAAAAATGGGCTGTAGCCATTTAAATTCTTGTTCAAGTGCAGAAACTAAGAGACTGCAGTTTCTATTAAGCCATGTCAACTCCTATTAGGAGACCTTTAGTGGTTCCAGTTCCAGGGCCTTCTTGAAGAAATTGTGATACTTGTGTAAGTATATCTAGAGTTTTCTTTCCAGCATTGGCTAAGTCACATAGCTGAGAAATATGATACATGGAGAAGGTTGCTGACTGGATGAACTTTTCTACATTGAATACTTTAAATCTGGATTCTAGAATAAAATATATTGATGCATATTTGAGTTGTCAACTGTTTATGTCTTGTTCTTTTCAGCTTCAACATTGCTTTATGGCATGTGTGGTCGTTTTTCACTCCATTGTTGTTGTTTACCCAGTTTATGGGGGTTGTAATGTTTATCACACTCCTTGGATGATTTCCGAAGGTAAGATATCTGGAATGGTTTTTCTAAAAATGAACTCATTTGAAAAATGTCTTTTATGACAATTTTCAGTGGATGGAGCTGTAACAGACTATTTGTGAATTATTTTCAGTCATGTTTACACCAGAGTTGTCCACACTAGAATTATCCATTCGTTGAACTCTGAGATAGACTCCTTTTTTTTGAGACAGTGTCTCACTCTGTTGTCCAGGCTGGAGTACAGTGGCATGATCACCGCTCACTGCAGCCTTGACCACCTGGGGGCTCAAGCGATCCTCCCACCTTAGCTTCCCAAGGAGCTGGTATTACAAACATGTGCTACCACGCTTGGCTAATTTTTAAAATTTTTTTTGTAGAAACAGAGTCTCCTTATTTTGCCCAGGCTGGCAGGGGTTGGGGGCTGAGACTCTTTCTTTTGTAAAAGTTGGTTCTAAGTGACTACTTTTTAGAGAAGGTACCCTGCCTTTCAAAGACCTCATAAAGACAGGATTTGTACCTTCCAATATAGTTAAATTCACACATTAGACCATTTTATGTTGAAATTATATTAATTTGTGTCAGCTTATATTCAATGACTGTTGGCTAGATCATTCTTAAGAAATGGGAATACAGGAAGAATGGACAATTTTACCCAACTGGGAAAAAAAATTCTACCATCTTCTAATTATTCTGACTTCCTCATAAAAATGTGTTGGATGACACAATCAGCTTTTGTTTGGTGTTATTTATAGAATTTCTGCCTCCCTACAGATCACCCCATCCTGAGATCTGCTGCCTTACACAGTGGAGGCTGTTTTCTGAGTGTCGGATAACTCTGTTATTAAATAAGTGCATATTGAGAATACTCACTCCAGATGCTTAGAGGCATGTTGAGAAGGACAAAGATAGTGCCTCCTGTCAGGTCACTTACATCAGAACTTGCAGGAAACCTGCTTTATACAGCAGTTGACAGGTGTGGAAATTGAAGCTCATGGAAATGAAAGTTAATACGCTAAATTTTCAAGGAGTTAATGAAAACTGACATTTCTGCTAAAAACAGCATGTTCTCCCTGTGGGATTTTAAAGGAAGGTCAATGGTAACTGTACAAAGAAGAAATGGACACAGTCTCATTGTTAGCAGTCTGAAAATAGTTGCTAGCACCTCCATGCCCACGCCAATGTCTCCAGCCTCTTTCAGGCACCTTGCTGTGTCTTGGAACCACTGGGAGCCCTCACAGGAGGCCCTTCGTTCCTGTATGCATGTGGTGCCACAAGCTGCTTTGGGCCCGGAGGAATCCTACACATCTCAGAACACTTCCTCACCTGACCCTGTCACCCATCTCTCCCCTTCTCATGTGCTCAGCCCCTTCTTTGACTCTTGAATTTTGAGTTTTTACAGATGTTTGGGAGCTCTTACCCTGACATGAATTTACAATTGTAATGGAGACTCAGACAACGTTGTAGATCACAGAGTGAACTATGCTTTTTAGTGTTAAATGCAATAGCTTAAGATAGAATGTTTTACTTGTTACATAAATGCTGGTTTTCTTTCAGATTTAAGGATATATACTTTTTTTTTTTAAGAGATAGGGTCTTCTATGTTGCCCAGGCTGGCTTTGAACTCCTGGGATCAAGTGATCCTCCTGCCTCAGCCTTCAAAGTAGTTGGGACTACAGGCCCACGCCACCGTGCATGGCTGGACACGTAAATTTGAAGTGAATGGTTAAACATCCAGCTAGCTGAAAGCATGACAGACCCTAACAGAAAAGCTACAGTGTGTTTTTGCAGCTATGAAGTGAATGGTTTCCTGGGGAAAATTGTGACTTTGTATAACTATTTTTGAAACCAGAATAAATTATATTTCACTTGCATATTCTTAAATTATTAAAATTTTCAGAAGTCAGTGATACAGAAATACTATTTTGCAATGTTAATCTGTTTGAGTCTTTGGAGAAAGTGGTTTCATTATAGGTACATGATGCACTCTTAATATTTTAAACAAATAGTTCACTCTTCCATTTAAGGGATAGCAGTTCCTTGTATAAAATGACTGGATATGTATAAAGGAATTACGTTGTCATGTGCCTTTAACCAGCTTTAGTAATTACTATAATCTCATATTTATGATCGTTTTGTTAGGTGACAGGACCAAATGAAAATATTTTATGTTTTCCCATCACTTTAGATTTTATCATTGTGTAAATTACTGGGTTTTTAGCATTTCCTAATGTGAAGTTTTAATCATTTTTAAGTATACATATTTTTTTCTGTACCATTTAAATAAAATATTTTTATAACTTTCTTGTGAGTTTTGTTCATGCAAACTTTGGAATGACTTCTGGTTTTTAGCTATTAGCACTTTGAATTAACCATAGAAATAACAAGGGCTAACTCTGTTCTTCAAAGACTTTATAAAGACAGTATTTGCACTTTCAAATGCAAATATATCTACATTAAATCTAAACAGCATAAGCATTGTGACAGAATGTACCTCATGTTGATTGTTTTCTCTGTAAGGTGACTTCTAGTAATGATTTGACTTAATCACCACTTGTGTCTGGTTCAGATCATACCCTGCCATTTACTAGCTGCAAGACCTTCAGTAGTACAGGTTTAGTATCCCTAATTTCAAAATCTGAAACTTTTTGATTGCTGATATGGCACTCAAAGGAAATGCTCATTGGAGCATTTCGGGTTTTGGAATACAATGCAAGTATTCCAAAATCCAAAACACTTCTGGTCCCAAGCATTTCAGAGAAGGGGTAGTCAGCCTGTAATCTTTTTTCAGCTGTGAAGTGGGAACAATATCTGTCTTGTAGGGTTGTGGGTAATAGTAATAATGTTTGTAAAACACCAATTACAGTGCCTGACACAGTAGGTGTCCACTCAATAAATGGTAATGGAGAGGGAAAGAAAGGGAAAGCAGAATCTAGGATCAGGAATATCACATCCCGTCATGATGTTTGCAAAGGGGAAAGTCAGGCATGATGAGTAGACAGAAGTAAACCCAGTTTGTTGTCATGGGTATGTGAAGGTGTGGCGAGAGTGTCATTTAAAATAGGGAGCAAGGCCAGGCAAAGGCCACAATCAGGCAGCCGAATCAGGCAGTGATGAATCAGGCAGTGATGTGAGGGTCCGGCACAACCGAGGCAGCAGCCCGGGAAGGGAGGGCATTTGGATCACACTCCCTGGAGGGAGCTTGGGTGGAGAGTGCCCCAGTGTCAGCCTTCACACATTTTATATCTTTTTTTTTTTCTTGAAGAGTATGTTTACAACATGGATAGAAATCTAAGGCTGGCATGTGTTTAAAACAATTAGTTAAAACCCAGTTTCCCAAGAGCTAATAACTGGCCAATTAGGATGGTATGAAGATTGTCCTATTACTTAAAAAAAGACTTTTTGAGACAGAGTCTTTAACTTGTCATAACATGTCTGAACAGGATCTAGTTTGAGACACTAAGAAGGATAAGACATCAGTTTGAAAAGAGACCACATCAGTGCAACATTAATTCTGCTAAAATCGAAGCAAGAACAAACATCAATTTATTATGAAGCTTGGGTGAAAAATGGTAAAATCACTAATGCTTCATGAAAAGTTTATGGGAACAATGCCCCAAAGAAATCAACAGCTTACAAATGAATAACTTGTTTTAAGAAGGTATGAGATGATGTTGAAGAGGAAGCCCTCAGTAAGAGACCCTACACACGAATCTTTGAGGAAAAAATTCATCTTGTTTATGCCCTAATCAAAGAGGACTGATGATTAATAGCAGTTAACAATAGCAGAAACAATAGACAGTGTCATAGACGTCAAATTGGTTCAGGTTACACAATTCTGACTGAAAGCCAACTTTGCACTTGATGGGTGCCAAAACTGTTGTGCCCAGATCAGTTGCAAACAACAGCAGAGCTTTCAATGGAAATTTAAACAGTGGGATCAAGATCCTGAAGCATTTGTTCGAAAAGTTGCAACAAGTTATGAAACATGGATTTCGTAGTACTATCCTGAAGACAAAGCACAATCAAAGCAATGGCTACCAAGAAGTGGAAGTGGGTCAGTCAAAGCAAAAGCAGACCAGTCAAGAGCACAACTCATAGCAACAGTATTTTGGGGCTCAAGGCACTTTCCTTGTTGACTTTCAGGAGGACCAAAGAATGGTAACATCTGCTTATTATGAGAGGGTTTTGAGAAAGTTACCCAAAGCTTTAGCAGAAAATTCTTGGGAAAATTTCAGCAGAGTCCTCCTCCACCATGACAATGCTTCTGGTTATTCCTGTCATCAAGGGCAATTTTGGGAGAATTTTGATGGGAAATCATTACAGTCCTGATTTGGCTCCTCCTAACTTCTTTTTGTTTCGTAATCTTAATCTGTAAAGGATACCCTTTTCAGTTAATGTGTAAAAGACTGCATTGATATGGTTAAATTCTCAGGACCTTCAGTTCCTTAAGGATGGGCTAAATGGCTGTAGCATGACTTATACAAGTGTCTTGAACTTGATGGAGCTTATGTTGAGACATAAAGTTTATATTTTCAATTCATTTTTTCCAAGTTTTGAAGTCCAAGGGTACATGTGGAATGGCTAGATGGAGTTCATTAATATATGCATTACTTTGCATACTTATTTTTTGTGGTGAGATTTCTTAAAATCTACTCTTCACAATTTTTAAAATGCTATAAATTGTTATTAACTATAATTACTAAGCTGTACAATAGATCTCTTGAACTTACTCTTCTTACTTAAATGAAATTTTGTACCCTTTGACCAACATCTCCCAACCCACAAATTCCACCTGCTGCCCAGCCCCTGGTAGCCACTCTTCTACTCTCTACCTATATGACCTCAGCTTTTTTAGATCTACATATAAATGAGATCATGTGACATTTGTCTTTCTGTGCTTGGCTTATGTCACTTAACATAGTATCTTCCAGGTTCATATCCATACTGTTACAAATGTCAGGATTTCCTTTTTTTTCTTTTTTGAGACAGGGTCTGGCTCTGTCACCAAGGCTGGAGTGCAGTGGCACAATCTCAGCTCACTGAAACCTGGACCTCCCAGGCTCAAATGATCCTCCTACCTCAGCCTCCCAAGTAGCTGGGACTACAGGTGCACACCACTGGGTTTAGCTAATTTTTTTTTTTTTTTTGAGAGAGAGTTTCACTCTTGTTGCCCAGGCTGGAGTGCAATGGTGTGATCTTGTCTCACCCACAACCTCTGCCTCCTGGGTTCAAGTGATTATCCTGCCTCAGCCTCCTGAGTAGTTGAGATTACAGGCATTTTTAGTAGAGAAGGGGTTTCTCCATGTTGGTCAGGCTGGTCTCAAATTCCTGACCTCAGGTGATCCAACTGCCTCAGCCTCCCAAAGTGCTGGGATTACAGGCATGAGCCACCACACTCAGCCTTTTTATTTTTATTTTTTTGTAGAGTTGAGGTTTTGCCATGTTGCCCAGTTGGTCTTGAACTCCTGGGCACAAGCAGTCCACCCACCATGGCCTCCCAAAGTGTTGGGTTTACAAGCGTGAGCCATTGTGCCCGGCCATTTCCTTCTTTTTAAGGTTGAATAATATTCTGTTGTGTATGTATACAATGTGTATACATACACACATTTTCTTTGTCCATTCATTCATCCATTGATGGATGCACAGGTTAATTCCATATCTTGACTATCATTTGTGTGTTATAGATTAAATTTTTGCTCACCAGAAGATCTGTTGAAATCTTAACCCCTGGTTCCTCTGATTGTGGCCCTATTTGGAAATGGAGTCTTTGTAGATTTAATTAAGATGTAAATTACAATGAAGTCATACTGGAGTAGGTTGGGCCCTTAACCCATTATGACTGGTGTCTTTATAAGAAGAGGAAAAGAGACACAGATACAAAGGAAAGATGGTCAAGTCACAACAGAGGCAAAGATTGGAGTGATACAGCCACAAGCCAAGGAATGCTAGGGGTTGCCAGCAACCAGCAGAAACTGGAAGAGGCTGGCGATGACCCCCCATTGGAGCCTTCAGAGGGAACTTGGCTCTTCTGACGTCTAGATTTTGGACTTCTGGCCTCCCAAACTGTGAGAGAATAAATTTTCATTGTTTTGAAGCCACCCCGTCAGTGGCACTTTGTTAGACCCACCCACTTGGCTGTGCACAGTGACTCATGCCTGTAATCCCAGCACTTTGGGAGGCCGAGGTGGGTGGATCATGAGGTCAGGAGCTCAAGACCAACCTGGCCAACATGGTGAAATCCCATCTCTACTAACAATACAAAAAATTATCCAGGCATGGTGGTGTGTGCCTGTAATCCCAGCTACTCGGGAGACTGAATCAGGAGAATCACTGGAACCCAGGAGACAGAGGTTGCAGTGAGCCAAGATCACACCACTGTACTCCCGCCTGGGTGATAGAGTAAGATTCTGTCTCAAAAAAAAAAAAAAAAAAAAAAAAAAAAAGAAGTGAATACACTGTCTAACTCTTTTGTTCTTAAAAATACTGGGATTACATAGCTACCACCAAAGGTGACTGGGGGCAAAATGTGCTAATTGCCCCTTGGGACCTTCTATTATCTCTGGTAGTTGAGAGTGCCAGTGGGCCTCTGGCCTTGTGAAATCCTGTCAACTTCACTGGAAGAAGGGAGCTCATGTGATCATTAAAAAGGAAACAACAGGTGCTGGAGAGGATGTGGAGAAATAGGAATGCTTTTACACTGTTGGTGGGAGTGTAAACTAGTTCAACCATTGTCGAAAACCGTGTGGTGATTCCTCAAGGATCTAGAACTAGAAATACCATTTGACCCAGCGATCCCATTACTGGGTATATGCCCAAAGGACTATAAATCATTCTACTATAAAGACACATACACATGTATGATTATGGCGGCACTATTCACAATAGCAAAGACTTGGAACCAACCCAAATGTCCATCAATGATAGACTGGATTAAGAAAATATGGCACATGTACACCATGGAATACTATGCAGCCATAAAAAGGATGAGTTCATGTCGTTTGTAGGGACATGGATGAAACTGGAAACCATAATTCTGAGCAAACTGTCGCAAGGACAGAAAACCAAACACTGCATGTTCTCACTCATAGGTGGGAATTGAACAATGAGAACACTTGGACACAGGATGGGGAACATCACACACCGGGGCCTGTCATGGGGTGGGGGGAAGGGGGAGGGATAGCATTAAAAGAAATACCTAATGTAGATGACGAATTAATGGGTGCAGCACACCACCATGGCACATATATACATATGTAACAAACCTGCATGTTGTGCACATGTACCCTAGAACTTAAAATATTAAAAAAAAAAAAGAAAAAAAGGAAGGGAGCCCATGCCCGAGGGCACCATGCCTCCCTGTCCATCTGCGTGGTACTGAATCATCACTGGGAAGCAGCTGCCTGGTCAGGACGTTTCCAGCTTTTACACTGATTGAGCCATGCCACACAGTTCTCAGGACACAGTGTGGGCAGGGGTAACATGCACCAAATGTGGTGAAAACAGCAGGCCTGGGCACCACCAGAGCACCATTTCTGACCCCTTGTATCTTCCCATCATGGAGCAGGGGTCAGTCGTAAGAAATTGGGGGCCCCGTGTGGCTCAGACTTTTGAAAAAAATCTCACTGGTGGAAGGCAGAACACAGTGTGGGTAAATCTCTCAGTTTTATTTATGTATTTATTGAGATGGAGTCTCTGTCATCCAGGTTGGAGTCCGGTGGCACAATCTTGGCTCACTGCAACCTCTGCCTCCTGGGTTCAAGAGATTCTCCTGCCTCAGCCTCCCAAGTAGCTGGGATTACAGGTGTGCACCACCACACCAGCTATTTTTTGTATTTTTAGTAGAGACGGGGTTTCACCATGTTGGCCAGGCTAGTCTCGAACTCCTGACCTCAAGTGATCTGCCTCGACCTCCCAAAGTGCTGGGATTACAGGCTCTCAGTGAGTTTTAACATTGTCTTGAGATTACAATAAAGGGGGCTGACTTTAGCCTCCAGAAACTTTCATTTCATTGCTTCTTAAAAAAATGCAGGCCAGGTGTGGTGGCTCATGCCTGTAATCCCAGCACTTTGGGAGGCCAAGGGGTGGATCACCAGGTCAGGAGTTGAGACCAGCCTAACCAACATGGTGAAACCACATCTCTACTAAAAATACAGAAATTAGCCGGGCATGGTGGCAGGCGCCTGTAATCCCAGCTACTCGGGAGGCTGAGGCAGGAGAATCGCTTGAACTCAGGAGGCAGAGGTTACAGTGAGCTGAGATGATTGTGCCACTGCACTCCAGCCTGGGTAACAGAGTGAGACTGCATCTCAAAAACAAACAAACAAACAAACAAACAAACAAACAAACAAACAAAAGTGCAGGTAGCCCAGAGACAGGCATTCCACTTGATTTTCAGATAGTGACTGAGTGTTATTTATCTTTGTACTCAATGGGTTAAGGTACTGCTAGCTGCTGTAACATTTCAGACTTTGGTGGCTTAGCACAATGGAAGTTTATTTCTCACTGATGTAAGGTCCAGCTTCGGGAGGAAAAGCCACCTCACTAGTCACTGGGGAGACACGCAGACAGGCTCTTCCATCTTCAGCTCAGCCTCCCAGGTTGCTCTGGCTGTTGGTAGGAAGAGGAGGGGAGAAGGTGGAGGATTCCCAGTAGGTTTGCTGGATCCTCTCTCTGGACTGCCTTTCCAGACCCCTGCTCCCTTCCACCTGGCCATCCACTCCTAAGCCTAAAGAATGTGCAGGAGGCTGGACGTGGTAGCTGGAGCCTGTAATCCCAGTGCTTTGGGAGGCTGAGGTAGGAGGATGGCTTGAGCCCAGGAGTTTGAGATCAACCTGAGCAACACAGCGAGACCCCTGTCTCTACAAAAAACAATTTTAAAAAACTGAGCCAGGCGTGGTAGCACACACCTGTAGTCCCAGCTATCTGGGAGGCTGAGGTGGGAGGAGCACTTGAGCCCCAGAGTTCGAGGCTGTAGTGAGCTATTATCACACCACTTCATTCCAGCCTGGGAGACATAGGGAGGCCCTGTCCTTATTAAAAGATAAAAATAAAATAAAGAAAGAAAGAAGACTGTGCAGGTGTTGCCTCCTCCCTGAACCTCGCAGCCTTCCTGCAGACCTGGGCTCCTCCCAGGCCCCTGGTGGTAGCCCTGCTCAAGGGTGCTGTGCTGCTTACTCTGTCCCCACCCCCAAGCTCTTAGAAGTTGAGGGCTAAGTCTCACAGGTCACGCTCCCCAGCTTCCCAGTCAAGGCTCATTAGCTGTTTGTTTATTGCTGTTTCTCTACCTGAACATCAGCTCCACCTGAACAGAGCCTTTCATAGCTGAAACCCCAGCGCCTACAACAGAGACCAGCAAATGATTCATAGGTCAACACATACATGTGTGTTGATCAAATGAATGAATGCATGAATTGGAAGAATGATGGCGGCAAGGCAAGGTCCCCCAGGTTGACTTCTTGCCGGCCCAGGACTCCCCACCCCTCCTTTACTAGTCAGGACCTGCTATTGCAATTTGCTGCGCTTAGCGCAAAACAAAAACCTGGGCCCTCTTGTTCAAAAATTAAGAATTTCAAGACTGCAAGAGCCTTAAACCAAGAGGGAGAGGGTGTCTTCCGGGGCCCAGCCCCGGGCTGCTGCATGGTGGGATGGGGGCTCGCCCCAGGCTCGCTCCCAACTCCCCTCTCCAACCTGCAGCTGGGGGGCTGGGGTCCACCGCCTCCTGTCAGCCACGCCCGACCGGTAGAACGCTCTTCTGCAGAAACTTCCCAGACCTCCACTTAATGGCACCCGAGCAGGGCGCCCTGGCAGACGCAGTCTCCTTCCGGGAGCAGGCAGGTGCAAGGCAGGCACCGGGGCTTTGGAAGGGGCTGGTGGAGATGCTTGGGCGCCGGTTGCCCCAGGGCAGACCCTGGGGCCTCCCTCATTCCAGCTCCTCTGCGTCCAGAATGGCTGCCGCTCCTTTGGGGGAGGGTGCGGGATGGTCTCTTTTCTTAGAAAGTGGCTCAGGTCTTATTCTGCGCCTGGGCGTCTCGCAGCCGACACACAGGCACACCAGATGGACAAACAGAAAAACCCACAGAAGGCGGCCCCTCCCCCAATTCAGAGAGCCAGTGACTGGCGCTCCTCCACCCCTAACCAGACACACCCGAAAACAGACGGCCAGACACAGAGTGACCGGCACAGAGAAGACAATACAGAAATACGCAGGGACAAGGACAGACCATCGGACGCTCGGACACGGACCCAGGCAGGATCACCTGGACCTCTGGGTTCCCCAACGGAGACCCTCGGGGAAGGCCCGGAGCATAGCACGCCCCTGTGGAGCCCCGTGCGCCCCACTTGGCAGCAGCCACGCCCCCCGCGCACACCCCACTTCGGGCTGGCTCTGGAAGACCCCCTCTCCCCAGCCCCGCAACCCCGGGACTCTGGGAGGCATCTCTCGTCACCCAGCGTTTCTGAGGCGCCGGGACAGGGGCTGGGTGGGTGGGCGTCGGCGCAGGAGTGAGGGCTGCAGACGGTGGGCGGGGGCCGGGCGCGCGGGCGGAGGTGCGGGAGGACGCGCTAGTGTCGGGGCAGGGCTGGCCAGTGTCCCAGGGATCAGGAGCCGGGAGCGGTCCGCGTGGGTCCCGGAGGGGACAGATGGCTGCCCCGGGCGTTGCCCAGTGAGGGGCAGTGGGCAAGGGAGCTCGTAGAATCCCGGGTCAGCGGGGTGGGGCGCTGGGTAAGTGGACAGGGTGGTACCTTGACTGAGGACGAAGGGGCAGAAGAGGGGAGGGCGGGCGTCGGGAAGTGACAGGAGACGGGGCAGGTTGTCGGGGGCGTGGGGTAGGAATCGGAGGGGAGTTGAAAAGGGGGGTGCTGGTTGCAGAGGCGTCGGGGCAAGGACAGGAGCCAGGAGCGCAGGCGGGGCCCGACGGCAGCCACCCCCGGGGCCAGACTTGGCGCGGGTGTCTTGAAGATGCTTGAGGGCCTGGGGTCGCCCGCCTGGCCCCGGGCAGCTGCGAGCGCCTCAGTCGCGAGGTCATCGGGGCCCGCGGCCTGCCCGCCTCCCTCGCCGTCGGCCCCGAGGTGCCCGGAGTCCCCGGCCCCCCGGAGGGGCGGTGTGCGCGCCAGCGTCCCACAGAGGCTGGCCGAGATGCTGAGCAGCCAGTATGGGCTGATCGTGTTCGTGGCGGGGCTGCTGCTGCTGCTGGCCTGGGCCGTGCACGCCGCGGGCGTGAGCAAGAGCGACCTGCTGTGCTTCCTGACGGCGCTCATGCTGCTGCAGATGCTGTGGTACGTGGGCCGCAGCTCCGCGAACCGCCGCCTCTTCCGCCTCAAGGACACGCACGCCGGCGCCGGCTGGCTGCACCGGCTGGTGAGTCCAGGCACCGGGCAAGCGGGTCTCTGCCTCCTCGCCCGCTGGCTGCATCCTGAGACGGCTCTGCCCCCTTCCTACCACTGCCGTCTTCCCTTCAGCCTTTTCTGCCTTGGTCTCTCTGTGCATCTTTCCTAGCTTTCCTATCTGCCCTTCCTTCTTTCCTCTCTCTCTCTCTCTCTGAAGCCTGGGTCGTCGCAGGAGCCTCCTCTCCGCCTCCAGACGCTTCCATCATTACAGCCACAGTTACAGAAACCTCTCCTGTCCTTCCCTGGCTTAAAGCCATACAGTGGCCCTACTGACCCCATGAGGGAGGTCACGCTCCCTCTCCTGACACTCAGAGCCTTCTAGCACCCGGCCACCGAGGGCCCGTTTCCTTTGATCCCCTTCTTTGTTCTCATCCTATGCTGGGGTCATTCTCGAGGACTTTCTCTCCTGTCACAGGATCTCTGCCTCTGCACATTCAGCACCTTTGGTTCCCTCCTCCAGGAATGTCTTTTCCACTCTCCCACCTGCCCCTCTGCTTTCCGAGACAGGCCTCAGGCCTCACCCCATTCTCCCCGCGAAGCTTCTCCGACCCCCTTCTCTTCCCCGCTTTGCAGGTCTGACCACACGCTCCCAGCCCGCACTGGGTTCCAGTGTTCTTGTCGACATGTCTGTACCCTCCACTCCACTGGGGAGCTCTGTGATCCCTGTCTCTCGGTCCTAGAGCCACCTCAGGGCCTGGCACAAGTGGGTGTTGAGAAAATGAGGGGGGATGAATGATGTAATGAATGCGTGGATGCAGGGTGGGGCAGAGAGGGATAGAGGCTCCTGCTGGTACTCACGGGCATTGGCTGAAATCGTCAAGATAGGAGCTCTTCCTTTCTCAAGGGGCTGCCACATCTTTTTTTTTTTTTTTTTTTTTTTTTTTTTTTTTTTTGAGACAATGTTGCTCTATCTCCCAGGCTGGAGTGCAGTGGCACAGTCACAGCTCACTACAGCCTCTTCCTCCTGGTCTCAAGCAATCCTCCCACTTCAGCCTCCTGAATAGCTGGAACTATAGGTACACATGGCCTTGCCTGGCTAAGTTTTGTTATATTTTGTACAGATAGAGCCTCGTTGTGTTGTCTCCTGTTCTCAAACTCCTGGCCTCAAGGGATCCTCCTGCCTTGGCCTCCCAAAATGATAGGATCACAGGCATGAGCCACTGTGCCTGGCTGGGGTTGCCAGTCTTGAATGGGAGACAGACATGGTGCAGGTGAAAGGGAGGAGGCCGTGGGGAGCATGCTTGTGAAGAAAGCTTCTGTCTGAGTAACCTTCCCAGGAGAAGCCGACTGCATTTCACACCACGTGGTCCAGACACATCACACATTGCCACTTGGATTCTCATATTAGACCTGAATTTAAATCTCCATTAGAGTGGGGCTTCCGTGTTCCTTGCATGTATGACCTCGGGCAAGTTGCTTGATTGCCTTCCTTACTCTGAACCCTGGTGTCGGCATCTGTAGAATGGGGATCTCACACTGGATAGGATCCAGTGATTGATGAGGTGGCTGCCCAGCACACACTAGGCCTCCTTTCTGCACTTCTTTCAAAGGTCCTGGCCAGATGCCACCTTCTTCACAAATGCCTGGCAGGAATTACTCCTCACTTCCATGGGCCACCATGGCCCTCCTTCTGTAAAGCTCTTTTGGTCCTTGTCTGTTTCTGCCTTGTATTATGACTGTTGAATATTAGCCTTATCATCCAGAAGAGATTTTAGACTTCTTAGGCTCAGGGACTGGATCTAGTTCATCTTGCTTTTGGGGAAATTTGACACCATTGCAGGGTGGCCCAAATTCCTGTTCTGAAATTGGTTGTTTTAGGGAAGTTAATGGTTTTGTGACTCTATGAATGACAGTGAATCTGGTGCTATTTAAAACAAGGCACAAAGTGTTATTTTAGGATATTGACTTACACAGGCTAAAAAGTATTATACACATGAGCCTTTACCTGTGTTTTCCTACAGTCAAAGCCCCCTTTTTTGTTCCTCACTTCTTTTTCTCCTCCATCCTTTTTTCTCCCTTCTTCCTTCTCTCTTTCTCCTTTCCTTTCTTCCTCTTCCCTCCCTCCCTATTCCCTCCCCTTCCCTTTTCTCTCCCTTTTCTTCCTTTTTATCTTTTTTTTGCGATGGAGTCTTGCCCTGTCACCCAGGCTGGAGTGCAATGGTGCGATCTCGGCTCACTGCAACCTCCGCCTCCCGGGTTCAAACGATTCTCCTGACTCAGCCTCCCAAGTAGCTGGGATTATAGGCGCTTGCAACCATGCCCAGCTATTTTTTGTATTTTTAGTAGAGACGGGGTTTCATCATGTTGGCCAGGCTGGTCTCGAACTCCTGACCTCGTGATCTGCCTGCCTCAGCCTCCCAAAGTGATGGGATTACCAGTGTGAGTCACCATGCCCAGCCTCCCTTTCCTTATTTTTTTCCTCATTTTCTTTCTCTCTTCTCCTCCTTCATTCTTCCTTCCTCTCTTCCTTCCTCTAGCCTTCCCTCCACTATCCCTCTTCCCTCTCTCCTCTCTTTCTCTTCCTTCCTCTCTTCCTCTCTCCTCTGCTGTTTTTGTTTTTGTTTTTGAGATGGAATCTCACTCTGTTGCCAAGGCTGGAGTGCAGTGGCTAGATCATGGGTCACTGCAACCTCCATTTCCTGGGTTCAAGTGATTCTCCTGCCTCAGCCTCCTGATTAGCTGGGACTACAGGTGCACATGCCACCACACCTGGCTAATTTTTGTATTTTTTAGTAGAGACAGTGTTTCACCATGTTGGCCCAGTTGGTCTCAAACTCCTGAGCTCAGGTTATCTGCCTGCCTTTGCCTCCCAAAGTGCTGGGATTACAGGCATGAGACACCACGCCCAGCCTGGTGCATTTAGAATGTGCCTCCTTCTCCTTCTCCTCTCCTTCTCCCCCTCTCCCTCCCCCTCCCTTCCCCCTTCCCACCCTCCCCTTCCCCCTCCTCCTCCTTCTTCTTCTTCTTCTTCTTCTTCTTCTTCTTCTTCTTCTTCCTCTTTCTTCTTTTTTCTACTCAGTCTATCCTTATCCAAGGAATGCTCTTCTTTATATTGAAGTGCAGTTAACTTCCCAGAACCATCATCCTCTTCCCTGGAGCTTCTATCATCATTCACTTATTTATCCACCATGCATCCATCCACCCATCCACACTTATTCATCATCCATCCATCCATCTATCCTTCCATCCATCCATCCATCTGTCCATCCATCCATCTGTGTTTTTTTGTTCTTCCTCTCTCTCTGCCTCCTTTCAGGTTGACTCCGAGCATTGGCGCCTGAGTCTATGGGTGAATGGTTGCACCATTTCCCAAGATTGGGAAGCCAAAGGGAAGAGCAGGGTGGGGACACAAAACCAATGACATGTTACAGTTCTCTTATGGACATGCTACATTTGAGGTGTCTTTGGGACACTAAGTAGAGAGGGAATAAATGGGCAAGGTAGAGAGAGCACGTGATAGGTGTTCAGTAGGTGGTAGCTCTTTAGACATTCAGTGAGTTGTCCCATAATAATGTAATTCAAGTGAGGTGTGTGTATCATGGAAATGGTGTTGGCTCTGGAGGGCTTGGCTTGAGGTCTCAGCTCTGTCACCTTCACCTTTCTGAGTTCTGCTTTCCTCATCAGTAAGATAAGAATCCCAGTCGACTCTCTGGGAGGAGCTGGGGGATGTTGAGAGAAGCAGTTTGCAAAGCCCTGGCCATTCCTGTGGGTTCCTCAAAGAAGCAAGACGCTAATTATTAGTGTCGAGAGGCCCCGACGCCAAAAGGAAGCACCTTCAGGCCCAACAGGGACTGGGGTTTCCTCTGGAATTCTAGCTGGAAAGACAGGTTTGACCCGGGAACTCAGCTCTGCCCTGGTGTTGGTGACAATCTTAGATCAATAGGCAGAGGGCAAGTCCCTCAGGAAAAAGACCAGTGATCCTCAAGATCCATTCTGGGGCCACTATGAGGGTCTTGCTTAACTGCATGCATTTTCTTACTTATTTCTTTTCTTAGATGATATTTCTGGTCCAATGGAAAATATAGACATAGTGTCACGATTTCAACACAAACGAGCGAATGTGGCTGCCAAAAAATCAGATGCAGGCTTGGCTTTCATTGGAAAGGAAATCAGACTGTGTGTGGAGGGTCTCATCCTCCTTGAGCATTTCACAGGCCCTTGGAAAGAGTGGCGGCAGGAGGAGCAAAAGGAGGTTCAGTCCAGAAGAGAGAAGGATGCGGAGGTCACAGGGTAGAAAGTGCTGCTGCCTTGCACCTGTCAGCTCCAGGCCATCCTCTGTCTTTCAGCAAGTAAGAGTCATTTCCTCTGGGAAGCCTCTCCCGATAGTTTCAGACCAGGGGAAGCCCCCATGTTGTATGGTCTCATAGCACTCTTCATTTTCTTTCTAGCACTAATCAAGCAGGATATTGTATTATTCAGTGACTGTTGGGGTAGCCAGACTGAGCCCCTAAAGGCAGAGACCCTGTCTGAATGTGCTTACCATTGTATCCCGAGCTCCTGGCACAGTGCCTAACATGTAGTAAATGCCAATTCCTAGCTACTGAATAATTGGATGATTGAATGATTGGGTGGATGGATGGATGACTAGATGGGTGGATGAATAAGTGAATGATGATAGAAGCTCCAGGGAAGAAGATGATAGTTCTGGGAAGTCAACTGCACTTCAATATAAAGAAAAACATTCTGAAGTAAGCACCAGGCCATGCGTGGTGGCTCACGCCTGTAATCCCAGCACTTTGGGAGGCTGAGGTGGGCAGATCACCTGAGGTCAGGAGTTTGAGACCAGCCTGGCCAACATGGTGAAACCCCGTCTCCACTAAAAATACAAAAAGCTGGGCATGGTGGGACACAGCAAATTATGAATCATTTGCTGATCTCTGTTCTAGGTGCTGGGGTTTCAGCTATGAAAGGCTCTGCTCAGGTGGAGCTGATGTTCAGGTAGAGAAACAGCAATAAACAAACAGCTAATGAGCCCTCACTGGGAAGTTGGGGAGCGTGACCTGTGAGACTTAGCCCTCAACTTCTAGGAGCTTGGGGGTGGGGACAGAGTAAGCAGCACAGCACCCTTGAGCAGGGCTACCACCAGGGGCCTGGGAGGAGCCCAAGTCTGCAGGAAGGCTGCGAGGTTCAGGGAGGAGGCAACATCTGCACAATCTTCTTTCTTTCTTTATTTTATTTTTATCTTTTAATAAGGACAGGGTCTCCCTATGTCTCCCAGGCTGGAATGAAGTGGTGTGATAATAGCTCACTACAGCCTCGAACTCTGGGGCTCAAGTGCTCCTCCCGCCTCAGCCTCCCAAATAGCTGGGACTACAGGTGTGTGCTACCACGCCTGGCTCATTTTTTAAAAATTGATTTTTGTAGAGACAGGGGTCTCGCTATGTGGAGTGCCTGTAATCCCAGCTACTCGGGAGGCTGAGGCAGGAGAATTGCTTGAAACCAGGAGGCAGAGTTTGCAGTGAGCCAAGATCATGCCACTGCACTCCAGCCTGAACAACAGAGTGAGACTCCATCTCAATAAAATAAAATAAAATAAATTAAAATAAAATAAAAATAAAACACAAAGTAAGTACCAGCTGGTGATGGAAGGGTGCGCTTTGAGAGATGTTGAGCCTCCCAGCCCTGGGCTTGTCCAAGTAGAGATCAGATGGCTTCCGGTCATGATGCATTGGAAAGCATTCTTGCATGGGATAGAATGCAGACTAACTCTGTGGGACTTTCCGCCTCTAAGAGGGGGGTTCAAGATTCTAGACTCCTAGGAGGGATTTGGGTGCCTAACAAAGAGGAGGGGGTTCCCTCTGCCATCACTAGATGGGTACCCTATGTAGTCTTTGGATTATTCTCAAGTATTGTAGCTGGTAAACTTTCTAATTGGTTCTAATGCATCAACATTTTCTTGGCGATTGAGTGATGATAATAACATCCCGCTTATAGAACTTTCTAGGTAAGGAACACTGTTCTAGGTGACTTCCATGTAAAGACTCACTTAATCTCCTCAGCACCCCTATGAGATAAGTGTTATTACTGTCATTACATCTTAGAGATGGGGAAACTGAGGCAAAGGTAAGTTAAGTAATTGTGAAATTATATATGTATATATATTTATACATGCATAAATATATATGTATATGTGTATATATATTTATCTATGTATATGTGTATATATATACTTGTATATATATATTTATACATATATATGTGTTTATATAAATCAAAATCTGTTTCATTTGGGCACATGTGTGGCTGTTATAGCTTCCTCATACAGTCGTTGTGTTTTTTGTTTTTTGTTTTTTTTTTGGGACAGAGTCTCGCTCTGTCGCCCAGGCTGGAGTGCAGTGGCGCGATCTTGGCTCACTGCGAGCTCTGCCTCCTGGATTCATGCCATTCTCCTGCTTCAGCCTACCAAGTAGCTGGGACTACAGGCACCCCCCACCACGCCCGGCTAATTTTTTGTATTTTTGGTAGAGACAGGTTTTCATCATGTTAGCCAGGATGGTCTCGATCTCCTGACCTTGTGATTCGCCCACCTCGGCCTCCCAAAGTGCTGGGATTACAGGCGTGAGCCACCACACTGGACAGTCTGTCTTTTATTATATGTAGTGATAAAAGAGGAAGGATTCTTTATCCTACTTAATACATTAAATCCCGTATGGTCTGATATTAATATTGCCATTCCAACTTTCTTTTTGTTTGCATTGCCTGATTCCTCTTTGTCCACTACTTTATTTTAAACCTTTATTACTTTGTTAAAGGTGCAATTTGTGTAAAGATCATGTAACTAGGTTTTGTTTTTAATTCAATTTTCCTATTCTTGCTGACTACTTAGTGGGAGGATTTAGATCATTCTAATTTATAGAAATAATTTATGTAGTTGACTTTTTTGTTTCCATTTTTCTTTTCGATGTTTATGATGATATATTTTACATTCCTATTTCTTCCTTTTCCTCTTCCACATTTGTCTTTTTTGAGCATTTGAAAATTTATTCTGATTTTTTATTCCATTCATGGCCATTTTTTTCTTCCCTCACTCTCATAATCTGATGCATATTACTTCATTCTTTTTTTTTGAGCCGGAGTCTCACTTTGTTGCCCAGGCTGGAGCGCAGTGGCATGATCTCGGCTCACTGCAACCTCCGCCTCCCAGGTTCAAGCGATTCTCCTGCCTCAGCCTCCTAAGTAGCTGGGACTACAGGTGCCCATCACCACACTGGGCTAATTTCTTGTGTTTTTGGTAGAGACAGGGTTTCACCATCATGGTCTGACTGGTCTTGAACTCCTGACCTTAAGTGTTCCGCCCATCTTGGCCTCCCAAAGTGCTGGGATTATAGGTGTGAGACACCGCGCCCAGCTGCCTATTACTTCATTCTTATTTGAAAACAAAATATTGAACATTTCCCTCAGCAAGCCACACTGTGTCCCACTCCAAGATGTTCACTGCTCCCACTTCCTCTCTACCTAATGGGATGAGATCTTTAGGATACGTTTGCCTCCCTATTCCTTTCCCTTCTTCCCTCTCCTTTTCCATTTATTTACCTTGAGGGCTTTCAAAGGTTTTTCTTTGTTCCCTATCCAGTCCTTTTCCAACTTAGGTTTTTTTTTGTTGTTGTTGTTGTTTTGTTTTGTTTTGTGTTGTTTTGTTTCAGATGGAGTCTCGCTCTGTCACCCATGCTGGAGTGCAATGGTGCAATCTCAGTTGACTGCAACCTCTGCCTCTTGGGTTCACACCATTCTCCTGCCCCAGCCTCCCAAGTAGCTGGGACTACAGATGCTTGCCACCACGCCAGACTAATTTTTGTATTTTTAGTAAAGACGGGGTTTCAGCATGTTGGCCAGGCTCATCTCGAACTCCTGACCAAAGGTGATCCATCTGCCTCGGCCTCCCAAAGCGCTGGGATTACAGGTGTGAGCCACTGTGCTTGGCCGAACTTATGGGTTTTGTAGAGATAGTTAATAGAATTTCGCCTCAAAATGTCTATTCTGTATGACAAGTCTTTATAGGGTATGTAAATTACACATCTCAGGCAGTTTATCCATTTGAATTTAAGTTCTTCTTTTCTCTCCTATTAATCTAATTATCTATCTCCATCTGTCTCTCCATCCATTATACCTCCACCCTCCTCTAGCCTTCCACAGAGTTGATTGGTCACTATAATTTGCTCTCCTCCTCATCTTCCCCTCTTTTGGGGACTCTCTTCCAGTTCACAAGCTCCTTGGTTAAAGTCCTTTGTCAGACAAGTTATGTGGATGACAGTTTTCTCTGTTCTCTGTTCAACAATCACCTCCTTTCCTGCCCATGTACCTTCAACCTCAGTCCCCTTTTCTGCTTTACTTTTCTTCATGCACTTAGCACTTCCTGACATTCTTTATGTGTTTACTATTTACCGGTTTATTTTTTGCCTTCCCCACTAGATGTGAAACTCCTCAAGGGCAGATACTCTATTTTATTGACCTTTATATCTTCAGTGCCTGGGACAATGCCTGGCCCATGGTTGCTGCTCAATAAATAGCTGTTGAAAAAATTACATTTTGTATACTTCAAACATCATTCTGCCTTTTGCCCTGACACATGGGCGACATCTTAGCTGAGAATAAGGTTTTTGAGGTGCAGTCCTTTCCTTGTGGCACATATGTCCACTGTCTTCTGGTTTCCCAGGCTGCACAGAGGAAGTCTGTTGCCAGCTCATCTCTCTGATATTTTGTGCACACCCTAATTTATGCAATATTATACTCGTATATTTTTGTTTCTACAGCAATCTCCTATGTCTGTCTTTGAGCCCTTGGCACAATGTCTCATGCATAGTAGGAGTCCCCAAGGTGTTTGTTGTATAAACAACTGGCTGAATGAATCCATGGATGAATGGATGAACACAGGAAGAAAGGGAGGACTGAAAGAGTATATTATTGAACACTTGGCATGTCAACCACAGAGATGGTCTAGACCAGTAGTTTTCAAAGCGGGGCCTAGATCAACAGTGGCAGCCCCACTTGAAAACTTGTTAGAGATGAAAATTTTGGGGCACCACCCAGACCTACTAAATCAGAAACTCTGGAGGTGGAGCCCAGGAATTTGTGTTTTAACAAGCCCTGCAGGTGATTCTGATGCAGTTTCCAGTTTGAGAACCACTGCTGTAGACCATCCGCATTTTCTGTATGGGAATCCTGAGGTTGGGAGCAGGAAGTGACTCATGTATTCTGTGAGTGTCCAGGTCTCCGTACTTTCAGGCCTGTACTCTTGCCACTCAACCACGCTGCCTCACCTGATCTTGCTATGTTTTTTGTAATTAAAACCAACCACGTATTTGTCAAAACATTTCAAAGCACTGGGATTGAATCTCCACTCTTACAACGTTTCCGATTTCATTGGGGTGTTTCCAGGATTAAAAATGTGAGTTAGAGTTGTTTCTATAAGGCTTTGAGCAGTGGAAAAGTGCCAGGCGATTGCATTACTTTTCAGAGGAGGCTTCTCAGGCTGGGGCTGTAACGTTATAGCCCAATGTTATGGCTCATGCCCTCCTCTCTGCTCAGTGCCTTAATGCATGTCATACATGATCCAGTTTCCTCCTGTTGGCAGGAGCAAATGTGTAAATGGCAGTCATTGCTAGCCCAGGAGGGAGATGAGGAACTCTGACTTGATCAAGCACTCATGATCATTGCCTTTTTCTCACTAATTTCTTCATTTGTCACCAAGTGTCTTTTTAATGTATTTTGTACATTCCTTTCCAGTCTTTTTTATATGCAAATTTTTTATTAGTTTGTCTTTATGTTTTGGGCAAAGCCATGCTCATTATACTATCAAAGATTGCTTCCTTTCCTCAGTACACCTAGCACAGGCCCTTCCTCAGCTACTACTATAGAGCCCTTACCCATCTATTTTTTTTTTTCTAATATACTTTCAGCCGGGCTCAGTGACTCATGCCTGTAATCCCAGCACTTTGGGAGGCTGAGACAGGCGGAGCACTTGAGGCCAGGAGTTTAAGACCAGCCTGGCCAGCACACCTGTAATCCCAGGTACTTGGGATTGAGGTTGAGGCACAAGAATCACTTGAACCTGGGAGGTGGAGGTTGCAGTGAGCCAAGATCGTGCCACTACACTCCAGCCTGGGTGACAGAACAAGACCCTGTCTCAAATAAATAAATAAATAAACTTTCCATTTTAGAAAAGCTTTAGATTTATGGAAAAGTTGCAAAGACAGTTCAGAGAATTCCTGTATACCTGTATGACCTGCACACTCTGCACTCTTATTTCTTATTATTTCTTATTAATATATATATATTTTGAGACAGAGTTTCACTCTTGTTGCCCTGGCTGGAATGCAATCATGCAATCTCGGCTCACTGCAACCTCCACCTCCCGGGTTCAAGTGATTCTCCTGCCTCAGCCTCCGGTGTAGCAGGATTACAGGCATGCACCACCACACCTGCTACTTTTGTATTTTTTAGTAGAGATGGGGTTTCTCCATGTTGGTCAGGCTGGTCTCGAACTCCCAACCTCAGGTGATCCACCCACCTCGGCCTTCCAAAGTGCTGGGATTACAGATGTGAGCCACTGCACCCAGCCAGCTGCACTCTTATTCTTTAGAGAACAGGATTTTAGGATTAGAGAACTGAGATTTTTGAGTAGAGCAGTGACATTCTTAGATTTCTCCTTTTTGAAAAAGCTTCTGGGAGCATTCTGTTGACTGGACCAGGCTTCGTTGATTGTGTATCATTTGTCAGACTCTGGGCTATGGGGTGGGTACAATGATGAACGGGACACAACACCTGCCTTCTAGTTTTACCTTCGCAGCTCAACAGTAGAATTTGTTTATTTATTTAGAAATAATTATTATGTTATTTTTGGGTAGAGATGGGGTTGCTTAGGCTCTTGGCCTCAAGTGATCCTCCCGCCTTGGCCTCCCAAAGTGCTGGAATTACAGGCATGAGCCACCATGCCTGGGCTAGAATTTATTTTATTAATATATTTTTAATTATGGTAAAACATGCATTTATATACATAAAATTTACCAACTTAGCAGTTTTCAAGTGCACAGCTCAGTGGTGTTAAGCACATATGCACTGTTGTGCAACCAACCTCCAGAACTTTTTCATCTCGCAAAACTGAAACTCTGTCCTCATTAAACACTAACTCTTCATTCTTCCCTCCCTCTAGCACCTGGCAACCACCATTCTATTTCTGTCTATGAATTTGCTTACGTTTGATACCTCATATAATGAAATCCTACAGTATTGTACTTTGGTGGTTGAGTTTATTTTACTTAGCATAATGTCCTCATGGCTCATCCATACTGTATCGTGTGTCAGAATTTCCTTCCTTTTTAAGCTGAATAATATTCTGTTGTATGTCTATACCTCATTGTGTTTATCCATCCATCTGTTGATGGATGCTGGGTTGCTTCCACCTTTTGGATACTGAAAATAATGCTGCTATGAACAGGAGAATACAGATATCCCCTCGGGTCCCTGCTTTCAATTCTTTTGGGTATATACTCAGAAGTGAAAATGCCAGATCATGCCATAATAGTATTTTCAATTTTTTGAAGGCCCTCCCTACTGTTTTCAGTAGTAGCTGTACCAATTTACATTCCTACCAACAGAGCACTATTTCTCTATATCCTCACCAATGCTGGTTATTTTCTATTATTTTCTTTTTTTTTTTTTTTTGATAGTAGCCATCCTGATAGTGTGAAAGTATTTTGTAGTTTTGATTTGCATCTCTCTAATAATTAGTGATGGTGAACATCTTTTCATGTACTTGCTGGCCATCTTTATGTCTTCTTTGGAGATATGTTTATTCAAGTCCTTTGCCAATTTTTAAATTGGCTTTTGTCATTGTTGATTGATCGATTTTTGGAGACAGAGTTTCGCTCTTGTTGCCCAGGAGTGCCATGGCATGATCTCGGCTCACTGCAACCTCTGCCTCCCTGGTTCAAGGGATTCTCCTGCCTCAGCATCCCAAGTAGCTGGGAATATAGGCATGCACCACCATACCAGGCTAATTTTTGTATTATTAGTAGAGACAGGTTTCACCACGTTGGCCGGACTGGTCTCCAACTTCTGACCTCAAGTTATTCACCCTCCTCGGCCTCCCAAAGTGCTGGGATTACAGGTGCGAGCCACTGTGCCCAGCCCATTGCTGTCAATGTATAAGAATTCTCTATAAATTCTCTCATAGCAGCATTATTTTCAGTATCCAAAAGGTGGAAGCGACCCAGCATCCATCAACAGATAGATGGATAAACACAGTGAGGTATAGACATACAACAAAATATTATTCAGCTTAAAAAGGAAGGAAATTCTGACACACGATACAGTATGGATGAGCCATAAGGACATTATGCTAAGTAAAATAAACTCAACCACCAAAGGACAGTACTGTACGATTTCATTATATGAGGTATTTAATGTAAACAAATCTGTATATTGTGGATATTAATGACTTATTAGGTATATAATTTGCTAATGTTTTCTCCGGTTCTGTGGGCTGTCTTTCCACTTCATTGGTAGCATCCTGTGATGTGCAAAAATTTTTCATTTTCATGTAGTTCATCTTATTTATTTTAATTTTTGTTGCTTGCATTTTTGGTGTCCTAGCCAAGAAATTATTGCCAAAGCCAATGTCATGAAGCTTTCTCCCATGTCTTCTTTTACAAGGTTTATACTTTTATGTTTAGATCTTTTATCTGTTTTGAGTTAATTTTTGTATATGCTGTAAGGTGAGGGTTCAAATTCATTCGTTTGCATGTGGACATCCAGTTTTCCCACATTTGTTGAAAAGACTGCCCTTTTCCCATTGAATGGTCTCAGCACCCTTGTGAAAAAATCATTTGACCATATACATAAGGGTTTAATATGTAATATAATTTATTTTGAAATGACATCAATGTATATTAATGGAATGTGTGTGTTTCCACTTCCCCCTTTATCCCACATTTAGGTAGTATCACATTGTTTGCAGTCATTACCATCATCCTGGGATGCCTTAAAATTAGATACTTCATTGGATTTTCAGAATGTTTATCAGCCACTGAAGGAGTTTTCCCTGTCACCCATTCAGTGCATACTTTGTTGCAGGTAAACCACTGATGTTTATTCATGTTGTCTCATTCCTGTGAAGTGTATCCCAGGTTGTGTAGAAACTTGTAACATCAAGACATGTGGCAAGTGGAGACAGTGTGCACAGCTGTGAACTGCAATGAACTGAGGTGAACTGAAGTCTATCTTTGAGGCTTAATTCTTCAGCTGCCTCCATTGCAAAATAAAACTCTGTGTCCCCATGGCCATTTTTGCAGGGATCCTATGAGGCAGAACTTCTAATGATGAAGAGTCAGGAAATTCTGCCAAGCCAGGGTCTACAGTAAAAGCTTGAGGGAGTTTTATTTTCTGGGTATGTAACAGGTTTATTGAGAGAATTCACATGGCATATAATTCACCCATTTAACATGTGGAATTCAACGGTTTAGTCTGTTCATAGAGTTATGCAACCATTGCCAAAATCAATTTTATTTTTTAAAAAAATTTAATATTCTTCCTACATAGAAACCTTGTGCCATTGCAATGCCTCCTCTGGGTCATGGAAGCGCTTTTGTTTTCTCGTTTGGGGATTAAAGTCTTAGAAATGTATAAGGATTTTTTCCCACAGCATTGGTAAACTTGGTATGGCTCAGAAGGAAGGATTTGATAAATATAATTTAAATACATAGCTTAGGGTCAGAAAAATCTCATGGTTGAAAAGAATGTTAGATGGGCTTTCAGGGTAGTGTTCGCCCTTGGCAGAAATCCGTGGTAATGTTATCAGAGTCAGGATCTGAATTGTTGAATTGTCAGTCTCATTTTTTTTTTGTTTTTTGTTGTATATGTTTAAGGTATACAACATGATTATTTGATATTCCTATCCATAGTGAAGTGATTACTACAGTCAAGCATATTTATGTCTGTCATCTCACATAGTTGCCTTTCTTTTTTTGGATGTGGTAAGAGCACCTAAAATCTATTCTCTTAGCAAATTTCCAGTATACAATACAATAGTATTAACTACAGTCTTCACGTTGTCCATTACATCTCTAGAATTATTCATCTTACGTATTTGCAACTTTGTACCCTTTGACCAAAATCTTCTAATTTTTCCCCTCCAACTACCATTCTACTCTTTATGTTATTTTGTTTTTATTTATTAATTTAATTCAATTTTAGAGACAGGGTCTTGCTCTGTTGTCCAGGGTAGAGTGCAGTGGTGCCATCACGGATTACTGCAGCCTTGAATTCAGCTCAAGTGATCCTCCCGCCTCAGTCTCCCTAGTAGCTAGGACTACAGGCCCACATCACCATGCCCAGCTTCTACCATCTGTTTTTATGCATTGGATTAAAAACGTTTTTCTAGATACTACATATAAGTGAGATTATGCAGTATTTTTCTTTCTGTGTCTGCCTCATTTCACTGAGCACAATGTCCTCCAGATTTGCCCATGTTGTTGCAAATGGCAGGCTCTGCTCTCATTTTTTTCTAACGAAGAAGTTGGAGCTCAGAGAAGACAAGTGACTTGCTCAAAGTCACTGCGGAGACACAATGATTATTTTCTTCCTGACAAGTCACCCTGGAAGACCATGAACTTGTTCTGGTGATACTGCCATTGCTGGAAATATTTTTGGATTTCCAGTTTGAGAAGGTTCTTTGGAAAGTTTTCTACCTCTAGAAAACCAGGGATGACATGTTTAAAACTTCATCTTTTATCCAAAGTGACCGTCAGCTTGTACTCCCAGCTGACTTACCAGACAGCACTGGATGACCTTAGAGTGTTTCTCTAGATCAAACACATTCTCAAACAGTGAAGCTAACAGACAGAACGTGCCCAGTGAGCCTGGAAACAGTTTAGCTCCATGGTGGCATGGTGGGATCACTGGGGAGCTTGCTGAGGGGCTCATTTGGAGGGGCTGCCTTGCACTTGAAAGCTGTTATGAACTGAGTCATATCCCCTGTGAAATTCATATGCCAAAACCCTCATTCTCAGTACCTGAGCATGTGACTGTATTTGGAGATAGGGTCGTTTAGAGGAGATTGAGGTTAAATAAGATCATTAGGCTGGCCCAAATTCAATATGCCTAGTGTCTTTATTTTTTATGTTTTTGAGACGGAATTTTGCTTGTTGCCCAGGCTGCAGTGCAATGGCATAATCTCGGCTCACTGCAACTTCCGTCTCCTGGGTTCAAGCAATTCTCCTGCCTCAGTCTCCCAAGTAGCTCGGGTTACAGGCACCTGCCACCATGCCCAGCTAACTTTTGTATTTTTAGTAGAGATGAGGTTTCACCATGTTGGCCAGGCTGGTCTCGAACTCCTGACCTCAGGCAATCCACCTGCCTCGGCCTCCCAAAGTATTGGGATTACAGGCGTGAGGCACCGCGCCTGGCCCTGGTGTCTTTATAACAAGAGGAGAGAAGGACACAGACACACACAGAGAGACAGCCATGTAAAGACACTGGAGGAAATTGACCATCTACAAGCCAAAGAGAGAGGCCTCAAAAGGAACCAACCCTGCCCATACCTTGATCTTGGATTTCTAACCCCAGGACCCTGAGAAGAGAAATTCCTGTTATTGAAGTTGATGATCTGTGGTCCTTTGTTATGGCAGCCCAAGCTGATCAAAGATAACTGGCTGCTCATTCCAGGGGAGCCAAATCCCGTGAAGACAGAGCCTTATAGTGATACAGTGACAATGTGGAAAGCTTTCGTGAGGCCAGAACGAACTGCATTCGTTCATTCATTTTTCTTGTAGTTCATCTTTAAATACTGGACGAACATTGTTCTCAGCATGGGGAATACAAGGCTGTAAAGTCTGTGTCACACACCATGGGGGTGTCAGTTAGGTGAGAGGCAGTCCCCAAAACAGTGACAACGCTGGGCTCAGTGCTTTGACCAGAGTGTCCCAGAGCAATGAGGGAGCACAAAGGAGGGCATTTTGGCAGCTTGGAGTGACAGTCAATTTCTGCCAGGGAAGGTCCCAGAACCGTTTGTGAGAGAGGGAGGAGCACAGGGTTAGTGGGTCAGAGGCCACTGGAAGAGGGTGTCTTTGGGACATGCAGTCTTTCCTCACAGTGGGGTAGCGGGAGGATGTGTGGGCACAGGCTGGATCCCTGTTTGTTGTAGGGCTTGTAAGCTTGCACTCTGGTCAGATTGCATGACTCTGGCTCTGACCACAGCTGTGTGACTTCAGGCAAATTACTTAACTTCTCTGGGCCTCATGGGTCTTACTTGCAAGGTGAGGACAATCACAGTACCTACTTCATGGGCTCGTTGTAGAGATTAAAGGCACATGTGTATGAAAAGCACTTGGCACAGGGCTAGGTGTGCAGCAAATTCTTGGTCAAGGCTGACCGCCACCTAGGGGCTTGGGCTTCACCTCGAGGGCAGTGGGGAGCCACTGAAGGCTTTAGGCAGAAGAATGACTGGGACAGATATGAATTTTCAAAATATCCCTCTTAGTTGGTGGGTTGGAGATCCTAGCTTTCTAATTTAAGGCATTTTATTGGCCAGGCAAGTCAATGAATTAATCATTCTATACCTGTTGGACACTTACCATGTGCTTTTGCTACATTAGATGACTGGCGAATGGAAAAAAGTATATATAACAATTAGGCGCTGTTCTAAAAAACAGAGCATTTATTTTAAAATTGTGGCAAATACTGAAAAACCTGTAGATATCAGGATGAAATCGCTTTTGTCAGACCCAGGCAAAATAGGCCTGGGAAGGCGCTAAGGAGAGGGCACTTCTGTCTACGTGTCTGAGATACAAAGTGTTTCCAAAGACTTTCTAAAAACCCTTCATGCATCTCCTGCTTTGAAGAGGTTGGACATTACTAGACATTCTTTAGGACTGCAGTAAAGCAGATAAGATGCTCTTGGAAGAACACTTGTCCAGCACTGGCATCTCCACCAATGAACTGATGACAACTCTGGCTTTGAGCCTCTAGAACCGATGAACTCTTTTTCTCTGTGGATTATGTAAATCTCTCTTTGCTAATAACAGCTCCTCCTTACCCTTCCCTCACCGAATGCGCTGGTGGCTTGCCATTCCATGCATTCTGGACTGTAATTCCTATTTCCAAGTAAATCCAACATATTTAGTGATAATTTTCTCTAGTGTCTTTTTTTTTCAGGTTGACAATCACATAACATTTACCATCTTAGTCATTTTAAGCGTATGGTTCATTAATGTTAAGTACATTCACTTGTTGTACAACCAATCTGCAAACGTTTTTCATCTTGCAAAACTGAAACTCTGAGCCCACTACACAACTCTCTATTTCCTCCTCCTCTGGCTTTTGGCAAACTCTGTTCTACTTTCTGTCTTTATGAGTTTGAATATTCTAGATGCCTCGTATGAATTGAACCATACAGTATTGGTCTTCTTGTGTCTGGCTTATTTCTCACAGCATAACGTTCTCAAGGGTCATCCATGATGTAGCCAGAATCATGGCTGAGAAGGAGCCGTGTATTTGTGTGCACATGTCTGTCTCACCCTATGGTGCCTGAGGCTCTCCCAGGGCTGCTTGAGAACTGAGTCCTTGTGTTTTTCAGGTTTGGGGTGATCCACTTGGTGTTCACCAACCTGCTTCTGTGGGCCAACGGCATCCTCAATGAGTCAAAGCACCAATGAGCACAAGGAATGGCTCATCACTCTGGGCTTTGGGAACATAACAACAGGTGAGTGCTGAGAGAGGTGAGTGGCCCCTCTGCCATGTTGGAATGTCTTGGAAACCTGCAGAGTCCACAGTGTTCAGAGATGGAGTGCAGGTTCCAAAGAACTTCAGGCCCACCAAAGTCAGCATCAGCCAGACAGCCCCCTGTTGTTGAAAATCTTCCAAAACCTGAATCTCTCATAAGTGATGTGTACTGAGCATAATTAAAGGTTTCTTCCATGACTCAGGGACTTGTAAGACCCACGGTGATCATTCTGATGGCCATTTCTCATGGTCCAGTTTGCCGCAGAAATAAATGTCTTTGTTTTCAACTACAGAAGATTGATGGTTGCCTCTGCTTGTGTTTTTAATTAAACCTCTACTACCAGTTCTTTCTAGTAAAAGTATGGCTTTTAAAAATTCATAAAAGTCTAATGGTAGGTTGTGGTTAATAGGCTGTGGTTCATTTAAAGTTTTAATTTAACTGTAGTTGGCTTATAATTCTAGCTCATGTCTGTTCTACCTTGTTCCTATTTGAGAGCCTGTTGGGTTAATCTTTATATTTTCATCTAAAATCCTTTAGCATTTACAATATGTCACTTCTATATGAGAACATTCAGGCTGAGGGGAATGTGGGGCAGGGAACTGGGTGTCTCAGGTTTGTTCCCATCATGTACAAGCTGTGTGACCTTTAGAAGACATTTAATCTCTCTGAGCCTCCCTTTTCTCATTTGTAAAGTGAGGGTATCCAAATCATGCACTTGCAAAGATCCCTTCCAGCTTTAACATGCAGCAAGTCTGTGACAGCTGTGTGAACCCAGGCTGTCCTGGAGAGCCACTTTGAACCTGTTTTGTCATCAGTGGGGTGGAGACAACGAAGTCACCACCCCCAACCAGCAGGCACTCGGTGTTTGGGCCTCATGTCCTCCTTGGTATCAATATTAGTAGCAGCAATGACCACAATAACAAAAGTAAATTTTTATTAAGCATTTGCTGAGTGCCAGCCACTGTTGTTGGAAATTTACACATGTCATTTAATTTGTACCCCCACACTCTCTGGTAGGCTATATATGTGTGTATGTGTGTGTGTGTATATATATATATATACATATATATATATATATATATATATATAGTTGTTTGTTTGTTTTGAGACAGAGTCTCACTCTGTCGCCTAAGCTGGAGTACAGTAGCGTGATCTCGGCTCACTGCAACCTCTGCCTCCCATGTTCAAGTGATTCTCCTGCCTCAGCTTCCTGAGTAGCTGGGACTACAGGTGCATGCCACCATACCTGGCTAATTTTTGTATTTTTAATAGAGACGGGGTTTCACTATGTTGGCCAGGCTGGTCTCGAACTCCTGGCCTTGTGATCCGCCAGCCTTGGCCTCCCAAACTGTTGGGATTACAGGCGTGAGCCACTGCGCCTGGCCTCAGGTAGACAATATTAACCTCATTATATGGATGAAGGCATCAAGCCACGGAGAAGTTAGCCCAGGGTAACACAGTGAACATGTGATACAGCCATGATTTGAATCCTAACAATCTGGCTTCAAGGCCCTCTGTGAAAGATGAGGTTGGATTAATTTTCTAAAAAAGGACTCTGTCAGCTGTAACATTCTGTTACTCTGAACTTTTCCTCCTGATTTCTTCCCTTGTCTTCTGCATAACACCGTATTGAATTGTAAGTGCTAGGGAAGCCCTGTGTGAATTGAAGATTATTACTGGGGCAGTGACTCACACCTGTAATCTGAGCACTTTGTAATCCTAAGGCAGGAGCATTGCTTTAGCCTAGGAATTTGAGACCAGCCTGGGCAACAAAGGGAGACCCCAGCTCTGGAAAAAAAAAAAAAAAAAAAAGCCAGGCATGGTGGCATGGGCTCGTGGTCCCAGCTATAGCTACATGGGAGACTGACGCAGGAGGATCACTTGAGCCCAGGAAGTCAAGGCTGCAGTGAGCTGTGTTTGTGCCACTGCACTCCAGCCTGGGCAACAGAGGGAGACCCTATATAAAAAAGAATAAAAAAAAAAAAAGAAAATTTCATAGTGTTCTGTGAAAGTAAAATTAATGCTACGATATAGTTTTTCTCAGATTTTTTTTTTTTAGACGGAGTCTTGCTTGTCGCCCAGGCTGGAGTGCAGTGGCATGGTCTCGGATCATTGCAAGCTCTGCCTCCCGGGGGTCACACTATTCTCCTGCCTCAGCCTCCTGAGTAGCTGGGACTACAGGCGCCCACCACCACGCCTGGCTAATTTTTTGTATTTTTAGTAGAGACAGGGTTTCACCGTGTTAGCCAGGATGGTCTCAATCTCCTGACCTTGTGATCTACCTGCCTCGGCCCTCCAAAGTGCTGGGATTACAGGCATGAGCCACCACACCCAGCTGCTTTTCTCAGATTTTATAAGTAATATACACATATCATAAACTAAAACAATGACAAAGTGTGAAGCAAAAAAATCCACAACACTTACCCAGAAATGCAGTAAATGCTGTGAATGTTTGGTTATTTTTTTGTAGTGTGCCATTTATTTATAGTTGATTTTATACTATATATTTGATCTTTTTTTATTGCAACCTTCAATAAGAGACAGATTTTACACTGTAATCCAAACACGCACATACTTATGTGTGTATGCTTGATGAAATAATACTTAATTTTACTGTATCAGAGATGCTTCCAAATTTTATCGGAGTTGATTCCACTCCATTCTATCCTATTCTAGTCCACTGAAAATTATTTCTGCTACAAAAAAGTTGGTTGCTACCTGATTTTACAGCCTTGTACTGGGTTGTGACTTGCATTAAAGAAATATACAGTTTGTTCTTACTTTTTTCCATTTTCCTTGAAACGAGATTACTTTCTTAATATTAAAACACATCCTGGCTGGGTGCAGTGGCTCATGCCTTTAATCCCAGAACTTCGGGAGGCTGAGGCGGGCAGATCGCATGAGCTCAGGAGTTCAAGACCAGCCTAGCCAACATGGCGGAACGTTGTCTCTACAAAAAATATAAAAATTAGCCGGGAGTGGTGGCATGGGCCTGTGGTCCCAGCTACTCAGCAGGCTGAAGTAGGAGGATGCTTGAGCACAGAAGGCTGATGTTGCAGTGAGCCAAGATTGTGCCACAGCACTCCAGCCTGGGCAACAGAAGGAGGCTCTGTCTCAAAACAAACAAAAAACAAAACAACCCCCCCCATACCCAAAACCATAAAGCACATCTTAATTATAACGTGCAGTGGCTGTCTACTATCTCATTGTTGGGATATACTAAAATTTACTTAACAATTTCTAAGTTGTTGGACCTTGAGCTGTTCCTCTCTCTCTCTCTCTCTCTCTCTCTCTCACACACACACACACACACACACACACACAATTTTACCTGACTTTTTTTTAAATTATTTTTTGAGACTGAGTCTCGCTCTGTCACCTAGGCTGGAGTGCAGTGGTGTGATCTCAGCTGACTGCAACTTCTGCCTCCCAGGTTCAAGCGATTCTTCTGCCTCAGCCTCCCCAGTAGCTGGTATTACAGGCTTGCCACCACACCTGGCTAATTTTTGTAGTTTTAATAGAGATGAGGTTTCGCCATGTTGGCCAGGCTGGTCTCGAACTCCCGACCTCAAGTGATCCACCTGCCTTGGCCTCCCAAAGTGCTGGGATTACAGGGCTGAGTCACCACTCCTGGCCTTACCTGACTCTTTGATTACATTTTTTTATTTGTCCCTTTGAGTAGAAGGGTAGAATGGAAAGAATGGAATTATGGGTCAGAGACTGCATCGCCTTCAGGGCTTTGGTGACCTGTTTCGTCATTTACTTGCAGCATCTGCCTTCCTGTGATGAGAGGGCCCTCCATATGACAGCCAGCTTCTCTTCCAGAAGGTGGTGCCCGTTTACTTTCCCCGCACTGATATCGGAGAGCACCTGTCTCCTGCATGCTTGCTAGCACTGGAGTCTTAAGAGGCATATCTTTTGCTAATTAAAAGGGGTATTTTCTCCAGAAAGTATTTTTTAAAAATAATCTTAAAAAATCACACATGTAAATCATCTTCACAGAGAAAATTTAGAAAATACAGGGAAGCAAAATCTAGAAGAGATTAAAAATCATCTGTCATTTTTCCACCCAGAGATAACAATTGTTGACATTTTAGTTTGTGTCCTTCCAGGTTTTTTCCATCTGTCTGTGTGTGTGTGTATCCATCTATCTATCTATCATCTACATATCTATTTTTTACAACAATAGAGTCATCTTCTCTATCCTCTTTGGCAACTCACCAAATAAATGTGATTTAGGTAATGAATATGCTTTGGGGATACTCAGGGCTATCAAATTAGCCATGATATTAAACGTGATAATAAGCCATGACATGAAAAAGCTTGTAATCCAGTGGGAAGACCCAAGCCTGAATCCACAGTGGAAACAGTTTTCTGTGCTTTTCTGCTTCCCCTTGCACCTGCTAATAGCCCCCCTGTGTGATCAACCTGTCTCCCCTAGTTTTAGATGACCACACACCGCAATGTAACTGCACGCCCCCAACTCTCTGCACCACCATCTCCCACGGGATCTACTATATCTACTACCTCTACCCCTTCAACATAGAGTATCAGATCCTGGCCTCCACAGTGCTCTACGTCCTATGGAAGAACATCGGGCGCAAAGTTGACAGCCATCAGCACCAGAAGATGCAGTTCAAGCCTGATGGGGTCAGAGTGGGCACAGTCCTGGGCCTGACCGCGCTGGCCGCCACCATTGCCGTGGTGGTGGGTGGTGTACCTGATTCATATTGGGTGCTCCAAGACCAAGAGCAAGTCAGCACTCATCACGTTCTACCTGTATGTCATCACCCTGATGAAGCTTATGGGGGCTGCGGGGCTGGCTGGAATCCGGATTTACAGGACAGATGAGAAGTCACTGGATGAGTCCAAAAATCCGCCCCGCAAACTGGACTCGGACCTCTTGGTGGGCACTGCCTCAGGCTCCTGGCTTATCTCCTGGGGCTCAATCTTGGCCATCCTTTGTGCCGAGGACCACCCCCACTACACCTGGTACAACCTGCCCTACTCCATCGTGGTGATCGTGGAGAAGTACATCCAGAACCTCTTCATCTTTGAATCCATTCACCGAGAGCCTAAAAAACTCTCTGAGGACATCCGAACCCTTCGGATGGTCACAGTCTGCAATGGCAACACCATGCCCCTTGCTTCCTCCTGCCTCAAGAGTGGAGGTGTGGCCGGAGACGTGGCTCCCTGGGGCAGGGACATGCCACCAGCAGCCAATGGAAATGTGTGCCTGAGAGAAAGCTGTGACAAGGAGGAGAAGCACGAGGAGAGCAGCTGGGGAGGGAACCCAAGCCCAGTCCACCTTCCTCGTTTCTTACAGGGCAACGCCAAGAGAAAAGTCCTGAGGAATATTGCAGCCTTCTTGTTCCTCTGCAATACTTTGGTAATCTGCACCAAGTTATTCTTATTCTTTTAATTTTGCTGTAAACTTTCATTTTAGGTTCAAGGGGTACGCATGCAGATTTGTTACATGGGTAAATTGCGTGTCGCTGAGGTTTGGTGCACAAATGATCCCGTCACCCAGGTAATGAGCATAGTACCCGATAGGTAGTTTTTCACCCTGCACCCCACTTCCGACCTCTCCCCCAGTAGTCCCTAGTAGTGTCTATTGTTCATATATTTGTGTTCATGACTACCCAATGTTTAGCTCCCACTTATAAGAGAGGACATGAGGTATTTGGTTTTCTGTTCCTGTGTTAATTCACTTAGGATAAGGACTCCATTTCTATCCAGGTTGCTGCAAATAATGTGATTTCATTCTTTTTTTAAGGCTGCATAATATTCCATGGTGTAGAGCTACCACATTTTCTATTTATTTTTTTTTTTGAGAGAGGGTCACGCCCCATTGCCCAGGCTGGAGTGCAGTGGCATGATCACAGCTCACTGCAGCTTCGACCTCCTGTGCTCAAGCAATCCTCCCATCTCAGCCTCCTGAGTACCTGGGACCACAGGCATGTGCCACCACACCTGGTTAATTTTAAAAACTTTTTTTGTTTTTGAGAGAGAGTTTCACTCTTGTTGCCTAGGCTACAGTGCGATGGTGCTCACTGCAACCTCTGCCTCCCGAGTTGAAGTGATTCTCTTGCCTCAGCCTCCAGAATAGCTGGGATTACAGGCACCTGCCACCACAGTTGGCTAATTTTTGAAAATATTTTTAGTAGAGATGGGGGTTTCACCATGTTGGCCAGGCTGGTTTCGGACTCCTGACCTCAAGTGATCCACCTACCTTGACCTCCCAAAATGCTAGGATTACAGGTGTGAGCCACCATGCCTGGCCAAAACTTTTTTTTTTTTTTTTTTTTTTGTAGAGATAGGTTCTCACTGTGCTGCCCAGGCTTGTCTTGAACTCCTGCGCTCAAACAATCCTCCTGCCTCAGCTTCCTAAAGTGCTAGTATTACAGATGTGAACCACTGTACCCGGCCATAATACATTTTCTTTATCCAGTCCATTATTGATGGACATCTAGGTTTCTCTTGCCTTTTTAAAATAAGGAATGGAGGCAGCTTGTAATAAAAATACTGTAAGTATAAAATTACAATATAAGGCTGGAAAATAGACCTATATTCTACAAATCTACCTACTAAAGACTTGCTGTGTGCTAGGGGCTGGGCTAGGTACTAAAGATTAAAGTGGAAAGACTCAGTCTCTTTCCTCTAAAAGGTCTCAGTATAATGGGGGAGGGAGACAATGAGCAAATCTAATATAGTGAACAGGACAAGTGCTGAGATGGGCTTGTGCAAGGTGTACTAGGAGCAGGGATCCAGAAGGACTTCAGTGAGTAGTGGGTGCTTGAGGTGAGGCCCAGTGTCAGTCAGGAGTGCTTTTAGTTGCAAGTGACAGGCAATTTGATTCACAGTGTCTTCAGTCTTAACAATGTTTAATTATCTCATGAGAATTCCGGAGGTTGGCTGCTTGGGGTTGGCCTGGCAGCTGAACCATGTCATCAGGCATCCAGGCACTGTTCATCTTGTCACTTGGGTGGTGTGGTGTTTGTTGTGACATGGTCATGAGATGGCTGCAGCTGCACCAGGCATCACATCTGGGTTCAAGACAGAAAGCAGTGGGGAAGGGCTGGTGCCAGACAATGTCTCTCATGTGGGCACCCCTCACTGCAAGGGAGGCTGGGGAAGTAGAGGGTTTGCTTCCCAGCCTCTCTGATGGAAGGTAGCAAGGGAGAGGAAGGTGTACAGTCACTCACCCATCTGTCTGCATCAGCAAGGAATGACTGGAAGTTCACCAGGTTATCAAGGCGGGGAAAAGCATTTCAGGCAGAGACACACAATATGTGAAGACACAGAGGCAAAAGACACCATGGCATGTTTTGAGAGCACCAAGTAGTTTGGCATAAATTCCATGTGTGTTAAGCAGAGTAGCAGAATGGGAAATAGGAGAGAGGGCCCAGGTAGGTGGACTCTGGCTTGAGCAGGGCTTCCTAGGCCTGGCTGGAGTCTAGTCTTTATGCTGAGGGCAAGGGAAGACTCTCTCAGATTTGTGTTTTGGAATGATCCTCCCAGTAGCTGTGTGTAGCAAGGATGGAGACAGATAGGGCCAGAAGCAGAAAGACTGGGAGAGAAAGCCCTGCAACAGCCCAGGCAGGAAGGGGAGGAGCTTGAACTAGGGCAGTGATGGAGGGATGGAGAGAAGAAAAAGGAATAAGAAGCATTGTGTGCTGTTGGGATTTTTTTAAAGACACATAAAGGAAGGATGGTGGGGGTCAGTAAGAAGGAGGGGGAAGCAGCCTTTGCCACCGCATGAGTCTCTGCAGTGATGGTGACTGGTGGCTGGAGGGGAGTGCCCCAGTCCACAGAGGTGCCTGCCCATCACTCTGGGTGAAGTCAGCTCTGTGCTACTAGCCTCTGTTATCAAGCCTGCTCCCTGTTGCCCCAGCAGCTCAGAGGCTTTTGAGCTTCCTCCCCTGAATTTCAGATGGTGCATACGGGGTCTGCAGCTTTTGATATCACCCTAAGAACACAAAGTTGGGAAAGTAAGTCCCGTCTAAAGTCAGAATGGCTGTGTGTCTGCCAAGCAAACCTGATCCACCCTAGCCTTGGATCACCCAGGTTCCTTCAGTTTGCTAGGCAGTGAGGAGGGGCTCTGAAGGTGGAAGGCCCAGAAGAGTTTGGCTGCAGGGAGACCCTCTTCTCCATCTAACAGACATTTGCCAGGCACCTGCTGTATGCCAGGGACTATGTCAGGGGCACAGCAGTGAGTCAAAAATTGAAAGAGTTAACAAGAGAGATAGATACTGTAAGCTGCATTTTTTTGAGGTGCATATTCCAAAATGCAAATTCTTATAAAGTCAGAGCTAGTTCTAGAATCTTCCTCAAGTATATGCTTTTTGTACATATCCTGTGATTAATATTAATATACATATATTTTGAGATGGAGTCCTGCTGTGTTGCCCAGGCTGTAGTGCAATGGTGCGATCTCGGCTCACTGCAACCTCCGCCTCTTGGGTTTAAGTGATTCTCCTGCCTCAGCCTCCCGAGGAGGTGGGACTACAGGCATGCAACAACCATGCCCAGCTAATTTTTCTACTTTTAGTAGAGACAGGGTTTCACTAGGTTGGTCAGGGTGGTCTCGAACTCCTGACCTCAGGTGATCTGCCTGCCTAGGCGTCCTAAAATGCTGGGATTACAGGCGCGAGCCACTGCTTCTGACCTAATATTTCTTTTTAAAACTAAGTTCTGAAAAGTTATCTTTCCCTGGTTGCCTTTTTGGTTGACCACTGGGTGAAATACTTGGCTTGCATTTTTGGACCCACTTGAAGAAAGATAGCACTGTCCGAAATACCAGAATCAAGTGGCAATTCATGGTCTGTCAGGACCCGAAAGCCAGACCCAGGGCCCAGTCCAAGGAGAAGGGTGGGCTCCGTCTCTTCCTCCCTGTGCTTGGCCCATGATGCCCCCAGGCACTGGTTGGGTTCTGGGGGGTTGAACCAGAGGATGGAAATCATCGCAGGGTGGAGTCTTAGGATACCCGTGCTGGCTCATGGGTGGCACTTTGAAACCTTGTGATTGACCCCAGGTGGTGCCAAAGGCATCTGGCAGAGAGCAAGAGCTGTCTTCTCCAGCATCGGGAGCCAGTCCAGAGGCCCCAGCTGCAGGTGCTGATGTGCATGTCCAGGTGGAGTGGGCTCCACTCCAGAGACGGACATGGAAATGTTAGTTGAATTTCCAGGAGCCGTGGCACTGGAGACAACAGAGGGTGGTTGTGGTGACCGGGAAGGGCAGGGTGCTGTGGGAGATGGGTCAGGGAAGGCCTCTTCTAAGGAAGGGTGTGGATGGGGCTGGGATGAGAGACTATCAGGGCAGAGCTGCAGGTGTGGGGAAGGGACGGATGCAAGGCAAGGCAGGGCTCACTGGACATGACCTGGGAGCACAGAGCAGAGGGCAGAGGGGAGACCACACAGGGCCTGCGAGCCAAGACTCAATCCTAAATGCAACAGAAAACCATGGAAAGGTCTACACTGAGAGTGACGGGATCTGACTCATGCTTATTTTGTTATATTTTTAATTGTGGTAAAAAACTCATCAAATAAACTTTCCCATTGCACCCACTTTCAAGTGTATAGTGGAGTAAAGTACGTTCACATTGTGCAAACATCACACCATCCATTTCCAGGTTATTCTCGTCTGGCAAAACTGAAACTCTGCCCCCATTAAATATGAACTCCCCATTCTCCCCAGCCCCTGACAACCACCGTTCTTTCAGTCTCTAGGAATTTGACTCCTAGACTCCTCATATAAGTGAATTTATGGAGTATTAGTCCTTTTGTGATTAGGTTATTTCACTCATCATAACATCCTCCAGGGTCTCCAGGTTGCAACTCGCAAAGGGTGACAGACGCCAAACATGACCCCTGCCTTCACACTTGAGTTCCTGGGGAGATGGTGATACTATGTTGGAGATGGAGGAGGACTCTGGAAGAGGGGCAACCTTGGGAGCAGTGGGTGGAGGTCAGTGTGGAAGGAAGAACCAGAGTTAAGTAATGAACGTGTTCTGTTTCAGGTGCCTCTGTGGCATCCAAATGGACGAACCCAGTAGACAGATATTTTGGTTTTCTATTGCCGTGCAATGAACTACCACTAATGTATGACAAAAGCAACATGCATGACTGTTTTTGTCCCATAGCATTTATTGTGACTCGTGGCTTTGTGGGTTAGAAATTCTGGCAGGGCTTGGATGGGCAGTTCTGTTCCTCACAGCATCAAGTGAAGTTGGTGAAGCCTTGGCCAGAAGCTCCGTGGTCTGGTGCCTTGGGTGGGGGTGGCTGGGAGGCTGGGCTCAGCCAGGACTCTTGACTGGGGCATCCACAGGTGGGTCTCCAGCATGACGTCTCAGGGTGGTTGGACTCCATGCTTGATGGCTGAGGGCCCCAGAGCTGACCCTCCAAAAGACTGAACTGGAAGCTGCCTGTCTCCTAAGGCCTGGGCTTGGAAACTGCATGGTGTCATTTCTGCCATATTTTATTAGTCATGTAGTCACAGAGTCCATCTAGATTCAAAGAAAGAGGTCATAGGCCACTTCTCAATAGGATAAGTAACAAGAATTTCCAGCCAACTAAACAGCACATATAAAGATGTGGATTTCAGAAAAGAGGTCCCATTTTCCTGCCTTCCTTTCTTCTCCCTTTTCCTCCCTGTCTCCCTTGCCCTTCCTCTCACCCTTCCTTTAAAAGGTGTCCCTTAAGTACCTACAGAGGTACAGGGACTGCTATGAATGGTGAGGGTACAGCAATGACCAAGATCTCTGGTCTTCCTCTTATGGGGCTTACAAACCAGGCAACAGCAGGTGAAACCATCAACTGAGCAAGAAAGACACCTTATAGTGTACCCGTGTTAAGCAGAGAAGTGGAAAAGGAGGGTGTGGGAAATAGCTCTTGGGCTGCCATTGTAGATCAGATGGACCAGCTTAGCGGGAAGGCCTCGCTGAAGGGTGACACGAGACAGGAAGGGGTTGGCCACGCATGTTCAGGGCAGAGGGAACAATGGCTGGTATAAAACCCCCAGTGGGAGTGAGCGGGTCTGGTTTGAGAAACAGGAAGAAGGGTTGCCTGCAATGTGGGTGGGGTGAGTGGAGAGAAGCGTGGGTGGTTAGAAATCAGCTAACAGAGCACTTTATCACTCCGTGCGGGAGTGTAGAATTTATTTTAAATATTTTGGGAAGACTTTAGGGGTTTAATCAAGGTAGGGACAGGATCTGATTTCCATATAATGTAAATCTGGTGGCCGAGTGGAACCCTAGTTCGAGCTGGGAGACCAGGCACGGGGCCACCGCCATGGTCCAGGTGAGAGAGGCCGGCTGGACAGGTGGAGAGAGAGAGCCACAGGTGGGCTGAAGATACTGCTTTGGAGGTGCACAGTGGAGATGCGCTGAGGGACTGGATGGGAGGGGGCATGGTTATGAGAGTAGGAGGGAGATAAGGTTGACACCTGGAGCCTCGATGGACCACCTGGGAGGACGATGTAGCTGAGCAGATGGAGAAATGGGGAAGGTGGGTTGAGTTTGAGATGTGTTTTAGACACCCAAGTTGCCACCGGAAACTATGAGTCTGGGGTTCTTGGAAGTGGTCCAGGCTGGAGATTGAGACTGGGAAGTCATAGGCCTATAGCTGGTATTTACAACCAGGGACTGGGAGAGAGCCCCAGGGTTCATGTGTAGAGAGAATAGAAAGGGACCCAGGAATGAGCCCTGGACGCTGGCTAACATTAAGAGGCAGAGCAAAGGATGAAACAGCAAAGGAGACTGGGAGGGACCCGCCGAACAAGTAGGAGAGCTCCTAAGAGTCACAGCAGCCAGTAAGCAAAGCAGAAGAGAGGGGTCTTGGTTCCAGGGCCCCCGTGGTGTATACCAAATGCACAGATGCTCAAGTCCTATACTTGCATGTAACCTACCCATCCTCCCGTACACTTTAAGACATCTCTAAATTACTTAGAATACCTAATACAATTTAAATGCTATGTAAATAGTTGTTACATTGTATTGTTTAGAGAATAATGACAAGAAGAAAGTTTGTACCTATTCAGTACAGACACAACAAACCATTTTATTTTTTTAATTAATTTATTTTTATTTTTTGAGACCGAGCTTCACTGTTGCCCAGGCTGGAGTGCAGCGGCATGATCTTGGCTTACTGCAAGCTTCGCCTCCTGGGTTCAAGGGATTCTCCTGCCTCAGCCCCCTGAGTAGCTGGGATTACAGGCACATGCCACTACACCTTGCTAATTTTTTGTATTTTTAGTAGAGATGGGGTTTCACCATGTTGGCCAGGCTGGCCTTGAACTCCTGACCTCAGGTGATCCACCTGCCTCGGCCTCCCAAAGTTCTGGGATTATAGGTGTGAACCACTGTGCCCAGCCTACTTTTTGAATATTTTTGATCTGTGGTTGGTTCAATCCACAGACACAGGTCCCTGGATACAGAGGTCGGCTGTATATACCAGGGAGTGTTCTGTATGGAGATACAAATGAAGGCTATGTGTCTCAGTTACCTATTGCTATGGAAGAGACCACCCCAATACTCAGCAACTTAAAACAATGTACATTTATGATTTCATAGTTTCTCTGACTTATGACTCCAACTACAGTTTTAGCTGAGTATCTCTGCACAGGGCCATTCCCAGGCTGAAACTGTTGGCTGGGGCTGCATTCATTTCAAGGCTTGACTTTCTGAGAGGTGGCAGAGGATTTGTTTCCAAATCTACTCATGTGACTGTTGGCAGGATTCAGCTGTGGCTTGTTGGGCTGAGGGTCTGAGTTCCTTGCTGGCTGTTGACAGGGGTACTCCCTGGGCCCCTTGCCGCATAGGGTGCTTCGCAGCATGGCAGCTCTGCCACCTGTCTTTCAGGAGAAGATGAGCAAGAGGGATAGCAGGTCCTTTTGCAACCTAATTTCAGAGGTGACTTCCTGTGTCTTTTGCCATATTTTGTGAGTTGGAAGTGAGTCATTAGGTGCATCCCACACTAAAGGGGTGGGGACTCCACAAGAGGGTGACTGCAGGAGCTGGGGATCATTGAGGGTCATCCTAGAGGCTGCCTGCCACAGCCAGGGAGTGGAGGAAGCTGAAGAAGGGTGCAGCCTGAAGCGGGAGTGAGGAGCCTGACAACTCAAGGGGTGGCAGAAAGGGAGAGAACTGGGACAGAGAAGAGCCTGAGAAGCAGGGAACAGTGTGTACGTTCTGTGAGCAACACAAACAAAAGTCACTGCTTTCAGTTTTGCAAACTTAATTCTCATCTAAGCCCTCTCAGACACGTGTTAGAATTCCCATCTTTCAAATGAGGAAACTGAGGCTGGGCGAGGGCTGTAGAGATGGAGAGAGTTGGATGGGTTCAAAGAGCGCTCATTAGGGATGGATTGCAGGGAAGGGTGGGTGAGGAAGTGAGCAGGATCATGGCAGACATGGATTTGGTGGTTTCTGTGGAGATGGGAAATGCCACGAGGTCTCCTTATTGTTCTGTCAGGGGTGACTCAGTCCCCGTGCATCAGGGTCAGCTCCCATGAGGCCTGGGACTTGAGTGGGGCCTCCGTGGTGGCTTGGAAGCTGCTCCCCACCACAGGCCATTTTCTCTTCTCTTGCAGCTTTGGATACCTCCCGCTTTTGGCTGTCGACCTGAGTATGACAATGGATTGGAGGAGATTGTCTTTGGCTTTGAACCCTGGATAATTGTGGTCAACCTGGCCATGGCTTTTTCTATTTTCTATGCAATGCACGCAGCTGCCTCCCTCTTTGAGGTCTATTGTAAGATATAGTCTAAGTCCACAAGAGACTAACAAGTGACTAACAAGAGTGAGCTAACAAGAGTTCATTGGAGCCAACTGGGAATGGCCAGGTTGGACAAATATTGCCTGACAAACATGAGAAGGGCCACCTTTTGTCTGCAAAGATTGTGCTTCCTGTGGGCTGGAACTGCCCATCACCCCTGATGAATGTAAACAAGTTAGATCAAAATCCATAAGGTGGCTGGAATCTGTCCTTGGTTAGTTAAATGCTAATCAAGCCCAAATTATTTTATTGCCTTCTAAATGATTTAGAAGAATGTGATTCTGGCTTGGGAAAAAATCTATCCAGTTTGTTTTTCATAAAAAGCATTTTCTTTGTGTCATTTATCATGTGACTCCATACAACCTTTTCCTGACCACCTGCATAGTAATTTATACTTTAAAAATTTATCCTTCTCAAAGCCTATGAATTTAGACACAATCACTATTGTTTCTGAATAGGTTTAATTTCTTGAAGTTATTTTTATCAGCTGGATAGAAATTTGTATACAGACCCATATAAAAACACATTTCTTACCTGAAATGTTGGCACATTTTTGTGATCATTTTCAAGTATTTTTAAAAAGAAATTTCACTGTTCTCTCTTTCACTGTAAATACACACATGTTTATTGTAAAAAATTTGGATATTTCAGAAAAGTAGAGAGAAAAAGTCACCTACGATGCCATTGTTCAATTAACAATTACTTTTAATATCTTGGTGTATTTCTTCCGACCATGTTGATGAGATTCTTTTTATTGTCATTATTATACCTTTGAATGGTGATGTAACATATTTGATTTTGTATTCAGTTATTTTCCTACTTAACAATATGGCATAAACCTTGCCCCCATATTGTTATAAGTTCTTTATAAATATCATTTTAATGCTGTATGATAGTCTATCAAGTGAATGTACCTTAATTAACATAGTTTCCTATGGTTGGTTTTACAGTGTTTATAACTTTTTGCTTTTATAGGTAACTCTGCAAAAATCAACCATATTTGTGAAGCATTTCCTATATTTAGAATTGCTTCTTTAAGATATGGAATTACAATTAGGATGCCTAGTCCAAAGATTAAGTTTAGAAATATTTCAAAGGTGCCTAAGGAATATTGACATTTGGGAGGCCTTTGTATAGCTTTTCCACAGCTATTTTAAAATAATAATAAAATTAATTTTCTTAATGTAAGTATTAATGTATCTTTTCATTTGAGTGTATTTTTTTTCAGACAGTGCAGGCAATGGGACAGTAATAAATACAAAGTTTTTTTTTAACATGACTAAAGTACACTTATTTTAGAAAAAACTAAAAAATAGGCATATATACTAAAAAACAAAGGAAAGCATCATCTATACATGTCCCATCTAGAGAATCGGTTCTCCAACTGGGGACCTTGTTCCTTGAGGGGACATTTAGCAATATCTGAAGACATTTTTTAATATTTATTTTTTATTAAAATTAAAATAAATCTAAATTATACATAATATTTATACATACTTACAGGGTACATGTGATATTTTGATATAAACATATAATAAATAATAATCAAATCAGGGTGACAGATATTCATACCCTCAGGTATGTATCTTTTTTGTGTGTTAGGAACATTCTAATTTCACTATGTTAGTTACTCTAAAATATACAATAAATTGTTGTTAACTATAGTTGTACTTTTGTGCTACCAAACACATTTTTGATTGTTACACTACTGCACCCAGGGATACTGCTAACACCCTACAACACACAGGACAGCCCCACCACAAAGTCTTCGGGCTGATTGTCAATGGTGCTGAGGTAATCTAGAGGTAATTGCTGTTAAGTATTGTTATCTAGGTAGCTATTAGTACACACACACAGGCTGGACATGGTGGCTCACGCCTGTAATCCCAACACTTTGGGAGGCCACAGAAGGATCGCTTGAGGCCAAGAGTTTAAGACCAGCCAGGGAACACAAACATAGTGAGACCCTGTCTGTACAAAACACAAAACAAAAAACCCAGGTGCGGTGGAGTATGCCTGTAGTCCCAGCTACTCATGAGGCTGAGTGGAGAGGATCACTTGAGCCCAGGAGTTTGAGATTGGGTAGTGAGACAAGATTGTGCCACTGCATTCTAGCTTGGGTGGCACAGCAAGACCCTGTCTCTAAAAAATAAAAATTAAAAAAATTATATATATATATATATATATATATATATATATATATATATATATTTTGTTTTTTTTATTTTTTTGAGACAGACTTTCACTCTTGTCACCCAGGCTGGAGTGCAATGGCATGATCTTGGCTCACTGCAACTGCCGCCTCCTGGGGTCAAGCGATTCTCCTGCCTCAGCCTCTGGAGTAACTGGGATTACAGATGCCTGCCACCACGCCCAGCTAATTTTTGTATTTTTAGTACAGACAGGGTTTCATCATATTGGCCAGGCTGGCCTTGAACCCCTGACCTCAGGTGATCCACCCACCTTGGCCTCCCAAAGTGCTGGGATTACAGACGTGGGCCACCACACCCAGCCGATATTTTTTTTTTTCAAAAGTACGCATACATCGACACCCACACCCACACCCACACCCACATGAAGGCGGTGTTTTTATGTATACTGCGTTTGTATGTAACTTGCTTTTTTCCTCTTGATACACCAGAGTGCTTCTTCCCTATTTTGGGTCCCAGGCATCGATGCTCTGGCTTTAGTGTGCCTGAGACTCATCTGGGGAACTTGTTAGGATTCCTGCCCTCCAAGCTGGAAGTGCAGATTCAGTCTGGAGGGGGGCCCGGAAGTCTGCACTTTCATGAGCATCTCAGGGGGTGCCAACTCCCTTTGATAAGCATCTCCTTGGACGTCCATGGACCCCAAGCTAGGACTCCCGAGTAAGTTTCCTTGACATTGCATATCCATATGCAGTATGATTTTGGGTGGATTTAAGGTACATTCCATGGAAGGATGTACCATTCCTTATTTTTTCAAACGGTGATGTTGGACATTTAGAGATATTTAGGTGGTTCCTTTTTTTGGTGCTACTGTAAACAATGCTATGGTGATCATCTTTGTAACTGAGTCTTTGAGGTCAGTAACAAACTATCCTCTGGAGTGATTTATGCTGACTAAGCAGTGACTGAGCAGGAATACAGGTTTCCCCATTTTGGTTGGCATTACCTTTACCCCTGTTCTAAGCACATTAGAAAAGCCCTGAGGCCTCAGCTGTGGGTTTTGGGCTCTTCCAAGGAGACAAAGGAGCTATCATAATGCTGGGAATGATGGATCCAGGCTGTGGGGATGCTATTGTGGACACAGGGCAGCATCAGAGCTTGGAAAAGCCTGCATGGCTGGCCAGGCTCAGCGTTTCCAAGAAAGGATCTAAAGATGGATGAAGCATCTCCTATCCTCAACAGGCAGCCTCAGGGATGGCTATTTCAGCCAGGTGCTTTTTACCTCCAAGTAATTAAGCATCCTGACTCAACCAGCGTAGGTGGCAAGGAAAATTTACTATCTTAATGCCAAGGCAATTTGCCAAAGAGGAACCAGAATGTGCAATACACAAGTGTTAAGGTCTCAGGGAATACAAATTGAAATAATAATGAGTTACCACTTCCCATTCATTAGATTGGCAAGAGTTGGCAAGAAGTGAAAGAAAGACTCATATATACTGCTAGTGGGAGCGTAAATGAATAAAATCAGATAGGACAGCAATTGGCAATATTGACTAAGGCTGGAGGTACACATTCCTTACGACCTAAGAATTCTGTTCCCTGGCATGTGCTCCAGAGACAACCTCACACCTGTGTTCAGGAATGTTCACTCAGCATAATTGTAATTAGGAAAATGGAAAACAGCCTAAATGCCTGTCAATTAGGAGTGCAGATAGACACACTAGGGACAATTTCCATAATGGACTATTTCACAAGAGGAAAAAATGAACACAACAGAATTCATGTATCAACATGGATAGTCCCCCAAAACAATGTTGAATGAAACATTAAGTAGTGTAGGGGTATAATTGGTATGATACCATTTATATGATGTCTAGGAACAAGCAAAACAATCCCTGATATTGCTGGGGGATATGTCCATATGTAGTAAGATTACAAACACACCTGAAGAAAGAATGCATGCCAAGTTCAGTGTAGTGAGAAGGGGAGGGGCTTGGAACCAGCAACTGAGTTCATGCTGTGTCCGAAATATTTTTTCTTAAGCAAAGATGTATTCATTATGTTTTCATCTGCACTCTTAAAATGTACTCTTTAAATGCACTTTTAATGTATTTTAAAGAAATTTTAAATGAGATATTTAATAATACAAGTATTTGAGAGCAATAAAAAAAGAAAGTCCATACAAGGAAGATGAACTTAGAGAGAGCTACCAGAGCAGGTAAATTTCCAGCATTCTTCCATCATTGTTGAGAGATGGGTGTCAAAGCCAGTGGTGTTCTGTTCTCCTTGGCAGGTAGATCCCCAAGGTGGTGTAGCTCAATGCAATTAGCTGGTAAGATCACCGGACTCACTCTTCCAGGGATGACTCCGTGCACATTAGGAAACCTGACATTGGTTTGCCTTCCAATGTCGCTCTTTTCTGTGGGGGCAATGCCCTGGGCACACATATTATCAGAACAATCTGCAATGGACTGGATGTTTGTTTCCCCCTTAAATTCATATGTTGAAGCTTAATGGCAATGTGGTGGTATTTGGAGGTGTGGTCTTTGGGAGGTAATGAGGTCATGATGGTAGGACCGTTGTGAATGGGATTAGCGCCTGTAAGAGGGGGCCAGAGAGCTTGTGCACTTCTTTTCTGTCATGTGAGGATGCAATGAGAAGACAGCTGTCTGTGACCTGGAAGAGGGCCCTCACCAGAACCCAACCATGCCAGCACTGGCACCCTGATCTTGGGCTTCCAGCCTCCAGACCTGTGAGAAATAAATGCCTGTTGTTGATTAGCCACCCAGCTTGTGCTATTTTGTTACAGCAGCTTGCACTGAGTAAGTTACTCCCTTACCTGCTGTAACCGTATACAGGAGGGGCCTGTGCATTTGGTAGCTTGGGTTCCTCCCTGAGCCTGTGAAACTCAGATTTGAACTCATGTATTTTGGGTGCCATGACTCTTGTCGAGGCAGAGTGAAAGGGCAAGGGCATGGAGCTAGATATCCAGGGTGACAACAGGCTCCCATGGTGCCTGAGTGTGCATTAAAAAAAGCACCCCTTCCACAAGACATTCTCCAAACTGTCGAACCAAACCCACCAGCATCTTCCTACCTGCCCATGTGCCGGGGTGGGGGGAAAATTAGACATGTTTGTCTCCCCACTACAAATGTCGGCCAAAAGATCCAACTGGAAAATGCTTGCTACTACCTTCCAGTTTCACGACCCTCTCAGCTAAGGAAGCCCTTCCTGCATCCATGTCTCTCTATGCCTGTCTGTGAAGTCCCAGCTCACAGCTGACCTGGTTAGGTAAGCACTGTTATTTTGTTTCAACGGAGGGAACTTTTGGATTACATGTACATAGCTAGTCAGTGGCAGCATTTGGTTCATCACGCTGGTTTTAAAAACTCCATTGCCTTTTCTCTTCATTAGTCCTATCATCTTATGAAGAAAGTCAACTCAGTAAAAATATCCGTCAAACAATGGCTTAGGGATATGCGTACAGAACAATCAAATCAGCTGACAGAATATCTGGCTTTTCACCCAGTTATAAAATGTTGTGCTTTGCTTAACATGGTGAAGAACGAAAGCTGCTAACAGCTGATTTCTTTCTCCCAAAATGTGAGCCCTGCTATGGGAGAGCGCAACCAGCAGGGGGTGCTGGCGTCTTTCCCTGAACTTCAGGGCACGCTTGAGAGAGGGTACCTGGCGGGTGGGCAGTGGCCTCAAGTTACCAAACGAAGGGGTGGGCGCAAGGTGTGCTGATTGGACTCCATTGGCTGCGCTGGGTTCCCGTAGCGTATGTGAGAGATACCTGTCACCACTTCCCGGCTAAGACCCAGCCAGTTTCAGCAAGGACGTTCCCTCCACTGGACCCACCAGGACCCACTCCCTGCAGGGCACCATGGTCCCTCTCAAGAGGCTTTGGAGGAACTTGGGAGTTACAGGGTGTTCCCCTGATGGGAGAGTCCCTGGCATGCCGCGTGTGAATGGGACTGAGTTGGGTGGGGGAGGCTAGGAGGGCACTTGTGCTGGGTGTGATGGGGGAATGTAGTCCATGTTAGTTCCTCCTAAGAGCAGCCACTAAGAGGACTCTGGGGAGGGACAGATGGGTGCAGTGTTTTAACCCACAAATGGGAGGGTAATTCTGGCATGATGGTGGTTTTAGCAATGTTAGTAATGCACGGACCACCATAACCATGATAGTGAAGCTACATGTCTAAAAAATGTAAATCAAATCAGGCCACCTGCTAAAAACGATTCAATGGTTTCCCATTGCCCCCCCTCCCTTTTTTTGAGGCGGAGTTTCGCTCTTGTCACCCAGGCTGGAGTGCAATGGCATGATCTCAGCTCACTGCAACCTCCGCCTCCTGGGTTCAAGCGATTCTCCTGCCTCAGCCTCCTGAGTAGCTGGGATTACAGGCGCGCGCCATAACACTTGTCTAATTTTTGTATTTTTAGTAAAGATGGGGTTTCACCATGTTGGTCAGGCTGTTCTCGAACTCCTGACCTCAGGTGATCCACCCGCCTCGGCCTCCCAAAGTGCTGGAATTATAGGCATGAGCTACCGCGCCCCGCCCTCCCATTGCTTTTAGTAGAAAATACAAACTCCTACCCGTGGACTATTGGGGCTATCACGATCTGGGCTCTGCATCTCCATCTTCTCATGCCAGTCCCATCCTCTGCCTCCCCAACCCCATCGCCCTTCCTCCTGCATGGCTGCAGCCACACCTGGCTTCTTCTCTTTAATATTCCTACCATGCCTGCCCCACAGGACCTCCGCAGGAGCTGCTCTCTCTGGGGTGTGCACTTCTGGCTCAGGGCAAGGATCCATCTTTCTCACCCTTCAGGCTGTGTGTAGATAGATGTCCCTCTGTAGTGAGGTCCTCACTATCCAGCTCATTACGCTTCACTTCGGCACCCTGTCCAGACCCTTCACAGTCAGCTGCCAGCTGTGTTTTCTTATTTATTGGTGCTCATCCAGTCCAGTCCTGGATGGGACTGCCTGCCTCATGAGGGCATGAGCTTTGCCTTCTCCTCTCCCAGAACCTCCCTGATGTGGTTGCTTGGACACGTGGGCCACCCTCCCAACACCAGACTATCGCAGGGTGCGGGAAGGGCTGGGGCCGCCGCGGGCCTTGAGGATCGCCATGTTTCCTTCTCTAGTTTTTGAGACATTGGTGAAGATCCTCTGCCTGCTTCTAGCACACACATCCTGATCTCCTTCTGCCTTCAAGACACAAGATGGCGCTTTAAGCCTGGTTGTTAAGAAAGAGGACTACAAACGCTTGAGTTTCTTCCCTCTGCTCGCTCTCAGACGTGGCTTGCGAGGGGATTTGTGGGGTCCACCTCTCCACAGCTTGGTGGGTGGGTTCCGTCCTCCTCCTCGGACAGGGCAGGACCAGCAGCCAATCACTCCTTCCTGCCAGAGAAGGAAGTGGCGCTCAAACTGTTTTTCTGACATCAGTAATATCTGCCTACACTCCTCCAGCAGGCATCTCTGAAACATCAGTTTTGGGTGATTGGTCTAAGCCAAGCACCTTTGATAGCAAGGGTAAGCCCGCTATCCTTTGCTGGAGATGGGCACGGAGAGGGCATGTGAAGAGTGCCAGACCAGGCGTTGACAAACTATGGCTCATGAGAAGAATGGAGTGTACATTTTTAAAGGGTCATCTCTCTCTCTCTCTCTCTCTCTCACACACACACACACACACACACACACACACACACACACAGAATATGCTGCAGAGATCATATGTGACCTGACAAGCCTAAAATACTCACTATCTGGTCCTTTATAGGAAATGCTTACTGACCTCTGGTCTAAACACTGAGAGGTAAGGGACCTCTGCTGCACCGCCCTGGAGGGATTTTTGATCCCTAAATAAGAAGAGGTGAGGAGGAAGCCTGCCCTTCCTCCTGGCCTGAATGTGCTTCTGAGAGGCAGTCAAGCCTGGAACTGTGGCAGCCGGCTTGTGACCATGAAGAAACCAGCCCAAGAAGAAAGGCCAACCTGCCAAGGAGGGAACAGGAGCCTGGGGCCTCGAGGACTTTGCTGAGCCTTCGTGTGACCCTGGAGCCACCTTCCTCTGGAGTTCTTGTGATGGCAGATAATTCAATGTTGTCATTGTTCAAGCCAGGGGTGGGTGAACTTTTTCCATAAAGGGCCACATGGAAAACATTTTAGGCTCTGTGTGGGCCATGAGATCTCTGTTGGCACTACAACCCTAAAAACAACCATAGACAATGTGTAAATGAATGGGTACACCTATGTTCCAATAAAACTTTACTTATAAAAATAGATGGTGGGCTGAATTTGGCCCTGAGGGCCAGAGTTTGCTGCGTATTTTGTTTGTTTGTTACTTGCAGCTGACCTATCCTAACTAGTACTCCCTGAAGTCTGCCTCAGCTCAGAAGCGTCCTTGGGTTCCAAGCCACAGGGGCTAAGCTTGAGTGTGGGTGGGGTCTGCAGCAGGGTGGTGGGAGGGATAAGCACATAAAGGCCCACACATTGATCTGCCCTTTCTATGGTCCAGGTCGTGCTTTCCTGCAATATCTTCTCATCATGGGCCTAGCAATCATGATGGGAAGGCCTCACTTTAAGAGAATGCTTTCAGCATTTCCAGGCGGTCCCTGCTTGCCCTCAACACTACATGTAGGCCTCAGCCTCCACACCTAGCATGTTTGTTAAGCAAGACTAAGCCACATGAAGCAACAGGGCAAGGGGAGGGCCCTTGTGTTCTCAGGGTCCCACGGCAGAAGTGTGGTTCCGGGAGAAATGGGGGAGTGTGCCCTTCCCTGAACAAGCATATTCCCTCAGTGTGGAGGAGCCCCTCCAAAATTTACAAGTGCTGTGATGACACGATGCTCATTCAGACCATCAGCTGCAGACAGATTGCAGAAATATGTAAGGGCTCTGTCCTTGGAGGTAGGATCTGGTTGCTCCTTGTTCCCTAAGCTTGGCCCTGAAGGGAGGGCAGGATTCCAGCCAGAGTGAATGAAGAGTGAGGCTTTGGGGAAGGGCTCGGATTGCCTCTCGTGCTTGTGTTCAGATTCCTGCTGATTGGTTGTTCCCCAGGGAGACGAGGCTTCGAGGCCAGGTCTCTGCTCTGAGTTAACTTCACCACCCTGCACCTTGGTGGCAGTAAGAGAGCGACCTCAAAGGGCCGCTGAGAGAATTGAGGTGGATGCCTGTACAGCTCTAGTTATGGCACCCATTCCGGCCCCTGGCAAGCTCTTACTACGGTTGCAGGTGTAATTTCCAGTCTCTGCCTCCAGGGATTGCTGCTGAGCACAGACACGTTTCTCTGCTCACAGAGTGAGGCCGCCAAGATGATTCTCAGATCTCTGGTTCTGTATACAGCCCAGATAGCCTGTGAAAGGGGGAATGATAACCCCCAAAGATGTCCACGTCCTAACCTCCAGAACTAGTGAATGGGATGTTGGCAGAAGAGACTCTGTGGATGAGATTACTTCAAAGATTTGCGACGGGGAGACTATCGTGGGTTATCTGTGTGGATACGCAATGTAATCACAAAGTGTCCTTATAGATGAAGAGGGAGGCAGAGGAGATTCGACTACAGAAGAGAAGGTGATGCGACCGTGGAGGCAGAGATTGGAGTGATGTGCCCACAATTCACAATGCCAGCAGCCACCAAAGAGGCAAGGAATGGATTCTCCTCTAGGGCTTTTACCAAGGGTCCTGGCAACACCTCAGTTTTAGTCCAGGAAGACTCGTTTTGGATTTGTGACCTCCAGAACTATGAGAGAATACATCTGTGTTGTTTGAAGCTGCCAGGTTTGCAGTAGTGTGTTAGAGCAGCGTGGAAAATCCATTGAGTCCCATTGCCCTGCTTTTTATGCCTTGATGCCTTGTACAAAAGCAGAAAATGGTATGGATGGAATGGGAGGTCATTATGTTAAGTGAAACAAGCCAGGCACAGAAAGACACACATTGCGTGTTCTCACTGATTTGTGGGATCTAAAAATCAAAACAGTTCAACTCATGGAGCTAGAGAGCAGAAAGGTGGTTACCAGAGGCTGGGAAGAGGAGTGGGGGGCTGAGGGCAGGTGGGGATGATGTTAGAAAGAATGAATAAGATATACTGTTTGATCACACAGCAGGATGACTGTAGTCATTAATAATTGTACATTTACAAATAACTAAAAGACTGTAATTAGATTGTTGGTATTAGAAAGGATAAATGTGCCGGGTGCAGTGGCTCAGGCCTGTAATCCCAGCACTTTGGGAGGCCGAAGTGGGCGGATCATGAGGTCAGGAGATCGAGAGCATCCCCGTGAACACTGTGAAACCCCATCTCTACTAAAAATACAAAAAAAATTAGCCTGGCATGGTGGCGGGCACCTGTAGTCCCAGCTGCTCAAGAGGCTGAGGCAGGAGAATGGCATGAACCTGGGGGGCGGAGCTTGCAGTGAGCAGAGATCACGCCATTGCACTCCAGCCTGGGTAACAGAGCTGGACTCCATCTCAAAAAAAAAAAAAAGAAAGAAAGAAAGGATAAATGCTTCAGGGATGGACACCTCATTCTCCATGATGTGCTTATTTCACAGTGCATGTCTGTATCAAAACATCTCATGTACCTCACATATATATGCACCTAATGTGTACCCAGAAAAAAATGAAAAAGAGCATAAAAGAAAAAAAAAACAAAAAACAAAAGCAGAAAAGAGGGCAAATGAGAGTGGGACTGTGATCTCATTTTGCCCAGGATGAAGCTGGGTGACCCGGGTACAGAGCAAGCCCCTTGGCTTCTTGAGCTCCCATGTGCAGAGTGAGGGGCGGATGCAGGGGCAGGGTGTGACTTTGATGAACATTCCCTCCAGGTGGCTCTGCCCTCGGCCCCCTCTCAGGATTGTTTGTAGCTCTTTGCCTCTTCTTGGCCATTTGGAGTTTTCAGGGGCCCTACTAGGTCCTCTTGACTTCTCACTTTGCTCTCCTTGGTGGTCTAATTCATGGCCAAGGGCCCACCTGCCGTCCAGACACTGCTTTTCAACCTGACCTCTCAGCTCCAGGCTGGTTATTTCCAACAGCCTACTTGGGTGTCTCAAAGGCACTTTACACTCAATGTGTCCAACACTGAACTCAAGGCTCCCGGCATCGCCATTCAGTTATCCCTCCACATTTCCAACCCTATGGATTGCACTAGCGTCTGTCCATTATGCAGGCCAGGCTGCAAAGGCTGTCTCAACGCTGCCCTTATGCTGTCGGGGCTTAGAACATGACACCCCAAAGCGTGGTGCCTCAGCCTGAGTATTTTGAACTGAAGGACATTGGAAGGAACTCAGAAGCAAGGTCTTTCCAACCTCCTCAGACCCTCTCTTCTGCTTGCCTTCATCCTCCAAAGTGAGTCACAGAAACCAGAATTTATCTTCCTCAAGATGGGTCATAGAACCTAGAAACCCTCCTGCTAAAGCAAACCATAAAACCTAGAAAGGTCACTCTCTATCTTCTCCTTCTCCTTTGAAAACTCTCATTTCAGAAAGGGTCCCGCCCCATACCCAGGAGGAATGGAGGCTACACAGAGAGGCTGAGAAGAATCTGAGCAGACAGTTTTGCTGGGTCCCCTTTCAGTCTGTTCCCAGTAGGTCATACCCGTTTGTCCAATCACATTTCTATCTGGCTGTCCATTCTTCATCTAATCTAAGCATAAAAATTAACAGTTTTCCCTGGGCCTTTGGGTTGTCATTTCTGAAGCCTCCCATGTCACATAAAACTTGGATTAAATAAATTTGCTCTGTTTTTCTCTTGTTAATGTGTCTTTTGTTATAGGAGTGTTGGCCGTGACCCTTAAGATGGATAAGTAAAGGACTCACACCTTCACAGCTCTACAGCCCCATCTCCAATAAGTAGCCACACCTGCCACTTCTACCCACAAATACCTGGATTCCGCTCATCTCTTCCCATTGTCATTCCTACCACTCAATTCCCTGTCACCATCATCTCCTGATGGGTCTTCTGGAGCAGCTTCCTCACTCATCTCTCCAGTTCATCCCTTGCTTCTACCAGTCTATCCTTGCTACGGTAAAACGGGCATTTGAGAAAGGCAATTACACGGTTACCCCTCCCCTGCTCAGCACTCTCCAATTTGATGGACACCAAAATCCTTGCCTTGGTCCCCTTGGTCCTGCGTGCCCTCCTCTCTGGCCTCATCTCAAGCCACTGCCCTCGTGCTGCACTCTTCCTCTGTAATCCACACTGCTGGCTTCTTTTCCTTGAATGTGCTATGCTCTCTCCTGCTGCAGGAGGGCCTTGCACTTGCTGCTTCCTCTTCTTTCTTCTAGTGAATTCCTATTCCTCCTTCAGCTCTCCATTCAAGCCAGTGCCTCAGGGAAGTCTTCCCTCACCTCTAGACCAGGTCTGGTGTCCCTGCCATGAAGCCTCACAACACCATCCAGCTTTCCTTCCTTGCATCTGTCATAGCTTTTGATCATACAATGATGTGTGGGACTTTCTGAATAGTGGTCCCTCTTTACCAATTAACTGTGAGCCTCAAGAGAAAGGAATAATGTCTGTTTGCTCCTCCTCTGTATCCCTAGTGGTGGTAGAAGAGGAGATCAATAATTATCCTCAAATGAACTAAAATGAATGGATGCTTAGATTTTTTTTTTTTTTTTTTTTGAGACAGGGTCTTGCTCTGTTGCCCAGATGTGATGATCATGGTTCACTGCAGCCTCAACCCCTGGGGCTCAAGTGATCCTCCCACCTCAGCCTCCCAGGTAGCTGGAACTACATGCATCCACCTCTATGCCTGGCTAATTTTTGTATTTTATTTTATTTTATTTTTTTAGAGATGGGCTATTTTTACGTTGCCCAGACTCGTCTCGAACACCTGGGCTAAAGCAATCTGCCCACCTCGGCCTCCCAAAGTACTGGGATTACAGGCAGGAGCCACTGTGTCTGGCCCAATGCTTAAGATCTTTTGAGACAAAAAGGAGGAAGTGGGAGATAGTTTCAATACCACAGGAAGCTCAGAAAAAAAAACACCCCCCAACCCCCCCAAAAAACACACATGTATTTATTTGATATTTGGCTGTGCAGGTTAAAAAGTTATTTATTTATTTATTTGCTTTTGGAAAAACTCGAGTCAGCTTGATGAGGTCACTTTTTCCTGCTACTCCTTCTTATTTGGGGAGTAAAGGGACTTCCATGATCTGGATGGATGATTGTGATGAGGAGGTTACCGGGATTGCCCTGAGAGAATGGACTGTGAGCTTTCAGGGATGGAAGCTGCATCTTCATCTCTATAATCCCTTGTTTGGCACAGTGTCAGCCTGAGAAGATGCTTGGCGACAAATATGAATTATGGCACACACTGTTAATTTCTTACCCATGAGCAGTTCCTTTGCTTGCTAACAGAAAATCCTGATTTTGCTTGGATAAACAAAGTGTCCAGTGTCAGGTGATGACTCAAGGTTGGTTTAAGCCAGGCTGGGGCCTTTTGTTCCTTTTTGCCTGATACTTGAAAGAGTTTACAGTAGGGACTGTCCTGTGGTCCACTTCTGGATAATGAGACATAAGGAGAAGTCTGCTGTGTCCTTCTAAGAAGATTTTCTTCACTGGTTAAAGGCGAGAGACACATCAAGAAAAGCCCCCCTTGACATAGCTTCCTCCATCTTGTTCCTGGAGTCTGAACTTGGTCATGATGGCTGGAGCTATAACAGCCATCCTGTGATCATGAAGCTCCAAGGGTATAAAGCAGTAATATTCAGGAAGGTGGAGCCTTTGGACAAAATGATAAAAGGAATCTGGGGCCTCAGCTACATCACTGAGCCTTTTCAAGTCCTTGCCTTCTTCCTCTTAAATCCTGTTATGTTACATAACTAAATGTCTTTATTGCAAAAGCCACAAGTAGTCAGGCTTTCTGTTATTCACAGCTGAAAGCATTTCTCTTATTTTCAAATAATTTCAGACTTATAGAAGAATTAATTGTAAGGCAAAGAACTTTCATGACCTTCACCCACCTTCACCAATTGTTATTTGCCACATTTACTTTCTCCATCTATATAGTCTATTCTACTCTATTATCTTTCCCTGAACCATTTGAAATTCAGTTGCAGGCATCCTTCTCCTCTCCCTTAAACATTCCAGAACATATTCCATCAGAACAAGAAGACTCTAGTGCTCAAGTTCGGGGAATTTGAGGTTGATGCCATACAATCGTGTAGTCCTTGATAATTGTCTAATATACAGTTCACTTAAAATTTCGCCAACAGTCCCAATAATGCCCTTTAAGGCACGTTTCCCCTGATCCAGCTGTCATACCTTTTTAGTCTCCCTTAATCTGGAACAGTTCCTCTGCCTCTTTTTGTCTATCATGGGGTTGACGCCGAAGAACAGTTCAGGTCAGTCCTTGAAGGTCCCTCCATCTGTGTTTGTCTGATGTTTCCTCCAGGGACCGGAATGCTACAGAAGCAATGCTGTGTTCTCAGTGTATCACATCAAGAAACACTTGGCACCCATTTGTCCTATTCCTGGTGTTGTTAACTTTGTTCAGCTCATTAAGGGAGGACCTGCTGGGTTTCTCTACTGTTAAGTTACCACTTTTTCTCTTTGCAATTAATAAACCATATGAGTGGAAGTGCTATGAGACAATGAAAACATACTTTACCTTCCTAAATTTTCACTCAGTGATGATTCTTCCTTGAATAAACTATTATGATCATGTTTGCAAATGGAGTTTTCTATTATTCCCTCTGTATTTATTCATTGGCATTCTACTGTAAGAAAGTCTTCTTCCTTCTTCCCTCCCTCCGTCCCTCCCTCCCTCTCTCCCTCCCTCCCTCTCTTCTTCTTTCTTTTCTTCCTTCCCTTTTCTTTCTTTCTATAGCTATAGGTTCCCATTTTATTCAATAGACTATAATCTACCATTATCATTATTAATTTGGATGCTCACATCATCCTAGATTTGGCCAGTGGAAGCCCCTTGAAGTTGATTGATGTGTCCTTTGACATGTCCCTGTCATTTTTTAAATGCTTCCTTGCTTTCTGGCACCACACAGCACTCTGGGCTCACCTTGTACTTCCCTACCCCAGCCTTAGCATCAGCCATTTCTACAAGGAGCTCTGAGTCCTTTTAGTGAAGGGTGGTATTTATAAACCACAATCTGGATGGTTTGTGGATATTGCACAGCATTCAGTCAGAAGCCATGGGAAATGAAGCGACATTTATTGAAACTTGTATTAGTCAAGCAACTTAATGCTAGGCTAAGTTGCAGTGAGTAATAATCCCTAACCCCAGTGACAGTGCAGAAAAAGAAGGGTTTCATATGTGGAGTGTGATGCATGTCAATGGGAGTTTCCTCCACCTGGTGACTCAGGTATCCAGGCACATTCATCTCTGCGGGTCTGCCATCTTGACACGAGGTCATTGCAGAAGGAGAGAGGGTGTAGAGTCATGCCAGTTCTTAGGTGCTCCTGACAAGGAGATCTGCAGCACTCTGCTCACATTCCTGTTTTCCAGAACTCAGCCAGTACCCAGTGCAACTGCCAAAGAGTCTGGGAAGCATAGAGAGTACACGGATAGCTGGAGATCCCTCATCACTACTGTCATGATATGTTCATTTATGCAATACATATCAATGGGTTCACCCCAGTCAGGCTGACTCCAAGAGGCTAAGATGACTTCACCTTGGGTGGTTTGCAGCTGGGAAAGAAAGGCAAGTCGGCACCGATCGAAGAGATCATTCACTTCAGTGGGCTGTCGAGCTGTGCTAGAGGCAGGTGCAGTGTGCTGCAGAAATACAGATGGTGACTACTACCCTGGAGTCTTGGGGAGATCCTGGTGTGCATTGGTGTGGGGTTGGAAAGGTGAGTTGGCACTCACCCCCTTCAAGAAGAAGTGGGAAGGACATTTCAGACAGGGGCAAGTGCAAACGCACAGGGCCTGAAAGAACTAGGCTGGGAGAAGAGGATGGCATTGGAATGGGTGGGAGAGGGGTCTGCTGGGGAAAGCTGGGGAGGCAAGAGACGAGGCTGGACAAGCAGATTGTGAAGGGCCACACTGAGGAGCTGGGGATTAGTACATTAATTTTTATTAATTGGATTAATGATTAATAATGTGGGTGGCAGGGAATCATAGGGAGTGTGAAGAACACTGTGGTTGTGTTTTAGGAGGATTGCCTTGGTGGTAGAGCGTTGGATGGAGGAGATAGGAGTGGGGGTGAACACATCAACACAGAGACCTGCCCAAAGGCTCTGGCAGCCATGCAAGCAAAAAGCGTCGAGGACCTCAATTAGGAGGTAGCACTGGGGATGGATAGAAGGGGTTGGCTGGTGGAGCCATTTTGAGATAATGAATCAATAATAGCTTCCATCTATTGTGGATTGTCAAGATGTATTATTGGCTCACAATCCTTCCTGGCCTTTCCACATTCCTGCGACTTCCCTGTGGACAGGACAGAGCAGATTTCTTGCTGTGCACATGACCAGCTTTGGCTAGAGATGCATGAGCAGAGTTAGTGCATGCCTGGTCTGACTGGAGGCTCTAACTGAATGTGGTGTTGGGTGGCAGCACTGACCCTACCCCTGCACAATGAGAAGAGCAAGCTCCGGGGAACCACTGGCCTGTGAATGAGACACACAGAAGCAAACAGAGCCTGGCCCCCAGTCCGAGGCAAGGCTTCCCAGCTCACTGCAAATTATTAGCAAGAAATAAACACTTGTTTTGAGCTGCTGAGCCCCTGGGGCTGTGTGTTATGCAGCAATGCTGTAAAAACACTTGACCAATACAGGGACTTGCCCTTTCGTAAGTACAGCATCTCATTTACCCATGATATCTCTTCATAGTAAGGATTAGGGATGCCATTTTAAAGATGAGGCAACTGAGGCTTAGAGAGGTTACGTCACTTGCTTAAGGTTCCAGAGCTGGTAAGTCAGAGAAGGATTTGAAGCCAGGACTGTCTCGTAAGCCCATCCTTCTGCCTCTGTCTACACAGTGCTGCCTTTCAAAGGTGGCAAGCTCTTGAGTTAGCCATTTTAACCTGCCAGAAACCTCCTTGCTCCTGAACTGGGGAGAGGGACTGAGCTTTGGATTTCAAGAGGAGGATCTAGGGCCACCATCAGGGGTCCTGTGCTTGAGGTGATGTGGCTGGCTCATCACCTGAGCCTTTCCACCTGCCCCTCCCCATCCCCTCCCCTCTACCCTGCTCCCTGCCCTGTGCCAAGCTGAGCACATTGGCAGGGCTGGTGGCTGGGAGCTCAGCATGTATCCTGTAGCCACAGAACAGAGCTTTTCTTGCTATAATACAGAGTTCAGTCTTGATATCAGCAGTGGGTGCAGCAAAATCCCACCGATTTTCTTATCAAGTTTTCCATTTGTGTCAGTGAAGCAAATCCAATTTAAAATACATCTTCAGAAAAAGGAGGGTCAGTGAGTTCAAACAGAAGAATATTTGCTAACTGGATCAGGAAACCTCGCTCTGTGCTAAACTGTTTGAGGAAAATCCTCTTAGCACAATTTTGCAGGAGCCAGGCATGTGAAAGGATCATTTCCTCACTATCATCCCCTGAGATCAGGGCTCTGGCTGGATGAAACGAGGCAGCTGCTTAGCTGATTAGAGCCTGTGCTGATGAGGCTGAGCTCTGAAAGTCAACATCAGGGAGAGATCTTGGTTTCCAGTAGTTTTTAATTCTTCCCAACTCTTTGTGGGAAAGAGCCTGGGTAAGACAGGACACCAACTACTTGCTCAAAACCACCATCCCCACCAGACAAGCAGCTCATGGAACCCTCCCTGGGAAAGACTGAAGGCTGTGGAGACCTAGCTGCATATTATATTATATTTTGCATTATAAGGTCTTATCGATACAGAGAAAACTCTCAATTTCAAAAAATGATGAGAAACTCAGTCTTTTTTTTTTTTTAGATAGTCTTGCTCTGTCTCATCTCCCAGGCTGGAGTGCAGTGGCACGATCTCAGCTCACTGTAACCTCTGACTCCTGGTTCAAGTTATTCTTCTCCCTCAGCCTCCCGAGTAGCTGGGATTACAGGTGTCTGCCACCTCACCCAGCTAATTTTTGTATTTTTAGTAGAGATGGGGTTTTGCCATGTTGGTCAGGCTGGTTTGAGCTCCTGACCTCAGGTGATCTACCCACCTCAGCCCCGAAAGTGCTGGGATTAAAGGCGTGAGCCACCACACCTGGCCAAAAAATGAAGAGAAACTCAGTGTTTTGGATAACAGGGAGAATGTTTAGTGTTCTAAAAATGTATCCTTTCACATGTAAAGCTTCTTGCCTCTGAGCCTTTGCCAGTGCTGTTCCGTCTGCTAGGGTCGTACTTCCACCCTGCATGCTGGTGAATTCCACTTTGCCCTCCAGCCCAAGCATCATATTTTCCAGACAGTCATTTGCCATGCTGCCCACCAAACAGGCTGTCCCTTGTTCTCATGCCACTGCTGAACATTGTTTATTCCTTGTGCTAGGCAGGGCTCTGTCAGTTGTAACAACTGAAACTCCACTTAGACATGTTTCAGCTGAAGGGTGACTTATTGATTTTTATAACTGCAAAGACCATGGTATGCCTGAATTTGGAGGTTCAAGTAAGTTATTTTCTCTCTCTCTCTCTCTCTCCTCTTCCTCTCCTCCTTCTCATTTTCCTTCTCTTTTTCTTTCCTCTCCTCCTTCCCTCCGTTCTTCTTTTCCTTCTTTTTCTCTTTCTCCCTCTCTCCTTACTTTTTTCTCTTTCTCTCCTTTTAATTTGCTCTATTCTCTATATGGGCCTCGTTCCTTCTACTGCAAATAAGGAAAATGACCACCTGGAAACCCAAAAGGCCCACCACATCCCAGCAGAGCCACCCCAGCTGAAAGAAACCCAGCTTCTCTCTCCAGCTTCTACACATCAATCCAGGCCAGAACTCCATCTGACCCTTGTGAGACATGCTTCCACACCTCGGTGGACCACTGAGGCTCGGGAATTCAGCATAATGATGGGCACTTCTGGGGTCATGGGCCTTCCCTGTAGCTAAGGTGACAAAAGGACAGACTGGTCTGGAATGTCCATGCCAGCTGGCTTACATGCCCAGCCATTGATGCTGGCTGCTTTCTGGGAGCTCAGTTGTGCTCTAGACCAGAAAACCTCCATGTGGCCTCTCCACATGACCCTCATTTCTCAGCATGGTGGCTGCGGCCCAACGGGGAGACTCTCATGAGCAAAGTTTCCAAAAGACCAAAGTGGCAGCTGCGAGCCTCCTCATGGCTGAGCCTCAGCCCCCATGCAGCATCAGAGCCACTGCAGTCTTGGCTTCCCAGGAGGCCAGCCCAGAAGCAGCAAGAAAGGGGACCTGGAAACCAGGAGGTTTGGTTCGAGGGAAGGCCCTCTGATATAATTTGGATATTTATCTCCACCCAGATTTCAAGTTAAATTGCAGTCTCCAGTGCTGGAGTTGGGGCATGGTGGGAGTTGTTTTGACCATGGGGGTAGATCCCTCATGGCTTGCTGCTGTCTTTGAGATAGTGAGTTCTTGTGAGATCTGGTTATTTAAAAGTGTGTGGCATGTCCCTCCCCACACCCACCGACTCTCTCTTCCTTGTTCCTGCTTTGGCCACATGATGTGCCTGCTCATGATTGTAAACTTCCTAGGCCTCCTTAGAAGCCAAGCAGATGCCAGCACCATGCTTCTTGTGAAGCCCGCAGAACAATGAGCCAATACAAACTCTTTTCTTTATAAATTAACATCTCAGATATTTCTTTATAGCAACGCAAGAATGGCCTGATACGCCATCTTTGGAGACTAGCTAGCACATGGGCCTTCTCCATCTGTAGCTACACTTCTAGAACAGACATGGCTTCCAAGGCCACTGCAGCAGCTGGAGGAAGAGCTCAGGGTCCTGTGGGATGTTCCTCAGGCTCAGATCTGTGGTTCCGCCCACATTCTATTGGCCATAATCTCGCTCCCTAGCCTCCACTTGACAGCAAGGAACCTAAGGGAAGGGATCTGCTGAGGGCAATCTCTGCCACAAGGAGCAAGTGAAAGCAAGTAGAGAGGAAGCCAAGACTGATGCCCAAGTGGGAGAGGTGCTGAGGAGAGAGGTCTTTTTTTTTTTTTTTGACAGAGTTCTGAATGTTTCAGAGTAGTCCAAGTGCACCCAAAAGCACAATAATTAAATGAGGGGCAGGAGAGTGGTTTAGAAGAAGATTGTTTTTCTGGATTCAGCTCCAACAAAGTTTGTCCTGCAGGTCTTGGTGCTGTGCCATGGTCCTTCTCGCCAATAATATTCAGCCTGGATACCCCGCTGTGGCTCTACCAGGGAGGAAAATATTTTCCTGCCACTGCCCTGAGCCTCCTGACTGACCCCAGCTGCCTTAGACATCCCAGCTTTTGGGACTACCCCAGACCTCCCTATAACCAGCAATCAGAGGCTGGCACAGCAAGGGTGCTTTGGAACCCTGCCTGGTGCTCCAGGGTGACAGGCAGCACCTGCTGTCATTGGTCAGTGTCTGTGCAGTATTTGCTAGAGTTTTGTGGATCTCAGCCTTGAAATCTGTGTCTTTCTATAGTCAAAGGATCTGAGTTGGGAGAAGGCACCTAGATATGCTCCACCATAGCGTTCTGGTGTTTCCTGTCATCTCTGAAGCCTCTGAGCTCTTATAACAGGGGCTTAAAGATGGTAGCATTGAGATATGAAGGCTTGTAGTTGTTGTCCAGTTCAGGGGACTTTAACTCCAGGTATCTGGAACTTAGAATAAATCCTCATGCCCTCACCATGGCAACAGGGCTCACCTCCTCTGTCTCATACCTCTCCCTCCCTTGGCCACTATTGCTACAGATATCCTGACCCTTTTACCTCTTTATCAAATAAGCCCACTCTGCCCCAGGGCCTTTGCATGGGCTTACTTTCCTCCAAGAATAATTTACTCCTGATATTTGCCTGACTAAATCCTTCTCACCTTTCTGATTGCAAAGAGGCTTCCTTGACAACTCATTCTGAAGCAGCTTTTCCCTCCAGTCTAGCTACTTTCTCTTTCGTTATTCTGTTTGATTTTATTTATAGCACTTAGCACTGTATGACATTGTTTATTTTGAAATTGTTTATTTCTCTCTCCTCAATAATATAAGCCCAAAAAAGACAAGGAATATGTTTTTGATTCTGTTTCTATCCCCGGGCCCTAGAATAGGGTCTGGGAGATAGTTGCAGCAGAATCCCTAGCTGAAATGGCAATCTTGTGCTAACTGGAAAAAAAGAGCTCCCTTGCCCCCATCCCTGTTTTTTTTTTTTTTTTTTTTTTTTTTTTTAGATGGAATCTCCCTCTGTTACCCAGGCTGGAGTGCAGTGGTGTGATTTCGAAGAGAGCCCTTTCTTGATATACTTTGTCATCTTCTGCTAGAAGTTTTTTATACTCATTATACAAACCCACCCTATCTGTTACTTACACACCCTGTATGGCCCTGCTTCCACCCCAGCAAAAATGCTTGTGGAATGAATGAATGGGTTGGTGGAAGTCAGGGGGACTGGAACATCTGAAAACAAATGTCAGTGTGTGTGGCCAGCGTCTGTGCACCTTTCTTGATTGATTGAATCTTCTGTGCATTGATTTCATGGTATTGGGCACAGAATCCCCTTTTTTGCTCATTACCAACAAAGATTTGTCAAGCACCCACTCACTGTGTTCACTTGGGGAATTCAGACATGAACAAGACACAATTTCTTGATTTAAGAAGCTGAGATTCTAGAAGGCCAGGCAGTGATGTGAAAGATGGTGCATTCCAGGGTCATAATGGCTACACTAGGAGCCAGCCCAGGGCTCTCCTGGAGCACAGGACACCTGTTCAGTGCAGAGGACTCAGTAAGTCTTTCTGGAGAAGTGATTGAGCTGGCTCTGCAGGATGGAGAGGTTTGAAAATTGCTAAGTGCTTTGTACAACTTATAAAAATCCACGTTGCCCAGTTTCCAAGCAGTCTCATGTTCAGTAGACAAAAGGCAATTTTCAAACTGAAATTCTTTACTTGCATTTCTATTTCTATTTTCCTTCCTTCCTTTCTTCCTTCCTTCCTTCCTTCTTTCCTTCCCCCACCCCACCCCCTGAGTCTTGCTCTGTTGTCCAGCAGACTGGAGTGCAGTGGTGTGATCTCGGCTCACTGCAACCTCCAACTCCTGGGTTTGAGTAATTCTCCTGCCTCAGCCACCTCTCTATCTTTCTGTAGCTGGGATTACAGACACATGCCACCATGCCTGGCTAACCCAGATGCGGTTTCACCATGTTGGCCAGGCTCTTCTTGAACTCCTGACTTCAAGTGATCCACCTGCCTCTGCCTCCCAAAGTACTGGGATTACAGGTGTGGGTCACCGTGCCCGGCCCTTTACTTGCATTTCTTAAGTTGTGTGAAGTCAGTAGGGATTGTTCTCTAGAATTCCCTTTTACTCTCCTATCCACATTCCCCTAGATTGTAGTTCCCTCACCTCTTTCACACAATCTTACCTGCAAAACTCCACCCACAGCTTTCAATACCTCTCCCACTTCTCTGCTCTTTATTGTGAAGACAAGCACAGTTTCTTCCTTTTGGGACCATTCCTCCCTGCTCTGGCTTTTCAGGTCTAATAATGTATCCATCCTCTATCACAAAAGCCAAGCTAGAATCCTCTTTGGAGCACAGCCCAGGTCAAGAAACTGCATAGATACAGCAGAGGGAGAAACGAGGTTCAGAACACTCATGCATTAACTGTTTTGATCTCATCACAGTTTCTTCCTTTTTTTTTTTTTCTGAGGTGGAGTCTCGCTCTGTCACCCAGGCTGGAGTGCAGTGGTGCCATCTTGGCTCACTGCAACCTCTGCCTCCCACACGCCACCATGCCTGGGTAATTTTTGTATTTTTAGTAGAGACAGAGTTTCACCATGTTGGCGAGGATGGTCTCAATCTCCTGACTTCATGATCTACCTGCCTCGGCCTCCCAAAGTGCTGGGATTACAGGCCTGAGCCATCACACCTGGCTGGTCTCATCACACTTTCTAAACGACTATTATTAACTCATTTCCCAGATGAGAAAACTGAAGCTCAGAAAGATCAAGCGACCTGCCCAATATCCCAAAGCTATTAAGTGCCTATTCTTCCTGCCTGCCATACTTCCCTTCCCTCTGTCTTCCCCTTTGCCTACTTAACTGTGATTCAACCCAAAGAGAAATTTCCCCAGGAAAGCCTTTCCTAAACATCTTGCCTTGGCCAACCTCCCCAACTACTGTACACTTCGATAAGGCTGTGAACTTTCCCTTCACAGCCCTTGTCACATTCGTAATTGTTCATTTCCTTGGATTATTCCTGGGTTAAAGTCTATCTAGACTTTACGCATTTTTTTTTTTTTTTTTGAGATGGAGTCTGGCTCTGTCGCCCAGCCTGGAGTGCGGTGGTGTGATCTTGGCTCACTGCAAGCTCCGCTTCCTGGGTTCACACCATTCTCCTGCCTCAGCCTCCAAAGTAGCTGGGACTATAGGCGCCTGCCACCATGCTCAGCTAATTTTTTGTATTTTTGTAGAGAGGGAGTTTCACTGTGTTAGCCGGGATGATCTCAATCTCCTGACCTCATGATCCACCCGCCTCAGCCTCCCAGAGTGCTGCGATTATAGGCATGAGCCACTCTGCACAGCCTAGACTTCAAGCTTTTAGAATAGCGTCTCTCTCTCTCTCTCTCTCTTTCTCTGTCTCCCTCCCATTGTATAACCAGTGAGTAAAACAACATCTGGGACATGTCAGTACTTGCTAAATATTTACTGAATAAAAGAATGAATGACTGAAATTCAAACCCGTGTCTCCAAAATCCAAGTTCTTGTCTGACATCATGACTTGTTGTTCTCCAGGAGAACAGGAGACGTCTCTCTCTGTCTCCTAGGCTGAGATTGCAGTGGTGCAATCTCAGTTCACTGTACCCTCTGCCTCCTGGGCCCAAGTGATCCTCCCACCTCAGTCTCCCAAGTAGCTGAGATCATAGGCATGGACCACCATGCCTGGCTAATTTTTGTATTTTTAGTAGAGACAGGGTTTCGCCATGTTGGCCAGGCTGGTCTTGAGCTCCTGGCCTCAAGTGATCCACCTGCCTTGGCCTCCCCAAGTGCTAAGATTACAGGCACGAGCCACCATGCACAGCCATGCATATCTCCTTTATGTAACTTAACAACATCTGCAACGTTTGTTTGTGTGAGTTTTTTTATTCTGCCTGCATTTGTGTATGTGAGTCTTTTCCTATGGATTTTTCCCACCATGGCTGTAAGCACCATGAGAGTGAGGAAAATAGCTGTTTTGCTTTATCATATTTTCTCTGGTGCCTAACAAAGTACCTGGAACACAAGAGAGTAACTAATGGGATAAATACACGCATTAATGGGATTTGTCAATGAAGGGAAAAATTTAGTGCATTAGCTTGAATGAGGAGGTAGGTCCTACTGGCCTCTTGGGTAGAGGCCAGGGCTGCCACTAAACATTCTACAATATACAGGACAGCCTCCCACACCAAAAACTATACAGCTTAAAATGTCGATAGTGCTGAGGTTGAGAAATCCTGGTTTGACATATTATTCCTGTGTTAAAATTAATATATGTAAAACAATTTCCTCAGTTGTTAACATGGCATTTTTATCAAGCAATTTTGTTTTCTCTGAAATATACCTCAGATTGTTTTTAGTTTTTCCAGGGGAAACTATTCATCTTTTACTAGAGAAAAGAATATGGCAAACAGTGAATCTGTGTTTCAGGAAGGGTAACGTCGTTTTTCTTTTAATTTCCCTTTTGAAGCTCTCGGGGTGCTACCAACATCTTGGAAATCTGGATAATTTGAGTATTACTAAGGGAATAGTTTCATTCTACATGCTACAAATGTTTAATCATTTTATTTATCTAAAGCTCCTTTCTTGGCCAGGTGCGGTGGCTCATGCCTGTAATCCCAGCACTTTGGGAGGCTGAGGCAGGTGGATCACCTGAGGTCAGGAGTTGGAGACCAGCCTAGCCAAAATGGCAAAACCCTGTCTCTACTAAAAAAGTATAAAAATTAACTGTGTGTGGTGGTGCGTGCCTGTAATCTCAGCTACTTGGGAGGCTGAGGCAGGAGAATTGCTTGAACCCAGGAGGTGGAGGTTGCAGTGAGCTGAGTTTTCGCCACTGCACTCCATCCTGGGCAACAGAGCAGGACTTCTTCTCAAAATGAATGAATGAATGAAAGAAGGAGAGGGAAAGGAAGCTCCTTTCTCTTCTATTCCCAGTATTGCACCCCAAAAATAAGTAATCCATAAACCCCCAATGTATATTTCTGTTTTCTTAACTAGTTCTGAACAAAATGTTCAGTGTTGGCTGGGCATGGTGGCTCATGCCTGTAATCCTAGCACTTTGGGAGGCTGAGGCTGAGGTCAGGAGTTTGAAACCAGCCTGGCCAATGTGGTGAAACCCCCTCTCTACTAAAAATACAAAAATTAGCTTGGCGTGGTGACGTGTGCCCGTAATCCCAGCTACTCAAGAGGCTGAGGCAGGAGAATCACTTGAATCCTGGAGGCAGAGATTGCAGTGAGCCGAGATCGTTCCACTGCACTCCCGCCTAAAACTCCATCTCAAAAAAAAGCAGGTGTTTTACTCTTAAAATAAGACATTAAAAAAATACTTCTGTTGTCTCCCCTCTTAGAACTGGCAATCTCTTCCTTCTCCACCCTCATCCCCTGCTGTAATTCTATATTGAAATATCATTGTATTTTGTGCCAAATGTCTTTGTATAAAACCAACTTAGTTCTGTGAGAAGAGTTGTACGTTTTTAATATTTTTGTTCTTTTTGTAGACTGCAGGAACAAAAATAGCCTTCCTATAGTAAGGTGGCAATTCACATTAAGAATGTAGATAAGCAAATTTAAACTTTTAAATGTAATTTGTCTAAAAAAATTGAAAAACAGTGTATAGTAAAAATCTCTCTTCCAACCAACGGAAAGTACTTTTATGTAAGATCCTTTAAGTTACTGACTTGAATCTTTACGTAAGGTAATTTGCTAGTATCTATTTTATAAATAATGTTATTTAATACTGTTTTATTTTCTATAGAATCCTGGTGTTTTTCCATGTAAATTTTTAAAAATTCTTAAAGTATGTATCCCTCATTTTCCCCTATAGTTGTTTGCTTCTACTTCTGTTTTTAAGAGATAGCATCTCAGTTGTTTAAGCTGGAATGCAGTAGCATGATCATGGCTTACTGCAACCTTGACTTCTTAGGCTCAAGCAGTCCTCCTGTCTCAGCCTCTAGAGTAGCTGGGATCACAAATGCATGCCACCATACCTGGCTAACTTTTCTTTTCTTTTCTTTTTTATTTTTTTGAGATGGAGTCTCACACTATCACCGGGCTGGAATGCAGTGGCGTGATCTCAGCTCACTGCAACCTCTGCCTCCCAGGTTCAAGTGATTCTCCTGCCTCAACCTTCCAAGTAGCTGGGATTACAGGTGCCCACCACCATGCCCAGTGAATTTTTTGTATTTTTTTTGATAGAGATGGGGTTTCACCATGTTGGCCTGGCTGGTCTCGAACTCTTGACCTTGTGATTTGCCCACCTCGGCCTCCCAAAGTGTTGGGACTACAAGTGTGATCCATCACACCCGGCCAACTTTTCTTTTTTTTTTTTTTTAAGAGACAGGGTCTTGCTCTGTTGTCCAGGTTGGTCTCAATTCCTGGGCCCAAGCAATTCTCCCACCTGGGCCTGCCAAGGTGCTAGTATTATAGGCGTGAGCCACTGCACCCAGCCCTTTATAGTTTCTTTCTTTTTTTTGAGATGAAGTTTCCCTCTGTCACCAGGCTGGAGTGCAGTGGTGCGATCTCGGCTTACTGCAACCTCTGCCTCCCTGGTTCAAGCGACTCTCCTGCCTCAGCCTCCCGAGTAGCTGGGACTACAGACGTGTGCCACCACGCCCTGCTAATTTTTGTAGTTTTAGTAGAGACGGGGTTTCGCCATGTTGACTAGGATGGTCTCAATCTTTTGACCTCGTGATCCACCCGCCTCGGCCTCCCAAAGTGCTGGCATTACAAGCGTGAGCCACTGTGCCCAGCCAGCTCTTTATAGTTTAAGAGGAAGGATAAACCTTAAGAGATCACAACACTATATTTGTGTCAGGGATCCACAAGACTGCCTCCATGTTTGGAGATTTGCTATAAGGACTCATGGGATCAGCTTAGGGTTGTAATGGCTAAGATTTATTACTGTAACATAGTATGGATATATAGTAGAAAGAACTCAATGGCAAAAGACACTGACAGAGTCTGGAAAAATCCATGTACCGGCTTCCTTATGTGCTGTGCCTTCCATGAGGATCACACAGACTACCTTCTTTCCCCCTTAATGAAAATACAACAACCTATGTGACTTCCCAAGAAACACAGGTTTTATCTCGGCTGGGTCACATATGTGTACTCTGCCTAGCATGTGTGAAATTTCCAGACTCACAAAAAGAATAGCAGGATAAGCCACATTATTTCCATAGTCTAGATACAGTAAACCATGATTACCAGTTATGGAACCCTCTTGAAATTCAAGTCCTCAGAAGCCAGCCTAGGACCAACTGTGCAGACAGACAGACCCTCCTTCACAGGATAATATAATAGTCTCAGATCTGCTTTGTTAATTTTTGTTTGCATAGAGTTTTATAATTGGAAGATGTCTCAAATGCTACATATTTCTGTCTAATGGACTTTAGTAAGAGTGTTGTATAGTATACAACATGGAATTATTCTCCATTATAGGCAGGCTGTGATAAGTGTTCTAATGTTTATACAAAAGAACTCTGTAACTTTGAGCAGAGTAAAGAGAGTGTTAACGATACTTTTGACTGCAAATAGTGGAAAAATGTTGTGTTTAACTCTGAAATATGCTTTGCCTGATATTAGTATTTCTACTCTAGCTTTCTCTTGACTAGCGTAAGCATGGTATATATTATTCCATTCTTTTATTTTAACCTGTTTGCATCTTTGTATTTAACTTGTGTTTCTTGAAGGCGATAGTTTTATTTCTCTGATAAAAACATATAAGAAGACAATCACATTAAATGTATATGGTCTAAAACCTCTGCTTTTTAATTGGGGGTATTTAGACCATGTACATTTAATATGATTGTCTTCTTATGTTTTCTATTTATCTCTATCTGTTCCTTGCATTTTTCTTGCATCCCCCACCTGCCAAGATGGGGTCTTGCTCTGTCACCCAAGCTAGAGTGCAGTGGTGTGATCATACCTTACTGCAGCCTTGACCTGCTAGGCTCAAGTGATCTACCTCAGCCTCCCAATAGTGGAGACCACAGTTGTGCACCATCATACCCGGCTACTTTATTTTTTTATATATGGGGTCTCACTATGTTGTCCAGGCTGGTCTCATACTCCTGAGCTCAAGTGAGTCTCCTGCCTTGGCCACCCAGAGTGCTGGGATTACAGGTGTGAGCCATTGCACCTGGTCTTCTTGCATGCTTTTACTTTATTTATTTATTTTTTTTTTTTGAGAGAGAGAGTCTCGCTCTGTTGCCAGGCTGGAGTGCAGTGGCGCTATCTTGGTTCACTAGAGTCTCCGCCTCCTGGGTTCAAGCGATTCTCCTGCCTCAGTCTCCTGAGTAGCTGGGATTACAGGTGTGCACCACCACACCCAGCTAATTTTTGTATTTTTAGTAGAGACGGGGTTTCACCATGTTGGCCAAGATGGTCTCGATCTCCTGACTTTGTGATCCGCTTACCCTGGCCTCCCAAAGTGCTGGGATTACAGGCGTGAGCCACCGTGCCCAGCTTACATTATTTATTATGATTCCAGTTTGCCTCTTTTTAATACTTTTACTTATTTTTAAAAATTATTTTTGTGGTTCCTTTAAGATTATAGTGCACATTTAGAGAGGTCAAGTAATATTGTACACTTCATCTATAATAAAAGCATTCCTTCATTTACTTTCTTTTCCTCCCTCCTGCACTTTGTGCTATTGCTGCCATGCATTTGACTTTTACATATGTTATAAACTCTGTAACATTTTGCTGTTTTTTTATTAAACATGTATCTCTTAGAGATTTAAATAATAAAAAATTTAAAAGATGTTTGCTCATATAGTTACCACTTTGGTGCTCTTTATTCCTTCGTATTGGTCCAGATTTTCATCTGACATCATTTTGTTTCTGAAGAATATCCTTTAACATTTCTTGCAGTGAAGGTCTCCTGGTGATGAATTATTTCATTATTTATGTTTCTGGTGTGTCTTTATTTCACCTTCATTTTTGAAAGATATTTTTGCTAGGCATAGAATTCTAGTTGGCCTTTTTTCTTCTAGAACTTTAGAGATGTACTGCTGTCTTCTCACTTGCATTGTTTCTCAAAAGAAATCTGATGTTGTTCTTATCTTTGTTCTTCTATAGGTAACATGTCTTTTTATACACCTGCTATTAATAATGTTTCCTTGATTTTGAACAATTTGATTATGTTATCCCTTAGTGTAATTTTCTTCATGTTTCTTGTGCTTGGGGTTTGCTGAGTTTCTTGGATCCGTGAGTTAATAGGTCTTGTTATGGCTAGAACATTTTCAGCAGTTGTTTCTTCAAGTATTTTTTTTCTCTTTCTTTTTTTTCTCCTTTGGGGACTCCAGTTACCTGCATATTATTAGGCCATTTGAAGTTGCCTGACTGCTCACTGATGCTTTTTAAAAATCACTTTTTAACATTTTTTTTTCTTTTTGTACTTTAGCTAGTGTCTGTTCTTGTATCTTCAAGTTTGCTAATCTTTTCTTCTGCAGTTTCTAATCTGCCTTAGTTCATCCAATGTAATTTTCATCTCAAATGTTTTTGTCTTTGAAAGTTTGATTTTGGCTTTTCTTGTTTATCTCCCATGTCTCTATTTAATGTTTTGATTATATGAGATACATGTATAAAAACAGTTTTAATGTCCTCCTCTGCTAATTTTAACATCTATTTAAGTTCTGGGTCAGTTTTGATTGATTATTTTCAGTTTGCATCATGATTGTCTGCTGCTTTTTATGCCTGGTAATCCTTATTTAGTTGTAAAATTTACCGACAAAAGCAAAGTGACAAAAGGAGATAGGAAATATCATGAAAACAATTTCTCTAAAAAAAAAAAAACTTATGATGCCTAATCCCCTGAATAAAGACATTTAAGCCTTTCTTGCTTCATATTTAGACAAAAATCTTCCTGCTTATGTTCCTATTTCATCTCTGAAAACAGTGTAAGCAACCAGTTGTCCGAGGCACCATTCTTGGACAGTAATAATGTGCTGTCCTTCGTATATGAAGATGTAATTACTGTAGTAGCAACAAAAACCTAAGCTTTTGGATTGGATTCTGTTTTGGTTTTATTTTCTTCTACCACTACAATAAATGACACATAATCTTTCACTCTTAACAATAAATGGTGCATAATTTTAAGACAATTATGTGGAATTCAGAGAGAAATTCATGCTCATGGAACACGATTTATATTCTGTGAAGTATTAACAATGACTTAATGAATGAACACGTAATCTGATTTAACTAACACCATCTTATTAATTGATATTACATACACAGATCAAAATTTTGTAATATATTGAACAGGACTTAACAGAAAACTACATATATGTAAGTGATTAATAATCTTTCAATACGATGATGAAGCCAACAGAAAACTATAAAAACTATATTTGAGAAAGATGGAAAGTGGTAATAGGAGTATATATGTTCTCCAACTTCTAAATTAGAGAAAATCTTACGAGTCAGCAAGTTAACACTTAATTTGATTATTTTTGATGTTACCAGCCCCAGAAATAGCATTCTGAAACAGATTACAGGCTTTCTTCTTTCTATTTGTTGATACATCAACTACCACAACTCACCTTTCATTTTGTTGCTAAATTTTCAGAATAAAGTGTGTGTGTGTGTTAAAATTCTCCTGCTAAAATAATCTTTCTATGTTCTTACATATTTAGGTTTGGAATATGGTTCATGATGGCAGAATTGTCCAGGTCAATATAGTAAAATACTCTGACCAAGACAGTAGGACCCAGACTCAAGCTGGGGAAGAGATAAATAAGCTCAGTTAAAAAGAAAAAGAGGGCCAGGAATGGTGGCTCACACCTGTAATCCCAGCACTTTGGGAGGCCAAGGCGGGCAGATCACCTGAGGTCGGGAGTTCAAGACCAGGCTGACCAACATGGAGAAACCCTGTCTCTACTAAAAAATACAAAATCAGCTGGGTGTGGTGGTGCATGCCTGTAATCCCAGCTACTCGGGAGGCTGAGGCAGGAGAATCGCATGAACCCGGGAAGTGGAGGTTGCGGTGAGCCAAGATCATGCCACTGCACTCCAGCCTGGGCAACAAGAGCAAGACTGTCTCAAAAAAAAAAAAAAAAGAAAGAAAGAAAGAAAAAGAAAAAGAGGTTGGGCATAATGTCTCAAGCCTGTAATCTTATCACTTTGGGAGGTCAAGGCAGGAAGATGGCTTGAGCCCAGGAGTTCAAGACTAGCCTGGGCAACACACTGAGAATCCATGTCTACAAAAAACTAAATAACTTAGTGGAGCAGGGTGGTGCACACCTGCAGTCCCAGCTACTTGGCTGGGAGGCTGAAGTGGGCAGATCACTTGAGCCAGAGAGGTTGAGGCTACAGTGAGTCATGTTTCTACAACTGCACTTCAACCTGGGCTACAGAGCGAAATCTTGCCTTAAAAAAGAAAGAAAAGAAAAAGAAAAAAGAGAAGAAGAAAAGAAGAAAGAAAAGAAACTTGCTGCATAGACATGACCATATTCATTTGAAAGCAAGTTAGTAAATATGTATCCTGAAAAGATAGTTTAGAAAAGAAACTTACAGGCCATGACCAGAGTGATTATAAAACATTCTCTTAACAGTTAGCAGGTGGAATAAAAAGTGTATTCTTTAAAATGATTTCATTACTAGTAAATAGTTCTATAAGGAAAAGTAGGGGGAAAAAGGCAAAGAAATATGAAACTAAGTCAATGAAAAGCAAATAGGCTATGATCACACATCTAAAGGCCATGAACATGGCAAAGAGTATTTTAAAGAATCTAAAAAGTGTACTTTGAATTTTAAAGTATTTTAAGAGATTAATTTTATAAAAGGAAAAACAGTGTTATCACGCAGAAGGACCATATTTAGTATAATCAAAAGTTTAAGAAATTGGCCAGGAGTGGTGGCTCACACCAGTAATATCAGCATTTTGGGAGGCCGAGGCGGGCGGATCGGATCACCTGAGGTCAGGAGTTCAAGATCAGCCTCGCTGACATGGCAAAACACCACCTCTGCTAAAAGCACAAAAATTAGCCAGGTGTGGTGACGCACACGGGTAATCACAGCTTCTTGGGAGGCTGAGGCATGAGAATTGCTTGAATCTGGGAGGCAGAGGTTGCAGTGAGCCAAGATCATGTCACTGCACTCCCGCCTGGGCAATAGAGCAAGATTCTGTCTCAATCAAAAAAAAAAAAAAGAGTTTAAGAAATTAAGGAAAGCTGAGTGTAATGAAACCTTTTCAAGGGTAGTAGTGGTATAGCTCAAACCTGGTTTGAATTCCAGCTTTGTCACTTACTGGGTAAGTAAGTAGCAGCCTTAAGCCCAACTGGTGTTTGCTATTTGCACGTATTTTCATAAATAAAAGTGGTCTGTAATGTTTTCACAGTGTTGTCAAACTTCAAGATTATTAAAACTATTAATATCCTGTTTAATGTTTAAGAATAAATAACTATTTGATATCTTTTAACTACTGTCCTATCACTGACTTTTAAGACTCTTACTGACAATTTTGTGATTTTTTCATGTAATCATCCTTTATATCTTACTTAGCAAGTTCTCTATTAGACATATGTCTGCTGAATGAAACTTAATTACAGATATTTTTGAACATTTATTAAATTTAAATTATATTTGTACTTGTAAGAAATATTTAAACAATGCTTTGTTTTTCTAAAATAAAAGAAAACCAATAGCACAAACCTTCATTTTCTAAGTGTGTCAAGTTGTTTTGTTTTTTTTATTTGCTTGTGTGTTTGTTTTTTGAGACTGAGTCTCCCTCTGTCGCCAGGCTGGAGTGCAGGGTGCGAGCTCGGCTCACTGCAACCTCCAACTTGCTGGTTCAAGTGATTCTCCTGCCTCAGCCTCCCAAGTAGCTGGAATTACAGGCATGTGCCCCTGCGCTCGGCTAATTTTTTTTTTTTTTTTTTTTGTATTTTTAGTATAGACCAAGTTTCACCACGTTGGCCAGGATGGTCTCCTCCTGACCTCGTGATCCACCCGCCTCGGCCTCCCAAAGTGCTGGGATTACAGGTGTGAGCCACTGTGCCTGGCCTATTTTAACTGTTTTATGTCTTCTGGTTTCGTGTGACAATGAAATAAGTTAATATTTCCTGCCTGCACCAACCACATTTAGGCTCTACCTTAATTGTTGATGAGGTCTTGGAGCCTCCCTTCTGCTCCCAGAGGCTTTTCTTGCTCATGTCTCCAGCCACAATATCCCGGGGGCAGCAGAAGGGTATGTCACAAGGGCAGACCCCTGGATCTTGGGGAGTAGAAGCCCTGGGCCCTTCTCTCCTGCCTTGCCTTACCTGGCCAGGGGGCCTGGGATCTGCCTACCAAAACTTTTTCTGTGCGATCCCAGTGGAAGAAGCAGGGAAAGGAATAAAGGTGCCATCCACCTCCACTCGGACAACACAGCCTTCTACACCAGCAAGGGTGAACCCAACCCTACTGCAATACCTCAGGGTTCTGTCTGCCCACATTCATCCTGGACAGTCCCACGCTTGTCTTAACAAGGAAACCTGGCCTGCTACTAAACTCCCCAGTGCTGGCTCTGCAGCCCAGCCTTGCCCCTGGAGGGGACCTTACCTTGCAGGACGGAGTCTTGGCCGCAGACTGAGCCTGTACCTCACCCGTCTCCCACCAACTCTTGGTACTGGATGCAGCCATGCTGGGCAGCTCTATGGAGGCCTGGCGGGCTAGCTTGGGGGTCTGGCCAGCAGTCTGCAGAGGAGGAAAAGCATCAGGATTACCTTAGTGGACAGCCACCGTGGTCACATCAGAGGGTCACACTGGGCAACCCTCTGCTTTGTGTTTGTGTTTTCCCTGGGAGCGATTTCCCAATGCAGCCCTAGAGTGGGGATCACTGGAAAGATGTGCCTTCCTCCATTCAATGCAATTGTGAGACACCTCCCTTTCCTGAAGAGCATCAGGGAGATGATGGCGCACAAGACAGATGTGGGTCTGCCTCCATGCTGCTCATGGGGTAGGGCTGGGGGACCATGGGATGGATGGAGGGACATTGAATGGATGGAGGGACAGTGGTTAAATTGCAGAGTATTGGTTGGATGGAGGAGCATTGATTAGATGGAGGACTATTGGTTGTATAGAAAGGTGTTGATGAAGGAATATTGATTGGATGGAGGAGTACTGATTATATGAGGGAGTATTTGTTAGATGGAGGGGCACTGATTGAATGCAGTAGTAGCCACCTGGCTGGGGGCTGCTGGGCCTCGTTCCACGTGGGGAGGCAGAGCCTGGGGTGCAGGGGCCCTCATGCTCACTCACGCCCCCACTCACGACCCAGCCCCTCCAAATGGAGGGCGGCGCAGAGCTGGGGCAGAGTATTGAGGAGGTGGAGGGTTTCCATGGAGGAGAAGCCTGGCCATGTTGCTCCCCATGTTCCCATGTCCCAGCCCCTCCATGTGAGCAAGGTCTCAGCTGGGGTGTGTGTCCTTGGGCCTGGGGCATGAGATGGAGCCCAAGCTCCTCCTTGGACCTGGGCTTCCAATGGGTCCAGGGCCCTCACTCCAGCTCCACAGACCCCCTCCACCAAGCCATAGGGGAGGCGTGGCTTGGAAGCACACATTGGCACAGAGACCCCAGAAGCCCGTGTGCACACGTTTCCTTAGGTCCACCCCTAAGGGCAACGAGTCCGGGCCCCAACAGCCCCATAAAGGCCCTCACTCTGCTCACAGCTCATGCCCAACACATGGAGTGCGGCCGGGCGCGGGACTCCCTAGGCCTGGGGCACATGCAGGTGCACACCCAACTCACACACATTCTCCACGAGCCCACGCTCCGGCCACACAGGCACACATGCCCGCACCCCATGCACATACAAATATGCACGTGCTCACACACGGGAACCCTTGACATCCACGTGCATGTGCAGACAAGCTTGGGAACAAGGGGACCACGTCCCCCTCCAGGGATCCCTTCAGGGTGCTGCAGCCTCACTTTAGTGAGGCAAACATTGACTGTTTGCCTTGCCATAGCCCTGACAATGGCGGTGCCGGCCCTGGCACGAGGCCCAGGTGTGTACTCTGGGAACATCATCCATGCAGAGCTGGGCCCCTGGAGGATCACTCTGACTGAGCTCTCCCTGGCTAGGGGCCTGGGGGACAGAGTGGGGATGCAGAGTAAGCATCTCCTGGTGTCTCCCCTAAAACCCAGTGCTGGGGAGAAGCCCCGCCAGCCCCTGGCCTCTGACCCAGCAGAGCTGAGGACGTGGAGGCCTCTGGGCCCCTTCTCCGTCTCCTCCCTTTCCCCTACCCCAGGATATGAGTCATGCGGGCCCCCTCCCCATGACCTCACCGCATCACTATTCCACAGCCGGGCTCCGTTCTGGGAACTGAAAGGGGGGCAGCTCTCCTGGGGTGGGGTGGGGGCCTCTGGCCTGGGAAAGGCGCCCCTCGGTCAGCGGCCCAGGCCCCTTGGCATACACCACGGAGCTGTCAGGACTCTGGGATGGCCGACCCCGCCCGTGGCCCTGGCTCAGCCCCGTGCAGCTGCGAGGGATTTGGTGTTCCTGCGCAAATGCAGTTAGGCCATTTCCTATGTCTGTTCCGGCTCCGAAGTCCAAGGTTCAGCCCAAGCGGCCAGGCGGTGGGGGGGGGGCTCCATCCACCTCCCACCCCAGCACACCCCCACCACCCTCACAGTCCCAGGCTCCACTTCGGGGCCCGGCCCCCAGCCAGGGACACCAGTATGCACAGAACCCTGAAGGATGCCTCGTTCTGAGTGGAGCTCCCCAAGCTCAGGTCTGTTCCTGTCGGCCTCGTCCACTGCCAACCACCCCCAACTCGGGACACTGGCCCTTCTTCTCCTTCCTCCACAGACCTCCCCACCTCTACCTCCCAGTCCCCACTGAGGGCCTGACAATGCCCATCTTCGGCCCAGCACTCCCAGCTACCCACTGCCGTCCTTCCCCTGCCTGGAAGTGCAGACACTTCCAGAATGGGTGTCCGGCTCGGTCCCCGTCCTGACTCTGCTCCCTACAGGCAGCTCCTGTGGCTGCCCCGCCCAGCTGTCCTGAGCCCAGAGGTCGGCTGGAGAGGGTCAGTCCTCTCTGGGGTCCTGGGGAGTCAGGAGGCTCTGGTGAAGAGCAAGGGCTGCAGGGAGGATGTCGAGGGGAGGAGGAGCTTCTCCTCCAGGCCTGACCACAGGTCTCCTGGACACCACAGGGAGCTGGCGGGAGGACTGGGGAGTTGGGCTGGGCCTTCCACCAGGGTGGTTCAGGACTCCCTGCACAGCACTGAGGTCTCTGGTCCCCTCATTAGCCCAGCCTCCCGTGGGATCATAGACTTGACCCCTCAAGTCACTGCAGAGCCCAAGAGTGGAGAAACACAGCACCGTGTGCCGGGAAAAGGTGCCCACAGGGGCCCTTCATGGCTGAGGCTTCCAGAGGGTAGTGGGACGGCAACCCCGCTCCCCACCAGCCGCCCACCACAGCGTTCATGATACAGCTTCGGAGTGTGGGTCGGGGTCTATCTGGGAAACCAGGGCAAAGGCGGTGGCAGCTGGCAGCACCCACACCCACAGCTGGGGCACTGCTCACATGAGCCCCCATCAGCAGGCCCCTTGGTTGTGCCACAGGCAGGGGTCCTGCCCCAGGGAGGGGGTAGTCCGGGGGAGCTCGAGGGTGTGGCACAGGCCAGCTGTCACTCCTCCCTGGAGAGGCAGCTGGGGACGCAGCTGGGAGGGGAGCCAGGAGCAGAGACAGCCCGGGGCCAGCAGGTGGGTGACAGGTGGGGCAGCGGGAGGGGCATGCGCTGTCCGCCTGGGGCTGGGGTGTAGAGACGGGAACCTGCCCCCCAATGCCTGGTGCTGGCCCAGCCTCCCCCCGGGGTCTCTAGCACCTTCCCAGTTGTGTCTGCACCCTCCTGGGCATGGCGGGGGAGGGTGGGGGTCAACCCCTTTCCTTGTAGTCCCGTGCCAGTGGGCAAGGGAGACGCCCCAGTGAGCAGGAGCCTAGCCTCTCTGCCTGGGGAGGCCAGGTGATGAGCCACCCGGAGTGGGAGGGGGCCTTGAACTTGGGTCTGAAAGATGAGCAGGGGTTTGCTGGGCCGGGTACAGGCAAGAGCTAATGCAGGAAGGCAGAGAGCAGGAGCGCTTAGAGGGAGTGGCTCTGTGCAGCCGGAGTCAGATGGGTGACCCTCACTCAGGAGGAAGCACTGGGACCCTCTCTCCTCACGCTGGGTCCCCCGCCTCCCTCTAGGATCCCCACACCCAGGTCCTTCTGGGCCTCTGCCACACAGATCAGGTCTGGAAGGCTCCCTGGAGGAGGCGGTGCCTAGACTTGGACATAGGCCTGCAGAGCTGGTTTCCCTCACAACCCTGGGAAGACAGAACTCCTCAGCGGGTTGATGTGGAGGAGGGCGGAGCCTCCCTCCAAGGCACCAGTCCAGTGCTGGGGGCGACACAGAGAGCCAGAAGCTGGCGGGGGCGGGAGGCTCTGCCCCCCAAGGGCTTTACATGCCGAAGCCCCATGGCCGAGCTGGGACCCAGGGTCAGCCCAGGCAGGCCGCGAGAAAGGAGACTGTGGACCCCACCCCATCACACAGGGAGGAGGTGCTGTGCCCGCTGGGGGGGCAGCTGCCCCTCTCTGGGCCCTTTGGGTGGGAAGAGGCTTGGTGAGGTAGAAAGCCCAGCCCCAGCCAGCAGCGTTGCCTTCTCACAGTGGCAGCCCTTTGTAACCCCGGGGGGTCCCTGCAGGGCCTCTCCCTGTTTTCTCACCATGGGGCAGCATTTGGGGGTCTCTTGAGGGACCCCCTAGATGCTTCTGCTCAGAGCCCCCAAAGCCAAGGAGCCTCCACTCCTCCGTCTGCAGCCTCCCCTGCCGGTTCTTGCTACCCAGGGTTCAGTGGCCTGGGGGCTGACGGAGGGGGTCGCCTCTGCCAAGGCCCCTCCCGGCGCCTCCCTGGCTCATCCAGCCCACCTTCCTCCCACGCTGGCTCACGCAAAGTGTTCTGGTCACCAGGAGCCCTTCCTGACCAGCCCCGGCCCCTTCTTGGCCTTCGCCCCACCTGGCCTCCCCTGGATCCCTGACCTGGGTGCCGGGCCTGCTGGGTCCAGAGCCCACCCCGCCCTGAACAACCCCGAGCCTCAGCCACCCTCAATTCTTACCCTTTCACAGCTGGGGAGTGGAGTCTGGGCCTGAGGTCTCCTGTGCGCCTCTGGGCGCCTGCGCCCGCGCTGTGCCTTTGCGAGGGCGGAGCTGCGTTGTGCTCAGCACAGACTCGGAGAGCATCGCGAGGGCGGAGCTGAGTTCTCCTGTGCACAGACTTCGGAGATACAGCGAAGGCGGAGCAGTGTTCTCCTTGGCACAGACCCGGGCGGGCCGGGGGCACCGCGAGGGCGGAGCTGCATTCTGCTCAGCACAGACCCGGGGGACACCGCGAAGGCAGAGCAGCGTTCTCCTCAGCACGGACCTTGGGGGCACTGCCTCGCTTTGGGACAACTCGGGGCCGCATCGACGGTGAATAAAATCCTTCCTGTTTGCAGCCCTGAATAATCAGGGTCAGAAACCAGATAGAAGGGTTCAGTGTGGAAAACGGGAAACCAAAAGCCCCTCTGAATCCTGCCCACCGAGGTTCTCCCCAGCCAAGGTGAGGCGGCCGCAGTGCGAGATCCACACCGCAGCCTCGGAAGACAAATGCAGCATTCCTAATGCAGACATGGCACTCAAAATATGACACCCCCCTTGCTCATGTAACAAGCACCTGTAGTGCTAATGCACTGCCTCGACACAAAAACATTAATATAAGATCCACAATCCCCTCGCTGCCGTGCAGTCCTAAGACAGCGATCATAATAATCAACATTGACATAGTCAATACAAACGTAGTAACGAACCTAGGCTTAAGGTTGGTGTTAGGGGTTAAGTTTAGGGTTAGGGGTTGGAGATAGGGGTTGGGGTCAGAGTTAGGGGTTAGGAGTCAACATTTAGAGTTAGGGGTTAAGAGAGGTTGGGGGTTAGGGATTAGGGGTTAGGGTTGGGTTAGGGGGAGGGGGAGAGTTGTGGTTAGGGGTTAGGGTTAGGGATTAGGGTTAAGGTTAGGGGTCAGGGTCAGGGGTCCCACTCTGTTGGCTGTCTATTTACTCTACTGACTGTTCCCTTTGCCATGCAAAAGCTATTTAGTTTAATTAAGTCCCAGCTATTTATCTTTGTTTTTATTGCATTTGCATTTGGGTTCTTGGTCATGAAATCCTTGCCTATGCCAATGTCTAGAAGGGTTTATCCAGTGTTATCTTCTAGAATTTTTATAGTTCAGGAATTAGGTTTAAGTTTTTAATCCATCTTGAGTAGATTTTTGTATAAGGTGAGAGATGAGAATCCAGTTTTATTCCCCTACATATGGCTCGCCAATTATCCCAACATCATATGTTGAAAAGGGTGTCCTTTCCCCACTTTATTTTTTGCTTACTTTGTCGAAGATCAGTCGGCTGTAAGTATTTGGGTTAATTTATGGGTTCTCTCTTCTGTTACATTAGTCTATGTGCGTATTTTTAAACCAGTACCATGCTGTTTTGGTAGCTATGGCCTTATTGTACAGTTTGAAATCAAGTACTGTGATGCCTCCAGGTTTGTTCTTTTTGCTTAGCCTTGGTTGGGCTACATGGCTCTCTTTTGGTTCCATATTAATTTTAGAATTGTTTTTGTAATTCTGTGAAGAATGATGGTGGTATTCAGATGGGGATTGCATTGAATTTGTAGATTGCCTTTAACAGAATGGTAATTTTCACAATATTGGTTCTACCCATCCACGAGCATGGGGATGCGTTTCCATCTGTTTGTGTCATCTATGATTTCTTTTCTTTCTTTCTTTTTTTTTTTTTTCTTCAGAGGGAGTTTTGCTCTTGTCGCTGAGGTGGGAGTGCAATGGTGTGATCTCGGCTCACTACAACTTCTGCCTCCCAGGTTCAAGCGATTCTCCTGCCTCAGCTTCCCGAGTAGCTGGGATTATACGCATGTGCCAACATGCTTGGCTCCAACTATGATTTCTTTCAGCAGTGTTTTGTAATTTTCATCGTAGAGGTCTTTTGATTCCTTTGCTAGGTATATTCCTAAGTTTTTTGTTTGTTTGTTTGTTTGTTTGTTTTTGCAGCTATTGTAAAAGGGGTTGAGTTCTTGATGTGATTCTCTGCTTGGTAGCTGTTGATGTATAGAAGAGCTACTGATTTGTGTACATTAATCTTGTATCTGGAAACTTGGCTGAATTCTTTTATCAGTTCTAGAAGCTTTCTAGAGGAGTCCATAGGGTTTTCAAGGCGAAAGATCATATCGTCAGCAACCAGTGATAGTTTGACTTCCTTTTTACCGATTTGGATTTCCTCTATTTCCTTCTTTTGTCTGATTGTTCTGGCAAGCACTTCCAGTACTATGTTGAAGAGGACTGGTGAGAGTAGGCTCCTCATCTTGTTCTAGTTCTCAGAGAGAATGCTTTCACCTTTTCCCCATTCAGTATTATGTTGGCTGTGGGTTTGTCATAGACGGCTTTTATTACATTAAGGTATGTCCCTTGTATGCCTATTTTGCTGAGAGCTTTAATCATAAAGCAATGCTAGATTTTGTTGAATGCTTTTTCTGCATCTGTTGATATAATCATTTGAGTTTTTTTTTAATTCTGTTTATTTGGTATATCACATTTATTGACTTGCATATGTTAAACCATACCTGTATCACTGGTATGAAACCCACTTGATCATGGTGGATTATCTTTTTGATATGTTGTTGGATTCAGTTAGATAGTATTTTGTTAAGGATTTTGGCATCTGTGATCATCAAGGATATTGGTCTGTAGTTTTCTTTTTTGGTTATGTCCTTTCATGGTTTTGGTATTAGGGTGATGCTGGCTTCATAGAATGAATCAGGGAGGCTTTCTTCTTTCTCTGTCTTGTGGAATAGTGTGAAAGGATTGGTATCATTTCTTCTTTGAATGAAAGAAGACATTCTTTGAATGTCTGGTAGAATTCTGCTGTGAATCTGTCTGGTCCTCGGTTTTTTTGGTTGGTAATTTTAAAATTACCATTTCGATCTTGCTGCTTGCTTTATTGGTCTGCTTGAGGTATCTACTTCTTCCTGATTAAGCTAGGAGGGTTGTATTTTTCCAGGAATTTATCCAACTCTCCTAGGTTTTCTAGTTTATGTGCCAAAAGGTGTTCATAGTACCCTTGAATAATCTTTAATATTTCAGTAGTGTCAGTTGTAATATCCCCTGTTTCATTTCTTAGTGAGGTTATTTGGATTTTCTCTCTTCTTTTCTTGGTTAATCTTGCTAATGGTCTATCAGTTTTATTTATCTTTTCAAATAACCAACTTTTTGTTTTATTTATGTTTTGTATTTGTTGTTGTTGTTGTTGTTGTTGTTGTTGTGTCGATTTCATTTAGTTCTGCTCTGATCTTGGTTATTTCCTTTGTTTGCTGGGATTGGGTTTGGCTTGTTCCTGCTTCTCTAGTTCCCTGAGATGTGAACTTAGATTGTCTGTTTGTGCTCTTTCAGACTTTTTGACGTAGGTGTTTAGGGCTACAAACTTTCCTCTTCGCACTGCCTTTGCTGTATCCCAGAGGTCTTGATAGGTTGTGTCATCCAGTTCGAAGAAATTTTTTACATTTCCATCTTGATTTCATTTTTCACCCAATGCTCATTCAGGAGCAGGTTATTTAATTTCCATGTATTTGCATGGTTTTGAAGATTCCTTTTGGAGTTGATTTTCAGTTTTATTCCACTGTGATCTGAGAGAGTGCGTGATACAATTTCAATTTTCTTAAATTTATTGAGACTCGTTTTATGGCCTATCATATGGTCTATCTTGGAGAAAATTCCATGTGCTGTGGAATAGAATGTGTATTATGTGATTGTTGATGAAATGTTCTGTATATATCTAAGTCCATTAGTTCCAAAGTATAGTTTAAATCCAGTGTTTCTTTGTTGACTTTCTGTCTTGATGACCTGTCTAGTGCTGTCAGTGGAGTATTGAAGTCCCCCACTATTATTGTGTTGCTGTCTATCTCATTTCTTATGTCTACTAGTAATTGTTTTATAAATTTGGGAGCTCCGGTGTTAGGTTCATGTATGTTTAGGATTGTCATATTTTTCTGTTGGATGAGACCTTTACCATTATATACTGTCTGTGTTTGTCTCTTTTAGCTACTGTTGCTTTAAAGTTTGTTTTGTCTCATATGAGAATAGCTACTGCTGCTCGCTTTTGGTGTCCATTTGCATGAAATGTCTGTTTCTACCACTTTCCTTAAGTTTATGTAAGTCATTATGTGTTAGGTGAGTCTCCTGAAGGCAGCAGATAGTTAGTTGGTGAGTTCTTATCCATTCTGTGGTTCTGTATCTTGTAAGTGGAGCATTTAAGCCATTTACAACCAACATTAGTATTAAAAAGTGAGGTACCATTGCTTTCATCATGCTCTTTGTTGCCTCTATACTTTGTTTTTTTTTGTTGTTTTTGCTTTTTAACTTGTATTTTTGTTTTATAGCTCTTGTGTGATTTATGCTTTAATGAAGTTCTGTTTTGATGTGTTTCCAGAATTTGTTTCATGATTTAGAGCTCCTTTTAGCAGTTCTTACAGTGCTGGTTTGGTAACGGCAAATTCTGTCGGCATTTGTTTGTCTGAATATGACTGTATCTTTCCTTCATATATGATGTTTAGTTTTGCTGGATACAAAATTCTTGGCTGATAATTGTTTTGTTTGAGGAGGCTGAAGAAAGTGCCCCAATCCCATCTAGCTTGTAAAGTTTCTGCTGCAAAATCTGCTGTTAGTTTGATAGGTTTTCCTTTATAGGTTACCTAGTGCTTCTGTCTCACAGCCCTTAAGATTATTTCCTTTGTCTTAACTTTGGATAACCTAATGACAATGTGCCTAGGCTAAGATCTTTTTGTGATGAATTTCCCAGGTGTTATTAGTGCTCCTTGTATTTGGATGTCTAGGTCTCTCACAAGGCCACAGAAGTTTTCCTTGATTATTCCCCCAAATACATTTTCCTGGCTTTTAGAGTTCACTTCTTCCTCAGGTACACCAATTAATCTTAGGTTTCATCGTTTAACAGAATGCCAGACTCCTTGGAGGCTTTGCTCATATTTTCTTGTTCTTTCTTCTTTGTCTTTATTGGATTGGGTTAAATCAAAGACCTTGTCTTCGAATTCTGAATTTCTTTCTTCTACTTGTTCAATTCTATTGCTGAGACTTTCCAGAGAATTTCACATTTCTAAAAATGCGTCCAAAGTTTCCTGATTTTTTATTATTATTATTATTTTTTATTTAAGCTATTTCCTTGACTGTTTCTCCCTTTACTTATTGTATCATTTTTTGGATTTTCTTGCATTGGGCTTCACCTTTCTCTGGCCCCTCCCTGATTAGCTTAATAACTAACCTGAATTCTTTTTCAGATAAATCAGTGATTTCTTCTTTGTTTGGATCCATTGGTGATGAACTGGTGTGATTATTTGGGGGTTGTTGAAGAGTCTTGTTTTGTCAGATTACCAGGGTTGGTTTCCTGGTTCCTTCTCATTTAGGTAGACTCTGTCAGAGGAAAGGTCTAGGGCTGAAGACTGTTGTTCAGACTCTTTTGTCACACAGAGTGTTCCCTTGATGTAGTACTCTCCCACTTTTCCTATGGGCATGGCTTCCTGTGAGCCAAAGTGCATTGATTGTTGTCTCTCCTCTGGGTCTAGCCACCCAGCAGGTCTACCTGGCTTTGGGCTGGTACTAGGGGTTGTCTGCATAGAGCCCTGTGATGTGAACCATCTATGGGTCTCTCAGCCATGGATACCGGCGCCTGTTCCAGTGGAGGTGGTGAAGGGTGCAATAGACTCTGTGAGGGTCCTTAGCTTTAGTGGTTTAATGCTCTATATTTGTGCTGGTTGGCCTCCTGCCAGGAGGTGTTGCTTTCCAGAAAGCATCAGCTGTAGTAGCATGGAGGAACTGGCAGCGGGCAGGGCCCTAGGACTCCCAAGATTATATGTCCTTTGTCTTCCACTACCAACTTAAACATTTGTGAGAATTTCAATATCAGAAATTTATGTGTAATCGAATTTATTCTGGTAGCCTAAATTCTGGTAGCTTATTTTCTTATATGCTTCAATCTTTATAATTTAGTTCTCACATGAGGGAGATCTAATATTGGAAATACTTTCAATCTGTATGTTTATGTATTTATTCTAGTTGTCCTGGCACAAGGTTATCAATGTTGCTGTGTGACCAGCCATTGGCTTTTCACATTTACAACTCCTCTGAATTTTTTCTTGCCTCATTTCTGGTGCTGGGAAATTCTGATATTTTCTCCTCATCTCCATTGTACATTTTAGGGATTCTTGAAACTTGTGATGCACAAACATCCACACCTTCCACATAAGTAAAATATTTTACTTAGATATTTTCTAGCAGACACTGAGTTCTCATGAGAAATCCTCAGTCTCTTTATTTGGAACACCCCACCCCAGTATTCCATATGGAGTAGTCATGTGTAGAATGTGATTACTTCATTAATATGTCGAAGTATGGGTACATTTTGAACACATTTGTGAACTTGTAATCCCTTTCTTGATGAATAGTACCTGCGGATGAGCAGAATTGATATTTTCTTTGGAGCAGTAAGTTAGCACTGGTAGAATCTGTTCTGTAATCCCAGGTCCCTGGGCTCCAGTGTCAATGCTTCCTCCTTAGATCCTCCCTGACCCTGTAAATTTACCTCAGTCTCTATTTCTTAATCCAATAGCTATTTCAATTGATCTTCAATTACTTTGCATGTGGCCAGATATTATTTATGGGTTATATTCTAATTCACATTTTTCTGATGTAATTTCAGAGAGCCTAGAAAATATAATAAACTCCTTCTGACAGGTACTTGAGCCTCAGTATTTAAACATGAACAAATGCAGCATCTATTCCCTATCATGAGCACTCTTAATGGCAGTTGAGTGTTTATATCAAAAAAAAGTCAGGAATCATAATCATTTAGAGATAAAACAGATCCCAGATCTGAAAAGTCAGCTAGCTTAGGAGTTTCAAGACTTTAGGATTTCACAAATCAATAAAATTAAAAAGAAAAAAATGTAAGGTTTAACATAGAGATATCACTTAAACAATGACTACTATTTTGATAAAAGGACATTCAACGGTAAAGGTGTGGGAAATATAACCTCAGAGATGAAAATGTAATAGCTTGGGCCAAGCTCACTAAGTGTCCTTATTTTTGTGTTTCCACCATGGATGGCTGACACTGTCACCTCTGGCATGAGTCCACATCAGCACCCTGGAAATGCCTCCTATAGGGTAATCCTGCAGAAGGCACTAGCACCCCCAGACTCGGGCAGACAGCTGGCTAGACAGTGCTGCTGGGAGAGTACTGCCTCTCAAAACCCGTCTCTCTGTACCAGCTGCCCAGTGTTTCTGTTTCTGCCTACTTGGAGGAACAAAAGCAATCCTGCTCCTCTCCCCAGAGACAGGTAATTATGCCGCATTTTCTTTCCTGTTTCTTACATGACAAGCACTCAAAACTTGTCACTCTTTTGGTTCTCTCCAGTGCCCTCCAAACAGTCCATGTTCAAGCCAAAGAGGAATCACTTCTGCTTACCATGTTAACTTTTAAAATAGTTAACTGCAGCCTGCATTATGAGGATAGCATGCCAGCATAAGGAAGTTAGCATCATCTAGAGTGACCACAGAAGCTGCATCTGTCCGTGTGACTGGACACTGTATATGTCCAGATCTCTGCAAGGAAGAGTCATGTCGTACTTTAGAGTATGACTGAGTCACACTCAGAGGGAAGTGATTCCCACAAGCAGCTCCCAGCCAGTAACTGAGCTTGGCATGGATACTGAGGCAGGCCCCTTCCTGGGAGAAATGGGACTCCAGAAGTCCTGGACCCTCTCTACTTCTTTTTATACCTGCTTACAATTTAGCCAATTCTTTTCTGAGCTCATCTCTTTCTTACAGTAGTGACCAAGGGATGTTACTAACGTTCAGTTTCCCCATCTTTTCACCTTAAGCTTCAAGTTCCTTCAGCACATCATCCGCCCTTCAAGTTATTCCTACAACAGCTTTACCAAATATTTCACCACTGCATAACATAGATTACCATCTTTCCAACCCTCAGTAACGGTTCTCTTGCTGACTGCCATCTGGCCCTAGAGCCACATATTTTAGGGTTTGTGTTTTGGCTGCTCCCCACTCCTGGTACCATAACACCATCTATCAAATCTACCTGTAGATCATGAAATTACATAGGGCTTCACCAAAACTGCTATGGAGGTGGGGAGAGGGACAATTGGAATGGAGCTCAGAAAGCTGCACTTGCAGAGTCATTTATGTAAGACTGTGAGTGTGCTGCCGGTCCACATCAGAGGATGGGGACTACCATGGTCTGAATGTCTGTGTCTCTCCAAATTTCATATGTGGAAACTTAATCAAGGTGATAGTTTTAAGAGGTGGGGCATTTAGGAGCTGATTAAGGCATTTGGACAGAGCCCTTCTGAATGGGATTAATGACCTTATAAAAGAAATGAAGATGAACAAATGACCCCTTCCACCACATGAGGACATAGCAAGAAGGTACCATCTTAAAGCAGAGAGCAAGCCCTCACCAAGACACTGAATCTGCAGATGCCTTGATCTTAGACTTCCCAGCCTCTGACACTGCAAAAAATAAATAAATAAATAAACTTCTATTGTTTATAAATTACCCAATCTAAGGTATTTTGTTTTAGCGGCTCAAAGGAACTAAGACAAAGGTCATGGAGACCATAGGGTGAGTCTCAAGACTTCCCCCAGCTCTACTTGGCTGGTCTCCTGCTGGTATTTTCCATCTGTAGAGAGGAAAAAGAACTCCCATTTTACCTTGCTTACCTGCACTTATGAAAAGTCAAACTGAGTCATGTTGAGAGCCAGGGAACATAGGAGTCGGTTCTTCAGCAGGAGCACTCAGCTAGTTGAAGGCAATGTGGAGTGATGGGAAGAGAGCAGTGATGCAGTGATTCTGGCACCAACTCCTTTACTATGGCATCCATTGTACCAGCTGACATACACCTGGCTACTTCTACACCTTATCTCTAATCACTCCAGAATACGTATTAGTTTCCCCATCTTCTAGAAAGGAAAACTCAGACCCAGAGACACTAAGCAAGTAGCTCAAGATCACACACGTTATCTGTGATTAAGCCTCAGTTAGAACTGGAGTCTTGGATTTCCACATTTATACCCTTTTCATGAAGCTACCTAACTTTGATCCTCAAGTTTTCCCATCTATAGCATGGGACTGCTGGACTAGAAATCTCTAAGTCCCCTTTACCTCTTGAATTCTGTGTCTCTAAGGATGAGAATAACAAAACTCCTTTGCCTCTAGCACTTTCCAACTCAAAGCCCTATCACTCTCATTACATCTAATCACTGCAGCCAGAAGCATTAAATAAAATGGAAGGACTGACATTGGGAGTGGGCGAGGCAGAGAAGTTGGGGGCGTGGAGAAACAGCTCTTTTTACATAATGATTGCTACTATGATTTGGTTATAAATAACCAGTGAAGACAATCAGGCTTTTCTGGCAGTCCCTAATTGTAGTGAATGTTGGAATACAGTGACCACCCAAATGCTCTAGACTGATTGGGAAGGTGCCACTTCTAAATCAGCTGGGCTAAGTGCATTGCATAAGCTGAGTATTTAGCTTAATGATTAGAGCCAGTTGACGAAACACAAGAATATGGAAGCCTCCTGCTACTTCTCAGAAGATAAGACAATGGCATTCCACCACCAGTGTTTACTGTGGTACCCAAAGGGAGCTCCAGTTACTTCCCTCTGTGCCTATAACCCTTGGATCACCTGGTTGCACCAGACTCATCCTGACTAAAATCCCTCCAAAGGACCAAAGAGGAGATACGGACAAAAATAAAAAATAAATCTCATCTGCTCTCTTTCCTAAGGACCCAGCAGCCTCTATCCATCCGTCGTTCATTCACTCATTCCACACACTTTCATCTAGCCCCTGCTGAATGCCAAGCACTGGGCTGGAACTCTGGGGACTGTGGAGGTGGAATAGGAGAATATGGGCTTTCTGTGAGCAGTGATTGCCTAAAATATATACATCAAGGTTGTAGGATCATGTGCACCACTGCACTCTAGCCGGGGTGACAGAGTGAGACCCTGTCTCAGAAAAATAAAAAAAAAATTGTAGGATCATGGAGAAAGTGTCTTAAGTGTTTGGTGCTGTGGACAGGCAACACAGGCAGAAACTGGTGGCTAGGGAATCAGAGAAGTTTTCAGGAGGGAGCATTTGACTTGGGCTTGAACTGAGCATCATAGGGCAATATAGAAACAAGTTTATGGATAATTCACTGAATTGGTGGCAGTTTATAACTTGAGTCTTCCTTCAGATGATTGAAGTTAGTAGCCCAGCTATGAAAGTCTAGGTTACAGATGTCTCAGCCACAGCTTGCATATATATGGATGAGGTTCATACATATGCAGACTTGGGCTCCTGCCAAGATATGAGAGTTTTGGTCAGTCTCTGTCTCAATTCTAATGTCTCTGCCTACATACCTGAGTCCAGAGTTGTCATGCAAAGAACAGAACCCTGGAACAATCACACAAGGATTTGGTACTAGGCTTAGCCATTTTCTAGCCATGGGGACAAAAGAAAATTACTGAACCTCTCTGAGTCCCAGTTTATTTGTCTATAAAATAGGGATAGTGATACTGGGGTTACAAGGAAATTGTGAGAATTAAAATAGTTCAGGAGAGGTTAAGTTGTCCTGGGGCCACCTTTGTCATTGCAGTGACCACACTCTGTAGTGAGGGCACCCTTGAGAGCAGACAGCAGAGCTGCTATGTGATTCATCTCTAGAATCCATGATTCTTGGAACACTTCCTGAGAGCTATTAGGCATTCAAGAAATGTTAATGGTAGATCATAGCATAATGGTAGATCATAGTATTGTGATAGATCATAGTATTGTATTATTGTTCAGCAAACATCTGTTTTCCCTCCTTTCAATGGAAGTGGTGTACCTCCCCACCCCACTGACATTGGGCTTAGCCATGTGACTTGCTTCAGCTAATGGAATGTGGGTGACTCAGTGAATGCCACATCCAAGCAGAGGCGTTAAATATTCCTGCATGGCCTCTGGTGATCCTGTCCTCCAGCATGAGATGAACATGCTTCAGATAGCTGCTGCTACTCCCCTGGATCCTCTTCTGAGAGCCAAGTGAAGCAAATAGGAACCCAATTCACCACCCAGATCCAGGCCCATCTGAATCTAGCCAGCCCAGAAGAGCCCTGTAGAACCACAGCTGACCTATGGAAATGAGAAGTAAATGTTTGTTGTTGTTAGCATTGAGATTTGGGGATTACTTTTTATGTGGCATCATCACAACAAAGCCTGACTAATATATTGTATAAAGTTAATTGAGTACTAACAACATGCCAGGTATTGTTCTAAGTCCTTTATATAAAGAATCCCATCTAATCGTTACAGCACTGCATAAGGAGGTATCATAAGTATCTCCATTCAGCTGATTAGAATTGAGGCATCTGGTCAATCCCCTTCATGTTATTCCTCCTCACTTCCTGCATCCGAATGAACCAAGCCTCCTGTGTTCATTAGAACCACAGACCAAGCCTGCTGGAGAAAGACAGGGTTATGAAGATGGGAATGAATTGGCAAACAGCTTTGGGATGACAATGTTAAGGCCAGGCAAATGCTCTCAGTAACCTCAAATGAGTGTTGATGTTCATGAAGCCTGCTCAAAAAAGACACAGAAATTGACGTCTTTTATCTGAGGACCCTTCCTTAGCCTCAGGACTTAAGGCTATGGGAGCATGAGCCACATAACCATGAGAGGCAGGGGGTTCAGTGAGAAGAATAAGCTCAAGAGTCTCACCTGTGGGTCAGAATCTCAGCTGTGCCACACATACTGTGTGATCTTGAGCAAATCACCAAACCTCTCTATTCCTCATTTTTGTCACCTGTAAAGTGGGACTATTACTTGTACCTACATCCTGGATTTGTTGGGACAGTAAATGAGTTAGTGTTCCCAAGGTGCTTAACACAGAGCCTTTGCATGCAGCAAGCACCCAGTCAATGCCCATGACCATGGCCCCCTGCTCATGCTGCTCTTTTGTTCCCCCTGAGGTCTTTTGGGGACAGAGAGTGTGAAAATGCCCTCTACCCACACAAGGAAACAGGACTCAGGGACAGAGGACCTGTGCCCTGACCAAGGCAATGCATCCCTCACCATATATGCAGTGGTGCATCCTTTCCTGTTGCCTTTTGGATCAGCAATTAAGGCTTTAGTCTTTTTTGTTGGTGTGCAAAGGTATTTTCTTAATGGCCCTGCAGCCCAGCCATCACAAAAATGCTTTCCAGCTCTCAGGGAGAACATTTCTGATGCATGCTGAATCCAGAATTCAAATGAAGCAAAACAAAGGCACCAGGGGCTCTTATGAGACAGAGTGACTCAAAATAGAGGGAATGTGGGGACTTGGGGCATAAGATTGATCATGAATCACCAAATAGAAAAACCTTGGGATGGCTTTCAAGAAAAATCCTCCTTGAAGTTTTAACTTTCACCTACAAGCAAGTTTTCTCACTGCTCTGTACAGCAGGGTAAGGACAGCAGCCTCACAGCATCAGTCTGAGGATAGAATGGGTTAATGCAGCCAGGCACAGTGGCTCATGCCTGTAATCCCAGCACTTTAGGAGGCCGAAGCAGGCGGATCATGAGGTCAAGAGATCAAGACACCCTGGCCAACACGGTGAAACCCCGTCTATACTAAAATACAAAAATACTAGCTGAGTGTGGTGGTGCATGCCTGTAGGCCCAGCTACTTGGGAGGCTGAGGCAGGAGAATTGCTTGAACCTGGGAGACGGAGGTTGCAGTGAGCCAAGATCACACCACTGCACTCCAGCCTGGGTGACAGAGTGAGACTTTGTCTCCGCAAAAAAAAAAAAAAAAAAAAAAAAAGAATGGGTTAATGCCTGAGAACTCTTTGGCACAGTGCCCAGCACAAATTCAGCAGTCACTCAGTGTTGGCTATCATCTTTGGTGATGTTGGTCCCAAACCCAGACCTCTGCTCTTGTCCTCGGCTCATACACCCACCTGTATAGCCCATATGCACTTTAAACATGAGTCCAAAATGGAATCCAAAATATTAGATGCCCTCGTTGCCACCACCAGGTTTGCTTTCCTCTCAAGCCACTGAGGGATCCATAGAAGCAGAGACCATGATGAGAACCCATCTTTAACTCTGGGTCGCTAGCACAGGGGCAGAGTAGGCAGTCACTACATCTTCAGAGCTTGTGAGTTTTATTTTGCTTTGTTTTGCAATCTGTCATCCTCACACTCTTACTATATAAGACAGTGCCTAGCCAGACAAGCATAGGTTTAAATCTCCACCTTGTCATTTCTTAGCTGTGTGACCCTGAGCGACAAGCTTGAGTTTTCTGAGCCTCAGCACCTTCAGCTGTACAGTGAGAATGAACAGACCTCCTCACAAGGCTGCTATAAAGAATTAACGAGGCTGGGCATGGTGGCTCCCACCTGCAATCCTAGCACTTGAGGCCGAGGTGGGTGGATCACCTGAAGTCAGGAGTTCGAGACCAGCCTGACCAACATGGTGAAACCCCGTCTCTACTAATAATACAAAAAATTAGCCGGGCATGGTGGTGGGCGCCTGTAATCCCAGCTACTCGGGAGGCTGAGGCAGGAGAATCGCTTGAAACCAAAACCGGGTGGCAGAGAGAGGATGCAGTGAGCCAAGATTGCACCACTGCACTCCAGCCTGGGTGACAAGAGTGAAATTCCATCTCAAAAAAAAAAAAAAAGGAATTAATGAGATCACTCCACACAAATCCTAATGTGGCATCTGATACAGGGTGAGTTCTAGTAAATGAGCATTTTTTACACTCAAGATGTAAGAGTGATGGTTTCATTATTAGAGATGAGAGAACCAAATTAATAAACGTTTAATCATGTACTTAAAATCACACAACTGGGACTCATAACCAAGCCCTTTTCTTCCTGGTCTGATGTTCATTCCTTGTTGTCTGAAATGTCAAATCATTTTACCAGAATAGCAGGGGAGAGAGGGACAGAAAGTTGCTTAAATTATTGATTTTGTTTTAGCAGCCTCTCATCCTGCAAGAGGGGCTTGCAGTAACAAAGGCCTGGCACCTTTGAGTTTGTTTTTGGTCCATTTTTTAAATCTTCATTCCCTTTAGCTCTTGTTGAAAATGGCTTCCTGCCACTTTGCACAGAAAAATCTCTTTCATGAAATACCAAAACCAAACAAAAAACAGGCCTTCGAAATGCTGTTTTGCCTCCTCCTAAGAGCTAACATTTGCCAGTTGTAATTAACATTCCTTTCGCTTCTTTCAACAGAAAATCAATCAGGGCCCTAAAATCCCTGCACATCTGTATTTAATCCACAAATAATTCAACAATGTTCTATCTTAATGGTGTATTGTGAGAAAAGCATAAATGTCATCAACTTCTTTTACGTGGAAAGAACAATAGGTCATGAACTTGTTTGTGCTCCTGATGTCCTTTAGAAATGGATTCCTAAGGACCAGGAGTGTTCTCCCCACCGACGGTGCACAGTGCCACAGCAAGGACAGTCAACTGGGAGTTGGGAGACCTGGACTTCAGTTCACACCACTTTGCTGGGGTACTTGGGCAAGTCCCTCAGGGCCTCAATTTCTGCATCTGCACAATATGGGGAGTGGTCAACATGATTTCCAAAGTCTCTAGCCAGATTTCAAATTTGTTTACAGCACACAGAAAATTGCTAAAGAGAAAAAACTATAGTGGCCATTTCTGTTCAGGCTGCAAAATCTTGTGCACTATTTACATATTTAGGTATGAACTGTCTCAAAGGGTCTTTCATTTAAAAATGACCAACATGGAGAAACCCCATCTCTACTAAAAATACAAAATTAGCCAGGCGTGGTAGCGCATGCCTGTAATCCCAGCTACTCCGGAGGCTGAGGCAGGAGAATGGCTTGAACCCGGGAGGCAGAGGTTGCTGTGAGCCGAGATAGCACCATTGCATTCCAGCCTGGGCAACAAGAGCGAAATTCCGTCTCAAAAAAAAAAAAAAAAAAAAAAGAGGATGTAGGCTACAGCCATATACCCTGAACATGCCCAATCTCATCTGATCTTGGAAGCTAAAAAGGGTCAGACCTGATTAGTACTTGGATGGGAGAAAATGAAGGTGGAGATAGTTCTTTGTGAAGACACATGTGTGTACTTATTTGTGCACTTGTGTGCTTGCAATTGCATCTTGGGCACATGTGTATTGTGGAGGCATCTGTGTGCCTGTGGAGTGTGTATACATAAGTACCTGATGTATGTTTGGCTGCAGAGGCACAGAAGGTCAGCAACAGCAGGTGGCTGCATGCAGGGGCACTAATAATTACTCATTTTATACAAACTGTTTAGCAACAATGTTAGCTATTCTACTGCTGACTTTACGAACAGAGAAAATGTGGCCGGACACAATGGCTCCTACCTGTAATCCTAGCACTTTGTAGGGGCTGAGGCAGAAGAAGCCCTTGAGCTCAGGAGTTTGAGACCAACCTGGGTGACGTAGTGCGACCTAGTCTCTAATAAAAATTAAAAAAAAAAAAAAAACTATCCAGGTGTGGTGGCGCATGCCTATAATCCCAGCTACTTGGTAGGCTGTAGCAGGAGGATCACCAGAGCCCAAGAGTTTCAGGCTGCAGTGAACCATGATTGCTCCACTTCACTCTAGCCTGGATGACAGAGCAGGACCCTGTCCCCCTGCCACAAAAAAAGAAAAGAAAAGAAAAGAAAAAAGAAACATAGAATAGAAAACGTCTCCTGGTTTGCATCCTGGAATAGAGAAATGAGCACAGGCTTTCAAATCAAACAGTAGTGATTCATATCCTGCCCCTGGCACTCACCCAGCATCTCTGAACCTGAATATTTTCATCCAGGTTGACTTAAGGATGAAATGGAAAAAGATTTACAAAGTACCTGGGGCATAGCAAAGGATTCAATAAATGTTCTCTCCCTTTTCTTCTATATTAGTTATCTATTGCTAAATAACAAATTAACCCAGAACTTAGCAGCTTAAAACAGCAAGTGTTTTTCTGATAGTGTCTATGAGTCAGGAGCCCAGGCAAAGCTTCGCTGGGTCTTCTGGCTCACAGTCTCCCAAAGGCCGCAATCAAGGAGTAATATAAGGCTATGGTCTCATCTGAAGGCTCAACTGAGGGATGCTTCCTTTCCAAGCTCACTCATGTGATTATTAGCAGGTTCAGGTTTTGGCTGACTCTTGGTCAGACACTCCCCCAGCCTCTGGTTTCTTGCTACTGGGCCTCTTCATAGAACACCCACAACATGGCTGCTGGCTTCCATCAGAACAAGAAAGCAAGAGAGCAAGAGAGGGTGAGCAGGATGGAAGTCATTTTCTTTTTGTAACTTCTCAGAGGTGCTGTTCATCAGTTTCACCATATTGTGTTTGTTAGGAACAAGACATTAGGTTCAGCCAAGATATAAGGGAGTGGAGAGGATTATACAAGGGCATGAATACCAGGAGACATGGATCACTGGAGGCCATCTTAGGGGCTGCTGGGAAGCCTGTCCTCCAGCCCCCAGTGATTCACATCCTCCACCCCATGCAAAATACACTTGTGTCCTGCCAAGATCCCTAAAAATCTCCTCCCCCTTCAGCATCAACTAAAGTTCAGAATCTCATCAAATCAGGTATTGGGGTGGGGACTTCTTGAGAATGACTAGTCACATGCAGCTCCTAGAGTACAGTTCCTCTCTCTCTGAGAGCCTGTGAAACTAGAGAGACACAGTATCTGCTTCCATACGCCTAGCATTAAATGGTATAACAGGCATGGGTTAGCTCTATATCTGTCTCCTTTTTCTCTAGATGTTTGATGAGACAAGTATTTTAATTTTGTATTCCACTAATTTATTCATTCAACAAATACTTATTAGGTACTGACTATAGACTCTATTTATTTTGCATTCCCATTTTGCCAACAAGGAATCTGAGAATCAGAGGCAAAATATTACAGCTTGGCCCACTGAATTATTTTTTCTTCTCTGAAAGGACCTCTAGGATTCTCCATCAATGAGGACTTTCTAGTCACAGCTGCAGTGAGGTTTGAGTTTAGCTGATTAGACCATCAACCACAAAGACTACACATTCAAATACTTTTATGTGGCAGAATATCTAAGAATAATTCAAGCTAATAAAAGATCTAGAGAATAATTAGATATATTCATTGTTAATAAGAGCCCATTTAATATTGTAGCAAAGGCAAGATCAGGGCAGGGTCAAGGCAGATAATTTTCAAACATGCCTAATGATAGTGTAGACCAATGGTGTTTTTCAATTGTGGCTATATACATTCTAACACATTCAATTTTTTTTAAAAAGTGAAGCTTAGGTCCTATTCCTTAGAAATTCAGATTTAACTAATTTGGAGTGGGCCCCAGACATCAATATTTTAACTTTCAAGTGGTTCTAGGAAAGACAGGTTTAGGGGCTGTGGAGAGACACAGAATGGCAAGTACTTAGAACATTCACACATCCCCCACCTCCCAAGCTCCTAACAGAAATCATTTATTAGCCAGTCCCCTCAATGTCATTGGTTGGAATGCAATTGTGTAGTCTTTCTCATCCCAGGACTCCAGGCAGCCCCTACCCATGAAGCCAAGTTGACATATGAATGAAGGCATATGTGTTAGCCCTGACAAGCCACACTGGGCATGCTTTCCCAAACCTACAAATTATCAAGGGTGTAGAAAAATAGAGCCCTCTCCATGCTGAGCAGATCTCACTCATGTAGACAACTGAGGTCTAATTACCCATTGGAAATGGCCATTGGAAGAGCACAGGAAAAGGTCCAAGATGGAGAGGGAATTTACAGCCAAGTCTGATAATGGTTTCAGAACCTCAAAATACTTCACCTGGAGAGGACCCATGGGCAATATACATGAAGGAGCTCTCCTCTTCCTGAGTCCCTCCAAAGAGTTGTGTAAAGCCCAAAAGGGGGGCTCTCCAGGAGTAGATGCTCTTCAAATCCCACTTCTATCCCTTACTAGAAGTATAACCTGGCTTGCTATTGAGCCTCTCTCAGCCTCCTTTTCCAAATGAGGACAATGGTGCCTATGTCACAAGAATATTGCAGTGATTCCATGAGAAGATGTATACAAAGCACCTTGCCCAATAGATAGTCAACAAATACTGGTTGTCACCTTTATTCTGTCAGTGTTGGTGGAGTGCTGGTACTCATAGTTCACTAAGAGTTTTTAGGACAGCAATGATCTTAGAAGAGAATCAGATCAAAGTTCTGAGTGTTTTCCCTGGAACTGGCATTGTATTATTAATATCCTACAAATGGGAGACATGTATCCCCTGGTCTCATACCTGGAATATCAAAATGGTACTTCATTAACAGTGTCAAAGCAAAAGTCTGATGGCTCTGCCTGCTCTTGTGAGTAGGGGTACTCATATTCCCTTTAAGCCCTTCCCCCAAATTGGCCTAGAGGTCCAGGGGGTTCCACATGGGCTCAACATTCTCTGATTAACTCTCCCCTCATATCAACAACTTCCTCCTATCAAGCTTGACATCTTGTGCTATTTCTTCCTATTCTAGGTGTAGGCAAGTCTAGTTTGCTCTTCAGCTACTCTATCCCTCTCCTGCATATTGACTCTTGAATTCTTGATCCCTAGTAGCTTCTCACACTGTCTGTAAAATGGAGCATGGAACCACTACATAGAAACAGGAAGGTTCTGCCCTGTACTCTCAGCTCTTAAGGGCACAGTCACAAGAAGACCATTTTTAAATTCTCATTGTGTAACACCCTTACACATTCCACATGCATCATAGCACATAACTCTGACAATAAACTACAAGGTAAGCAACTAATTATTCCCTTTTTAATATTTTTTAAACCTAGGAAGGTAACTTAATCTCTTTGACTTCCAGTTCTCATGAACTAGAACATTAGAGAATCAAGATTTGAACCAGAGGTGATGGTTTTTAAAATATGTCTGCTAGATATCAAAATGAGTGCATGGGATTTGATATATGTACATAGGTAGGCATAGAAATAGATAGAGATGCTCAAGGATATGTGTATATGCACATATGAATATGTGTGCATGTATATACATGTATCCATTTCCCAACTCTGTCTTTTAAGAGGATATAGAAACAATATCACCCCAGTAACAATAAACACCCTAGTGCCCACATCTTGATTTCTCCATATCATTTTCTGCTAGAAGGAACCCTGGTCTCCTTGGAAAAATGGATGATTCCAAGGCTTGGACAGGGAATACACAAGATGAGTCTGACATATCTCATGTTGAAAAGTAACAAACTACTCAAAGAATAATGACAGCATGTCAAAAGGACACAAGAACCAACTTAAAGGGCTCCCACTCACCAAATCTAGGGCAACCTAAATATCATGATAAGTATGGATACCCTCAGTTCACTGAGAGATTTGAGGTCAGGGACAGTCTTAGAAGACAATAGAAAACAGTGTTCTGAGTGTTGCCCCTAGAATGAGCATTGTGTTAATATCATAGAAATGGGACACATGTGTCCCCAGGTCCCATACCTGGAATGTAAAAATAGTATCCATTAACAGCGTCAAGTAAAAGATTATAACCTATTATAAAAACTAGAAACCCGGGCTGGGCATGGTGACTCAAGCCTGTAAATCTCAGCACTTTGGGAGGCTGAGGCGGGAAGTCTGTTTGAGCCCAGGAGCTTGAGACCAGCCTGGACAACATAGGGAGGCCCCGTCTCTACAAAAAAAAAAAAAAAAAAAAATTACCTGGGCATGGTGGCATATGCCTGTGGTCCCAGCTACTTGGGAGGCTGAGGTGGGAGGATCACTTCAGCCCTGGAGTCAAGGTTGCAGTGATCTGTGATCATGCCACTGCTCTCCAGCCTAGACAACAGAGTGAGACCCTGTCTCAAAAACAAACAGAAAACTAGAAAACCAAGATTCTATGCCGATGTCAATAATATAAACAAGTGTTCTTCCTTACAGTAGAAAACCAACAATACATTTAGAAAGATTACAGAATTTTTTTAAAAAACATGATTTGACAACCACAGTAATAACTGATTCAGGGAAGGGCTACTAATAAATGCTAAAACCAATGGATGCAAGTTTGAGAAATAATAGGATATCTTCATAGTCTCAAAGTATTTCTCCAAAGGAAATACATATTAATTATAAAGAGTAAAACGGTGGACAGCACCGTAACCCCATGAACAAAGTTAACATTGCTAGTAATGGGACTAATTAATAGCACCTGCCCCTCATGCCTTGAGCTACAGGAGCTCAGCATGGCATCAGTGATATTCCTGCCCAACATGCATAACAGAATCTAATCATGGAAAAGCACCAAAAAACCGAAGTTGAAGGACAATTATACCAAGTAACTGGCCAGGTAATCTTCACAAAGGTCTGTGTCAAGAAAGACAAAGCAGCAGAAACTTTCAAATTACAGGGGACAGCTAAATGCAACACATGGTCTTGGATTGTTTTGTTATAAAGGACATTATTGTGAAGTCTGAATAAAGTCTGTAGATGAGACGAGAGAATTCCCTGTTTTTAGGAAATATGCAACAAAATATTCAAGAGTAAATGGGCATCACACCTTAGATGACTCAGAAGAAAAAGGGAAGAACAGAGATAAGTGATACAGTGAAACCCTGATGTTTGGGGGATCTGGGTAAACAATATTTAGAAATTCTTTGTACCGTGTTGCAAGGTTTCTGTAAGTCTGAAACTATGTGAGAACAAGTGTTTAAAAATAAAGCATAAAATGTAAAACATCTCTTCTGCAAATTCTTTGGCACTCCTCCCATGAAGAGGTAAAGTCTAATCACCTCCCCTTGAATATGATTTGGACGTAATGACTCATTTCTAACCAATGAATATGGTGTATGGATGCCTAATTATAAAAGAAGATTCAGCATGTATCAGAACAAGGAAGTTCTGGGGCATGTGTTTTGTGTAATTCACGCTCTGTGTGGTTCATGTGCCCATTGCTCAGATAAAGAAGCTGGAGCTCAGAAAGGTGCCCAAATTCAGAAGACTAATAAATGGTGGAGCCAAACTTCAAACTTAGGGCACTGGAGCCTCCAATCCCAGGCAGGTGGCCTTGTGGACGGGGAGCTGGGACCTGGAGTCTGCCCGCCTGGCCAAGGCCTCTCGAGTGCTGCAAGATGGGTATTTGGGGCCGGATAATTCTCTGTGCACCATAAGTTGTTTAGCAACATCTTTGGCCTCTACCCAGAAGACGGCAGGAGCACCTGACACCCAGTTGTGACAACCAAAAATGTCTCCAGACATTGCCAAATATCTGTGGGGGTGCAGGGTGCAAAGTTCCCTCATTTAAGAACCACTGACCTAGGGTGAACCGTGGTTCCACTACTTACTTTTCACATGACCTTGGACAAACAACCTTGTCCTCAAGGTCCTCTGTGCCCCCATGTCCTCACCTGTAAAATGGAAAAATAATAACATGTGAGGTTAATGTGAGGAATAAATAAGAATCCAGGAAAGCAATTGGCCCATCATGTAAGAGCTACTTTGCCCATAACCCTAGGGTGCCTTCCCTCCAAACACAAAGCTGTGCACAGAGGAGGTACACAGTGAAGATCTGCTGTTGTATAGCTGTGGGGATGAATCAATTAACCATTTCAGTAACAAATGAACAAAAAACTGAATGTCCTGATCTGTGCACTAGTGCATTTGCTGACTGAAGATGTCCTGGCATCCTCTCTCACCATCAAAGAGCAGTTAGGATTAAAGACTCCACAGCCAGGCTACCTGGGTTCAAGTTGAGCTCTGCCACTCAGGAGTTATGTGACCACAGGCTGGTTATTTAGCCTGCCAATGCCTTCATTTCCTTATCTGTAAAATGGGGTAATAAAAGTGCTTACCTCACAGGGCAATGAGAGTGAAATGAATTAATACATGTATTGTACCCAGCACAGGCTGGGTCTCCATCATGCCTGCTGCAATTGCTGCTACAGCAATTAACATTAATCCTATCACACTCCTCTTTTATAGCCCTCCAGCCACACTCCTCTGAGGGTGCCAAGAACAATCCCATTTCCAAGCCTTTGCACTTGCCACTCCCTCTGCCTGGATTGCTCTCCTTCCCAGACATTAGCAGCCCTCCAATCCTTACTTCATCAAGGTCTCTCTTCATGTGGCTCTTTGGAAAGTCCTCCCCTGACCACCATAAATAAAACAGCAGCTTCACCACCCTACTCACCCTGGGCTTTTTGCAACATAGCAATTACCCCTGCCTGGCATTATCTATCCTGGTCAGTACAGCACAGTGCAATGCAGTGCAGTATAGTACAGATCTCTTTATTGGCTTATCTCTCCCACAGCTCACATAAATGTTCCAAGAGAGCAGAGAATTTGATTGACAACTATATTCCCAGCATCTAGAACAATGCCTAGAGCATAGTACGTAATTATAATGAATGGTGAGTGATATTTTACAGAAGGAAATTCCAAAGTCCTCACATAACCCATTTTCCATAACACAGAACTTATTTAAACTGGAGCCTAGAACAGTGTTTTTCACAAAAGATTTTGCTTATAGCAACCCATGCTTTAGAACAGAATATTGTAAAGACTTCCAGATCAGTTAGATTTGAGTTTCTCAAGTAGTGACTGTGGACTCCAGTGAAACAGTAACAGGAATTCCACCAAACAAGGTTCACAAAGTGAATGGCATTGGGAAATGATACAGAATCTTCTCGCACTGGAGATGCATCATGCACAGGAGAAGCTCTAAGAAGTCCTATCGAGAAAACAGGTGTTGAACCTGGGTTTGCTGAACTTATTTCACCAGAGACCCCATCCATTAACATCTGCATCACAAAGCACAATTGGGTAAACAGTGATCCAGCTGAAGTCCTTCCATTTACAGACACAGACAGAAAATGAGGCCCAGAAAGGTTAATTGACTCACTCAAGGTCATGCGACCATCTCCTGAATCGTAGAGCTGTGTGCTTTTCACTGCCCCTAATGTTGCCTAATGGTTCACTTAGCTATCCATTCACAGGAGGTCAGAAACTGTACACGGGCCTCAGATTCCAGTATCATTTTGACTAAATTATATATAAAAATTGATGTACCGAATAGGATTTGCTTTCAATCTCACTATTCCAGAATAGTCATTCATTCAACAAATATTTATTAAGTACGATGTGCCAGGAGCTGCACATTTTGCAGTTGGCTGCACAGAAGACTGACAATAAAATTAGCCTTAGAGAGATCAAAATTGATTGAACTGTCCTTGATAAAACTGCTTCAAAGCAGGGACTTGCAAGAAATTGCATATTCACATTTCATTTGCTTCCATTAATAGTGCTCATATTTAGATCTGATGGTAATACTATGCTCTCAACTGGTGTGGGTCTGGAATAAAACACTCCCCTTGACTGTGCACACTGCAGAGAGGAAAAACAAAATGATTGGAGTCAGCTGGGCTTTTCTATTGAGCACCTCGACCTACAGATTTTCCAATTTCAAGTTCATTCACATTTCATCTCTGGCTTCTACATTTTAGTTAAAAAGCATTTCTCTATTTGCTATTGTCCACTAAGGAAAATGCCTATTTAAAAATAGATTTCTTTTTTAAAGCATCTTGATTCACACATTTCAAAGCCCTTCAGAAAACAGGATTTCTCAAAAGCCATGTGATTCTAAAACATGCTACAGATTTCAGATGGAGAAAGATTCAAGATATTATTCTACATGAACTTTTCAATGAACTGATCGCATCTGTCTAGGAATAAGGAGAGTTGTCTCATGTTACTTCAAAAAAGATTCCAAATGAAAAAAAAAATCTGGGCTTGAGAAGATCTAATGCCATGCCATTGAAGCCAGGTTTCAGCACAGACCCAACATGTGTATAAGTAATAAAAAGAAACCTGAGAAAACAGAAGCTCCTCAAGGTCCTTTGCCCTGGTGTATCTTTAAGGCCAAACTGTAAAGAGAATAAGCATGTACTTCCAGACCCAGCAAATGTCTTCTTTGCATTTTAAGGATGCACTCATCGTTTCTTCAGAAGCAATCCTGAAACCCAGTGTAGCAAAGCAAAGATAGTCACCACATAATACAAATAATCTGTGTTTATTAGATACCAGAATAAATCAGGGAGACTTCTTAAGCTATGGTAAAGAGACCCCCACCAGCACAGAGAGAAGAAATGACACAAGCACAAAGCCACGGGAATCCAGACCCAGGAAAGCTGTGCTCCCACCACATCACTGCACACACACAAAACCTGCTGTTTAAAAATCAATTCAAACACAAACAAGTGACTGAAAAAGCCATTTGTTTAAAAAGGGAGGGGAGAGCATATTTTTTAAGGACCAAGTATCTTTTTTTTTTTTTTTTTTTTTTTTTAAGGAGCCAGCACCATACTCTCTTCTCTCACAGGATCATTGTTCCATCTCTGGTAGGCTGGGTACATTTGACTGAGTTTATTGCAACTGCTTCTGCCAATTCTTTGAACTATCAATCAATGGGGTGAGGTTTCTAAGCACACCAGCTACTACACAGAAACACATGATAAAGGGAGCAGTACTGGAAAGCCATGTATTTGCTTGTGTGTGCATGCTTGTCAATGTCTGTGTGGTTATGCAGATCCATGAGGGGGTTTCTTAATGCAGTTTAATGGAATCCATTTGGGGTGAAAGGTGTTATTTTGTCTAAAGAAATCTCCCCCTCGCAGTCCAGCTCTCAGACAGACTCTGCAACAGGGTCACCATCTGGGGATGTCTGATAGATCTGGGACATGCGATCGAAAGGACTCTCCTCCTCCTCATCGTTGTCCACCTCCCGGTCCCCGGGGGGAACGGCGTTGGGCATCATGTGGATGTAGGCAGCTGCGATTTCCTTGTGGAAGACCGTGTCTTGGCTGTAGGAGATGAGCTCATTGCTGATGTTCACCGTCTCCACCGGCGTGCGGGAGCAGACGTGGCTGCACCCCAGCAGCTGGGCAAACACCTTCCGGAAGTCGGCGTTGAAGGCATAGTGACTGGGTTGAGTGAGGAGTTGGCCCAGCAGAACCAGATGAAGACATCGAATGTGGTCTCACTGACGCAGGGGAAGCCGGCCGGAGGGCCTTTGGGGTGTCCACTGCAGAAAGGGACCATGCAGTTAAGGATGAAGAAGGGCAGCCAGCAACACACGAAGACCCCCATGATCACCGACAGGGTCTTGAGAACCTCGGTCTCCTTCTTGATGGAAAACCGCAGGCTGGTGTCGGGCGCGCAGCCTGCGCTGCTCCGGCAGCTCTGCACGTGCTCTGCGGCCCTCTCCAGGGAGGAAATCCTGCGGATCTGCACCTGGGCGATGCTGTAGATGCGCGTGTAGGTCACGATCATGATGGCCATGGGGATGTAGAAGCTGATGAGCGAGGAAGAGATGGCGTAGGTTCGATTCAGGCTGGAGTCACAGTTCTCTGCCCTCACGTCGGGCTCCCAAACGGCCTCCTCCCAGGGCGTCCAGTTGGCCAGGTTGTTTGGCAGGTCCAGCCCACCTCAAGAGACCGCCTGGTCCCTGTGCCAGTTGAGCTGGACCGGAATGAAGGAGATGAGGCTGGACAAGGTCCAGGCCGGGTGGACCATGACCAAGGCCATGCGCTGGGTCATCTTGCGCTCGTAGCGGAAGGGCCTGGAGATGGCCCAGTAGCGGGCCACGCTGATGACCTGCTGACGCACAGGTTCAGGATGGAGGCGGTGGAGCACATGATGTCGAAGGCCACCCAGACGTCGCAGAACGCTTCAAAGGGCCAGTAACCGGCCACCTCGGCGACTGCCTTCCAGGACATGACCAGCAGCGCCACGAAGAGGTCTGACACAGGTAGAGACACGATGAAGACGTTGGTCATCTTGGCGCGCAGGTGGCGGCTCCGCACGATGGCTGCGGACACCAGCACGTTGCCCAGCAAGGTCCAGATGATGAGTAGGGTCAGCAGGCAGGCGGTGACCACCTGCACGGGCCCCAGTGGCGGTGCCCCCGCCGAGCCCCCCACGGCATTCCCCTGCACCAGCTGCTGGTATAGCGCTAACTGCCCCGGGTACGCGGTGCCGTTGCTCCTTGGCGGCAGCATTTCGGGCTGGGCCGCAGAGTCGGTTTGTGTGCGATCCCAACTACAGCCCTGCGACCCCCAGGCAGCCCCATCGGGCACCCCGAGGATGCGCCCCCTCAGCCAAGGGACCCTCGAGCCCCAGAGGGCGCTCACCATGAGCTGCGCCGGGTCCCGGAGCGCGCGGGGACTTCTCTTGCTTCCTGAAGCGCCTCTGGCTCGGTGGCCGTGGTGCGCCCCTCCAGTCTACGCGATGGGCACAGGAAGCGGCTGGTGCCCGCTGACAGCCAGGGCTGTTCTCGGGAGTCTGCGGCGCGCCACATGGCAGCGACAGCGGCTGTGTCTGGTTCGGAGCGAGAGAAGGGAGCAAGCCGCCACTGAGGGGCTGGGGCAGGCAGTCGCCGGCGCCGGGCTGGCACTGCGGCGCTGCCGCGGTCCCTGGCCGCTCCCCGGCCCCGCGTCTCGTCCCCCGCGCCTCCGCGCTGGACTCCAGCCCCACCTGTGCCTTGGCGCCCTAGCTCACCGCGCTCGGCGCGCCAGAGTGTAGTGGTGATCCCGCAGGTCCCAGGAGCGCCCCAGCGCCAGACCCTAGCCCCGGGCCGGGGAAAATTCTTCCCGGGAAGACCGAAGGGTGCTTGGTGTAGCCCTGGAGTCCTAGCCCTAGCCACGCTTGGGGAACAAGAGGTGGGGTAGGGATGAGGACGCGAGGGCTTCCGGAGGGGGAAAGAGCATTTGAAGTGTAAAGGGGACCGCCTTGGATTGCCCACAGACCTGAGTCCCAATCCGGACTTTATTCCTGGCTCTGCAACTTTAAGGGCCCTACATTACTTTACCCGGCCTTGGTTTCCTTCTCCACAACGTGGAATAATGATTCCTCCTCCTAGAACAGTGTCAGAACTCAGGGAAGCCTTCTAGGATGAGGTGTCCAGTAGACAGTGTCTCCTAGGAACAGGCTCCCGCTTCCCCCAGCCCCTCCCTCAACACCATGAGGCTGGGGCTTCACCTGACCTCTTGGGAGACTGTCCTTTTCCCCACCACCGCCCCCAGTCCTTCAGTGATTTTTCCTTTGGGGAATAATTTGGAATGAACCCAGAAGACAAGAGGAGGAAGAGAGCCCCCCACCCCCCCCACCCCCAGAGAGTTGGAAGCCTCTTCTTTGCAGGGCACTTTTACAGTCTTTCTCTTTTTCAACCTTGAGAGGGGTGGATACATAGCTCAGTGTTGAACAGAAAAGGAACTGACGGGGCCCAAAACCCAGACTGAAAAAAAAAAATGATGGAAAACAATAAAGAGGGAAAACAGTGTTCCTGAGCTCTGAGTGCACCTCCCAGCTGACAAGTTGCATTTGTGAAGTGTTTCGGCCTCTGCTGGCGTTAAGCTCAGCTGAAGGCAGCTGGGAGAGAAAGGGATGTGACAGCAGCCAGCTGCACAGCTCCAGCTGCGACCTGCTGGCCCAGACACCTGCAGCATGGTGAGGTCTAGTAACAGACTAGACTTTCTCCTCCCTTCCTAGTCTCCCCCTTCACCAAATGCACTTGCACCCTGGACCAACACCTGCAAGTGGCCCAGCTTCTCAGACTTAGGCTGCTCAGCCTACACAGTCCCTTCCCCCAACCTCTTTCCCCTTCAGTGCTTTCTGCCGCTGGAGAAGGCAAGACCATCTGTCCAGGTGCCTAAACCTGAAACTGAAGAGCCATCCTCACCTTCGGTCTCTCCTCATCTTCTAGGAGCTGGATCACTCCTCTGGCCATGGACATCCCTGTCCAGAATTGTGCCTCCTCCACCCTGTTTGAAGGTGGCACTCTCCTGGCCTCCAGGCTCTGCCCTGACCCTCTGTCTTCCCAGAGGCAGTGATCTTTCCTGAATGTGACTATGCTCCTGTCACTTCCCTGATGAAACACCCTCAGTGTGTTTCATGATCAGCTCCCTGTGGCCCCTGTTCCTCTCCTGGAGAGGAGAGGAACTAAAAACACAAAAATACAAAAAATTAGCTGGGCGTGGTGGTGGGTGCCTGTAGTCCCAGCTACTCCAGAGGCTGAGGCAAGAGAATGGCGTGAACCTGGGAGGCAGAACTTGCAGTGAGCCGAGATTGCGCCACTACACTCCAGCCTGGATGACAAAGCAAGACTCCATCAAAAGAAATGAAGAAAAGAGAAGAGAAGAGACGAGACGAGGACAGAAAGAAAGACAGACCGGAAGAAAAGAAAAGAAAAGAGAAAAAGACCATATCACCCAAATATGAGAAATTCTCCCATATATACATACTTGTATCTAGATGACTAATCTCTGGAAAGTTATAAGAAAACACTGGTTCTTTCCAAGGAAGGGATGGCCAAAAGGTAGGCTAACTTAACATTGTTCACTCTTTTTAAGACCTTTGTATTTCTTGTATCATGCACAGGTATTGCCTATTCAAAAACAAACCTACAACAGGGAAAGACTGAAAGCTTTTCTTCAATATCTGCTACAAGGCAAGGATGCCTACTCTTAACACTTATATTCACCATAGTCCTAGCCAGAGCAATCACATAAGAAAAGGAAATAAAAGGCATCAGCAGAAAAAAGGGGGTAAAATTATCCCTGTGTGCAGATGACATGATCCTGTATGTAGAAACCCCTAAAAATTCCACAGTTACTAGAATAAATGAATTCAGTCAAGTAGCAGGATACAAAATCAATATACAAAAATCAGATGCATTTCTTTATACAAATAATGATCTGAAAAAAAATCAAGAAAACATTTCCACTTAAAATAACATCAAAAAGAATAAAACACCGAGAAACAAATTTAATGAAGGAAGTGAAAGCTTTATATACTAAACACTATAAAATACTGACAAAGTAAACTGAAGACACACAGCCGGGCATGGTGGCTCACGCCTGTAATCCCAGCACTTTGGGATGCCAAGGCAGGTAGATCACCTGAAGTCAGGAGTTCAAGACCAGCCTGGCCAACATGGTGAAACCCTGTCTCTACTAAAAATACAAAAATTGGCCAGTCGGGCATGGTGGCAGGCACCTGTAATCCCAGCTACTTGGGGGGCTGAGGCAGCAGAATTGCTTGAACCCAGGAGGCGGTGGAAGTTGCAGTGAGCTGAGATCACACCACTGCACTTCTGCCTGGGCAACAGAGCGTGACTCTGTCTCAAAAAACAGAAAAAACCTACAGACACAAATAAATATAACGATATCCCCAAGTTTGTGGATTGGAAGAATATTGTTAAAATGTCCATACTATCCAAAGTGATCTACAGATTCAATGCAATCCCTATCAAATTTCCAAAGGCATTTTTTACAAAAATAGAAAACACAATTCTAAAATTTGTATTAAATCATAAAAGACCCTGAATAGCCAAAAGAATCTTGAGAAAGAAAAACAAAGTAGAAGGTATCACACTACCTGATTTCAACTTATATTACAAAGTGATAGTTATCAAAACGTATGGTACTGGCATAAAAGCAGACACATGGATCAATGGAACTGAATACAGAGCCCAAAAATAAACCCAAACATATATTATGAGCTGATTTTTGACAAGTCCAATAAGATACAATAGGGAAAAGATGGTGTCTTCAATAAGTAGTGGTAAGAAAACTAGATATCTATATGCAAAAGAATGAAACTGGACCTGATGCCTATCTTACACATCATACATAAAAAGCAACTCAAATAGATTAAATACCTAACACCTGAAACCATAAAACTCCTAGAAGGAAATATAGGAGAAAAACTCCTTAATATCCTCCTTGACAATGATTTTTTGGATATCACACCAAAAGCTCAGGCAGCAAAAGCAAAAATAAGCAAGTGGGACTACATCAAGCAAATAAGCTTCTGCATAGCAATAAAAAAAAATGGGGTAAAAAGGTAGCACAGGGATTAGGGGAAAATATTGGCAAACCACACATCTGATAAGGGGTTAAAATCCAAAACATATAAGGAACTCACACAACTCAGTAGCAAAAAAAAATCCCCAAATAACTGGATTTTAAAATAGGCAAGGACCTGAATAGCCATTTTTCCAAAGTCACACAAATGGTCAAATGGTATATGAAAAGATGCTCAATATCATAATCATGAGGAAAATGAAAATTAAAACCACAATAGATATCATCTCGTGTCTCTTAGAATGACTATTAACAAAAAGGCAAAGACATAAGTGTTGGTGAGGATGTGTAGAAAATGAAACCTTTGTACATGGTTGATAGGAATGTAAATTAGTATAGCCATTATTGAAAACAGTATAGAGTTTCCTTAAAAAAAATACAACTACCATAAGATCCAACAATGCCTCTGTTGGGCATATATTCAAAGGTAATAAAATCAGCATCTGAGAGAGACATCTGGATTCCCACGTTCATGGCGGCATTACTCCCAATAGCCAAGACATGGAAACAAACTAAGTGTCCTAATGGACAATTTACTTACCCATTCAAGGACAGATGAATGGATAAAGAAATTGTGACATTTGTTTATACATATATTAAGTCCTCCCTTAATGTCATCAATAGGTTCTTGGGAACTGAGACGTTAAGCTAAATGAACATACAGCAGGTCCTCAAGTAACACTGTTTCCTTCAATCTAATTTTGGCATAATGCAAAATGAAAAAAAAATCAGTTTTGTCATACTTTTTTTTCCCTCTTAACCACAGTTTCTAAGAACTTACTGATGACAATGAGGACTTTATACAATGGAATAGTTAGCTTTAAGAAAGGAGATACTGCCATTTGTGACAACATGGATGAACCGGGAGGAAAGTATGCTAAATAAAGTAAGCCAGACACAGAAAAATACTGTATGATCTCACTTAAGAAGCAGAATGGGAGGCAGGGGGGTGAGAAGCTGAATGTATAGAGAGTAGAATGGTGGTTATCAAGAGTCTGGAGGCAGGGGATGGGTGGGATGGGCAGAAGTAGGTCGGAGGGTACAAATCTGCAGTTAGGTAAGATGAATAATTCTAGAGATCAAATTAATACACAGCATGAGAACCATAGTTAATAATATTGTGTACTGAAAATTTGCTGAAAGAGATTTTAGGTGTACATACACAGAGAGTAACTATGGAAGGTGAAGGATACAGATATTTGTTTGACCATAGTAATCATTTCACTATGTATACAAAGCATGTTGTATACCTCAGATATGTATAATAAAAATAAATGAAGAAAAAAACAAAAAACTGTATCCTACCTGCCAAAAACAGTTTCAAATGCATTATGTCTTTGGATTTAGCATGGAATTCACCTTTGCAGGCCCACTTACCTACAACATTATAAATATACCAGGTGATTCATTGTACTATTCACAGTAAAAGATTGAAAGAACGCCGGGAGTGGTGGCTCACGCCTGTAATCCCAGCACTTTGGGAGGCCGAGGCGGGCAGATCACGAGGTCAGGAGATCGAGACCATCCTGACTAACATGGTGAAACCCCGTCTCTACTAAAAATACAAAAAAATTAGCCGGGCGTGGTGGCGGGTGCCTGTAGTCCCAGCTACTCGGGAGGCTGAGGCAGGAGAATGGCGTGAACCCAGGAGGCGGAGCTTGCAGTGAGCGAAGATCATGCCACTGCACTCCAGCCTGGGTGACAGAGTGAGACTCTGTCTCAAAAAAAAAAAAAAAAAAAAAAAAAAAAAAAAAGATTGAAAGAAACCCAAAGGTCTATCAACAGGGGAAAGAACAGGTAAATTAAATTGCTTATATTTCCATACAAAGGAATATTTGCAGCCATAAAAAAATGAAGGACAGTAAAAAGTAGTAAGACAAAAGGAACAAAATATATATACACACACACACACACACTATATATATATAAACACACATTTCCTTGTACATGCATAAAACACATCTGGAAAGTTACACGAGAAACCTCTGAGGTTTCTGGAGATGCAAACTGGGGGCATGAAGGCAGGGGAAAGGGAGAGACTTCACTGTTTACCTTTTTATTATTTTCCAATTTTAAATCATTTGAATGTATAACTTGTCTAAAAATCAAATTTTAAAAGTTGAGGGAATTAACATTACAGAAAGTAACAAACCTCAAGGAAGCAGCCACCTTCACCAGATGGACAGTCTACCTCACTCTTCCCACGCTCCAGTAGTTACTGAATGCCAGTCCCCTCCCTCCATTCAGTCTGCCCAACCTGCTGGCCTTCTAGAGCCTCAGAGCAGTCCTATTCCCACACCTCCAAACACATCCATACACTGTGATGGTCGATCTGGGACCACCAGTTGAGAGGAAATGTGTTGTGTTTCCACTCTTCAGACAAACAGAGTGTTATTTTATTGAGGTTTGGGATTTTTTCTTGCATTAACAGGGTTTCTAGATCCCAGTAGGTGAATGAGAAAGAAGTATGCTTTTATTGCATAAGGAATTTGTTTCTGATACACCAAAGTGATGATGTATGACTTTTCTTAAAGAAGTGGTTATTAGAAGAGTTAAAAATCAATAGAAACAAAAAGTCATAGGTATTGTTCCAATACTCCAGGAACATCACAATTTGGATTCTGTAGATGTGTGTAATATAATGTGTAATATTACATTCTGACAACCTCAAGTTGAAAACTGCACAGCTGAAGATCACTTATAGTCAATAACACTTTTCAAACTTTAATTTTAAATTCATTAAGTCTCTCCCTAATGTATCATACTTTTTAATAAAGGAAACTGTCAGATACGCTATAATACAGAGGAAAACGTTTATATACTCTTTCATTATAATTTTTCCACAACTTCCAAAATGAAGAAAAAGACATGGAAACATTAAGTTCAGAGAATAATTGTGGCAGACAATTCCCTCCTCCTGAAAGTTCAATTACCCCAACACAGGCAAAATTTCTTACCAACTCAAAAGGAACTGAATTCACATATAAAGACAAACGTGGGATTCTGTTGAGTTCTGTTGGACACAGAACACAATTGCTCAAGCACTGGTTGGGCACCTGTATTCTAATAGCTCACGATTACTGAGCACTCCATGTCTGGGAAGAGCCAGTGCTGGGTGCCTGGCATGCATCCTTGCACCTCATCAGCACAACTATCCTATGGGCTCATCCTGGTTCACCTATTTTATAAAAGAGAACACTAGAATCAGAGAAGTTAAAAAATTTGCCTAAAAACATCCAGAGTAGGTTTCATCATTGCCCACTACTTTATAATGCTTTCCCAAGGGTACTGAGACGTTATCAAAACATGTTAGTGAAACAGTCTAAAACATCACAAATTTTAGGTTTAATACAAAATACCCAGAAAAGGGCAGCGTTATTAGAAATCTCAGCATAATGTAATAATAAGAACTTATGATGATTGTATTCTTTTCCTATTTTTTCTCCCGTACAGGCATATGAAATACCATAAAACTTATTTTAGTGGTGTGTGTGTACATGTAGTTTCAGGATAATATAGTAATCTAAAACATTTTTAATATGGCAAAGTTTGGCAATACTAAATTTTTAAAAAGGATTTTTATTTAGCAAACAGAAAGCAAAAATGTTGTCCAAGTAACATGCATTTATTTTATCCCTAGGAATGTACCTTTCCTTCTGCAAAGGATGTGAGATCCTGGCATGTAAAGGAACGTGAGGGACTAGTCATGAAAATACTGTATATTCAATTCCTTAAATTCTAAAATTGTCTTAGCATTTAACATCTAACACACTAAACAATCTTTTTTCATATTCAATAAAAATAAAGACAAATTCAGTAAATTCAGATGGGCTATTTTATCACGTAAATTTTAAAAAAGCAAGGGTAATTTTTCAACTGATTTTCTTTTACCATGATACGAGTCAATGAGAAAATATGAAATTGAAACATATCACCATTTCTCAGTGTTTACAAGTGGTAAGTCACAAGGAAAACCTTCCAAGATCTTCTGTGTTGTTTTTAAAAGGTATTATAATCACATAATTTGGGAAACAATGTGTACTATTATCAAGAAACCTTTCATATTTTGTGAAATGGAGCACTTCCCAAATTTAAGAGACTATGGAAACCTTTTTCAGACATTTTTTAACATCCTCAGAAATGGAAATTCTTGTTAATGCTGATCTGATCAATTCCTCCAAGTATATGGACTACTTCTTTGCAAACTCCAAGCCCCCAAATCAAATTACCTGTTCAACTGTATCTGAAAATCAGTTACATACAAGCATCAGAAAGTGTTTCTCCCAGCAACATAGACCCAAAACACACTACAAAACAAAAATTATCAAGAACATACAAAAGACATATCTTTTCATGTATTTATTTATTTTTTGAGATGGAGTCTCACTCTGTCACCAGGCTGGAGTGCAGTGGCTCGATCTTGGCTCACTGCAACCTCTGCCTCCTGGGTTCAAGCAATCCTCTGCCTCTGCCTCCCAAATAGCTGGGATTACAGGTGCCTGCCACCACGCCCAGCTAATTTTTGTATTTTTAGTAAAGACGAGGTTTCACCATGTTGGCCAGGATGGTCTTGATCTCCTGACCTCAGGTGATCCACCCGCCTTGGCCTCCCAAAGTGCTGGGATTACAGGCATGAGCCACCGAGCCCGGCCACAAAAGACATACCTTTTCAAAGCCACAATTACCTCTCACCTGGACCATTGTTTCTCACTGATCTACCTGTCATAACTCTTGCACCTAATCATCTACTTATATCATAGGAGAGTGTTCCTCTTAAAATATAAATAAGATCATGGTGTTCTTCTTTTCAGGAACATTCAATGGCCTCCCATTCCATTGCTATTAAGCACAAACTACTGACACATCACCTTATGGTTGTGTGAGATATACTGAGCCGTCCTTCTTGTCCTCACATCTCTAATCTTCTCACCTTCTGACTGTCCCCTCTGCTCACTCTGTTGGTCTCCACAACACTCTTCAAACATGCTCAGCACACTCTCACCCAGAGCCTTTACACTGGCTTCTTCACTGTCTGGGGTGCTCTTCTCTCAGGTAATCAAGTGGCTCACTCACTCACCTCTTTAAAATCTGTGCTCAAATACTGCTTTCTGTTCATATGGACTCTAAACACCTGTCTGTACTTCCAATTCCTTTTTTTCTTTTTTTTTTTTTTTTTTTTGGAGACGGAGTCTTGCTCTGTTAACCACGCTGGAGTGCAGTGGTGCAATCTCGGCTCACTGTAACCTCCGCCTCCCAGGTTCAAGCAATTCTCCTGCCTTGGCCTCCTAAGTAGCTGGGATTAGAGGTGCATGCCACTGAGCCCGGCTAATTTTTGTATTTTTAGCAGAGAACGGGTTTCACCATGTTGGCCAGTCTGGTCTCGAACTCCTGACCTCAAGTGATCTACCTACCTCGGCCTCCCAAAGTGCTGAGATTACAGGCATAAGCCACTGTGCCTGGCCAGGCAATTCCTCTTTATCAAACTTTATTTTTACCATGGAACTTGCCAAACACATTATAATTAACTGATTTTTTTTAAGAGTTGAGTTACCTAACATTAAAATATAAACTCTATGCAGAGAATTCTACCTGCTTTGTACACTGATATGATTTCCAACATCTGACATACAGTAGGTATTCAATAAATTCTATTGTCTAAAAGCCGGCTGCAGTGGCGCATGCCTATAGTACCTGCTACTTGAGAGGCTGAGGCAGGAGGATCACTTGAGCCCAGGAGTTGGAAACCAGCCTGGGCAATGTAACAAGACACTGCCCCTTAAAAAAAAAAAAAAAAAAAAAAAAGCTATGAAATAAAATGTAATGGAACAGAAATAATTATCACTTCACTTCTGAATCAGTTGAAAATAAATAACTGCCCCAAAAATGAGGAAACCTACAGTAATCCTCTTTAATTCATATTGGATTTTAGGTTACTATTAAAATATTTTGCTATCTCAAGAATTCAGCAGGCTGAGCAGAGCAGATGGCTTGAGCCCAGGAGTTCAAGACCAGTCTTGGCAAAATGGCAAAACCCCATCTCTACAAAAAAATACAAAAATTAGCCAGGCGTGGGGGCCCACATCCATGGTCCCAGCTACTCAGGAGGCTGAGGTAGGAGGGTCGCATGAACCCAGTAGGCAGAGGTTGTAGTAAGCCAAGATCATGCCACTGCACTCTAACCTGGGCAACAGAGCAAGACCTTGTCTCCCAACCAAAAAAAAAAAAAAAAAAAAAAAAAGAATTCAGCTAGAAAAACCTTATATTTACTTTGATTAAGAAAATGTTTATAAACCAATACTTTATGATGCACACTGGTGAATATGAAGTTATACCTGAAGTAATATTAAATGACAGCTTTTCCATTTCTAGAATGTATGCCTCAACTACCTTAACTTAAACATGGTATTATCCAAGCTCACAGTATCTGAGAAGGTTTGTGTCGTTATCTAGCAAACTAAAGTCAAGACCTCTGTATTTCCCCACCTGTGATCTTCAAAGATATGGTGCTCCTTGAGATTTCTGTAAGGTAGGTCTGTTCTAAAATGTGTGAAAGGAAGAGAACCCGAAAAGGCAAGGTCTAAGAAGATCACTCATTTGGAGATGGCAAGGGTCACATCGGGGTTATCTAAGTCAGTGTGATTTACCCTTTGGTAAACCATACACATATTTCAAAAGTTACTTTATATGCTGTAATTCTTGCACACATATTTCACGGAAAATAAATTAGTATTACCTCGACTATCATCCATATCACCATCCCTTGAATGTTCTGATTGGATGTCTGGAGGGGTCTGAAGGACGGCCACGCTATTCTGATTTATAATCTTCAATTTCAGTTTTGGTTTTGACAGTTTTCTTCTTGGAACTGTAACTGTGAGGCTCTGTAACTGAGTCTTCCCTGATTCAGTCAAACACACACCATCCTGGGTATAAGTCTTGGGTGGGTCTAAAATTACAAAATCCCAAGAATACAAATTTAAACTTTCATTTTAAGTTTGACCGATTACTGTTCCAAAATACCCATGTCAAGGGAATGTGACTGTAGTTCTAGAAAGTAATTACGTATCTATGAAATGCATGAATAATTAATTTCATGATACCCAATAAAAACTAGGAACAATAGGTCAAACTTCCTTGGATTATAGGCAGAAATGTTACATGTTTTTAAAAAATGGTCTTCCTGGGCCCGTTGTGGGGGCTCATGCCTGTAATCCCAGCACTCTGGGAGGCCGAGGCGGCAGGCAGATCACGAGGTCAGGAGATCGAGACCATCATGGCAAACACAGTGAAACCCTGTCTCTTCTAAAAATACAAAAAATTAGCCCGGCGTGGTGGCGGGCACCTGTAATCCCAGCTGTGCGTGAGGCTGAGGCAGGAGAATCGCTTGAACCCGGGAGGCGGAGGTTGCAGTGAGCCGAGATCGTGCCACTGCACTCCAGCCTGGGCAACAGGGTGAGACTCCGTCTCAAAAAAGTCTTCCTGGCATTTTTATGTTCATGTCCCAATAAAAAGAGTTAGAAGCACTGCAAATATATGCAATGCTCAGCTAATCCACTATGAGCTTTTTCCTGGAAAAGATCAAAAGGCAGGGATCTATTTACACAAGAGAAGAGAGAATACTCCAGAAGCTCATCTGGAAAAATCAGAGTATCAACATAATTACTAATAGGGAGAAGTAATAAATAAGTACAAATCCTGCAGATTTAATTTTAAATGTACAAAACTGTTGTTCCTTAGAACAATTTCTGTACTATCCAAATGTTTTTGTATCAGGTGCTATTAAATACAAGTATTCAAAAGAATGACTGTTTAATAAGAATATCATATTAATCACCATACTAGGCTTATTAATTATTTTAAAAAATTAAGAGATTGAATTAATTCTAAAAGAAATCTGCTTGCTAACTAGGCCGTATTTTCTGTTAACTGATAATTAAGCACAGTAATATATCAATGAAACCAAAGCAAGTATGGCATTAATGGTTATTCTAAGAGCTGTTATTTTTGTTGCCAACTTGCTGAAATTTATAGGAATACTGCCCCAGTAAAGCTGGATGACATTTTATATATCATTGTGGAAATGATTACCAACATTACAGAATTTGGATAGAACACCCATATGATTGAAGCAGATTTTACAAGTGGTAAGCCAATTATGTAAAAATTAAGCAAAGTAAATTAATTAAATTAAGTAAAGCATTTCAAATTTTAACTAGCTCTTTTACTTTTGTGACAATTTGTGCTACAAGTGAAGATCCACAGCAGTCTGAGGAAGGCACTGAAATGAAAAAAAAAAAATCCAGGTAATTCTTTTCAGAAAAGGTAGAGTGTATTTACATACTTACATATGATTAAAATTTCTGTTTCTATACTCATTTTATTAAAATAAATGTTTGAACACTAAAGTTAAAAGCACTTTTTAAAGCAACAACAAAACAAGAAGTGATGAAGGAAATACTCAAGTCATGGAGGAAAACCTGGCTAAGAAAGAATCAACACATTGGATTTTAACATATTGTCAATAACTACAAGATCATGTTCCTTGGAAGCAAAATTATAGTTTACATCTAAAGTATATGCTTTTTATTGTTTCATGTAAATTGTTTTATAACAAGTTGTGATAAGTCATGTATAACCAACAATAATATTTTTCATAAAATACTTGTCAAAGTAAGTTTCACAAAGACAAAATAGAGTAGAGCTAAGCTAATTCATTGGTTATGGACAGTAAGGTGCAAGTGAGTGGTACAAGAGTGCAGACTCACAGTTTAAATTATTCTCTTACCATTAGACGCAGGCATATAGGGTCTGCACATGTTACAATCAAAACCAATGTCTGCTACATTTTCCACTTCTTCCTCAGTATTTAAGTTCTGACGAACTGCATGCATCCATCTAAAAAGACCATATTTGTACATTTTTTTAAAAAAATGGAATATACTGAGAACTGCTACCTTTTAAAACCTGTAACACTGAGTCATCAAACTTAAAAGCCCTAAGCCTCACATGCTCCTCCTACCTTGCCCTTTTCTCCTAACTATCCCTATTAACAGAAAAACTTTCATAGAGCTAAGGAGGAAATAAAAAGGAATGAGAACAACTATTAGAGAGGAAGCAAAGCACATTACATAAGGAAGCTAATTATTTTATCATCATATATTAAATATTTCAAAGACAGCAAGGAAGCTAGTTAGGGCAAACACAAAGGTATTCAGAAAACGGCAAATGGCAGTGCTAGCATATATGGGCTCCAGGCAATGCATCTAACTTGAAGTAGACATATATCATGGAAAGCGATGTTGAATGGTAATTGGGAAATAAAGTAAAAAGTTGTCTTACAATGGAACAGATAATTAGTAGCCAGAGTCCCAAGAATACTGTACTACTGATAAGATAATACTATCAATATATGTTCACTGCTTAACTTCTAAAGAGTACAACAATATACCAATGAAAGCAAGGAAACATTCTTGATTTTGAAATTCCACATAATTACGTAGGGAGGGCAGAAGGTGCTATCTAATACCTAGATATCTAGTATCTAGAGCTTCTAGAGAAAGTGGTTTAAGGAGAACAGAAAGTGTTAGATATTTTTTATAATCTATTAAAAGATTCAGAAATCCTTCATAAGAAACAGCATAGATGAAGGCAATAATTCTCCATCTAATTTCAAGGGATTCCTAAACCCTCAAAAAGGCCTAAATTAAAAATCTTCAGTCTTGGGTGGACACAGTGGCTCACACCTATAATCATAAAACTTTGGGAGGCTGAGGCGGGTGGATCACAAGGTCAAAAGATGGAGACCATCCTGGCCAACATGGTGAAACCCTGTCTCTACTAAAAATACAAAAATTAGCTGGGCGTGGTGGCATGCACCTGTAGTCCCTGCTACTCCGGAGGCTGAGGCAGGAGAATCGCTTGAACCCAGGAGGCGGAGGTGGAGTTTGCAGTGAGCCGAGATAGCACCGATGCACTCCAGCCTGGCGACAGAGCAAGACTCTGTCTGTAAATTTAAAAACAAAACAAAACAAAACAAAACTTTAGTCTGGAGTTGAGAGTTCAAAACAGGAAATCAATTCTGTAAGTTTCTAGGTGACTAAAAATCTACAAGGCAAAAAGCTCTGTACCTAAAACTTGTGATTAAGGAAAAGCTATTTTCCATTTTTTTTTTTTTTGCTACATTTCAAAGAGAAAAGCTTTAAAAAGATGAAAAAATAGCACAATACCTATCACATTGTCTTCATTGCAGAATAAGATCTTCTTCTTTATAGTTTCAATAGCAGACTGGACAGGAAGATAAACTTGCACAAGGAGCGCACTGTGTGTAATTGTTCTGCCATTCACATCTTAGACCTGCAGATGTTGCTCCACAGTGTCTGCACCAAACACACCTGAAATCCAAATCCCCCCGAAAAGTCTCAATTTTATTTTCTTAGTTATTCAGTTACTGTAATTCAGGAAGCTACATACGAACATAATGGGGCAAATGATTTAATGTGTATGTGAAAATTTTTCTGATTAGTGGTATCTATCATAGAATATGTGTATTATTCAATTAAATAGGTATGGCTAATTTTTAAAAACTAAAGTGGTATGAGAAAGCTCTGAACTTGAAAGACTAACAAGGCAAACAAACCCTAGAGAACCATTTGCACTTCCAGTCTCCTTTGGGAACTGTCTGCAATGGAGGGTCTAGGCAGTAGGTGTGATAACTTATGTCACAATCATCACACAGCAGGAATCTTCCTGGGTCAGTTGCCTTCCCACAGGCCTCACACACAGTGCACTCAAGACACCTCCAACCTTTGCTAAGAACCACTTTAGTGATCTGTAAAAGAAACAACCAATCCATGTGATTTATGCATTAACCTAACATAATCAAATATACTATATAAATTAATATGGTGCTTATGTACCTAGAAGCAGAAAGGGGCAATCAACTAACATTTATTGAGCGCCTACGGAGGCCCAATACTGGGTTGGGCATGTTCATACACGCTTTTAGGAGGCTACTGAGCAGAATAATAGAAAATGGCACATATTTTAATGCCTTTTTAAAGTCCACATAATTACCTTATGCTGTACATTTAATGTCCACTGTATTTATAGATATAGTGACCAGATTTTAAAGAAATCAAGTAAGCTTCACTATTATTGATACATAATTTGAAAATACATCAACAAAATCTCCATCTACATTTCCATGCTTAGAATCAATAGAAAAAATACCAAAAAAAATAATGTAAAGCATGAGTTCTTAGGGACATTTTATGATCTTAGAAGATTTCTATTTAGACTATGAAGCTAGGAATTCTGAAGTTCACATTCACTCCTCTGTTTATTCTCCCCTCTCTCAAGGGTATAAGTTAGCAGAATATTTGGGAATTTCCAAATCCCTAACAAACTCCTGAAGGAAGCCACACCATGTAATATTAAGATTGCGGAACTTCTTAAAGATCTCAAAAGACTAGGATCCTCAGACAGAACCAATCAAGTGCCCACATTATAATGAAACAGCAAGTAATGAGGGTACAGAATAAAAATTCAGATCATGAGGTACAAGAAAGCCTAAAAGCTACCAGAGAAGAAAATAAAAGAGTTAAATTCAAAGGAACACCCATCAGAATGGCACAAAACTTCCCAACTCCAGATGCTAGAAGAGTATAATCTTCCAATTCTACAGGAAAATACTTTTCAAAGTACAATTCTCAACCTAGCTACACAAGCAACTATGTGTGAAGACAGAATACGTTGTAGACACAGGAAGACTCAAAATTCAGCTCCTTCATTCTCCTTCTAATAAAGTTACTTAGAGATATGCAGAACAGAATGAGGATGTATTACAAAGAAAAGGAAGACTTGGGATCTATAAATCAACAGATCCGACAAAGGACATCAGGCCAGGGAAGTTTAAGGATGAGAACAACACACCCAGAAGCCACTGGCACATATCAGAGCAGGAGAAGGGAATGTCTAGAAAGAGGGTAGGACTTCTCCCAGAAAAAAACAGTACTTTAAAAAATAATCTTATATGATAGTTCTATAGTAGGCAAAAACAAAGTACGAATGGAGAGTCACTATTACTTTCTTGTTATTAAAAACTCCATGAAAGACAAAAGAAACTCATAGTATACTGTTTAGATCTGCAGTGAACATTTACTGAGTCATAACCAACACCTTATTAATTGAACTAAACATAGTAATACAACTATATTGGGAGAAGGAAGGAGGTGTATTTTAAGACCTAAATCAGAATTTATTTATTCACAGCAGAAAGTCAACAAAATCTAGCATTGATAAAGCAGTAAACCAGTTGATTATTTAGAGCTATAGCATTAACCGCAAGAAAAAAGACCTGAAAAGATTAAAAGTGATTCCCTCAGATGTGGACGTAGAGTAAGACAAGAGTTGGTTGTTCATTACAAGGCCTTTTTTTTTTTTTTTTTTTTTTGAGATGGAGTCTTGCTCTGTTGCCTGGGCTGGAGTGCAGTGGTGTGATCTCAGCTCACTGCAACCTCCGGCTCCCATGTTCAAATAATTCTCCTGGCTCAGCCTCCTGAGTAGCTAGGACTAGAGGAATGAGCCACCACACTCGGCTAATTTTTGTATTTTTAGTAGAGATGGGGTTTTACTGTGTTGGCCAGGCTGGCTTGAACTCCTGCCCTCAAGTGATCCACCCACCTCGGCCTCCCAAAGTGCTGGGATGACAGGTGTGAGGCACCACACCTGGCCCATTACGAGGCTTTTAATGTCATTTGATTTTTAAACATGTATATTTATTATTTTGATTAGCTTATTGATTTTTAAGAATTTGTCTTAGATTACCAAGTTAGTATATTATTTGCCCAAATGAAGGAAATGGCCTGGGGTAAGATCAGAGTGGCTTAGAGCAGTAGCCAGCAAACATTTCCAATAAAGGGCCAGAGAGTAAACAGAAAGTTTTGAGGGCCATATGATCTGTTGCAACTTTATAAAAACTCTGCCAGTGTAATGCAAAAACCGCTACAAATATATGTAAACAAAAGAACTTGGCCATATTTCAATAAAAGTTTATTTGCAAACACAGGAAATGGGCCAGATTTAGTCTATGGGCCAGTCTGCCTGACCCTGGCTTAAACAATGACCTGAAGACAAAGTGGCAGACAGATCTGAGGTGTTTAGTGGCAGAATTTTTAAAATATTTATCTTCATTCCTACTAAGTTTTCTTCACAGATACCTGTGGTCCCTTTTACAACCAAACTCTCACGTTTCTCCGCTTATATTCACTCTTCAAAACACTACAGTCTGGTCTCTACACCCACATCCACTCATAACTGCTTAAGCCAGGCTTGTCAAGACCTTCTTATTCTCAAATCTAATGGAAACATTAGTGTTTGTGTTTCTTGACTTCTAGTACTTCAACACTTCAACAATTTCTCCATCTTTGAAATTTCCTTTTAACTTAGGTACTGGGGTTGTACTATCATTTTTTTCTTCCATTGAACCAGTTTAGCCTTAGTTTTAAAAGTTTTTTCAAATAAGATGTCATCCAGGATTCCATCCATGGTACCATGTCCAAAGTTGTTACAGATATGTTTTATAATCTAATACGGATACATGCTTCAACGATAATGGAGTATATGGGACCAGCCTGTTTTCCCATAAGATAGTAGAAAATTGGACAAAGTGTATGAAACAACTGTTTTCAGATATTGGACAACACATAGTAAAGGAGACAGTGGTCTCTGAGAGGAAGGAAACACTCAGGGAGTCCTATGATATTCTGCCTAGAAACATTTTCCAGAATGCTGCCCAGGGAGGGAGAACCTCAGCAGAGTACAATCAATGGCCTCGCTGAGGTTAGGGGAGGCGAGGCAGTGGAATTTGCAGGACACAGTACTCAAAATGAAGAAGCAATAAGGACTAAGAGCTCCAGAAATCTACAAAGGATCCCCTGAAGTCTTTGGTGGAACACCAAGCCGTACTTCTAGAAGCCCAAAGACCCACAACCAGGGGAAAGTACATCTACTGGGAATGTGTAAGCTGCACAATTACCAGAGCTTGCAAAAGGCTCAAAGACAAGTGAAGCACAACCAGTCAGAGTACAAAGACACTGGTGAACAGGGGGTAGAATTCAGTAGTGATCCCAGAAAGGCCAAGTCTTAAGTATAGGGTTAAACTAATGCTAGGACTGCAGCTACCAAAATGTGGACTAGGGAACCCCAGTGGGTCTGTAAAGTTAAAACAAGTTTAAATAATACTAAGATTTAATTTGCCTTTTTTCACTTTAATTTATTCACAATTATACAGTGGTGTTTATAGAAGCTACATGTTGTATCATAATATTACATTGACATTGTACAGGTTGTGCTTCTGTAGTCTTGTGTTACAAAATGTTCCTAGTTTTAATTTCTAAAATGCTGAATAGTCCATAGTTAAAATCCTCATGAACAAAAACTATGGCGTCCCCAGTAATTTTAAAGAGTGTTAAGGTTCTAAAACCATAAAGTTTGAAAATATCCACCTTAGAGTGAAGGCTTTCTAGACTTGCCCCAGCAAGCTTAAAAAGAAGCTTCAAAGGTATCAAACTTATCCACAAACAATTGCCTCCTGCAATAAAAATGCAAGCTGAGCCAATTCATATATCCCTAGTATATTTCTAGATACTGCTGTATTTCTCAATGAGACTGCAGTATTCTATACTGTCCAAAACAGTGTCATGTAAAAGGAACCACACATAATTTTTAAAAACAGGAATAACTAGGTGTCTGATAGTGCACTAATTGTCCAATCTTAACTTATGTAAGTCGTACTCATCTGTAAAATGGGAATTCGGTAATTGTTGGATGGGTTAAAAGAAATACATTACTATCTTGAAAGGGATCTTATTCAATTTCCTTAGGTCCAAAACATTAAGCATTCTAAAAAACAAAATCTAATGATAGCAGCTACTTTTATACAGAATATAAAGTACAAAGAAGAAAAGAAACATGTTTTATGCATATATAACTCCATTTTTAATTGGCTTTATATACTCTGTGTTTTTCAGTCACATAGCATGAGCAACTAATTTTAAAAAACTACAGAAATTAACCGTACTAGTCTTCTATTTTGGATAGTATTAATTACAATCTTTCATTTTGATTCCTAAATTCACAAAAACCTGTATTACCCTATAAAATAAATACTAGTGTAGTTATCAACAAAGAATTCTGAAGGAGATAATGTTGATTTGCTTACTATACTGACATTTTACTGACAATGATATAACACAGTGATGTCTGAAGGGCAGGGGAGAATGGTATAAAAATCACTCATGGTTCACAACCTATTATTGAAACTGAGGTTAGTATTTATATTACATAGTATGGCAATACTAGAAAAGATTTCCTTGTGGAGTATACAGTTTAAGACCTCTGCTGTACAGCTATACCTCCATGCTTGCTTCCAGTGGCCATGACACTTTATTCAAATATGTAAGTTTTATTAAGACTGAGTTTATTAAGAAAAAACCAAGAACCTTAGATACAACTAGTGAAGTATTGAGACCTGTCCATATTTAAAACCAAGCACACGATACCACTTAAAAGGTTCCCCAGAAAGCCTCTATCCTGAAATGCTTGAAAGTGAGCAGTGCTGACTCTCGATTATTACCGATTGCATTAAATATGACACTTGTTTTCTTTCTTTTGGCTATAAGGAGAAAATGTCATTTTGTATATGAGTGAGCACAGAGGAGACAGAATGTGGGAAAGAACAGAATGGGATAATAATTTTTTACTAAATACTCCAGTTCTCAGCTTTATAAGTCAACAGACAAAATGAATCAGCTAAACCTAAAATCTTTGTGAATAGTATAAATTGTCTTTTAAATTAAATGCATATATTTTTATGTTTTACTTTTTCAAGACAAAAGCAGGATATTAGTACAATATAAGATTTATAGAGGAGCAAATTTCTTGAGATAGGAAACCCTTAAAAGCAGTATTTAAAGTACTTAAATACTGTCACATATGTTTAATAATCATAATACTTAATTGTGAGAACTGGGAGCTCATGTTACTACTAAAACCAAATAAAAATTCAATACATATTTGTTAACTCAGTTTAAGGATGTTTACCTTAATACTGACACAGTATGGATGGTAACACTGACCACACTGAGAACAGGCAAGTAATCTTCCTTCTGCTCCTTGGCCAAAACTGCCACAAACTACACATATATCCTGAAGTTAAGAAAACAGAACATATTTTAAATGGAGACTAAGCTAAAAACCTACAAATTTTACTTTAAAAATACCTTCTTAACTAATATAGCTCTATAGCTAAATATTGGATCACTTCTGTGTATATGAGATAAAGCAGAAATGTGCAAGGAGGAATTCAATGAGGAAGACAGTAAATTGTCAAGTTCAAACCTGATTCAAAGTGAATTTGTCACTGCTAGAAAACAACACAACCATATCGAGCACAGAGTTTTCTTCATCATCCTTATTTGATGAAATATCTGCAGTAGACACCTATAAAAAGCAAAATACACAAAATACGAAGTTATATTTTTCACTTGTTTTACACTTAACTGGAAAGCTTCAGAAAATTCATAATCAAAACATATATTTTTGCTAAGGTCTAGAATAACAATTCCAAATATTAATGCTAAGATACTACAGCAAAATGGAGTCATGACATTTTATTATTCAACTCATTCTCTCTTTAGAGGTAGAATTCCTTTAGACCAAGAAGTAATGAGAAAATATAATAAACCTGTCTTAGTAAGACTTGATTATGCAGAATTCTAATCAAGAAACTATAAATGATAATATTATAGGTATGTACACCACAAATCTATCACTATTTTAATGACACACACTTGGGATCTGCAATGTAGTTAGTCTGAACTGAGATGTCCTGCAAACAGAAAATACAGCACATAATTACATATTACATGTTGAAATGGTAATATTTTAGATATATCGGTCAAAATGGAAGGCATTAAAATTAATTTCGCCTGTTCACTATACCTTTATTTTGTTTCGAGAGGAGTTTCACTCTTGTTGACCAGGCTGGAGTGTAATGGCGCGATCTCGGCTCGTTGCAACCTCTGCCTCCTGGTTCAAGCTGTTCTCCCTTACTCAGCCTCCCAAGTAGCTGGGATTACAGTTGTCCACCACCATGCCCAGCTAATTTCTGTATTTTTAGTAGAGATGGGGTTTCACCATATTGGAAAGGCTGGTCTCTTAACTCCTGACCTCAAATGATCCACTGCACCCAGCTCACTGTAACTTTTTAATGTGGCTACTAGGAAGTTTTAAATTGCATATGTGGTTCTCATTATATTTCTATTAGCACCGCTTTAGAATATTATTTTGAATAACATCCAAATTTCAGTATCAGCCAAATGATTATCAACCAATATTGTTCAGTCTGGACTTAGTTCTATTTGACTAAATCAACTAAGTAGCCACTGGTTTGTTAATAATTTCTAGAGTGATATGAAACAAAATAAAGCTCTGAACTAGAAGTTGTAGAAGAAGACAAGGAGGGCACTGCCAAAATCATAAAATACAATCCTCTTTCTTTAAAAAGCTTACAACCGAAGCCTGGAAAGACAGAGTTGAAACACAACAGGTTATGTTCAAGGTCAAAACATAAAACGACTGAATTACTTTTCTTGAGGAACAACTGAAAGATTAACCAGCTGGGTGTGGTGGCTCATGCCTATAATCTTAGCACTTTGAGAGGCTAAAGTGTGTGGATCGCTTGAGCTCAGGAGTTCGAGACCAGCCTGGGCAACATGGTGAAATCCTGTCTCTACCAAAAATACAAAAAACAGCCGAGCGTGGTGGCACACGCCTGTAGTCTCAGCTACTCAGGAGACTGAGGCAGGAGAATCACTTGAACCCAGGAGGCAGAGGTTACAGTGAGCCAAGATTACGCCACTGCACTCCAGCCTGGGTGACAGAGGGAGACCCTGTCCCAAAAAAAAAAAAAAAAAAAAAAAGAGGAAGGAAGGAAGGTTGGTTGGTTAACTAAATAGAAGGACTATATCTCAGTATTTTTCAATACAAATACATTTAAAAGCAGTTTTTTTTTGTTTGTTTTTTTGTTTGTTTGTTTTTGAGATGGAGTCTTGCTATGTCACCCAGGCTGGAGTGCAGTGGCACAATCTCAGCTCACTGCAAGCTCTGTCTTCACGGCATTCTCCTGCCTCAGCCTCCCGAGTAGCTGGGACTACAGGCGCCTGCCACCATGCCCAGCTAATTTTTTGTATTTTTAGTAGAGATGGGGTTTCACCATGTTAGCCAGGATGGTCTCGATCTCCAGTCCTCACGATCCACCCACCTTGGCCTCCCGAAGTGCTGGGATTACAGGCATGAGCCACCGTGCCCAGCCTAAAAGCAGTTTTAATGGATAGTACTAATGCTTTATAAGAGCAATTTATAGTCATATGAACCCTAATGACTACAAGTGTTAATAATGCCAATATTCATCATTAGGGAGTAAGTAAAGCCATGACAAATCCAAACATTAGAAAATTACGCAACATTTTAAAAGTAGGGAGGTAGAAACTTGTATAGACTGCCATGAAAGAAATTATCAAAAGACGTTGTTGATGAAAAAATAAATTGCAGAACAGTATTTGAGGTATAGCACTATAATATAAAAACATGCAAAGTCATTATATGTAGTCTATGGGCACATACAATAGGTTGAATCATAAGAAATTGCTGCTTTTCATCAGTTCAGAAATAATATTGGCAATTTCATATGGATCAACCTAATATATAAATATACCAAACTGGTAACAGGGAAATAAGGAGGACTTGAGGAGTTAGTAATGGTAAATTCTGATCTACCTATAACGCTTTAATTTTTTTAATAGAGAAAATGTATTGATGTGTTATATGCATAGCATTAACAAAATTAGCTTTCTAAGATTTTAGAGAATCATCCAAGATGATTCACAAAAGTAGAATCATCATCACCAGTAAGAAACTAAGTGACTACTAAAAGTAATCATTAATTCAGTCATAGGACTAATGATGCATTGACAAGGTTATTGAGATATATAATTGTGGAAATGGCTAAAATAGAGATAAAGTATCTATTTCTACCTCCCAACCACTAACAGAAAATTCAACACATTATACACACTGAGCAGCTCAAAGAAATTGTAAAGATCCATTATTATTTTTAAAAGGAAATTTAACCAGTGGATGCTTTCACTGAAAATGATAAACAATATATTCCCAGTATAAACCAGAAACAAAGTCTGCAGTAGAAAACTACAATGTCCCTAGATTCAAGTGGGGGTGGGGAGTCATATTTAAATAATAAGTGCAGAAAAACCAAAATATTTTAAAATAATTGTCCATGCAAGAAAGAAAACAGTATCATCTAGCTTGAAGACCCACTGTTTTTATTTTATAATTTATTTCATGACCTTTAGACTGCTAGAAAAATAAAACCTAACTTGAGGGCAAAGGTAATCTTTCAGAAAATATGTGCTATTGTTGCCTGCATAGATAATAGTGTGATTTATCCAGAAGGTGATAGAAATTTCATTTTCCTAGACCACAGATATAAGCCAAGGAGAATAGAAAGCTCTGACCTAAACTTCACAAGTGTCCCTTCCAAGCAGGGACACGTAAGAGTAAACAAAAAAAGAAGATCAAACTAAACTCAAAGTGAGAAGATAGGAAAAAATAAAGATGAGAATATAAATCAATAAAACAGAAAGGGGAAAGAAAATAGAGAAAAGTCCATGAAAACAAAGGCTGACTCAAGAAGATCAATAAGATTGATAAATCTCTAGCCAGACTGATCAGGAAAAAAATAAGACAAGATACAAATTATTAGTATCAAGAATGAGGAAGGTGAAATCACTACAGATTCTACAGGTATTAAAATAATAAGAAACATTATGATCAACTCCATTCCTTTAATTTGTCAAGATAGACAAAATGAACAAATTTCTTGAAAGGTGCAAATTTATGCAAGGAGAGACAGATAACCTAAATAGGTACCTATTAAAGAAATAAAATTTGTTGTTAAAAACTGTCCCACAGGCTGGGCACCAGTGGCTCATCCCATAATCCTAGCACTTTGGGAGATGGATCACCTGAGGTCAGGAGTTCGAGACCAGCCTGGCCAACATGGCGAAACCCCATCTCTACCCAAAACACAAAAATTAGCTAGGCATGTTGGTGCATGCCAGTAATCCCAGCTACTCAGAAGGCTGAGGCAGGAGAATTGCTTGAACCTGGGAGGTGGAGGCTGTAGTGAGCAGAGATCACGCCACTGCACTCCAGCCTGGGCATGGTGGCTCATGCCTGTAATCCCAACACTTTGGGAGGCCAAGGCAGGTGGATCACATGAGGTCAGGAGTTCGAGACCAGCCTGGCCAACATGGTGAAAAACTGTCTCTACTAAAAATACAAAAAAAAAAAAAAAAAAAAATTAGCCAGGCATGGTGGCAGGCACATGTAATCCCAGCTACCCAGGGGGCTGAGGCAGGGGAATCACTTGAACCTGGGAGGCAGTGGTTGCATGAGCTGAGATTGTGCCATTGCACTCCAGCCTAGGCAACAAGAGCGAAACTCCATCTCAAAAGAAAGAAAAAAAAAAAGAAAACACAACAAAAACCCCCCACAAAGAAAATTTCAGGCCAAGATGGTTTCACTAATAAATTCATGTATAATATAAGAAGATACATTTCCACTACTACACAACTTTTCCAGAAAACTGAAGATGAGAATATACTTTCTGATTCATTCTATGAAGCTGGAGTTATGCTGATACCAAAACCAGATGAAGACATTACAAGAAATTAAGACTACAGGCTGGGGCATGGTGACTCACGCCTGTAATCCCAGCATTTTGGGAAGCCAAGGTGGGAAAATTGCTTGAGCTCAGATGTTCGAGACCAGCCTGGACAACATAGTGAGATGCTGTCTCTATTAAAAATTTTAAAAAAGTAGTTGGGTGTGTTGGCACACAGCTATGGTCCCAGCTACTTGTGAGACAGAGGTGGGAGGTCAAAGCTGGAGTTAGCTATGATCGCACCACTGCACTCCAGCCAGGAATTAGAACGAGAACCTGTCTCAGAAAAAAAAAAAAAAAAAAAAGAAGAAAAAAAGTGCACAGGTCTACAACCGTGGTGCATCCACAGTTTTATTAATATTCAGCAAGAAAAGGAAGTACACTGTTAACAAGTACAACAGCATAGATTAATCTCCAAATAATTGTGCTGAAATAAATCAGTCCAAAAAGCACACAGTTCTGTATGATTCCACTTATATACAACTCTAGAAAATGCAAACTAATCTTGGGGACAAGGACGGATGGCAGGGGGAATGCAGAAAATTACAGAGGGACATGAAGAAACGTTGGGAGATGAATATATTCACTATCATGATTGTGGTATCGTTTTCAAGGGTGTATATGTATATATCAAAGCTTATGGAATTGTACATGTCAAATATAGCTTATATCAACTATACCTCAATAAGCCTGGTTTTAAAATTTTTCTTTTTGAAAAAAGGACAAGAATCTAAGCTTCCTTATTCCTGGTTTAGTAGTAAACTTGAACAATTTCACCTGTCTCCTATACTTAAAATGACATTTCAGAATTTTAAAAACAGGATTTTAATAAAATAGCGAAGTTATTACATAAAATATTTGCTAGTAGTTAACAAATATATTTGTAATACACATATAAATAAAGCCTCGTAACATGATAGTAAGCAAATATCAATCTTAAAATTTTTTAAATAAAAGAGCAACTATATTACATACTGACTTTTTAGAGAGGGTTGGCATAGAAAGATAAGGAGTCAAAGAGGAAGGTAAGAAAAGAGAAAGGATGAGAAAGTAAATATACAAGAAAACGTAACCAGAGGCTCAAAAAAAAAAAAAAAAAGCAAAGTAGGACAGTAAAATAAACATTTTGACCTATTTATATGATTTTTAAGTTCAAAATAACTTGCTATGAGATTTTCATCATTAACTGACATTTAGATTAGAGAAAATATACATGAAGCAAGCCTCACCCCAGGCAATACAACAGCTCCGATTCCACTTTTCAGCTTTGACCTGCCTCGGCCACCTCGCCCCGACAGTCCTGCACCTCGAGGTCTCCGCTTTCCTGGAAATCCAGACCCATGGCCCTATGTAACAGATTAGGAAAAGTCAACATTCTGTGACAGCCCAAAATAATTTTTAAATCCAAATGCCACTGAGATAAAACATTTTATTAAATGTTATACAAACACTTCTTTAGATAAGTATTAAGAGACCTGGCTTATTATTTTTATCTTTAAAAGTATATTCCACAACTTAAAATTCTAAATATAAAATGCTTACAACCTTAGAATCATACTTTCGGGCTGTCACTGTGAACGCTATCAGCAAGCCTTTGCATGATTTTTCTCTTTGCCACTCCTACATTCTCGGTGACGACAACAACTATAGCCTTATCCAGATATTTCGAAGTGCAACAAATTGTATTCAATATAGAGTAAGGATAAGGAAGAACTCTCTCATTAACTGGTCTCGCGGTGATTACAGTAATAGCTAACATCTATTGAGTACTTACTATGTACTAATCTAAGTATTTTTTACTCTCAACAATCCCATATAGTAGGTTTTATTATCCTCGTTTGAGATGAGTGTGCTGAGGAATAAAATGGTTAAGTAACTTGTCCAAGGTCGCTTAGCTAGCAAGCCTGGCTCCAGCGTCCCTGGGTTGGAAGCATATTCTGTACTGCTACATCAGCATGAAAGTTTATTTTTGCTAGTGTGTAACAGTATTCTTCCTGTCATTAAAATTAAGTCAGTTTCCTTCACTATTCAACAGTTCTCTTATGAACTCAACATTTCTACCTCATTCACCATTGTATTTAGAGGAAAATTTATTATTATTGTTATTACTTTTATTTTTGAGACAAGAACTTGATCCGTCACTCAGGTTGGAGTGCAGTGGTGTGATCACAGCTCACTGCAGCCTAGAACTCTTGGGCTCAAGTGATCCTCCTGCTTCTGCCTCCCAAAGTGCCAGGATTACAGGAGTAAGCCAAAGCGTCCAGCCAGGAAAAATTATTTGAGGATTACAGGAAAGCTGACAAAAGGCTTTGTGAAAGCTTTGCTTTAAATAATCTGAATAATAAATACTTGAAATGGAAATAATTTATCTGACTTCTTACACAAGAAATAAACCTATGGGAAAATGTGTTAAATTCCCTGATAATTTCAGACATTAAGTACCAGAGTATGGTGTTCCCTGCCCCCTCACCCTTGTTCGTACTAATTAATTACTCCTTGAAAAAACCTGGCACCTACCTAAGTAGATGAATTATGTGTATTTAAAATTATCCAGATGCTCAGGAAAATACTTAGGTGTTTCCCTCACCATAAGTTAAATAATATGTCATATCTTCAACTGATGTCCCTTATCATAGTTTGAAATAAACTGATTCCCTATTTAGCAGAATGGTTTCCAAGTCAAAAATTTATGATGATACTGTAAGCATAAAATAGAAACACATGAACAAAAGGAATGGGAGGAATGGCTTTTTTCCCTTTGGATGTAATAAATACAGCCAGCTCCCAGTTTCAAACTGCCACTCCTGTCTTCTCTTACCCTGCTCTCCTTGAGATCCCTTTTGAGAAGTGCATCAGCTTCTTTGCACAACAGATAGATGGGGTCAGGTTAGTTTTTTGGGTTTTTTGTTTGTTTGTTTGTTTTTGAGATGGAGTCTCGCTTCTTTGCCCAGGCTGGAGTGCAATGATGTGATCTTGGCTCACTGCAACCTCCATCTCCTGGGTTCAAGCAATTCTCCTGCCTCAGCCTCCCTAGCAGCTGGGATTACAGGCACATGCCACCACGCACGGCTAAATCTCTTTGTATTTTTAGTAGAGACGGGGTTTCACCACTTTGGCCAGGTTGGCCTCGAACTCCTGACCTCCGGTGATCTGCCCCCTCAGCCTCCCAAAGTGCTGGGATTACAGGCGTGAGCCACTGCGCCCGGCCGAGTTTGTTTTGTTATTAAGCTGGTATAAAAGATTTTTGAAAAATTAAGTCAGTGATTAAAAATCAAGACTACAGTAATCTCTCAATTTCTTTTCTCAAACATGAAATGCTGACCCAGAAAAAAGGTAAGTAAAAATTGGTGGTCTATATTATCAAACTGTCAAATGAGGTATATTTATACCTCAATATCTTGGATGATATCAGGGGGAGGTAGGGAGGTTAAAAAAAAATAGTACTTCCAGTCATGAAAGAAAATAAAGTATAATCTAGAATTCCTTAAAATCCTTGATTAGTCTGAATTAAACAGCCATATTCCAGAATATTAAATATAGAATATGAAGAAAAACTGTCATCTCCAGTCAATGAAGTATTTTAACTTTTGAGTTAATACTTTTTCAAATTAATTTTTTTCTCTTCAAAATGCATCACACTACTTAACTCACTTCAAGGACTGGCACAGCCATCAACCAATGTCATGGGGGAAAAAGCCTTGTCATTTTAAGGTATTAAACAGACAATGAAATCTGCCACAATTTTGGTATTTCTTCTCCATAAGAACATAATAAATTAATGGAGTTTTTTCTTTTGCTTTTTTCTAAGCAACAAAGTTTTATGATATCATGAATGAAAAGGTCCTTAATTACCTTTTGGTCTACATGTCAAGGACTTCTCCCTCATAAAACCGGTAGTAATCACAACAAAAGGAATTAACCATAAAAAGAGGTATTAAAAATGTATATTGATTTTTAAATGCAAGCATATTATTTCTTTACATTAAAATTTTTAGATTTAAAAAGTGTTTCTGGAAGCTCAATCTAGAAAAGAAAGATTTAATTCTTTACACCCAGTAGGGCAAAACAAATCAGACAGAAATGATATATGAATGTAAATGCAATTTTATTTACCACTTTGATGCTCCAAATGGCACTGCCAGGAAGCTGCCTGGGTTTAAAAATTTCCCGACCTCCTGAAATGTCTGGGGACCAGGAAGGTGGGCTCACTGTATTATGGGTACTCCAAGCCTCCTAGGATATGGCAGTTGAGAAAATAGATGTGTAAAACTCAGCAACATAAAAGGTCAAAGCCAGCAACTAAGGAATTTTAGAACAGCAAAAACAAATGCAAACATATGGAAATTTAGGACAAATTGCTTCAAGGAAGGCAAAATAAGCTAATCACTAACAGTGATTTAAACATTTAAGTATAACAAATAACTTAAATGATTGCTGCTACAGAGACATCACTACAATGAAACATTAAAAATTAAGGTTTATATGACATCAACATTGACTCATGAACTGCAATTACTGCACCAAAAAGTAAATAAAAGTCAATCACACTTTAAGAATTAACACTAGAAGAAAGTATTGGGGGGTTATTTTTCTTCTAACAACTATCACTCTACTTAAAAGGAGAAATGGATAACCATAAGGAATTCTATATTCTATAGCTATAAACAACCAAAACCAGTAGGCCAAAGAATGCAATGAGAAACATAAGCAATAGATAAATGCATAAACTTTACACTGTAGAGAGCTGGTAACATTAAAATGCAAATACCATTATAATCTTAGCATTTAATCACTCTTTCTTCAGTGACCATTAGTTGCCGGTTTGGTTTCGGTTTTTACTCAGGGAAATGAATACTTTATGGAAATTACATCCAATGGACAAAAGTGAAGAAACGTTAAAGCAAATTGTCCTAAATTTGCAAATTAAAATGCCTAAAGTACCTGATAAATTATATAGAAAGTAGTATCTTATTAAAATCTATATAACTAAAACTAAAACATTTTACTTCCAAACAACCACATTCAGCAATACCCTGAACTAATCTGAAGATGCTAAACAGCATAAAGAAAAATGTTTACTCCACAAAGATAACATTTTAAAGAAAAACAAGACAAATGTCAAACAATAAAAGGATATATTTTGAATTAGGTAATTCAATGGTGCATGCATAATTTTACCAATCAAGTAACCAAAACTTAAGACAAGGTACATGGTACTTACCAGGTTTCTAGAATATCATCAAATTAACAAGTACTATCTCATTAATCACATAAAAATACCACCAGGAATTAAAATAACCAGAAATAAGAATGTGACTACTCTTGGGGTAAGAGATAGGTAACGGAATAACAGTATTTTGGAAAAGCCACACAAGCAATAGACTGGTTTCATTTTTAAGTCACAAACTCAACCCACACACATTGAAGTCCAGCAATCCAACTCATTCTCTCCAGCAAACACTTTATTTTTTTCCCCCTCCAGGATTACCCTCAGGTGTTCTTTCTTACCCATCAAATCTCTAACCTAGCTCAGGTAATCACTATGCTGATTTCACTGAGCAGCAACCACTGCAGGTCAATTACCTCACTTTCATAATTTCAAATCAACTTGAATCTGTACCTATGTCTTCTTCCCTACTATTAGTAGGGAAGTGTTGTCAAAAGCCATTTCTCTTTTCTCATTTTACTCATGCTCCTAACATCTGGCATACTGTTCTGCTGGATTTGGCAGCAGCCCACCTGTGGATATTTCACTGACTTACTCGCTAATCTTTCTTCATCTCCTGTACGTGTTCTTCCTCTATTTGACTTCCAAAGCCCTGGAGTTTCCCAGGGCTTGAGCCTAGATCCTAAATGGTGTTATCTACAATGAGGGCATCTTGCAAGTTGATGCTTCCCACATTCTTATTTCTAGTTTTAATCAAAGATCTCCAAATTAGCAGGATTTTCAACTTCCTCCTTAGCATTTCCATTTTCTCACATAAAACCCCTCTTAATTTTGCCATGGTTAAAATTTCTCCCTTAACCGGTTTCATCCCAGTCTTCCCCATCCTTATAAATGGCATCCAGTCCCTTGTCACTCTCCTCTGCTCCTTCAGTCCTCTCCCCCAACACCTCGTCAATGCAAATCATCAGCAAATTCAAGACTTTTTATCTTCAAGTTTTGTCTCCGATCCTTCTGCTTCTTGTCACTTCCACCACTAGCAGCCCACTCGTGGCCACCACCATCTCTCACCTAACCTGCTACAAGAGTCTACTGCTGGTTATGCTTCTCCCACCCTGCATCTACTCAAGCCTTTCCCCACAGCAGCCAGAGGAACTTTTCAAAAGTACAAATGTGATCAAGCAAGTCACTATTCTATTTCAAATCTTCAATTGCTTCTCAGAGCACTTAAAAGACAAACCTTTCCCAGTGCCTTTCTCCAGCTCATCTTGTGGCACTTGTCTCCCTGCTGCTATGCTCCAGCTATTCTGGCTTCCTTGCTGTCCTTCAAACATGCCAAGCTCTTTATCAATCAGAGCCCAACTGACTCAGAACACTTCACTATACCATTCCAGCCCTTCAATAAATGTCTGGCATTTTCTTTCTTTCTTTTTTTTTGAGATGGAGTCTCGCTCTGTCACCCAGGCTAGAGTGCGGTGGTGCGATCTCGGCTCACTGCAACCTCTACCTCCCAGGTTCAAGCAATTCTCTTGCCTCAAGCCTCCTGAGTAGCTGGGATTACAGGCATGCACCACCACGTCCGGCTAATTTTTGTATTTTTAGTAGAGAAAGGTTGTCTCCAAGTTGCTCAGGCTGGTCTCCAACTCCCGACCTCAAGTGATCTGCCCACCTTAGCCTCCCAAAGTGCTGGGATTACAGGTGTGAACCACTGCGCTGGGCCAATATTATTTTTTTAAGAAAATACTAATAAAAAGGAACAATTGATATTAAATAAAATTTAACTATTGACTATAAATATATGTTTCAAGAGATTTGAGTGAAAATACCATTCTACGTTAAAATAAAAAATATAACATTCGATAACTATAGTAATAACATGTTCTCAAAGATTCAAGGGGCTAAAGCTAATGAGAAAAAGTTAAATATAAACATCTTACAATTTACCTAATTACTTGAAATAGAAACTTATGTTTATTCCTGTATTTCTCCATTTTTCCAATTTCTAATGTCTACTTCTTTCCATTTTGTATTTTCTTATATTGAGGCAATTTAAAGAGGATATGCCAGGTCTTCAGAAAGCCAAGAACTGAACATAAGCACTCTGGAACCTATCTGAACTTAATTTTGTCCAAGATTTTTTTAATGGTTGAAAATTGGCTCAACTGGGGATACTAAGAGGAAATATCAGGGGCAAAGGGGATTTGGGTTAAACAGATCGAACAGGATTCTTACTGAAGGCAGGCCAGACTGATCAGAAATCATCTGGAGGGTGGTGGGAGATAACAAATTTGATCAGATATCAAAGGTGATCAGTACTGAGAGTGGGGGATTCTTTGCAAGTTTCTTCCTAAACCTGAGAGATGTGGGTCAGACTAGGATGAACACTGAAAGCTGAGGCTGAGAGGTGGCTTAGAGGATCCCAACTAGAGTTTGGGCAAGGGGAGAGGCTTTGTCAATGCAAACATGCATTCAGCAATATTACCAAGTACAGATGCATGCACATAAAAATACTGAAAGGAAATATAAGAAAATGTTTAAAAATTTTTAGTGGCTTATTTATTTTATGTAATTTAAATATATATATATATAAAATTAAGGTGTACTTTGAACACATACTAACACATTCAAAGAATTAAGTATACATTTGATAATACATAATAGTTACAAAATAAGCAAGGTCTTCATGCAAACGAGTTTAGAATTTCCAGGGTTTATTACTTAGCATTTGATCAGCAGGCCTGTAACTTCTTCTGCTGCCCATTCATTGCCCATTTTATTAAAAATTCCTCAAGTGGATGCATTGGAATGGAAGAAACACTGACTCTTTCCTTCAAAGAAGGAAACAACAAACCTTGTTTGACAACCCTGGTCAAACAAGACAAGGACCAAGTGGCCAGTGGTAAGGAAAGTTGGTCAAAACTAATGAATGACATTTTAGATTAAAAGTGAATTTTATTTAACCCAATTATTCTTATCCTATGCACACAAATTTGAATTTAAGTTAGCTTGATGTAGATGGTCACCCCATTCCAAAGCATGAGTCCAAATACCCTAAGGTTCCAGAAGGAGCCAGCTTTCTTCAGAAGGTGGCAAGCGCATTGCAAAGTACTGAGGAAAACTTTCTTTAAAGTATCTTTTTTCATCATTCCATATTTTGCTCCTTATAATTGCAACTGCTCTCCTTATATGTCTCTTTTGAAACTTCTCACTTGTCTAAGGTGCTATTGTTCCTCCTCATCTTTTTTTTTTTTTTTTTAATAGCATAGTCTCTCTCCCTCCTTGCCATGCTGAAAAGGCTTCTGACTTGCTGTTCTTGCCAGGAAATATTTCTGCAGGGCGTATTGGAGTGGAACTACTTACAGAGTGTCAGGGCAAGTCCTTACATTTGTTTATGCTTAGGACACAACACAGAAGATAATTTTCTAAGTTAAAGATTGTATGATTTTATCTTGACTTCAGAAACTGGTCATACTTTTTTACTTTAGTTTCTAAGAACCTCAGAGCTGAACTTGAAACAACTTTAATAATTCCAATGAGACATTTGTTATTTATCCTTTTTAAAAAAGACTTTTCTAATTTAAATAATTTTATTATTGCTCTAAATTTGCCAGGTTCATTTAAGAATTTTATAAACTGTTTTAAAACTAATTTACATTAAGTTGGAATAAAGTTAACCAAATTAATACAAACATATTTTATTGCACTTCTCTTTATTGTGCTTCACAGATAGGAACATTTTTTCTTTATTTACAAATGAGATGTTTGTGACAACCCTGGTGAAGCAAGTCTATTGGTGCCATTTAACAAACAGCCTGTGCTCACTTTGTGTCTTGGTTTCACACTTTGTTAATCTTCACAATTTTTAAAATATTTCCTTATTATTATATTCGTTACGGTGATCTGTGATCAGTGATCATTAATGTTATGGGAGGCAGAGTTTGCAGTGAGCAAAGATCATGCCAGTGCACTCCAACCTGGGCAACAGAGTGAGACTCCATCTCAAAAAAAAAAAAAAGGAGTTTTTATATGTAGGGTACAAAATACTATCTGACCTTAGGGTGTGTGCAAATTTTTCTGAATTAATTAAGACTTAAATACCAACAGGAGTGATTGTTTTTGTTACAATCACCAGGTGGGTGATCTGATACTTTCCCCTGAAAAATGCATATACAAAATTTTCACATAATTTAAAAACATCCACAGATGCATAGCTATGGATTCAGTTTATGGATCAAGAATTCAACTCCTCAGAAGTAAAAGATTACATGAGAAAGTATCTGATATTGAGGTGACAAGGAATAATGTTGAAATGTATCTCATTAAAAAGTGCAGACAGTTGTGGCTAAGACATTGGGTATTACAGAGGTGCATCCATGTGTCCAGTGAGAAGACTTTAAGAATCTGTTTGGGAATAATGAGAACATGAGCATTCTCCTCCCTACCTCTAGCACTCCCCTCCTGCTATTTGGGTATTGTGAATTTACCAAACACAGTGATTTAGGTCACTTTTATTATTTCAGAAATTCCAGATACCTTACTACTTATATAAAATAGCCCTTGAAAGGATGCTTACCATTAAATAATGTATAATACAAAGAAAAGACAAATGTATGTGATCTGTAGTGCACAGTTATAATACAATCTGAATACTACATTTAAATTTTTCACTCCACTTTCCAAGAAATAAAGCATTGATTCTAAATATATTATCTATTTGTCAAAACAAATAGAAACTATCTAGTGTTTCATTTATAAAAGAAATTAATTAATGGTGTCTCTAAGTTAATTTTTTACTTCTTTTCCCCATATCATTTTTATATTATATGAGAGCATATTTTTCTACTCTACCCTAGAATTAATAAACGAAAAATAAGGTATGATAAGAAAACTTCAAATATAAACATAACCAAACTAAAATAACACCTTTTTTCTTCTATTTACTTTATTTCTTGAACTCAGTGATGTAATATGTCTTCATCTGCCTCTGAGAATACACTTAAAACTACAGAAGTAAATTAACATTTTCCCAATTCACATGTAGTGCAATATTTAAGATTTCATCTAATTGAACACGTGTTGGATCAAATTTATAATACTAAAAGCACTCTTCTACATACTGCAATGTCTAGATGGAAGACAAGCTAGTCAGGTGGCAGAGTGAACATCATTCTGGTAGGCCTTTTCAAGCTGTCACTTGCAAGATGTTTGGACTGCTGAGAATGTTAGCCATAATTAATTGCAGAGATAGGAGGCTGCAAATGGGTGAGGTAATGTTCAAATGCATGGAATGATGACTAGTCATAGTAAAAGATAATAGATGTGGCCACATTGCTTTGAGAAAATTTAGAGAATATTTTGGGTCACAATGATACATTTCTGCATTATTTGTGGAATGTTTTCAATGTAATTACATCACACAGGTAGACTTCCAGATCCTGTGTCTAACTTACTTTCCTTGGCTCTGTGGGAGAACACATATTCTAATGAAGTTCATTTTAAGGCAAATATTTCTTGAAAATACAAAACTGATAGATATATGTATGCAGGTTTCCTTCTTATACGTCTTTTATAAACAATGAAGTTGTATTTCTCCTTTAGTGTTTAATGTGTTTCATCAGATAATGCCCTAGAAGTTTTATCAAATTTTTCTGTCTACCATTTGAAGATGTATGAGAGGGAAAAAATGCAGTCTGCCTGCTTCACTAACAAAAGTAGGACAAAGGCCATCACAACTGAAATATGTGAAACACTTGGTTTTATGAATTTCAAGCATTTTATATCTCTACATTTGGACTCGAGTAAAGACATTTCATAGAAAAACTGAAATATTTTTATTTGTTTATTTTTTAATCTTGATAACCTGCAATAGTTTACAGCCAGAATGGCAGCTTTTATGTATGTACACTCATTTAAATACAGTTTCATACCGTAAATAGCCATGGGGCAAAATATCTGCCTCTAGGCACAAAAAAAAAAAATCTTTGCCGCTAAATAAACACCTTTAAGTGATACTGCAAAGAATAGATATGAGGTAATTTTTTACCTAAATGACTCTGGCCTGTATTAAGACATATTCACTGTAACAATTCAAGTTTTAAAATCCTTGTTTTGTAACTCAAAAATATATCTTTTTTACAAAACACATCTTTACATTTATTGCTATTGTACATTTATTTGGCAGGAAACAGGGATGTTTGATGTCTTGCAATGATAAAGCGATCGTATTCAATAGAAAATTGTCTCACATTCTGCAAGACTTTTGAACATTCTATAAGACAATTACATAAGTGAAAAACAAATTTGTAGATATTTGAGTACAACCATTTAATATATGAATAAAAGCAGTTCAGAACATTTTAATGTACACTGCATTTTCTGATAGTAAGATTTTAGGTTAAAATAAGATTATACTTCAAAAAGTGTACCATTTTGAAAAAAAAATCATATCACTGCTGGCAATGCCATTTTCATACTAGTCCAACATATTGCTTATCCATCTGTGTTTGTTTGATTTTACTGTTATTACTTTATGATAATGCTAAAGTACATACATACACACACACACACACACCTAAGGTGTGCAGGCTTTCATCCAAGCTTACTGGTATTAATTAAAAATCAACCAGAGGTAGGGAAAAATAAAACTTATTCAAAAATACTATTGCAATAGGGAGAATATTCCAAACTCAATCTACAGGTGTCTCAGGATCAAACAGGAAAAGGCTTTCCTTTTCTAGGGAAGGACAAGCAGGGCTGGCAGAAGCCTCCTTGGAGAGAAGAACAGGCAGTGGGGTGAGCAGGTGGCAAAACCAGGATGCTCCAATAAAAATAGTTTCTCTGGGAGTCCCGCTCATTTTTGGAGTGAGCTGTTAGCGGGCTGGTCTGTCCTTTAGTGCTTGTTCAGTCTTAGGTGGTGAGCCAAGGTCCAGGGGCCTGAGGAGAGGAGACAAGACTGTCTGAAGTTTGATAAAATCAAGTCAATGGGTAGTTATGAGTAATTGTGAGCAATTGGTCAGCTTTGGGCTCAGCACACACCCCACCTTATGTTGTTTACCACAAACAAAACTTGTCCCTAAAAATTTTTAGGAATGGCATCAGATATAGCGAAGGTTTGCAAACTGATTTTCAGGGTTGGGCTGGTCTTCATGTGTTTGTTAACCTTGAGGACTAGGTATATCATTTGTTAAGTGTGTTATTGGACTGACAGCTGCTCTCTATGAAAAGTAGAATAATCATTGAATATAATAAAAAGAATAATTATTGAAGGTTGGATAAAGAGGTCCGCGGAGCGATGGGCGAGTACGCGGGTGCCACACGCTCCTCGCCTTCTGCTGCCTGCAACTGGTGGCAGCGCTGGAGCAGCAGATCTTTGACTTCCAGGGCCGCCTACCAGTGAGCTCCCACCCTAGCCAATTTCCTGCGCCTCGTGGCGCTCACCCTGGGCATCGTGGGCACCGCAGTGTGGCTGACGCTCCGGGCTGGCCTGAGTGCGTTTATCACCTGCTTCTACCCGAAGGCTGGACCCAATATCCCCAGACCGCGACTTCCCCACAGCGTCCAAATGCCCCTGTACCGATCCAGGGATGGAGAATCGCCGGGCAGCGGGCGACTCCGGTTCTGAGCTTCCCCTGGCCATGGGGGGCTGCCGTGCAGTCTTGTCCCTGGCTGCCTGCTGCACTGTCCCTGCAAAGAAGCCCTCAGCAGCGCCCGCAGATCCTCCTGGCGCTGCTCCGCTTCCTGTTCGCCAGCTATGGGAGCAAAGTCTTCCTGAAGGAGGAGGCAGCTTTGACTTCATCAGCGGCTTCCACTCCTAGGGATGCCAGGCGCCCCAGAAGACGTCACGTTGACACCAGCAGCCTCTATGCGCTTCGGGTAGCCCTGCCCCGCCTGCCCTGGCCCTGTGCCCTTGGCGCTGGACTGACCTCGGCAGCCGCGATCTTGGTCAGGACCAGCAGGCACAGCCCTGGGGGCTCGGGACCCACTGCAGCCTGTGAAGGCCCCATGGCTCTGCACACAGAGAGGCGGAGCAGCAGACTTTGGGACTTGGCCCCTCACAACCAGGACTTCAGAGAGGATTGGGGCGGGTAAGGGAGGGGCCACGGAGTCCGCATTTTAAAAAAATTCAGACTTAGTGTGAGCTGGAGCTTTTCTCCCTTCTCCAGCCTCTTCCTTTCACCCTTCACCCAGCATCCCGCCCCTGTCCAGAGAGAAACAGCAGGAGGGCTTGCCCTTTCTATCTCACCGCACTCACTCCCCAGCCTGAGGAAAGCCGGGGGAACTAGGGGCAGGAGTTCTGGTTTCTCATCTCAGGTCCATCAGACTCTGGGTGACAGCTAGCAGAGCCCTAGCCCTCTCGGTGCCTCAGTTTCCCCACCTTGCCATTAAGAGTCCCTTGGTAGGTGAGCTCTTCTAGCCTTCTCATATAACTCTGAATTCTGTGGGCTGGGGTGGGATTATAAATCCCATTTTGCAGATGTAGAAACTGAGGCCAAGAGAAATGAAATGGTTTGAGGCCACACTGCTAGATTTTGGTGGAAGCAGGCCTTGAACGCAGCGGACTTTCTGTAGTTTCAGCCTCTAAAACCCAGTGTCCTCTCTGAGTTCCATTTTCAGGCCCCTCACTACATTCACACATCACTGCTTGCCAAGACCTCTCCTCAACCACCATCTTATCAAAGGTGACAAGAGTCACCTTTGCTCCAGTTCCCAGCAAGTTCCTCATCTCCATCAGAGACTGCCTCAGCATGGATTTCATTGTCCATATCATTATCAGCATTTTGGTCAAAGCCATTCAACAAGTCTCTTGGAATTTCAAACTTTCCCACATTTTCCTGTCTTCTGAGACCTGCAAATTGTTCAACCTCTGCCAGTTACCCAGCTCCAAAGTAGCTGGGATTACAGGCACACACCACCACACCCGGCTGATTTTTGTATTTTTAGTTTCATCATGTTGGCCAGGCTGATCTTGAACTCTCGACCTCAGGTGATCCTCCCCCCTTGGCCTCTCAAAGTGCTGGGATTACAGGTGTGAGCCATTGCGCCTGGCTGCTGCTCCTTTTTTTTTTGTGATGGACCTGGGAGATCTTTAGGAATGAGGGAAATGATCCTTTCTTTGAATAAGGCAGAATACTAAAGACTAGCCAGCCCTCAGGCTCATGGTGGTTGCTGCTATTCTGTTGAATGTGAACCATAGCCTTTAGAAAGGAGCAAGTCTTTGTGGAATACACAGGATTTGAAGTGCAACAAAGGGGTGGAAACCCAGCTGACCATGATACCTTCAAGTGAGTTTTTCCACTGAATTTGATTATTTTCCCATTTGGCACTTCTTTCTGGGTTTTTTAAGCAGCCCAAAAACTCTAGGTGATTTTACTTTTGTAATTGTATTCTCTTGGGAATGCTCATTCCTGATTCCTCGTTTCACCAAATAGGTGTGGAACCTACTTGTTTCTGCCTATAATAATTCTGGAGTCTTTAAACAAAACGACTGTGACTTTTCATGATGAGTAGAAGATAGATTTTACTCATGCTACAATCAATATTAATTCCTTGCAGTTCAAAGACACTGAGGCCTTGTCTAATAATATAGAAGTTGAACTTGGACTTGGGAGATGACTCCTGCCTCTCGTCCTCTCTGTGGCTCTGCTTTCTATTATTTTACTCATAAGCTTGTTTTGTCTCCTTGCTGAGAATTGTCAAACATGAAATGTAATTTCAGGCTATAGTGAAGAAAGATGACGTAGGCAGAAGAAATTGGCAATCATTTGGCCTGTACATGTTGCTTTTTGTTTTTTTTTCTGGACTTAGGATATAGACCACACCTTGACATTTCTGGCCTTTGAGTCTTTCACAACTGTGATTATAATACATTAGCTCTTCTAGAAGTTAGAAGTGACTTTGGATTAAGTCTTTCATAAGGTGGCTAAATGAATTTATATGGCTCATCACAATTCACTAGATTGGTTAAGCAGGAAGTTTACAGAGATTTTTTTCTTTGCTGTAAATGTTTTTCTAAATTGAAAAACTTCTATTACTGTCTTCTGGAGTACTAGAAATAAGTGCAAGTGATTGTTTTTGGCAGGAGGCCACATAAACATTTCTGCTTCTCTGTGCCTTATGGGTAGCATTGATATAAATTGTTAAAAATAATGATTGTAGATAGATAATGTATCAGAATTTGGGCTCACCTGCGGTAGCTGCTGTTGACCCAGAGGGACCACTGGGATCCTCACATCTCAGGGCAGCACATCGTTTGCAGCAATGGTTGGTTCTACGCAACCTTTTATGAAATTAGGTGAGGCCCTTGCTTAGAATTTTTTAAAAGATTAATATGAGTTTATATCTCTTTAAATATCAGTTTCTAATATTTTTTTAAAGGCCTATGTTTACAACAAATTTAGGAGATACCTTTATGCACTACTAACTAGTGTTCTTTTGTGGTGCTTTAGAAATTCTGGCTTACTTGTATTTTTGCTGGCCTTCTAATGATTTCACTCATCAATCAGAAGATATTTGTGTCCACCTCCCTGCTTCCTCTCCGGTGATCTTGTCTATTCTTGGCCATTTTAGAGTTGACTTAGCAGCCTTCACAAAACTGATTGGAATTTCCACTGGGATTAAATTGATAGGTCATTTTTGGGAGACCTTTGCAATATTGAACTTTCCAATCCATGAACTTTACTTATCTGCCCATTTATTATGTTTGTTTTTGGTAGATTACAAAATTATATGATCACTCCAAAAATTACCTTGCCCTTTATAGTAAAACCTTCCATTGTAAACTTCTGGCAATAACTGATCTGTGTTCCTCTGGCATTGCTTTTTTTTCAGAATTTTATACAAATGGAATCGTTCAGGATGTAGCCTTTTGAGTCTGGCTACTTTCATATACTGTATCAACAGTTATTCCTTTTAATTGCCAAATAGTAATCCATTGTATAAATACTACATGGTTTGCTTATTGGTTTGTCATTGGAGGAATATGGACTATTTTCACTTTTTGATAAATTATAAGTGGATTGGAATTCACAAAGTGCTTTTTGTCTGAGCATAGGTTTTCATTTCACTTGTGCAAATGCCTAAGGGTAGGATTGCCGAGTCACATGGTCCATGTACGTTTGACTTTATCAGAACCTGCCAAATTGTCTTCCAAAGTGCTGTGCCACTTCTGTTTCTTTAATAAATACAGGGGTATTCAAGCTGTCTGTTTCTTCTTGAGTTTCGGTAGTCTGTCTTTCAAGGAATTGATCTATTTCACCTAATTTGTAGAATTTAGAAGCATATAGTTGTTTGTTTTGTTTTTGTAGTGTCCATTCTAGCCTTCTAGTGTCTACAGGATTTGTAATAATATTCCTTTCATTTCTGGTATTGGCAATTTGTGTTTTCTCTTCTTCCTTTGTCAGTCTGCTAGAGGCTTCCTCATTTGATTGACTTCCACCTCCCACCGCCCTTGCAAAGAACCAACTTTGGATTTCGTTGAATTTTTTTCCTTTACTGTTTTTGTTTAAATATTACTGATTTAGTCTGTTTTTCTTATGCCTGATTTGAGTTTATTTGGTTCTTTTTTTACTTAAAGTAAATGCTTACATTATTGATTTGATGCTTCATTTCTCATAATTTAGTGCCATAAATTGCCCTGTAAGCACATATTTTGATAAGATGATGTCATATTTATTAAGTTCAAACTGTTTTCCAATTTGTCTTAAGATACTCTCTTTGACCTATGGGCCATTTAGAAGTATGCCATTTAACTTCTCATATTTGGGGATGTTCTAGAAATGTTCTAGATTCCTAGTTTAATTCTGTCATCAGAGAAAATAATTCACTGAATTTTAATTGTTTAACTTTAGGGTTTGTTTTATGACCCAGAATATGATCTCTCACCACCACCATCCAGATAATTCTTCAGGTTTTGACGTTTCCCAACCTGTCTGCTGGTTACTTTTCAGAGTACTTGGGTCATTGCTATTTATATTTTGTCCAGAGTTTCAAATTGTGATCAGTGGAAATGACAGGCCGTAGCATGCATACGCCATCCTGGCCAGCATCACAGGCGGTCAGCATATCTTTCTGTTGTTGTTTTGAGACAGGGTCTCACTCTGTTGCCCAGGCTGGAGCACAGTGGCATGATCAGGGATCACTGCATTCTCAACCTGCTAGGCTCAAGTGATCCTCCCACCTCAGCCTCCCGAATAGCTGGGTCTATAGGTGTGCTGCCATGCCCAGCTAATTTTTGTATTTTTTATAAAGACGTGATTTTGCCTTGTTGCCCAGGCTGGTCTCAAACTCCTGAGCTCAGGCCATCCTCTCACTCGGGCCTCCCAAAATACTAGGATTATAGGCATGACCACCACACCTGGCCAGTACATCTTAAAAATAATTGCTGATCCACGTTGAATAATGATGGCCTGTAAATATTTTCTCTTGCACTTGCCTTGTTGGGTTTTGATATCAAGGTTATTTTTATTTTAACCTTGTAAAATGAACTCGGGAGTCTTCTTTTTTTATTCTCTGTGTTGGTGGCAGAGTTTTTTTTGTTGTTGTTGTTTGGTTGGTTGGTTTGTTTCTCTTGTATGTTTCATGGAACTTTTTGGTGAAGGCACTTGGGCCTGGAAATTTCTTTATGGGAAGTTTTTTCATTACTGATTCAATATATTTAATCTATGTAAGTTTTTTTTCTACTTTTTGAGTCAATTTTGATTTTTTTTCCTAGAAATTCATATCTCACCAAGTATGGTGGCTTATGCTTGTAATCCCAGCACTTTGGGAGGCTCAGGTGGGAGGACCACTTGACTACAGTAGTTCAAGACCAGCCTGGGCAATATAGTGAGACTCCATCTCTACAAAAAAAATAAAAATTAGCTTGGTGTGGTGGTGGGTGCCTGTAGTGTGAGCTACTTGGGATGCTGAGGTGGGAGGATCATTTGAGCCTGGAAGGTCGAGACTGCAGTGAGCTGTGATTGTGCCTTCTTCCTTCCCCCTCCTCCTCCTTTTTACTTTTCTTCCTCTTCCTTTCTCTTCTTCTTTCTCTCCTTCATTATCCCTTTCGCTGTTTCTCTTTCTCCCTTTCTCTTTTTTCTTTTCTTTCAATTTTCTCAATTACTAAGAGATGTTTAAGTACCCTTAGCGTGTTAGTAGATACGGTTATTTCTCCCTTTAGTTCTCTTTTGAGATTTATAGTCACTCAAATAAAGAGATAACCCAAACATAAGCGTCACAAACAGGCTTTCATGCCATTCTTAATTTGGTCCTGTAATTCTTCATTGCTGTATTAATTTTCTGATGCTTTTAAGGATGTTTTATAACAAATTGTGTAGCTTTTTCCAATGGAATGTTTATTCTGAATTATCTAATTCATATTGTAAGTATAGAGGGAGTTTAATATAAAATTATTAAACTAATATTTGTGAAAGAATGTATTTGTGCATTTAACAAATATGTTAATCCTCAGACTGTTATTGGGCAGCTGAGCATACAGGAATAAAAATAACACAATTTTTATGTGTACAATATTTATGGAATACGTTACTGGACCCAATAAATAATTTAGTTAATAACATGACAAAGAACAGAAATTGTATACACCATAGAGCATAGTAATGGAATAATGAATGATTAAAGTTATTAATATTAGGTAGAAAGTGAAGGGTATCTTTGAGAGCAGAATTCAAGGAAGCAAGCAATTCGCCTTATCAGGAAAGAGTTACCTGTGGATAAAGGAGAAACTGAAAAATTTACAAGTCAAGACTTTTTGAGCAAAAACAAAAATATGACTATTAGTCACCAATTCAGTACAGTGAAAAAAATGTTGAAGAGATATCTTGGAAGTAAACCATGTTGTGGAAGAGCATGTAGGGTTTTGATAATCATGGGATGATTCTGAATTAATTTTAAATGCGATAGGAATATATGAGATAATTTCACCAGAGAATAAAATGATTGTGTTTGCATTTCAAAGGGGTGTATCTGGTGCACTGTGTAGAATAAATAGGTTATGTGAGCAAATAAATTGGGAGGCTACTCTAATCCAGTGAAAAAAGGTAGTGACTTAGGTGAGAATGCTGTCAGCATGAGTGGTAGTAGTGGTGAGAAGTCGTTAGGCCATGGATGTATTTCATAGGACTGGCCAAGAGAACTGCAGCTAAATTGGAGTGTAGGGAGTGAAATAGAGAACTCAAAGATGACTCTCAGCAATGGAAGGTGACAGCTGTCACTGAAGCATGCTGATGCCTCTTATTAAGAGAGTTACTTGGGAATGGCAAGATCAAAACTTCTCACTTTCAAATTTATGAAAAATATTGTTTTCAGAACGAGTGACTTTGGGATCAGAAAGCCACCATTCTAATTGATGGTTCCACGACTACACGGGCTCACAGTCGCAAGAGCAAAAGTAAATCATCACAAAGGTGCTTCTTGATAATTCTAGAGAATGGAGAATTACTGTAACATCTTTCTGATTTTAGGAGAGGTAGCAGTTCCCTTTTTAGCCTAAACGCTATTTCTTTTTAAAGCTCAGCCAAGAGACTCCATTATAATTTTCAAATGTGTGTAACTTAAATTCTCATATGAAATACCACTATGCTTAAATTAGTCAAAACATTTTCCCCATCTACAACTCTATCTTGTCATTGTAATCATGTTCACAAAAGTGACTGCAGCTCTCAGACCCTAAAAAGAGAAAATCCAGGGTAGTTTATCTGATCTAGTTAGTTTCGAAGACAGGATCTAGAGATTATTTAATATGAAATGGGTCACCTGAAATGAAGTGTTTACTGAAAACAGCTTGGATCAGCCCAGTTTTCTACCACTGAACCATGCATTTGGTTTAAAAAACACAACAACTCTGCGGAATATCGGCTGTTTCCAACTGTGTTGAAGGTGTTAAAGAAAAGAGCATAAAATTAAAAATGATCATCTGAGGCCTTTATAGTCTCTGCTCAAGAGACTAGAGTTTTCCATTCTTAACGAAACACCCAAATATCTTAATAATTGGGCAAAATCTAAATATCAGAGATAATTTTATCTTGAAGATTGTTAAATTATAACGGTGATTCACTAGCTTGCCACGTCTCTGAGTCAAAAATTAGGTCTTTGTTTAGGAATCAATCATAATCTGCAATTTGGAAATAGGAAGATTTTAGAAGACTCAGACATTGACTTTCTTGTGTGCAAAAAAAAAGACGTATTGAGATAAGACAAGTCTTTCCTTGCAAGGATACCTCTAATGCTCATACACCACCTCCCCTAACATTAATAGAGCTTCCAGGTCACTAACCAGTGTCAGAGAGCAGCCCACACAACCAGAAATTCAAAAGATGTCGAACATAGGGTCAAGCTTAGAATAAGACGTCTTAGCTAATTAAGTATGCTTTTATCCCGAAATTCATATTAACAAAATCTTGGATATGTCAGAGAATGCATTCTAAGTTCACTCAACCTAGGAGGGAGAAACATAATTTTAAATTAAGAGCTGAAGCATTCTTGTCCTAACACAAAGCAAGGAAAACGAAATATCACACCACAGGAGGGATTTCACAAATTTGCGTCAACATCAAAACCTTAAAATAGGCAAGGAGAATGCAGATTCACAATGAACTCTTGTACTTGTTTTGTTCAGAGAAGAGACGGTTCTGAGAGAATGACAGTGAACTAACCCCAGCTGGGTTTAGTTGGTGCTTTCAACTGCTGCTTCTGATCAACTCCTTTAGCTAGAATAAATTGATGAGGATTTTGGCCTGTGGTATTAGAGATGGTTATTAATTTTTTCCTCTTATTTGCATTGTTCAATATAGTAAATACTAGCTGTATATGGCTACTTCAATTCAAATTAATTACAATGAAATATACTTAAATATTGAATTTCTTAGTCACTCTTGGTTCATTATTGAATATCTTCAGCTAAGATTTCCCAACTAAAGACACTAAGAGGTGGCTTAGTTAACCGGTCATCCACAAATATTGAAGCTGCTGTTAACTCCTGATATATTCTCTGCAAGGAGAATACTCATAAGCCTCCTCCTGAAATCAGCAGCCTAGAGATAGTTTTATAAACTGGATACAAGTTGGAAATCTATATACTCTTTAAGTGTTTGAAATATTAGCTTTCCAGGGAAGAAAATCAAATTCATAAGATATGCTAGGACAATTTAACTCAAGATGTTCAAAACTGAAATGACATATTCTACAACATGTGATAAAACCACCCCCTAACAACTTAAAGCAAAACAGGGGTGGACCTTAAAGACCTGCCTTTTCCTCATCCCCCAGCCAATCAGTTTTCAAATCTTGCATTTTATTTTGAAAGGTCCCTATCCCCCTGGTCTCTTGTTTCTAGACTTGGCACATATTTAAGTTTGTTACCTCTCTCTACTGACTTTTCTCTCTTCAAACAGTATCTATGCCTGCCAAATGTGAACGTACAAGAAACAAATCAGAATGTGCCATTCTGATTTAAACTGCTTATTAGTTAATACCCTCAAGATAACATCTGGGTTCTTAGCTTCAATGAGTCAAGCCTACTTACATCTTTTTGTCTTTGGCTGCACATTTCCTATCACATCGCACTCCAGCAATGCCAAGCTGTGCCGGCCTTCCACTCCATCTCCATTATTTCGCCCTCCGCCGCCACCGCCGCGGCTTTTTCCCGCCCCCCCGCCGCCGCGGCTTATTCCCCCCACCCCGCCTAGGCTTTTTGCCCGCCGCTGCTTTGTGCCCCCCGGCGCCAGGGCTTTTAGCCCGCCGCGGCTTTTTGACCCCTCGCCGCTGCGAATTTTGCCGCCGCGGCTTTTTGTCCCCCGCTGCTGCGGCATTTTGCCCCCCTCCGCTTTTTGCCCCCCCGCCGCCGTGGCTTTTTCCCCCCTGCCCCCACGGCTTTTTACCCGCCTCGGCTTTTTACCCCCAGCCGCCTCGGCTTTTAGACCCCACCCCGCCTCGGGTTTTTGCCCGCCGGGGCTTTGTGCCCCTCGCCGCCGCGGCTTTTTGCCCGCCGTGGCTTCCCCACCCCCCGCCGCGGCTTTTTGTCCCCCTGCGCCACGGCTTTTTGCCCGCCGCGCCTTTTTCTCCCCGCCGCCGCGACTTTTTGCCCGCAGCGACTTTTTACCCCCGCCGCCGTGGCTTTTTGCCCCATCGCCGCTGCGGCTTTCTGCCCCCACCCGCCGCTGCGGCTTTTTGCGCCCCCGCCGCCCCGGCGCCAGGGCTTTTAGTCCGCCCCGGCTTTTTGACCCCTCGCCGTTGCGAGTTTTGTCGCCGCGGCTTTTTGCCCGCCCCCCGCCGCTGCGGCTTTTTGCCCCCCGCCGCCTTTTGCCCCCTCGCCGCCGCGGCTTTTTCCCGCCGTGGATTTTTCCCCCCTGCCCCCGCGACTTTTCACCCGCCGCAGCTTTTTGCCCCCACCCCGCCTCGGCTTTTTGCCCGCCGCGGCTTTTTGCCCCCCGCCGCCGCGGCTTTTTGCCCCCACCCCTCCTCGGCTTTTTGCCCGCCGCGGCTTTGTGCCCCCCTCACCGCCGCGGCTTTCTGCCACCCACCCGCCGCCGCAGCTTTTTGCCCCCACCCTGCCTCGGCTTTTTGCCCGCCGAGGCGTTTTGCCCCCCGCCGCTTTTCGCACCCCGCCGCCGCGGCTTTTTCCCCGCCGTGGCTTTTCCCCCCTGCCCCCGCGGCCTTTTACCCGCCGCAGCTTTTTGCCACCCGCCGCCGCGGCTTTTTGCCTCCACCCCGCCTCGGCTTCTTGCCCACCGCGGCTTTTTACCCCGCGCCGCCGCGGCTTTTTGCCCGCCGCGGATTTGTGCCCCCCTCGCCGCCGCGGCTTTTTGCCCGCCGCGGCTTTCTGCCACACACCCGCCGCCGCGGCTTTTTGCCCCACCGCCGACACAGCTTTTTGCACACTCGCCGCCTTGGCTTTTTGCCGCCGCGGCTTTCTGCCCCCTCGCTGCCACGGCTTTTTGCCCCTCCGCCACCGCCGCTGCTTTTTGCCCCACCGCCGCCGTGGCTTTTTGCCCACCGCGGCTTTTTGCCATCGCGGCTTTTTACTCGCCACGGCCTTTTACCCGCCGCGGCTTTTTGCGCCCCGCTGTCACGGCTTTTTGTCCCCCTGCCGCAGCGACTTTTTCGCCGCCGCGGCGTTTTGCCCCCGCCGCCGAGGATTTTTGTCCCCGCCGCCACGGCTCTGAGGGCGGGAGCGGCAGACTCGGCTGCCAGCTCTACTGGCGTCCTGGCAAGGGCAGCTCTGAGGGGTGCTCCTGGTCCAGCTCTCCTGGCTCAGGGATTCCTTGCCTAGGCGCCGGCGCCCCAGGCTCCTTGCCTAGGCCCCTGTGGCCTGCATAGAGTGGCGCTGCCTGTGGAGGCGATGGGAGAGAAGAAGGAGGGCGGTGGTGGGGGTGATGCGGCGGCCACGGAGGGTGGCACAGGGGCTGCGGCCAGCCGGGCGCTGCAGCAGTGCGGGCAGCTCCAGAAGCTCATCGTCATCTTCATTGGCAGCCTGTGCGGGCTGTGCACCAAGTGCGCTGTGTCCAACGACCTCACCCAGCAGGAGATACAGACCCTGGAGGTAAGGGGTTCGGGGACCCGGGCTGGGCTCCAGGAGCGGCCCGGACACCTCCTTCGGGGCCCCAGTTCACTCCTGGCCGAGTTGCATCTTTGAGCCCACGTCACCCCCTTGGAGGCTTCCCCTCCCTCCTGCACTCGCTGATGCGGCACCAGGGGACCCAGGACCAGCCCTCACCTTGGGCAGGATTTGTGGAGCGGGTGCGTGGTGGGAACTGGGATGGAGGCTCCAGGGTCCCGTGGGGGTGGGGGTGGGCTGCGTGAGGACATCCCCTTACCCCCTGAATTTCCATCTGGTCCAGCCCTCTCATCTTGTAGGTGAGGAAACCGAAGGCCTGAGGGAGAAATGACTTGCCAGGAACCCCTGTTAAGGAAAATTAACAAAGTGTGGTTATTAAAGAAGAACTGAGTTGGGAGTCAGACCTGGAGGCCCGCACCCGTGGTTAAGACATTATACCACCTTGAGTCTGGCCTGTTGACTGAGGGTGAGCCACTCCATCCTCATGTGATTGTGGGGTCTTAACCTCAAGGGGTTTCCTGCAGGAAGAAGCAAATGGGTTTGCTTTCCTAGCTCTGTCCAGTACGTTAGGGACCCTGAGGACTGAAGAGATTCTTGGAGAGCCATCTGGTGTATGTCATGGGTGGGTCTTTTTGGAAGGTCAGTCTGCCCAGTGGGCTGGCTCAGCCCAAATGAACTGTCTTGAATCTTTGGAGTTGTCTGTGTACTTTTAAGGGCTTCTCAGCCTTGCACCAAAAGATCCCCCTGGAAATTAGGTGGGAAAAACCTTAACTTTTGTGGGGCCTTGTGTTTGTCTTAAAAGTTCATGCACATAGCCAGGTGTGGTGGCTCCCACCTGTTATCCTTTCCTGGATCCCTTGAGTCAAGGAGTTTGAGACCAACCTGGACAATATAGTGAGACCCCATCTCTACAAAAAATAAAATATTAGCCAGGGGTGGTTGTGCGCATCTGTAGTCCCAGCTACTACTGTGGCTGAGGCGGGAGGAGCACTTGATCCTGCACTGAGCTCTGATCTCACCAGTGTACTCCAGCCTGGGCCACAGAGCAAGACCGTGACTCAAAAAAAAAAAAAAAAAAAGACAAGAAAAATTCTTCAAGATTTTGCATTCTGTCCCACTACCCATTGGTTTTCATGTCAAGATAATGTCAGAAATTCTTTACAATTGCTTCCAGAAGGAGTAGCCTTTTGATCTAGTGCACAGGTGTCCAGTCTTTTGGCTTCTCAGGGCCACATTGGAAGAAGAATGCTCCTGGGCCGCACATAAAATACACTAATGCTAAAACAGCTGATGGGGTTAAAAAAAAAAAAAGGTTTGTGCATAATTTTCATGCTACCCACCACCACAGATAGGTGGAAAAGTCCTTGTAGGCAAAGGGTTGGACACGGCTGATCTAGTGTCTTGTCGTCCGTTTTGGCTTTCTCCCTGATTCCAGAATGCAGGTAGAGATGTAGAGACATGCTCTCAGGACAGCTGTTGAGATAAAAAAAATTCGTTGTCATTTATTCCCAAGCACAGCTGTTTCTCATTGCATTGAAAAAGTCTCCATTCAAACTGCTGTCACATATAAAATCTATTTATGTAAGTCTGTATTTTTCTGTTGTCTTGGCCTTTGTAGGCAGTAGTGTGTTTTAACCGAGCAAACTGTCCTTCCAAATAATGAAGCCGAAGTCAGCCTACCTACTTGCCATTTTTCTTCCCCTTCCATTTTTGTAACCTCAGAATAATTGTAAGAATGAATTAAGATTTGTGTTTAAGGCCAGGCACAGTGTCTCAGGCCTGCAATCTCAGCACTTTGGGAGGCGGAGACGGTTGTATCGCTTGAGCTCAGGAGTTGAAGACCAGCCTGGGCAACATACTGAGACTCTGTCTTGTATAATTTAATTAAAATTGAAAAAAAGAAGAGAAAAAGACCTGTGTTTAAAATTTAAAAAAAGGGGGGGGAAAGTGTAATGCAAAATGTGGACTATGCCAGCTATGATTGGGAAAACTAGTTTTTCATACAGCATTATCTGTAGACTTGTATTAGCAGCATACTGGTCATAAGCGTTTTGCTTTCCTCAAATATGATGAGGCAAGCTAATTTAAAGTGTGTTGGGGCTTTCTGCCGCGTGGCTCCTGGAGGTGTTGAGTCCCAATTTAGCCAATTAATTTAGGTTTAGTTTTGACGTGGATAAGGGAGACCAGCTTCATTCATGGTGTACACACAGTTTTGCGAATAAGGAAAAAAAAAAGCCACCTGAATGTTCCTACTCATTAGATGCTATCTGGAGAGCTCCTACCCCACCCTCACCAAGGCCCGGGCCATTAAAAAGACTCAATGCAGCCTTTCTGTATCTCATACTGTATTCTGCAAGATACTCCTCTGAAAGAAAGTTGTGCTGCATCAGCCATCTCCCTCCTGAAGATCCCTGCGGATGAAGATTTGTGTTTTGAAAGTTCTGAGAATTCCTGCAACAACAATTCTCAAACTTATTTGTCCATGGGATCTTCTCTTCCACTGAATGTAGTTGGGGAGACACAGCCTTAAGCCTTGAGCAGAGAAAGAGACAAGAAACTGTCGGCTCACTTACAACCAAGTGTTGTGTTTATGTTTTAGGTTTTTATGAAACTGAGGTGCTGTTTGAGGTTTTAAATGAAATTGGGTGGTTGAGGAGAGGCTGCTATCCCTGTAGACTTAGCCAGCCATGAGAAGTTGCCTTTTGTTGAAGGAGGTGTTTTAGAAAGGGAAATAGGGTGTCTCCTGGGCATCGCATTAGCAATTAAATACATGTATCACTGAAATGAAATGATATGATGAAATGATGAAATGAAATGATGAAATGATGAAATGAAACGAAATGATGAAATGAAGAAATGAAATAATGAGCTGAAATGATGATGAAATGAAATGAAATGATGAAATGGAATGATGAAAAATGAAATGATGACATAAAATGGTGAAATGAAATGAAATGAAATAATGAAGTGAAATGAAATGAAATGATGAAATGATGAAATGAAATGAAAAGATGAAATGATGAATTGAGGAAATGTATGAAATGATGAAATGAAACGAAATGAAGTGAATGATGAAATGACGAAAAAATGAAATTAAATGATGAATTGATGAAATGAAATGATGAGATGAAAAGGTGAAAAGAAACGAAATGATTAAATGAAATGAGGAGACGAAAAGATGAAATGAAATGATGAGATGAAATGAAATGATGTGATGAAATGATGAGATGAAGTGAAATGATGAAATGAAATGATGAGATGAAATGAAATAATGCAATGAAAGATGATATGATGAGATGAAGTGAAATGATGAAATGATGAAATGTGATGAAATGGAATGATGAAATGAAATGATGAAATGAAATTGTGAAATGAAATGAGGAAATGAAATGGAATGATGAAATGAAATGAAAAGATCAAACGGTGAAGTGAAGAAATGATATGAAATGATGAAATGAAATGAAATGAGGAAATGAAGTTAAATGATTAAATGATGAAATAATGAAATGAAATGAAATGATGAAATGATGAATTGATGAAATGATCAAATGAAATGACGAGATGAAAAGATGAAATGAAATGATGAAATGTAATGACGAGATGAAAAGATGAAATGAGATGAAATGATGAGATGAAATGAAATCATGAGATGATGAAATGATGAGATGAAGTGAAATGATGAAATGATGAGATGAAATGAAATGATGAAATGAAATGAAATGTTGAGATGAAATGATGAAATGAAATGAAAGAATGAAATGAAATGATGAAATGAGATGAAATGAAATCATGAGATGAAATGATGAAATGATGAGATGAAGTGAAATGATGAAATGATGAAATGTAATGAAATGATGAAATGGAATGATGAAATGAAATGATGAAATGAAATGGTGAAATGAGGAAATGAAATGAAATGATGAAATGAAGTGAAATGATGAAATGATGAAATGAAATGAGAAGATCAAATGGTGAAATGAAGAAATGATATGAAATGATGAAATGAAATGAAGTGATGAAATGAAGTTGAATGATTAAATGATGAAATAATGAAATGAAATGATGAAATGATGAATTGATGAAATGATCAAATGAAATGAGATGAAAAGATGAGATGAAATGAAATGATGAAATGAAATGACGAGATGAAAAGATGAAATGAGATGAAATGAGATGAAATGAAATCGTGAGATGATGAAATGATGAGATGAAGTGAAATGATGAAATGATGAAATGTGATGAAATGGAATGATGAAATGAAATGATGAAATGAAATTGTGAAATGAAATGAGGAAATGAAATGGAATGATGAAATGAAATGAAAAGATCAAATGGTGAAGTGAAGAAATGATATGAAATGATGAAATGAAATGAAATGAGGAAATGAAGTTAAATGATTAAATGATGAAATAATGAAATGAAATGAAATGATGAAATGATGAATTGATGAAATGATCAAATGAAATGACGAGATGAAAAGATGAAATGAAATGATGAAATGTAATGACGAGATGAAAAGATGAAATGAGATGAAATGATGAGATGAAATGAAATCATGAGATGATGAAATGATGAGATGAAGTGAAATGATGAAATGAAATGAAATGTTGAGATGAAATGATGAAATGAAATGAAAGAATGAAGTGAAATGATGAAATGAGATGAAATGAAATCATGAGATGAAATGATGAAATGATGAGATGAAGTGAAATGATGAAATGATGAAATGTAATGAAATGATGAAATGGAATGATGAAATGAAATGAGGAAATGAAATGGTGAAATGAAATGAGGAAATGAAATGATGAAATGAAATGAAGTGAAATGATGAAATGATGAAATGAAATGAGAAGATCAAATGGTGAAATGAAGAAATGATATGAAATGATGAAATGAAATGAAGTGATGAAATGAAGTTAAATGATTAAATGATGAAATAATGAAATGAAATGATGAAATGATGAATTGATGAAATGATCAAATGAAATGAGATGAAAAGATGAGATGAAATGAAATGATGAAATGAAATGACGAGATGAAAAGATGAAACGAGATGAAATGAGATGAAATCGTGAGATGATGAAATGATGAGATGAAGTGAAATGATGAAATGATGGAATGACAAAATGCAACAATGAGAAGAAATTATGAAATGAAATAATGAAATGAAAGGATGAAATGATGAGATGAAATGATGAAAGGATGAAATGAAATGATGAGGAAATGAAAAGATGAAATGAAATGAATAAGTGAAATGATGAAATGATTGAATGAAAACATGAAATGATGAAATGATATGAAATGATGACATGAAGTCAAATGATGCAATGATGAAATAAATGAAATGAAATGATGAAATGAAATGAGATGAAATGATGAAATGATGAGATGAAAAGATGAAATGAAATGATGAGATGAAATGAAATGAGATGAAATGAAATGAGATGAAATGAAATCATGAGATGAAAAGATGAAATGAGATTAAGTGAAATGACGAAATGAAATGTCGAGATGAAGTGATGAAATGAAATGAAATGAAACAATGAAATGAAGTGAAATGAAATGAGATGAAATGATGAGATGAAATGATGAATTGATGAAATGAAATGAGATGAAAAGATGAAATGAAATGATGAAATGATGAGATGAAAAGATAAAATGATGAGATGAAATGAAATGATGAGATGAAATGAAATGGTGAGATGAAATGAAATGATGAGATGAAATGATGAGATGAAGTGAAATGATGAAATGAAATGTTGAGATGAAATGATGAAATGAAATGAAAGAATGAAATGAAATGATAAAATGAGATGAAATGATAAGATGAAATGATGAAATGGAAGGATGAAATGAAATGATGAAATGAGGAAATGAGATGAAATGATGAAATGATGAAATGAAAGGATGAAATGAGGAAATGAGATGAAATGATGAAATGATGAAATGAAAGGATGAAATGAGGAAATGAAATGAAATGATGAAAAGAAATGAAATAATGAAATGAAATGATGTAATAGATGAACCAAAAATTCTTATTCACTTTTTTTCTGGGCATCTTCCTAAGAGTATTTTAGTGAGGTTAATTTCTAAATATAAATTGCTATTCAATGGCTATACAGTTGGCCTTTGCACCACAGGGGTTTGAACTGTGCACGTCCACTTAGCAAAACCAACAATTCTACATCCTTATCCACATCCTGCCCATGAGAAAGATGAGGATGAAGACCTGTTTGATCATCTACTTCCATTTAATAACTAGTAAATCTATTTTCCTTATGATTTTCTTTTTTCTTTTCTCTGGCATGTTTGTTAAGAATACAGTATATAAGACATATAACATATTAAATATGTGTTAATTGACTGTGTTATTTGTCAGGCTTACAGTAGGCTATTAGTAGTTAAGTTTTGGGGGAGTCAAAGTTATAGTGTATTTTCTACCGTGCAGGGGGTCCAGCACCCCAACCTCCGTGTTGCTTAAGGGTCAACCGTACGTGTTATTTCCTTTCCTGTAAGAGAAAAATGATGAGAAGGTCTTTTCTCCAATAAGTGTCTTCAAAATGTAGCAGATTTGAAATGTGTTGGCGCCACCATTTTGCGTCTCACTTTGAAAACTTATTATTTAAAATCGTACTAAAGCCTACCTTACTTTTCCAACCTTAGAAAAAATGTTCCAAAGAAAAGGGGCGAAACCATGCTAGTTTGCCCTGAAATTTGAAATTACCTTTTAAAAATATATTTTGACATTAATTACTTCCAAACTAGAGATCAGTTGCATACAAATGGCAGGTCACCCTAATCCACCCTATGACTGCACTTAGATTTATGAGGGATTGTGCCATCTAGAAAGGGCAGAGAGGAGGAATAGAGTGCTCTGCGTCTTGAAATATAAACATGCACATAGCCACATGCTTTGATTCTGTTGTCACTGTGTACTTACTGCTAGGAAGAGGGCATGTTTGTGTATTTTTATGCTAATTATTATCCAAGTTGTTAATGATTTACGCTTTCAGAACCATATAAAGATTTTTTTCCTTTCAGATATAAACTATCTTGCATTGTTCTTCTGATCATATGAGGGATAAATTTGCCTAAATATTCTTCAGACCATAATAGTATGTCCATATAAATGCCAGTAGCAAGAGTAGAATCAACCACAACTGCCTTAGTAATTATTTAAAGCATGTCTGCCTATAAGTAATTGGCATTTTATATAATCAAGAATCTTTGATATAATAATCTCTCAACTATTTGAAACACGGCTCACATGTATTAATTTTTTAAGCAAATATATATATAATATCAGTGTATATGAAACTGAATTTTGGACTTTAGAACAGCTTCTTAGAATCCTGACTTAAATGTCTACAGTAATAGTTGGCTTAAAAAAATTTAGCACACTGTCACTATGATGAAAAAAATTACTATAAAATATTTAAAAATTTTTTCCACCCTAACATTTAGAATATTCTCACATTTGTGGTTAAAACCTATTGTGATTGTTCTTAGAATTTAGATAAAAAATGTCCCAGAAAGATTGAAGAGAAGCACTTTAGTCAATTTTTAGTTGTTGAAGCATGAAGAAATGGCATTTCATTGACATTTTAAAAATTATTCAGATTCCCTCTTTGAATTCAAGAATTTCAAAGATATCTTATTTTAAAATACCAAAATAGGAATAGAATATGAAGGGCTGGTTATGAGTAATATGATACAATTTTATGAGATGATGAGATTACAATAACAATACCTCCTCTCATAGAATAGCCAGCAAGTCTCCACTAAATAACAGTGCCTTGATTTTATAGATGTTTCATCATGGATATTGAGTTAATGTGAACCATTTGTAGACACAGGAGTTTATTAAAGACTTATATAATATCTTTCAAGTATTTAGAATAGTGTTGAAATTAAGCCTGCATCCCCACGATTTTCAGCGGTGCTGATGCCTAATAAACTCAACCCCTTGCATGCCAAAATTGGCTTAAAGCCCATCTGTTACCCAAGCTACACTTCAAGCATCGAGGTTCAAAAATGTGATTTTGAATATGCAAGAGTTTGAGGAATTCACTACTCACACTTTCTTGAACAGTCTATCCAAGTGCATCAAGCAAAATGTGAGTAAAGAAATTTTGAGCAAAGGATTGATAGTAATGTTGAATACATTTAATAGTAGATCAAAGATTAAAAGGTGAAAGTGAGGGTGAGAAGAGTGTATGAATGCTTTGTGTTCTGACAAAGAGAATGTAGCACCCAGGTCCTACCTGCTTGGATGCATTGCCAGTGCCCACGGTAGGCCATTTTATCCAGGTTTTTAGGTATTGTCTTATTTTGTTTGTTTTTTTTCTTTTCAGGAGTCTTAGTCCAAGACCAATAACTCCGTAACTGGTAGATTTGGAAGACTTTAATAGTGCTTAACATTTTGTACATAGCTTTATAACAGTTTTCTTTTTCTTTTTTTCTGAGAGATTCTTTTCAATATACCCCATCATGGTTGAACTCAAAAATCATTGCTTATTTAAAATCTACAACTGCTGACGTTTTGTAACGTTCGCATTCCAGGTAATTGCTTTTTTGTGCATTTTCTGTATTTTTCTCCATCAGTCTACCTAGATATTTGTTAGATTTAATATTTTAATATTTTTCTGAAAAAGTGAGCTTTTGCATTTTTAAATATATACCCAGTTGCTTTAATTCTGCTTTTTCGTGTACTATTTCCTCGTTTTTTTCTATCTTGTTTTTTGTTTTTTTTTTTTCTGACACGGAGTCTTGCTCTGTCGCCCAAGCTGGAGTGCAGTCGCGTGATCTCTACTCACTGCAACTTCCACCCCCCACGTTCAAGCAATTCTCCCACCTCAGCCTCCCGAGTAGCTGGGGTTACAGATGCATGCCACCATGCCAGGCTAATTTTTGTATATTTAGTAGAGAGTGGGTTTCACCATGTTAGACCAGGCTGGTCTCGAACTCCTGACCTCAGGTGACCCACCTGCCTCGGCCTCCCAAAGTGCTGGGATTACAGGCGTGAACAATGGCGCCTGGCTATCTCCTTCATTCTTTAGGTTTATTTTACTGCTTTTATCTCTCTCTCTCTCACTGTTTCTCTCCTTCTCACATTCACTTTGCAGTTGTCAAATAGCCCAGGTGATGTTACAGATTTACTCCTTATAAAAGGAGGCATTACACATTACACATGCATCTTAGTGGCCTCACAAAAGTGTTTGGTTTATTTGTAGTGACTATTCACCTTTAAAATATTTCAATATTCAATAAAATGGCTTCCAACCAATATTATTACACTTATGTTTCTAACTTTCGTTTTTGTATTGATATCTGCCTTCATTGCTGTTTGTTTAGGACATATATTCTGTGTCACGTTATTTCCGTGAAAATTGTTTGAATTTGTGGTATGGTCTAGAAAATGTTAATTTTTGTAAGTATTCTGTATGAACATGAAAATAACATGAATTATAATATTCAAGTTCCTTATATAATATTTGCCCGTTTTAAAATCCACTAGCTTCTTTTAAAACTTACTCTTTTAATTTTTTCTTTTATCTATTACTGAAAGACGTGTGTTTGAAATGTCTATAATATTTGGGGGCTTATCCATTTCTACTTACTTTCTGATATTTTTGCTTTATATAATTTGACTCTCTCTAAATACGTGTGTGTCTGTGTGTGTGAGAGAGAGTGTGTGGTTTGTGTGTATATATATATGTATGTATCAGGCTAATACACATTGAAGTCATCACATTTTAATAACTTAAAACTTTTATCACACTGTTTACACTAACTTATTTTAATAAATGTTTCTAACTTACATTCTATTTGGTCTACATAGCAACTTTTTAAAAAATGTAGTGTGTTTGTATGTATATCATATATACACAGTATCTGTATTGTTTGAACTTCAAAGTTTCTGTAAATTTATATATTAGCTGTGTCTCTTGTAACTATGATAGAGATGGATGTTTTAAATTTTGCCAATCTTTGTATTTTAACAAAAACATTGTCTACTTAGGTTTAAGTTAATCTTTGATCATTTATACTTAATTTTGTATTAGTAATTTGTTGTGTGTATATATATATATATATATATATATATATATAAAATGTCTCATTTTCTCCTATCACTTTCTGTCTTCTTGTTTTAAAATTATGACTTTTATTTTTATTGTTTTCATAGATACAACAGAGAAATGCATAATGTCCAGTCAATTTATTAAAGTTCCAAAGTCGGTCGCGCGCAGTGGCTCACGCCTGTAATCTCAACACTTCGGGAGGCCGAGGCGTGTGGATCACGAGGTCAGGAGTTGGAGACTAGCCTGATCAACATGGTGAAACCCCGTCTCTACTAAAAATACAAAAATTAGCCAGGCAGGGTGGCACGCGGCTGTAATCCCCGCTACTCAGGAGGCTGAGGCAGGAGAATTGCTTGAACCTGGGAGGCAGAGGTTGCAGTGAGCGGAGATGACGCCACCATACTCCAGCCTGGGAGAAAGGGTGAATGAGACTCCTTCTCAAAAAAAAAAAAAAAAAAAAAAAAAAAAGAATTGCAAAGTCATACCTTTCTGCTCTTGTCAGACAATTAAGGGGTCTTTGAATACTTCAGCCCTAATAATTTGCTTCCTAACATACATATTGCAGTGCTTACCTAATTTTAAATATTCTTTTGTTTCAACACCTAATTTTCTATTTTGATCTATCTTTATGTTTACAATATATTTTGCTCTGTGTTCATTCTTTGATTTCAGAACTTCAATCTTTCTGAAGCGTGTTTTCAGAGTTTCCTTTGAGTTTCTTTAGTGGAATTCTGCTGGTGGTGTTTTGTTTTTTGTCTCTAAATATGTGATTTAGCCATAGGTTGATGAATATTTTTCTTGGTTGAGAATTTCAGAATGGCATTATTATTCTTAACAAATAATATTGTTTATTTTACCTTTCATGCTTTCAGATTTCAATATGATTAAAGGTAATTTGATTTTTCTAGTGCTAATTGAAATATTTTTCCCTTCCTGATTGTTTACTATTTCTCTAGGAGATATGTAGATGTAGGTTTATCTCCATCGTAGCTTGCTTAGCATGCATAGAAGTTTTGAATATGTGGATTAGTGTCTTACAGAACTCTAGAGAACTTTCAGCCAAAATACCATCACATATTGTCCCTTCCCCGTTCCCTTCCTCTATGAGAACACTCACTAAACACATGCTACACTTTCTCACTGTATCTTCCATGTCTCTTCATGATTCTGTCCACATTGTGCCTTTTTTTAAATTTTCTGTAATGCATTCTGAAATATTTATGAGCTCTCACCATGGCCATGTCTAATCTGATGAGTTCATTTTTGAGTTTTTAATTTAAAATACTATATACAAACTACTTTTCAAATTTACTACATCAACTTTTTAGTCTCCTAAAAATATATTCCTTTTTTTAAATTTTTTGAAAGCAAATGTGCTTTATAATCTAACAGTGATATTTCTACTAATGAACCTCTGTGGATCTGTTTGTACTCTTTTTCTGCTTTCCTTTCAAATGGTGGAATATCATTTCCTTGCGTACTTAGATGCCTTTGAATGACAAAGATTTATTTTTCTCTGAAAATTATTATTGTGCACTTTTGCATATTAGTAAGAAGAAAATTTGCCAAAGAGAATTTGAATTTTTTGTGAGTCTACTAAAGGCACCACCATTCTGGGACCACATTATATTAATTCTTGGCCTAAAGGTGTTTGGACGTATGTTTGGACAGCACATTTAAACAATTTTTAAATTAATTGCTGTAAATCATTAATGATTGAGTTTCTTTAAATCTGTCCAATCTCAAGTCATTTTTATTTGCCATTTCCAGGGAATGTGAAATGAGACTAATTTACCTCTGATTCTTCTTTATACTGAGGAGATAAATTTTGGTGCTAGCTTTAGGGAAGAGCTCCTGTGTGATGCCCTATCTTGGGAAACACTATGTATTTCTTTACTGTCCTATGTGATGTATGACCATAGGAATCTGCACTCATTCATTTTGCTACATGTCCGTAGGGCAAAATCAGTATCAGTGTTTAGGTGTATTTTGTCTGCTCCCTGCATTCCCATGGTTTTAACCTTATCTTTTACTTTTTTTTGTGAACATACCAATGCTTCAATTTTTTTCCAGTAATATAATCAACTATACTATAAGAGAAAAATTTCGATAAAACACAAATTTCATGTTTTCCTACTCTAATTGGCTTTTACGTAAAAAATACAGGTAAAATTTATTTGTGCTTTTTTGCTATTTCTGTTTTGCTATTTTCTGTTTGTCTATGTCTTCACCACATAGACACAATTAGGGAATTTTGTACACTCTTGTGCCAACTGCTTTGACAGTAACAAAATGTATTTCTCGAACTCCTAGGTATAAAACTCAAGTATCCACTATTTAAATTCTTTTTTGCTCACTTCTAGTATGTTTCCAGTCTCAATAGAAATCGATGCCAATCCAGAAATACAAGCATTATTCTAATACTTCTCACACATTACTGGTATGGATGACATTTTCTAGATCTCCTTAAATACTATCATTTTTCACTACTTGTATCTTAACTGTTAAGTTCAACATTTTCTGTAATATTAATATATTGTGAAAATTTCCTTTCTTTCTTATTTGTCCCAGGTTCAATGTTTTGCAGTCTCTACCTCACCCTGTGAAGCATAAACATTGTACATGCTGTACAAATAATACATCGTTCATGTACTTAGAGATTGCACAATTTTTATTTGGTTGACAATAGCTAATGTTTTCTTCTTCATTTTCTATTTCCTGATTTTTCTTTATTTAGTATATACTACACTGCCATAAAAATAAGAACGTTTTACAAACTAAAGCAAAAGGAACCCTAGGAATAAAATGCACAAATAAAATATATAAACATACGTTTAGGTGTACCACGTACACTTGTAATTTATTTAGACTTTTAATTTTAGTACAATTTTAATTAAAGTCTGTGTATTATCTGTCATCGTCTTAGTATTTTTTATATAACAAATTGTGTAAATCAAAAAGTATCAATGTCATTGTAAACTATCTTGGCAGAGGTTGATCTCCAAGGAATAATTTCTCTCCTAAATTATGCCAATCCAAATTTCACTCTACCGTCATTCTTTTCATCAGTTTCAGAGGAATAATAAATTTCAAAATTGTTCAAGGTACTTCTTTTAGTTCAAGTAACATTTGACAGGTGTAAAACTGTAGACAGACTGATACAAACGTATTCTAATTGACTCAAAATTATATGGGACCTATTTTAAAATCTAGATTTTAAAATGTCGTGTCAACATACACATGTTCTCCTTGTGAAATAATTGTTTTTTATTCTCTGGATAGAATAATTTAATCTTTAAACCTTCCATTCACTCTTAGAAACAATATATTACATAAGGATATGCTTATAAAAATAATTCCCAACTAGCTTTTCAGTTCAGAAATATATGTGAAGAATCATCAAACATCTAATGGATTTCAAGGAGAAATGGGTTAGTAATTTATTCCATATGTCTCAATTTTTCCTAGACTCAAGGCTTCCTTTAAAATAATTGTAGGCATTTAAGAAACCATGCAAACTAAAAAGAAGAAACTGTGACGCTGCCGCTTAGGCTTTTTAAGTCTTTGGACATGATTCAATATATTTTTTAAATTGTATCTTAATTAGACATTGTGAGTTCACCATCTTCCTGTCAATACAGCATCCAAGCTGATTATCATAGATTACAAGTTCAACTATCAACTGTGTTCTGAGAGTCTAAAAAAATAAATGAACGTATTTGTTTGGGTATTCTTAAAGCAGGAGTGAGGACACAGCGAAAGTGAGACAAGGAAAAGAGAACAAAATAAAACAGGAAAGACAGAAAAGCCAATACCACACGTGTTAAGAGGTAAGTTCCTGTGTTAGATATCTGGGCTTAATATTATGGGAAGCTATGTGGAGCATGCCTCAGAATTACATCACTGAATCCAGGGAGATTCTTCTTAGTTACCCTCACCTTTTCTTCCCACTTCATGCCCAGTAACAAGCTCCCGTGCTGCTAGAGAAAGTCCTCAGCTAGAAACTGGTGCAAATTCTGGAGATGAGACCTTGTAGAGTGTTAAGAATGGTTTTCTTCCCAGCAGCTACAGCTAAGGAATAGGGGCTGGGCTATGAATACATCTGCTACAAACCAATAAAGCCCTTATGCTCCTTTTGGTGATCGACAATGTATTTAAAAATATTAGATGATCAAGAAGGGCTGCAGAAAGGAGGAAACAGAAACAAACAGCACACCTCTTGGTTTATTTTTTTTTCATTTCATCAGTTTCAAGGAAAATATGTTTGGAGTTCCTGGCATAGAGAATGTCACAAAGACATGTTTTCAATAGTAGTGCTATCCCGAGCGCAGAGAAGACCCAAAGAAAGCCCAAGTGGCTGCTGGAACAAAATCAGACACCGTGCCACCTGTCCACACTCCTTGGCTCTGCCATCATGCTGAAGATCGCTTTAAAGGACTGGCTTCCCTCCCCCCAAAATTAAAAGAGCACAGACTGAGAAACTGAATGTGGGAGACAGCAGTGGATTATGCTGTTCTCAGGGGTCACCTCAGGTTTGGAAGCATTCTTTCAAATTAACCCATCTCAGGCCATCTGCAGAGAAGAAAGGTGGTACCTAACTTTTTTTCTTGTCGGCATTTGGTAGGGGTGTTTTATTGACCAAATATGTTCCCACAACCTCGTTTTTTGTGACTAACTAAATATAGTAGAGTTTTAAATTTTATCATCAAAATCTATAGACAATTTTTGATGAAAATAGACTCCATCTCTATGTCCTGCTTTTCTTCTTCTTATTAATTACATTGCTGTATAAAAGAACAAGACTTCAGCATCAAGAATATCTTGTCTCTTGGCATTGAATTTATACAAGGTGCTCTTTCTTTAATGCTGTCTCAAAGGACATATTTTTACTCATTAAAAAGGAAGATCGGAATCTAGTTGTATGCACTGCTCCAACATATTAATAATTAAAATTAGGAGGTAAATGTGGTCAAAGCTATAGAAAGACTGAGATGTCATTTACATCGATTACTCTATAGCACTCTACAAACAGAAATTGTTAAATAATAGTTTATATAAATATTTTGTAGCATTTCAAATATTTGAGTGCTTGAAGTTTCTCCTCTTTTATAGTTCAGATTATCAATTTGAAGACTTACTCCGCTAGTTAATATGTTTTTAGTCTCGTTTGAGTATTATATAAAAGCAATTTTCAGTTAAATGTGTTCCGCTTACATAAAACGTTACAAATTATTGAGGATTTAATTACTTATTCATGTTCCTGTAATGTCTTTAGAAGATTTTCTTATTATTACCTATCAATATATGTATGCTTTGTCAAAGAAAAATCAAACATATATATCATTGAAATTGAAACTTTTTAAAAGTACTTATTAATTCTATTGAAAAACCACATCCATAGGAACAATTACAATATAATATTGTGAACATGTAAACATATACCCTATGTCTATTTTATGTATAAGCATGTATGATTAAAAATATAGTGAAGAATTTTTAAACCTAGTATTATAAAGTAAAAATTAGTTAACTTCCGATGATTATTTGTTAATTAAGATAAAATTATTTTGATTTGGGTGATTTTAAATAAAGAAAAATATTAAATTACATGACAAAAATTCTTTATAAAATGTTTATGATTTTTACATTGGTTTTATCACTTTTCCCACTATTTTATTTTAAGATGACCTGCCTTGTTTAAAACACTGTATTCATCTTAGTTAAATTAGATTCCATTTGTAAAATAATTAACAAATGATTTGCTCTATTGTACAGTGCGGTTATAAACTGAGTCAGTATCTCAAGATTTGATCCCCATTATCATCATCTGTGGCCCTATTTGTTTTATAAATGTATTGTCTTTTTCCATGCCTGTCACATCTCTATTGCTCTTTCATTTTTCTCTTTGTCCCTTATAGGGAGCATTGCCTATCTCTAGATTAAGCAAAAGTTGCATCATAAAAAAGCACAATAACCTGCTCAATCTTTCTCACACAGAGAAATGTTTGTTAAGTAATTAAAGTGTAGATGATGATACAAAGAGCTTGATTAAATTAGATGCCAAAGTACCCTTGTGATTCAGAATATGAATGGTATTTAATTTCTTTGAAATCATTAATTGCTGAGTGAGATTAATTAATGCCAATATTCCAGAAGATGTTCCAGTCAGTAAAATGTATACAACGTGCAAAAGATTCAGAACTCTGAAGGGCAACATTATTCTATAATTAAGAATTAAGAATTAATTCACATTAATTACTGGGGAGAAATACTTTTTAAGAATTAATGACTGAGAAAATGTTTTTATTTTTTATTTAGAAAATTATTTTGTGCATGAGCATTACCGCAAGTTTTGCAAGAAACATAAATTTAAAGAAACAATTATGTGCACAAGATGAATTTAATAACATCTTGATATATTCCACGATTGCGGTTTTATTTGGTAAATCTTTCAAGGCACACCATTTAAAGAGAATAAATGAGTCTTGGAAATCTTGTAGGTAAGGGTAAATATTAGGATGCATCCAGTTACATTTACACACACATACAGTTACATTTACACACACATACACGCATACAGACTGAGTCACGTGTGTGTATATATATATATGAATTTACCAATTGATGTTAACTAATATTTATAAGAGCCAGTTGGATTGATATATATTGTTGAACCTGAAAAATATTTATTATATACATGTTTAAAATACAGAAATAAATAGCAATTGCACTAGGCATTTGAAACTGTACTAAAATATAAGCTGTGAACATTTTGTGATCATTACAAATTCTTACACTGAATAAATATTTTTATTTTTACAATATTAATATGTTTGATACCTGTGTATATTTTTTTACAATGTGTTATTTTATTTTTGTCATAGAGTCATGTCATGCATAATAACATTTTAGTCAAAGATGGATTACATATACAAAAGTGGTCCCATGAGATTATAATAGATATTTTTACATACTTTTCTACGTTTAATTATGTTTAGATACATAACCTCTTACCACTGTGTTCTTATTGCCTGCAGTATTCAGTACAGTAATGTAGTACACAGATTTGTAGCCTGGGAGAAAGAGGCTATACCATATAACCTAAACGTGGTAGGCTGTACAATCTAGGTGTTTGTAATACTCTCTGTGATGTTTGCAAAATGGTAAAATTGCCTACGAATACATCTGTTAAAACGTATCCCTATCATTCAGTGATGTGTGACTGTACTAAAATGCTCAATGTAAGTTTCAATGCCCTCCATAAAATTGTTGTACTGTGAAATACAAATCTCTCACCCATGGCCTGAATATGTTTGCAAACTAAGCAGATCATGGGAAGGAGAATGTGCTGGCACCGCTGGGATGATTTTCTCACTCTACATGAATAATATCTACAGACTTCGTGAATATGAGCCACTTGCATAGAGTTAAAGTAGGCATCTCTTTGCTGGGAAAATTATCAAATGGGAGTATGAAGTGTTTTTACAAGATACTCGTTTGTTTGTAGCTGGTAGGCCTACAGTGGCTCATGGTAATGGTTGAGGTTGCTAAGATTTGGTGGAAGAAGGCAAAATGAAATGGCCACTTATATGGTATATGGTATATGGATCACTTATTTCTGTTGAGTTACAAACTCAGCTGGCTATTTCTCCTATGTTAGTTATTTGGAGAAAAAAAAACGTGATGGTAATTTTGGGGTAACAAATACAATATTTGATGAAAGCAAATTTATTGAGGGTTAGACAAACTACAAGATACTTTAGGCTACAAAGTCAACACGAGAGTTCTGGCCCAAATTGTGCAGAGTTTGCGTCCAGCTGCACAGTTCAAAGGAAGAGGCCATGTAAGAAGATTCTCACTTCTGACACCAACTGCCAGTTCAGGGGTTTCCCCTGAACACCCTCAGTTTCAAGAATTTACTAGAAAGACTCACAGAACTCATTGAATGCCATTGTACTCATGGTTTATAATAGAGAAAGGGTAGAAATTAGGACCAATAGAAGAGACATATCATATAAGGTGGAATCTAGGAGATTTTGAAGGTTAAGTTTCCATTGTCTTCAGGACATATTACCTGTCATTGTTGTACAGCAACAAACATGGAGTACTACCAACCTGGGGAGCTCACCTGATGCTAACAAGACACTACTTACAAAATGAAAAGACAAAGGAAAGGATGAGATAAGATGACGTTCCACATTAAGGCACTGGAACGAATAGCAAACTAAACCTAAAGCAAGCAGAAGGAAGAAAATTAAAATTAGAGAAATTAATATTTTATAATAATAATATTTGTTAGTGTTGAATAATTGATATTAATTCTTGACTAGCTTTTTTAAAAAAGAGAAATATTCACTTTCCAATTTATTCTGTGGGGCCAGTGTTACTTTGATACAAAAATTAGTCCAAATAGCATAGAAAAATAAAACTACTATAAGTATAAATGCAAAATTCCTTAAAAAATACTAACAAATCAGATCTAGCAACATATAAAAGAATTATACACTATGACAAAGTGAAATTTATACAAGTAATCCCAGGTTGGTTTAACAGCCCAAAATCCATTAAGGTGATACATCTTATCCATAGAATAAGAAAAGAGAATTCATGATCATCTCGATAGATTCGGAAAACACATTTAACAGAATCCAAATGCTTTAATGATTAAAAATAAAAATAAAAACTCAATGAACCAGGAATAGAGAACTTTCTACACCAGATACATGGCACCTGTGAAAAGCCAACAGCAAGCAGGCAACTTAATGGTAAAGGATGCTTTCCCGCTATGGTCAGAGATAAGAATAGGATATATACTTTGACCTCTTCTAGTCAACACTGTACTAAAGATTTTATGCAGGGCAAATCGGCAACTAAAATAATAAGAGTCATCCATATTGAACAGGAAGAAATAAAACTTTATTTGAAAATAACATTGTTGTATATAGAAAATTTTAAGGAATCCACCGAACGATAGAACTCGTAAATTATTTCAGCAATATTACAGCAGACAAGGTAAATGTACAAAAATCAATTGCACACATCTGCAATGAAAACCCCAAAATGAATTTAAGAAAACACTTCAATTTAAAATAGCATAAAAAAAGGAAATATTAATTAATTTGGAAAATGTGATACAAGATTTTACTCTGAAAATTAAAAATTATTGTTTAAAGAATATTTAAATAATTAGTAAACACCTTACACCCATGAATTGGACGATTTGATATTGTAGTACTTTACAATTTGAACTACAGATTTGATGAAATCCCTGCAAGTATCCCAACAGACTTGTGTCTAGAAACTGACAAGCTGATTCTAAAATACACATGAAATTGTAAGGGACTCAAAATAGCCAAAATAATCTTGAAGAAAGAAAACATATTAGGATAATTCACACCCCATGCTCCAAACCTTACTGCAAAGTATCAGTAATCAAGACAACACAACATTGATGAAGGAAAAATATATAGATTGATGGAAGAGAATTGAGAGTCCATATATAAAACTATGTGTCTACAGTCAATGGATTCTTAAGGTGGTGCCATGTGCAATTCAATGAGGAAGAGACAGTCTTTGAACACACTGGGTCAACAACGTACACGTGGATCACCACTTGCAAAATAATAAATTAGAACCCTTACCCCAAAGCATACAAAAATATTAACTCAAATGAATTAAAGACACACATGCAAGAGGTAGAATAAAGCATATGGGAAAATCTTCAGGATTTTGGATCTAGCAAAGAAATAGCTGTAACCCCAAAAACATGAGCAACAGAATAAAAATTAGATATTTAAAATTTCTTAAAAATTAAAGACATCGGTGTTTCAGAGGACAACCAAGCAAGTCAAAAGGCAGCTCCAAAATTGTGAGAAGATATTTGAAAAACACGTATCTATATGTCTGTATATATATATGTATCTTGAATATAGAAAAATTGGTTTAACTCCGTCACAAATATCCCAACTCAAAACTGATAAATGATAGGAATAGATGTGTTTCCCAAGAAGATACATGAACGGTCAATAATCCCATAAAAATATACTCAACAGCATCACTCTTCAGGCAACTACAAATCAAAACCACAGTTAGATACTCTATGGCTAGAACTGACCACTTTGGAAAATAATTTGATGGCTTCTAAATATATGAAACATAGAATTGTCATATGACCCAGAAATTTATTCCTAGGTATACACCCAGATTATTGGAAAGAGGTGTTCAAACACAAATTGTACACAAGTATTTTTAGCAGCAGTACCTAAAATAGCCAAAGGCTGAACACAACTCAAATGTCAATAAAAATATTATTGGATAAACAAAATGTTATATCCATGAAATTGAATGTTATACAGTTATAAAAAGAAATAAAGTACCAATACGTACATGAACCTTGATAGCATTATGCCAACTGAACGAAGCCGGGCAGAAAAGGCCACCTATTGTACGATTCTATTTAGATGAAAACAGAATAGGAAAATCTATAGAGACAGAAAACAGATTTGTGGTTGCTTAGGATTGAGTAGGGGATGGGTGCATAGGAGGTTAACAGCTAGGGAAGGTGGGGTTTCTTTTTGAAGTGATGAAAATGCTCTAAAATTCATTGTGATGGTGGCTCCACTTATCTGTGCATATACTAAAAGCCACTGACTTGTAGACATTAATGTGTGCACTCTACACTATGTAAATTATATCTCAATAAATCCTTTCAAAAATACACAGAAGAGTAAGGGGTTTTGGAATGTTGCAACTGGGATGCAGTTTGAAATACTGAATAGGCCTCATCGAGAATGTGAAGTTTCAGTAAAGACCTGAGGAAGTTGAATGAGCTGATCAATGGATATATGGTGGGCTATCTTTCCAAGCCAAAAAATTAACTAGAGTCTTGATCGTAAGGCAGCAGCATGTTGGTATGTCCAGAGGACAGTGAAGTGGCCAGGACCACTGGTAAGATCAAGGGTGAAGATATAAAATAATTTTGGCGGTTAACATGCGGCAGATGATGATGGGCTTGCAGACCATTGTAAGAAATGTTGTTTTTAATGCACATGAAATGGGGAGACAACTCATTATCCCATTATCAATATTTTAATAAATTGGATCCATGAACCAAATCCAATGAGATTAAATCAATTAATAATAATATGCAAATTTGTATTAAAATTACAAGAATTACTTGCACATTTGAGAACAGGAGAGACATGATTTTTATCAGCAATAATAAACATTATTAATTTTAATTGTGATCAGCTAATTGAGATTAATTGCAATACATCTTGATTTATAATGTGACTGTCAAAAGGAAAATATGATTGTAATCTTATACTACATCTATCAATGTCTTTTATTCATAAGAGTATAGAGTAAGCCCCTAGTTTTCAAAGCCAACCTATGAAGCAGTGACATCTTATGCAAGTTTGCTGCTTTCTGCCACAGTGATCCTTGGTCAGTGGGCACAAATTGTTTACAAAGGCCCCTAGGTCTAGAAATAGTTTGGATCACAATGAACACAGAAACACCTTCATCCCTTCAGAAATACCCATCAATTACTTCCAATACAGAATGAAAAATTGACAAAGGAAATATGTGGATTGTAAAAATGCCAGTTAGCTTGCAACTACATGAAAGAAAAATGCCATTTTTATTACATTAGGTCATTGTCTCACATGAGTTTTGGTATAGCAAAATGTTGAACCAAGGGAAAAGAGAGATGAATTAATGAAGTCATAAGATATCAAGAATTTGAAAGAAAAGGCAGGTCATCTTTGAAGGTTAGTGACATAGCATTCATCTTCTGTTGTCACCTTTCCCGTCATTCCCTGTATGCCTGACGGACAGGTTACACTCAAGTTCAGAGAACAGCATGCAAAATTAGCTACCAATTAATCTTTAGGAAGTGAGCTGCATTTCTAGCCAGACTGAGCTTACGTTTTAGCAGGAAGCATTTTTGGGAAATGTTTATGTTAGACTTTGCCCTTCTTGACAAGGTGAGACATAAACGTCTACTTTATAGACATGAATTGAGATGGGAAGATATTTGGGGGAATCATTTACTCAAACGCTAAATAATAAAGGTACACAAAGGGCAAATTATACTAGATTTCTTTCCCACTTGTTTTCTATGTCTCATGCAATTCACCTTGATTCCCTTCAGTTTCTGTTTAATGTAGAAAGTGGCATTTTCATTATTTTAAGCTTCTAGCACAATGAAAGAATTTCTCTTTTTCATGAACAGGATCATACATGAAAAGGAGGAAGAGTGTCCTATATCATATTTATTGTTCAACAAAACACTGCTCCACGGCTTAAATTCAGTTTAAAAAAGAGAATTTGTTGAACATCTAACACATACATAAAAGGCAGTAAAGACACATGAGAAGAGGGCAGGATATTGAAGTATACAGACTTCAATGCTGAGTTTTATATCTTAGGAAGTTACTCCACCTGACAGAAGCTCAATTTCCCCTGATTTAGGAAGGCGATGCTAATGGGTATTGCATAGGTGTAAGTATAAAAATGTTGTATTTAAGAGAATCCCACAAGCTTGGTATAAGGCAGAAAATAAATAGATGCGACATGAATAAGTAGTTTATTACATTTGTATGCTACCTGCGGACTAGAGGAAGCAAGAAACACAGCCACTATGCTTGATTAGCATTATAGAGATGGTACGATGATGGTTGCCAGAAGCTGGGGGGAGGAGGAAATGGGGAAGTATTGTTTAATGGGTATAGAGTTTCAGTTTTACAAGATGAAACGAATTATGGAGATGGATGGTAGGGACGGCTGGACAATGTTATGACTATATTTAGTACCACTGAACTGTACACTTAAAATGGTTAACAGAGTACATTTTATGTTATGTGTATTTTACCACAATAAAAAAATAAAATACCTTAGGAACATTTTCATGAAAAAGCCCACATAAAATTCATTTTAATGCACGTGTTTATGCATAGCTTTCTATTTTTCTCTTTTCTCTTTATATTCCAAATTCTAATCAGAGAAGGGAATCCCCTCTGTACCTCCAGGATATTCAGTAAAGACCACTGGAGGTTCATGCCCTAGTGACAGTGCTCATTTAGCTCCAAATTACAGATGGCTCTAGACTAACTCAACAAAGTTTAAAGAGAAGATTTAAAACAAGACAAATACTCATCCTGAAGTTACTGAACTGCCTGTCACAACATTATTCAAAGGTAGCCAATAAAATCTAGATATTCAATAGCATAACATCAAAATACCCAAAAAAAACTCTGAAATGCAAAGAAGCTGTAAGACATATATAATTAAAATATATATTAACAGGATAAAAATAAGTCATTTATAAATGACAGAAAAGAAGGAAATTTCAAGATCCTTAAAGTAAATATATTTTATAAATACATATAGATAAATACATATATATGTCAAGGTACTTAAATGAAAATTAAATATAGGAGAAAAATAAAAGTTATAAAATGAAAAATGTGACATATATAGATGAAAAATAAATACTTGAAATAAAAATTCCATGAGATAGAATAAGTAATGGATTTTACCCTAACATCAGAACATTTATAGAACAAATTAGAAGCATTACAAACTAAAGGACAAACGGTAAACTAAAATAAGAAAACCAGAAACTCACTCATAGGTCAGACAATGTGCATCAGTGTAACATACATGTAATCAATATCTCAAAAAGGATGGGTGGGGTAATCATAGGTGAATAAGGAATGGTACACTCATTCCTGAGGGCACCGAGGAGGGAGGATAGCTTTAGATTTCTAAGGGAGAGTTTTATCCATTCATGAAGGTCCAAACCCATGACCAAACACCTCCCAGTGAGCCCCACCTGCAACATTGGGGATCAAATTTTAACATGAGATTGGAAGGGGCAAGCATTCAAACCATAGCAAGAGTTAAATTTCCTTTTTAAAAAATTCACTGATATGATTCCATTTCGCCATAGATAAAAACTAGTATTTCAGCCTACCATTGAGTGTGCTTATAGCTCACCAAAAGGGCACTCAGTCTCGGGAATACAGATTTGCATAGAGGTATCCTATTGCAGTCAAAGAAAGAGCAATGAGGGATAGAAAAGGTTAGTGATGGAGACACCAGCGCTGCATTTTGCAACAAACAATGTAAAAACTTTATGGATTGGTTCTGTTAACTTACTTCAGTTTACATTCCTCTCAGGTGGGAGAATCGTTGCGTTTTTTCTTAAGATAGAAAAGCAATTCAGGTAATCTGAAATCTCCACAAGAAGGATAAGAAGCACAGCAGAAACTATTCTAGGCAGGAAGTCAATCCTTTCAACTGTCTGTGCTCCATAGAAACAATTGTCTGCACTGGGAGTCATATGAGGTACAGACCACAGCCAGACCTCTGATCCTCTCATTAGTGATTTCAGAAGAAATTACCAGTCAACTGAGTAACTCACTGAGTATAGTAAACATTTGGCACTGAAAGAGGTTAGATGAATAACTATTTGTATCACCATATTCATGAAGCTGAAATATGTTCCATTACTGGTATCACATCCGAATGGAAGATATTAAAAGGTCTCTCATCTTGTAAGATAGATATGAAAGAATATTTTCTGAGAAATGAAATTATTAACACACCTGCGAGGTGCATGGAAGAGAAAAAAAAGAATAATCACCTTGAGATCTTCTCCTTGATAAGAGAACTCACTAAAAACATAAAGAGAAAAATACAAGTTTAAAATAATTAACCAGAAGAAGATGACTCTAGAGATTTTAAATTGCTGATAAGATTTTAATTTGCTCCAAGTTGAAAATAATTATATTGCTTGTGTTTTAAGGCACATAATGAACAATTATATCACACATGATAGTTTCAGCAGTAAAATAGTATCCGTTAACAGCTGGAACTCATAAAAGCATAGCACAATGTGAAGATGGAATTTGCTAAAATAAACCATCTGCTGAAAACTACTATTCTGCAAATTTAAAAATAAAGTTTAAATGTTATTTGTCTTATTTAATAGGTCTGTGAAAAAAATGCGCTATTTGGAAAGCAGCTGCTACCTTAATTAATTCTTTATATTAGACGGCTGGTTACAATAATTCACAGTAAGGTGCTACATAGATATATTGCTAAATTTTCTGCATATACTATGTATTTGGCTTAAATTAATTGAAATTTTATTGTTAAAATAACAAATGTACATTTCAATGTTTTGACACAAATTGCAAATATACCTTTAAAAAGCGTCTTACACTCTAAATATTATTTGTCACCTATATATTTGTCTTTTCTCTATAGGAAAATTTAAATTTTTCCCTTGAAGCTTTAATTATTTGAGTCTATAAAACAAACTGATAATGTACAAATTAACAGGAAAAAAAGGTTTACAGATATGTGCACAAGTATGCACTTGGAGTTTACATAATATATATATTATATCTATACAAATATTTGTATATTATAAAGAGATATACAAATATATACTCTTTATATAAAAACTCCAGGAAAGGCAAGGTAGTCAACACGCCTATGCTGTCTTGAGGTTGCAGAAAACACAGAGCTGTAGGTTGGTAAATCAGGCTTTGTGGAAGACAGGTGACGACAAGGAAGAAAGAGGAGCCTGGCAGCAGAGGTGGTCTTGTTACATGGATGAAACCTCACAGGGAGCAGCCCTCCTCTTGGGAAGTATAGATAGGAAATGGCTTTTAGAAATGTAAACGTGCCAGGCTCAGTTAATCATTCCTATACCCAGACAAGGGAGTATCTCAGGGAAAGCCTGTCTATATCAATGCAGATTTTCTCTACAAATGCAAATCTCCCCAACAAACACAGCTTTTCAGCTATTCTTGTAGAAGAAGCTATCTCCAGTCTTCCGAGTAGCCATCGTGAAATATGTCAAAAAGCTGGCCAGGCGCATGCCTGTAATCCCAGCACTTTGGGAGGCTGAAGTGGGTAGATCACCTGAAGTCAGGAGTTGGAGACCAGCCTGACCAACATGGTGAAACGCCGTCTCTACTAAATACAAAAAATTAGCCGAGTGTGGTGGTGCATGCCTGTAATCTCAGCTACTTGGGAGGCCGAGCTAGGAGAATTACCTGACCCTGGGAGGCTGAAGTTGCAGTGAGCCAAGATTGTGCCATTGCACTCTAGCCTGGGCAATAAAAACAAAACTCCATCTCAAAAAAATAATGTATTTTAGGGTAATATTTTGAGTATCTTTACCTCCATATGTACAATAAAAATTATTGCGATTTTTAATCTTTTCTGTGGAGAAAACACAGGTGTGATTTCTAGTGTAGCTGAACATCGTTTATTTGACAGTATTGCACTTGTGTGTGGGTGTGTGCGTGTGTAGCTACTTTTTAATTTGGTTCTCACAAAATGATTAGATACTAACAATTAATTCAGTAAAATGTATGTTTTGCAATATTTCTCCATGTTATTATGCTTTAAATTAGTTTAATCATGCCCCTATAATGTGTACATTTTAACCTTTGACTATAGCTCTCAATCTTACTTTGGTTCCTGTATTTGAATTTATGCTAATAAAGTCCCACAGCTTAATAAGATTACATAAATTTTTTGTATAATTTTTACTAGCATTCTGGTGTCATTTTAAATTATGTAATGAAATCCAATTTTAATTTGGATTATTCTTATCTGAGTTAAGGATATAAATTTTTAATTTTCTTATAAATATTACATAATTATTTCTGAACCATACATTGACTAATCTGCCCTTTATATGATGTGTATTATAAGAGCTTGGGATCGTTTCATTTGCAAAGATGAATGCTTGAGAAGTAGATATTTAATCAGAACATTTCAAAATCTACTGGATAACCTAGAATTGAAACATAGCCTATAGGTTGAAAAACTCCTGTAGTGAAGAAAGAAAATAACTAATATACAGTGACAATATAAATATTATAAGTATTTATTTTATTATCACCCTGAAATTTGATAATACAAACATGTAATATCTACATATCATCCATATATCAGGTCATAAAATATCAATACATTCTTCAAAAATTTAGCATAACAGAAAATGCACTCTCTCTCCTTGATGGAATTAAGTTACAAATAAAAGTAAAAATAAGTAGATAAGTAGATGGAAGTAGATGTTTAAAAACAAAGAAAAATATTTGTTTTGGATAACATAAAATCTCAATTGACAATTCCAATATTTCCAGAACTTTGCCTGTCAACTGGTGGAGAGTTTTCCCCAGGAGACATTTGTCAATGTCTAGGGTTATCGTGGGGATGTCAAGACTGGTGGAGGTGTGAAATTTAGAGGTCACAAGAAACACCTAGCATTGCTAGGGCAGCCTCCCACAACAAAGAATCCTCTGGTCCTAAAGGTAAGTAGCACCAAGGTTGAGAAACCATAATCTAGACAGGAAACACTACGTAGCTATTCCAAGTGCTCAGGAAAACACATCAGTGCCCTCGAGGGGAAAAGTGTAAACATTTTAATTGCTGTACATGGTGACACAAATCCATGTTGTTAATCTAAGTGGAAGGGGCTGAAGCACAAAACGTAATTCAAAGAGTTTACTTAAGCCACAGTGAGGACAGCTGCCTGGAAGAAACAGACCCAAGTATCCTTGGATGTGAACTCCCTTTGGAGCTTTGCAACAAGCAGTTTCTTAAAGGTAAAAAAGGGTCCAGAAGTGGGATGATGCAAAGAGGTTTGTCACAAATTCTCATTGGCTTATGGAAATAACATTTATTAGTGACTGGCTATACACGGTTACACTATTATGGGGTGTGGATTATAGTGTCTGGTGTGGCGTTATTGGTTAATTCATAGCTACTGTGGCAACAGCAAGCAGCCTAGATGAACACACAGCTCAAAGAGGAGCAGGACAGAACTGCTGTGTCATTTGAATATCTCTCTGGGCCTGATTATTTCAAAGGACTTGCATTTCTCACATGAAAGTTATTTTCTTTTCTCCATGTCCATAAATGAGAATAAATAGACGTAAAATAGATCTTTTCGAGGATGAAGTAAATGGAATGAAAAACAAAACCCAAGCTGACCGGAAATCATTGAGGGAAGAAAAGGATATAAATATATGTATTTTTCAAAGTGATTTTAAGCTATTAGGAATCAGTTAAATGTTGGGGGAATTTGTCTGATAATGGGCTAAAGGAGAATGTCCCTTTTGCCTTCTGAAGTCTCCCTGAAAATCACTAATAGGAGGCAGATAAATAGTAGAAAAGGCATACAGGTTTCTGCAATGTGTGTACACTGGAACCCTTAGAACGAAGACCCAGTCACACGATGCGTGCAGAAACTTATCTACCACATGAAGTTTACAGAAAAATGGGGTCTTGGATCACAGGGAAAAGAAAGAAAAAGGTTATGTGAGAAAACGACCCTGGCTAGCAACAGTGGACTTATTACATAGGTGGAATCTCACTGGGAGTAGTCCTCAGAGAGAATAGACAGAAAATGTTTCTTTCAGACATTTGGAGACCTCAGCCTCTCAGTTAACCTTTCCTAGATCCAGACAAGGGGGCAGACCTCAGAGAAAACCTGGCTGCATCAGGGCAGATTCTCTACCGATGCAAATCTCCCCAAGACAGCTTTGCAGCTAACATTGCATTTCCAGCCCTTCTCAATAGCCATTTTGAAATATATCAAGGAAATATATTTAGGGGTAAAATATATTAGTTTCCTTCATACAGCTATAAAACATACAGGAATAATTTTTGTCAATGTCTACTACAAATCCAATATAGCAGTAACTATGAAACCCACCAGATATTGATGAAAAAATATGTAGAGTACCTCAATTACAAATGTTGATACTAAAATGCCAAATAAAATACAAATAATATCCAACAATATTTGAAACAATTAGACAAGAAATTGGCAAAAAAAAAAAAAAAATCCACCTTCGGGATGAAAGTGTGTTTCCAAATTTGGTAATCCAGTAATATTAATAATCATATTGATTAGCCCAAATTAAAAATAAATAGGGGATTCTCAGTACATGCTATAATATATTTGTTAAAAGGCAATATTCATGTCTTTAAAGATTTTAAATGCTATAAAGAGTCTGATATTCTATATGCAAACATGTGTATGTCCATTAGAAGAAGAGAGGCCTGATTTTCATATGTTACTACATAGAGATAGAGAAGTGGATACATTAATTTGCATATGCATAGAGAAAGCATAACATAGAAATTGACTATCATATTAAAAGAATTTTAATTCAACAATAAAATAATTCAAAGGTAAAATTTTAGATATTTTTAACAGGTACATTATTAGTATTAGATAATATTTATAATAATTGTGAAAATACTCAGCGCTAAAATAAGATACAATGTCTAAACATCAGTAATAATACTAGTATAAATATTTGCTTGTTTATACAAGGAAAATTCAAGCTCGACCTAAAATTATAAGGGAAATAAAAGAAAAATATTAAGGGAGCTCTTTCACGACATAAACATATATATATAAACACACACATATAACATGTATATATGTTATATGGGATAGATATAGATTTAGCAGGTTATATCTATATTTGTATCTGTAACTACAGCTGTATGTATCCACATTTCTACATATTTACTCAGTGATATAAATATAGACTGGAATAAATATAAAGACATATATGATTCTTGGATAAAAAGGATTTAGTATCATAAAGACAAATTCTTTCCAAATTCACTTATGAATTCACAACAATATACAGTTTCATTAGTATAATTTAATATTTCTAAATAAATTTCAAGATTCATTTAAAGGAATATAAATGTATACAAGCAGTCAAGAAAGAAGCAAGAGGGCACTAAACTAACTTGCTATTAAAATACATTTTTAAACTTAGTCACTAAAACCGAGCAGTACTGATTTGGAGTACTGGAATTTAGGTGTATGGGATCTCAAAAGCACAGAGCTCAAAGGAGACCCCTGTATGCACGAGAGCTTAGGATGTGCTTTAGAAGGCATTACCAAACCACGGGCAAAGTTACCTTAGTGTCTTAGTCTTACTAGGTTTGAAAAGCCAGAGAAAAGACTCAAGACCACCATATAAGAGCAAAACAAAAGGACAGGGAGAGAATGTGAAGATACTGAAACATTTTACATAAAGTTGTATAAAACATATTTTAAAGAAAATATAAAGTTTTGGATATACATCAAAATCAGCAGAGCCACTAAATAAATAAATAGGCATTGTAAAATAACAAGAGAAAATTTAAACGGATTTCTAAAAACATTGACACCTATGATTTTTAAAATATGTTTAAGAAATCCCATATTTCACAGGGCAGCCTTTCACAACACAGATATGTTAGGACATAAAGGTCCTTCTGTTTTTAATTTACTAGTGTTTATAGGGTTACAAATGTCTTCTACCCTTGTCTTTTGTCTGATGGTGCAAAAATTTTTCATAAGCATGTATTTCTGAATGCCTGATGGATTGACATATATAATATGTTGCTAGTATTAAAATATGAGATGGAAAACGCATCCAATCTTCTCACTGTTTACAGAAATTCTAGGTTTCTCCTATTTACCTCAAGCACATATGGAGCGAATTCTTACCTTTTAATATTGCCATGGCATTCACATTGAACATAAGTTGAACTCTCTCATATGGTAGCTGGGTTCGGATTCTCTTGACAATTTCCAGTTCTAACCCTCACACTTCCTCAGTGTGGTTGGCCCAGATATTGACCCTACACAGTTATCTCCTCGTGGTGACTACCAGCTATGGAACCGTTGGATACAACCTACCTGACTCACCCCACAGACCTCACAGCGCACATGGACAGCCCCCACACGCCACAGTAACCTGCTCGCTTGCAGCGGGAGTCAAGAAATGTGCCTGCTGGCACTCACCCCACCGACTAGTGCCCCGTGGAAAACTTATTTGGGTAATGTTCTGGGCCAAATATGGCTGGAGTCCCACAGACCCCTTTTCTCTCTCCTGCTCCCCACTCATCTTCCCCATTTTGTTCAGCCCTATGAGGTGTGCTACTGTATTAGTCCATTTTCACACCGCCGGTAAAGACATGCCCAAGACTGGGTAATTTCCAGAAGAAAGAGGTTTAATAGACGAACAGTTCCACATGGCTGGGTAGGCCTCACAATCATGGTGCAAGCTGAAAGGCACGTCTCACATGGCAGCAGACAAGAAAAGAGAGCTTGTGCAGGGAAACTCCCCTTTATAAAACCATCAGATCTTGTGAGACTTATTCACTATCAGAAGAACAGCATGGGAAAGACCTGCCCCCATGATTCAATTACCTCCCACCTGTTCCCTCCCACAACATGTGGGAATTCAAGATGAGATTTGGCTGGGGACACAGCTAAACCCTCTTCTCAGCTACCCTCTTCTCTCTGGATCTGTGAGTAATAAACCTACTTCTGTGATTTCCCATGTTTGGTTCTGTGGCCTCCATGTGTCTGAGCTGACCTACACTAGAACCTAACTCTCCTCCTGGCCAGGGTCTCTGAGAGTGGCTCTTGTCAGAAATACACAGGACACAGGTCAGGCAACAGTCACCAGGCATCTCCTAGTCTCAACAGATGTTCTGTGAGAGGGAGGCCTGGTCGTGGGATGCACACCTGGCCACCACTGGGGTAAGGAAGTGTCCTGTGAAAGGCACATGTTAAGCATCCACAACCCCCTGACCAGAACCCCAGAAAGGCAGGGATCCAATTGACAGTCACTCTCCAGAGACAAACCTGAAGCCCTAACTGGAGGAAAAGACAACAATGTAAAAAGTTGAATTTATCTTACTATTTCAATGATCCAGTAAAGACATTCTATGCCTGTACACCACATATTTTCTTCGATTGTGGATTTATTTTAGATAGAATTTTAGGTCTGGCTTTCACTTTAGCCTGGTCCCTACCTCAAGCATAAGGTAAAGATTTTCCATGGGTTCTTTTCTGGTACTACTACCTGCCAGTGTGGGGTCATGTCCTAGTCTATCTTGAGGGAATCCCCCTGTTCATTATTGTCAGAGTGAGACTGTTAAGTCTTGATTTCCCTGGACAACTTCACTGCATGACTTTTAATATGATTTTTTAATATACCCTTTACTGGACAATAAATTCTATAGTTATCTGAGTAAGAGATATGCTCAGGAAGAGGCATTGCCTCATTCAGCTTTTCTCTTTGGTGAACTCGCATATGTTCTCCTCACCCGCCAGTCACCCCTAAACCGTATTGTTCCAAGACAACAAACAGAACTCGAGTGTTTATCTTTCACCACTGGATTTGTGTTTGCTCCATAAAGCTTCATGCTTAACAGAGTTTCTGTTAGCATTTTCTCTATTTATTTTCCCATAAAATATCACAGGCCTTCTTCTTATGGAATTATGGGTGATTTCCTTCAATCTGCATCATATCAAGTTGAGGTTCATGTTGATGAAAAGTAAAACATACGTTGAAAATATCAGTAAGGATGTTTTCCCCTCCTTTTTAGCACCTGTGCTTGTGATACAAGCACATTTTAATACAATTGTAGTCTCATGCTTTGATCATTCCTATGATGAAAATAACATTTTTAGATAAAATATCTGAGTTTTATGAGGCCTTTAGTATGTGATGTGATAGAATATCAGAAGACCATACTTTTTTCTAGTTGTCCGTGCAATTCTATCATTGTTTCATCTTTACTCCTACCAGAGTAATTTTCCAAAATAGATATCTTGTCATTCTTCCTGTTGTTATCAGTAAATAAGTGAAATGAAAAGCTAGATTATATAATTTATCTAGAACAAGAAAGTAGAATTGAATCTATATTCATTAATGAGACTAGTCAATTACACAGACAGGCATTTTACATTTTGAAGATCATATGGACCCATTGTCAGAAATATTATTATTTATGTCTATATGGACATCACCTGTGCATATTTACATAGAAATCAATGATAGTTGATGTTTATTTTTATTATATATATTTTTTGAGATGGGGTCTTGCTTTGTTGCCTAGGCTGGAGTGTAGTGGTGCAATCACTGCTCACTGCAGCCTCAGCCTCCCAAGCTCAAGCAATCCTTCCACCTTGGCCTCCCAAATGGCTAGGACAACAGGTGCACATCACCTTGCCCACTTTTTTTTTTTTAACTTTTGATAGAGACTGGGTCTTGCTATGTTGCTCAGGTTGCTTGTGAACTCCAGGGCTCAAGGAATCCTCTCATGTCAGGCTCTTCAACTGCTGGTATTACAAGCATGAACCACCATATGGGCTGGAAGCTGATTTTTAAAATACTGAGATCATATAGATGACAGCATCTGAAAAATAGACAACACCAAGTTTTACGTTAAAAGGTGTGAGGGTAGCAATATGGTTGTGGCTATTGGGGAGGAAACCATTAGTAAAACCAGTAAGTTAAAGCTCTTGCTTTAAACTTTGGCTATAATTTAACAAATGTTCTATGGAGTGACAGTATGTATGTAACCATGCTATACCCATTCACAGATGCAGTAGAGGGAAGAATTTCTCAAAGACAACTGTTCTAAGACTCAAATTAAACCGTCCTGGGTTTGAAAAGAGAAAGTCCAGGAATTACCAAATATTTTAGATATCAGATACAAGAGAATGCCAGGTATGCGATGATAATCAGCAATGGTTGTTCACACAATACATCAAATCAGTATTTGAATTAGCTTCTGAATTACAAGGACAAATGGATCAAGTCTAGACTCTTTAGTAGAGAAATCTTATCAGGCTGAGATGTGTTTTCCCCTGTTTTTCCACAAGGAGATTACTAATTTGGAAACCTCAGCTGCTCTTATTTTATGCTCTCACCAAGCCAAAAGCTGAAGTTCATCAATCAGTGTGTCTAAGTGTTCACTGGTTATATACCATTTTGTAGTTTCAGCTATCTTTCCAACTTCCTAAATCATCACCTTCATTTGATCTTGTTTTTTTCCACTATCACTTCTTTATTGACCATATAAAGAATATAAGTAAGTTCTTATTTTGTTATTGTTCATTTTAGTCTAATTTCATCAAAAGATCACAATCTTTTAATTTCATTTTAATTTCAAAGATTAAATGAAACCTACATAGAAATGAGTGTAAGATTTGCATTTGCATTATTTTGGCATCAATTTGCTATCCTCCCTCATGCACATAGAGATCATTTCCATGTATGTGATTTCAAACATCCAAGGGCAGTATTAAAAGCAGTTGTAAATTATGGTTCTCATTTTCATGATACAATTACAATATAAACTTCCTCTTGCTGCTGTAACCAATTACCACAAACTTCATATATTACAATAAAGTGACCGTTAATCCAACAGTTCTGTAGTACAGAAGCCTTAAATGAAACTAGCAGGGCTAACATCAAGTTTTGGGTAGGGCTGCAGTCTTTCTGAGGGCTATGTGGCATAATCTATTACTTGATATTTTTCAGCATCCAGAGGCCACCTTTATTCTTTGGAACATGACCTCATTCTTATATCCTATTTTTCTTTTTTTTTTTTCAGATGGAGTCTCCTTCTGTCACCAAGGCTGTAGTGCAGTGGCACGATCTCAGCTCACTGCAACCTCTGCCTCCCGGGTTCAAGTGATTCTTCTGACTCAGCTTCCTGAGTAGCTTGGACTACAGACACTTGCCACCACACCCAGTTAATTTTTTGTATTTTTAGTAGGGATGGGGTTTCACCATGTTAGCCAGGATGGTCTCGATCTCCTGACCTCGGGATAAACCCACCCTAGCCTCCCAAAGTGCTGGGATTAGGCGTAAGCCACCCCACTGGGTCCTCATTCTTGTATCTTAAAAGTCAGTGATGTTGAGTAATTTCTCATGCCACCACCTCCAAGGTTGCCTTTCTTCTGCCTTCTTCTTTCACTTAAAAGGAAGTTTGTGATTTCATTGATCCCACCCATTTAAGACAATCTCTCTATCGTTTTTCTGCAACCTTAATTTCACTTGAAATCTAATTTCACACTGCCGTGCAACCTAACATATTTGTATGTTAGACTCTGGGAATTAGGACATGAAAATTTTTGGGAGGCCATTCTTTGGCCTACAGCAGACATAATCTATTTACCTGCAGATTAAAGCTTTCTATATGTTTCTGACTCCCTCTCTTAATTTTCTAAAATAATATTAATTGCAATAAAGAGAAAGAAAGAAAAGAAAACAAAGAAAGAAAAAGATGGAAGGAAAGAAGGAAGGAAGGAATAAAGAAAGAAAGAGAAAAGAAGGAGGAAATGAGGGAAGGATGGGAGGGAGGGAGGAAGGGAGAAAGGCAGGAAGGGAGAAAACAGAAAACATGAACACAAGAAAGAAAGAAGGAAAGGAAGGGAGGAAGGAAAGGAGGAAGAGAGAATGGTAAAAGGGAGGAAGGCAAAGAAACAAAGAAAAGAAACAGGCGAAGGAAGGAAAGAAAAAGAGGAAAGGAAGGGAGGGAGGAAGGAAGAAAAAAGGAAAGAAAGCAAGAACGTGAGAAAGAAAGAAAGAATATGAGAAAAGAAGGAAGAAAAGGGAGGGAGAAAGGAAGGGAGGGATTAGGGAAGGAAGAATAAGAGGAAAGAAACAAAGAAGGAAAGAAGGAAGGAAGGAGAAAAAAAGAAGGAAAAGAAAGAAAGGAAAAGAAAAAAGAAAAGGAAGAGGAAAAGAAGAAAGGAAGGAAGAAGGCAAGTGAAGGGAAGAGAAGAGAAAGGAAGATGGAAAGAAGTAAGGAAGAACGCTAATGTTATAAATTCTGGGTTTGTTAGAGAATATGCCATATTGTTTTTTTTTCACTAGAAAGGAAAGATTATCTGCCATTGAAGATTGGATGTCTTGTTGGTGATATTGTTGTTCTTAACTTCCACATGATTATTGAGTTTGTGCCTTGTCTTTCCATTACTAAGACAAAAGTGTTGAAGTCTGCAAATATAATTTTGATTTTTTCTAGTTCACCTTTGATTTCTTTCTTGTTTTACCTCATGTATTTGGAGGTTCTGTTGTTAGCTGCATACCCTAATTAGTAGGATGTTTACATCTTCTTGTATGTAATTGATGATTCTATTATGTATTATCTCTCATCTCTGATACTATTTCTTGTTCCGAACTCTGTTGTGGCTAATATCGATGTAGTCCTTCCACAGCCTTATTTTAGTGTTTCCATGATATGGCTTTCTCCATATCTTGATGATAACCTATTTATATCTCTATATATTTGGAGCAAGATATAAAATTTAGACCTGACTTTTTAAAGATTTTTCAAGATGTAATTCTTATTTCTTTTTGTTCTATTTGACATTCTCTGAGTTTCCTATATTTGAAGTTTGATTTTCTGTCACTTCTTTTACAATATTTTTGGCAGTTATTTTGAAAAATATTTCTTTTGCTCCATTATTTTTCCCTCTTTTCTTTTTGGGATTTCAATCATAACTAGAGTAGGTAATTTGATCTCAGTCTTATGCAGGTACTTTTTCTCAGGGTCTCAGGAATGTAACCTTCTCACACTTCTGTTCTTTTCCTGGCTGTGTTGGTGAGCTCAGTGATATTCCTCCTTCACCTTCTAGAGCAGGTTTGTTTTGTTTTTCTTGTTTTCATACTCCCAGCATCAGGAGTATTCTAAGTGTGGCAGTTTTTGTTGCCTTCCCCTACATATTAAGTGGAATATCTTGCTCTATTTGGACTCTTATAACAAAATAACATAAACTGAGTGACTAAAAAGCAACAGATTTTTTTTTCACACTTCTTGAGGCTGTAAGATCTCAGGTCAAGATGCTCACAAATTCAGTGTTGATGAGAGCCCATTTCATGGTTCATAGATAGTGCCTTCTTTCTATGTCCTCACGTAGTGGAAGGCACACAAGAACTCCATTGAGCTTCTTTTATAAAGACACTAACCCCATTCATATGGGCTCGACCCCCAAGACCTGGTCACCTCCGAAGTGTTCTGCTCTCCCTGATCTGTGTCATATACAGACTCTCTTGAATTCCTTACCAATTGCTTGAGAGATCGCATTGAGTTTGTGGGGAAAATGTTTTCAAGATGGTGGATCTTTCCCAACTTCTGCAGCTGTCAGCGGTCTCCCAATCTCACCAGCCCCACTTTGTCTTTAGGAATTTATTGATTATTCCAGCTTTACTTGTCATAGTGGTGTCTATACGCATCTGTCCTATGTAAGTGCGTCTGTCCTTTTTCTCCTTGCAGGTGCAAGTACTCAGGAGTACACTGTTGTTACTAATTACTCAGTATTGGTTGGTACATTGTCAAAGACCAAAGAACATTTTTAAAGATAAAAAAAAGTCTTGGAGGTTGTGTAATGAAGGGTTAATTCTGCAGACATGGCTTTCCAAAATCTTGCGCATTCCAAAGGTCTTCAGGACTGGCCCTTGACAAGCTCCTGGGAGATGTTAACCTATGAGCCCTTGGTATATGTTGCCTGATGTGAGTCTTTGCATACATGAAAACGTAGGTCATATCAAATAGCTGATGCTAACAACGTGATTTCTTGTGAGCACCTGTTTCTGTATGCCTATGACTTTGTGTAATGCCATATTAATATGACCTCTCTTAACGCATAGGGAGGTTGGGAACTGAGTAGCTATGTTCAGTCACAGGACGCTTGATGCATATGTGGCGGAATCCTAATAAAAACCCTGGACTCAAGACTGACTGAGCTTCCCTAGTTGGTAATAAGTTCACACATGTCTCACACCATTGTAAAGAAAATTAGTCAGTGTGAAGTCCCCACTATGAAAGGACACCTGTAAGCTCACATCTGGTTTGTCCTGGACTCAACTTTATGTGCTTTTATGCTTCTGATTATTTTAATCTGGTTTCTTTCACTGTTAGAAACTATAACCACAAAAAAAAATCAGCTTTCTTGGGTTATGTGAATCATTAAGCCAAAGGGGGACTTGGGGACCCCCAATAAAATGTATATATATTCTTAAAAAGAAAAAGTAAACTGGCTATAGCAGATATTGCTGATGACTTGTCTTCTATGTCCTGGACTCAATGTGTTCATCTGAAATTCACCTGATTCCAGCTAACTGAGAGCTCCCCACATCATGCCTGTCTTTCTGATTTTTGGGCCTGCCTGCAAGCTTCTTGAGGCTAACCAGTGCTTCTCAACCACACATAGGAACAAAGAAGGAGTTAGGGGTGGAGAGTTAATGATTCTAAGGCAATCCTTAAGCAATAAGAGATGGGGATTCCAGCATCCCCATCTCTTTGTAAAGTTATTTTGACACAATCTCCATACCTCCATCATTACTGAGCACACAGTAGTAACTACTCATTGACACTGGCTTCGTGTTCTGTTTCATTTTCTCCACTTCTGTGCTTTCTCACTCAATTTCTGATTAAAGTATCTGACCCCAGATATTTGTTTCATAGTCTATTTTTGAGGGAATCCAGAGCCAAGACAATAACAATGGGAGCTTTGCAATGAGGGAGGGTGAGTATAATCATCAGAAGGTTACCTACCTCACTGGGAACATGGAGGCCTGGAGAGCTTGCTGTTTCAATGAGAGAAACATGTTGAATCTCAGTTCAATACATATATATATATGTGCAATAAGACGTGCCCTTTATTTATATCAAAGGAAAGTGCTCTTTACCTCTCTTTGTTGTTGTGTTTTTATCACTATTGCCTACACAAGCAGAATATCATACCCAGGATTTAAAGCCCTCTCTGCAGGATTTTCAAGCTCATGTTTTTATCATAAGTCACTCTGCTTCCATGTGTTTTCAATCTAATCCTCATTCCTCTGCTTTTACACCAGAGAATTCATCACTGACTTATTTTTGACTGACCTTCTTATAGAGCTGTCAAGTACACAATTTCTGCTGTGACCTTTCTCTTAGAGTTCAGTCATATAGCCTCTCACTAGATATCATTTCCTCTTATCTTTCCTAATAATGAATTGTCAGTTAAAACTCAACATTTTTAAGATTGAGCTTACCATCTGCACACACACACACACACCATTATTGGTGTATTCTCATAGCCTTGAAACACTAATGTCACCTTGATGTCTGCCTTTTCTCTCTCTGCTACCTCATTCCTCATCCTTAGATTGTTCTAAAAGATTCAATTAGATCAAATTGGCTAATTATATTTTTAAGATCCTCTCTACCCTTCCCAACATTTCGTTTAACAAAATTTAAAAATTTCTGGCAGGAGACTGTTGAAATCCCCATGGATGACTATGGTTTTACTATTTTACCTTTCAGTTTTAATAGGTTTTATATTAAGTATTTTGAAGTAATGCTATTGTGTGCATACATATTTCTTATTTACATGACTTCTTGGTGTATTTTCCCCTTTTTCATTTTGAAATGTTATTCTTCATCCCCAGTGATATTTCCTGTTCTGATGTCTACTTTCCTCATCACAGTTTTAGGGAGTTTTGGTTTGTTTGTTTTTCTATTGTTTGGTTCAAGTAAGTTTCTTATAAATCTCTTCGATTCCATTCAATGATTCCATTTGTTTCCATTCGAAGATTCCACTCGATTCCATTCGATGATGATTCCATTCGAGTCCATTCAATGATTCCATTCGAGTCCATTCGATGACGATTCCATTAGAGTCCATTCGATGATTCAATTCGATTCCATTTGATTCCATTTGATGATGATTCCATTAGAGTCCATTCGATGATTCCATTCGAGTCCATTTGATGATTCCATCCGATTCCATTCAATGATGACACAATTCAAGTCCCTTCATTGATTCCATTCAATTCCATTCTATGATGACTGCATTCGGTTCCATACGATGATGATTCCAACGGATTCCATTCAATTTCTCCATTCGATTCCATTCCTTGCTGATTCCATTCAATTCCATTAGATGATAACTCCACTAGATTCCTTTCAATGTTGATTTCATTAGATTCTATTCGATGATGATCCAATTTGATTCTGTTCAATGATGATTCTATTTGATTCCGTTCAATAATTTCATTCAATTCCATTCGAAGATTCCATTCGTTTCCATTCGATGGTGATTCCATTCCTGTCCAATCGTTTATTCCATTCGATTCCATTCGATGATGATTACATGTGAGTCCATTCGATGATTCCATTTGATTCCATGCGATGATGATTCCATTGAGTCCATTCGATGATTTCATTTGATTCCATTAGATGAGGACTGCAATCGGTTCCATTCGATGATGATTCTAACGGACTCCATTTGAAGACTCCATTCGATTCCATTCATTGATGATTCTATTTGATTCCATTTGATGATGATTCCTTTCGATTCTATTCGATGATTATTCCATTCGATTCCATTCGATGATGATTTCATTCGAGTCCATTCGGTGATTCCATTTGATTCCATTCAATGATGATTCCATTCAAGTCCATTCGAGGATTGTATTCGAATCCATCTGATGATTGCTTTTGATTATATTCGACGATGATTCCACTCGAGTCTATTCGATGATTCCATTCGATTCCATTCGATGATGATTCCATTCGAGTCCATTTGATGATTCCATTTGATTCTATTCTCCGATGATTACATTCGAGTACATTCAATGATTCCACTTGATTCCATACAATGATGATTTCGTTCAATTCCATTCGATGATTCCATTCTATTCCATTCAATGATGATTCCATTCAGGTCAATTAGATGATTCCATTCGATTCCATTCGATGATTATTCCATTCGAGTCCATTCGATGATCCCATTTGATTCCATTTTATGATGATTCCATTTGGGTACAATAGATGATTCCATTCGATGATGTTTCTATTGCAGTCCACTAGATGATTCCATTCGATTCCATTTGATTATGATTCCATTCGAGTCCATTCAGTGATTCCATTCGATTCCATTTGATGATGATTCCATTCGATTCCATTCGATGATGATTTCACTCGAGTCCATTTGATGATTCCATTTGATTCCGTTAGATGATGATTCCATTCAATTCCATTCAATGATTCTATTCTAATCCATTTGATGATTGCTTTTGATTATATTCGATGATGATTCCACTCGAGCCCATTCGATGATTCCATTCGATGATGATTCCATTCGAGTCCATTTGATGATTCCATTTGATTCCATTCTCCGATGATTAAGTTCGAGTCCATTCGATGATTCCACTTGATTCCATACAATGATGATTCCGTTCAATTCCATTCAATGATTCCATTCTATTCCATTCAATGATAATTCCATTCGAGTACATTAGATGATTCCATTCGATTCCATTCGATGATGATTCTATTCTTCCCCATTAGATGATTCCACACGATTCCATTCGATGATGATTCTATTTGAGTCCATTCGATGATTCCATTCGATTCCATTTGATGATGACCGCATTCCATTCCATTCATTGGTGATTCCATTCAATTCCATTCATTGATTCCATTACATTCCATTCAACAATGATTCCATTTGATTCCATTCGATGATTACACTTGATTCCACTTGACGATGACTCCACTTGATTCCATTCGATGATTCCATTTGATTCTATTTGATGATAATTCCATTCGATTCCATTCGATGAGGATTGCATTCAATTACATTCAAAGATTCCATTCGATTCCATTTGATGATGATTCCATTCGATTCCATTTGATGATTCCATTTGATTCCATTTGAGGATTCCACTCTATTCCATTCGATGATCATTCCATTCGAGTCCATTCAATGATTCCATTCCAGTCCATTTGATGATTCCATTTGATTCCATTCGATGATGATTCCATTTCATTCCATTCAATGATTCCATTCGATTCCATTCGATGATTCCATATGAGTCCTTTCGATTATTCCAGTCGAGTCCATTCGATGATCCCATTTGATACCATTCGATGATAATTCCATTGGAGTCCATTTGATGATGATTCCATTCGATTCAATTGCATAATTCCGTTCGATTCCATTCGATGATTCCCTCAGAATCCTTTCGATGATGATTCCATTCGATTCCATTCGATGATGATTCCATTTAATTCCATTCGATGTTGATTCCATTCGATTCCATTCGATGATGATTCCTTTCGATTCCATTCAATGATGATTCCATTCTATTCCATTCGATGATTCCACTCAATTGCATTCGATGATGATTCCATTTGTGTCCATTCGATGACACAATATATAATTAATTAATTAATATATATAAAATATGTCCCTAGATAAATCATAACAGTTGAAGAACAGAGGCATGGTAAATTTTTTTGCTGTTGTTTTGTTTTGTTTTGTTTTGTTTTGATACAGAGTCTCACTCTGTCACCCAGGCTGGAGTGCAGTGGCGCCATCTCAGCTCACTACAAATTCTACCTCCCAGGTTCAAGCAATTCTCCCGCCTCAGCCTCCCCAGTAGCTGGGATTACAGGCATGCTCCACCATGCCCAGCTAATTTTTGTGTGTTTTTAGTAGAGGAGGGGTTTCACCATATTGGCCAGGCTGGTCTCGAACTCCTGACCTTGAGATCTGCCTGCCTCGGCCTCTCAAAGTGCTGGGATTACAGGCGTGAGCCACCACACTTGGCCCATACTAAGTTTTTTAATGCAATACTTTATCAAGGTAGAATTTACTCTTAAATACCTCCTATGGCTTATGTGCCAGAATTCAGCTTGGGGGAGTTCCTTAGAGATGTTCTCATAGAAATCTCTACAGAAGCCCCCATAACTCCATAACTTAGCATCCATTCTTTCCATACTTACTCTTTCCTCTTCTGTCCTGCATTAGGAAATATGATTCCCTGATTCAGGATCAGGCCTGGGAACTGTCTCACCTATGGCAAAAAATATGAGAAGGGAGAGGTATTTGTTATCTTATCACCTGGCATGCAAAAGATACAGTAAAATCTTCTGAGGATCTCCTAAGGAGCAATGACATTGACTACTACTTGGGACAGAGCTTCTGGGAGCAACTCGCCCAGGGAAGCCAGCTGACAGAGAGGCTCACCAGCAAACTCAGCACCAGTAAGTTGGCCACAGGGCTTTGGAATACTCTCAGTCACCCCCATAGTTCCAGCCCCTGGTGGCCACCACATCTCCACTGTAACTTTTTAACCTAGGATCCTGTTTCTATTTCATTTCCTGGGGCTAATATAGAATGAAGACTGCTCAGTGGGGAGCATGGAGAGGAACACACAGGGCTGGAGATGCCATGGTTACAACTATAGAAACTTCACCACTCATGGAATGTGACCTGTGGGGCAGGGGCAGCATCTATCTGATGCTAAGAGGGAGTAGGGGACATGAGATGGAAGGGCCTTGTTATAGGAGGAAGAGCCCCGAGCTAAGAATTGCAAGACCCAAGCTCTAGCCTGGATGCTGCCACCAACTTGCTAAATGCCTTATCCTTGTGGTGCCTCCATTTATGGCATGGCAATGTACGTGAAGGTACTCCATATATGGATAAAGCGCCATGCTCTTTTATACATGGTTTAGGCACTGGCTGCAGTAGTTCAAGGGCTACATTGGTTATTATTGGGGTCCTCTACTCAGAATTTCCAGAGAATATCCAAAGGAGTAAAGTAGGATCAGACTTGGGAGCCACCTAGCCCACCTCCTGGTGGCAGATGCAGAGGTGGGGCAGGGCTTCTTGTCATCTCCTCAGAGACCAGTGCAGGTTCTGCATGAAAGCTGTGGTGGGACATATGCATTGGAGAGCTAGTCTGCACCAGGACTCGGAGGCTGGAGTGTCCCACAGGGCATCTGGGCAAGGGCCTCATGGTTAATGGAACAAAAGACATTTTAAATGTTTTACCCTGATTTAGGGCAGAGGAAGTCATGATGGTGACCAGCAGGTCAGGGACAGTGAGGTCACTTCTCTAGAGACACAAGCTGAGGTCTCCCAGAATAACTGTTCTGGATGCACACATGAAATGCTCACTACTCTGTCTCCAGATAGGCTCCTGCATTTGTAATGCGGGAAGTGGGACCAGCCTAATTTCTTATTGTTTCTTTCTAAATTTGGTTTGCTGAGGATCATAAAAGTGAGAAAGATCAAGCTGGACTTGAGCCACTGGTCCTCAGGTAATTCAGAGGGGAATCTGGGAAAGAGATTGGGACTAAGGCCCAAAGGGTCAAGGGTGGCGGCAACTCCACAAATCAAGGGGAATAAAGGAAAGTGCTAAATGTATTGAATTCATGCATTCATTGAACACCTCACTGTTGTTTTTAACTAAATTATTCCTTCCCTTTTGGTTTAATCACATTGGCACATTAATTCTCCAGGCTTAGTAACCTAGAAACAGTCTGAGCTAAAAGTGAACTAACTAGGTTTCAAGAGTCTTCTGCCCCACTAAGGGTCACGCTTTCCTGCTGTGTGTTTAATAAGTAGAATGAGCTTTTTGCAAAGTTGGCCTGCCCCAAGTTGGGTTGACAGCTAGTTTAATAGTCACTCAATTGCCCTGGGGGAAAAAAGGAATCATATAACAGGACCTGGTGAAAGAGGCCTAGATGGTGTAGATCACAAGAAGGCTGCAGTGCCTCAGGACCCAGTTCTCAGTGAGTTGCTTCATATAATGATCAATGAAATATGGGCTCAGAGTCCATTGTAGCCACTAGTTGGGGTTCTTTGTGTCATGCTTGTGTCTCAGACTACATAAATGCTTCTGAAAATATCTGTAGTGAAGGACACAGTGCTGTTTTTTGTTTTGTTTTGTTTTTATTTCTAATCCATCATAGAAACATACATGGTCTGAATTCACTTAACTATATGATTCCATTTATCATGCTCTTGGATGCTGGAACAATGGTTTGCTCTGCGTTTCTCAATGCTTGCTTTCAATTTTTATAATTGTCTTGTTGGAGATGGTAACAAACAGTTCGCAGGCTGCAACTGTTCCAGGGATCATACATTAAGCAGCAGTGCCTTAAAAGGAGGGCTAGCTATGTCTTTGCTTGTCTTCGGCATATTATGTGGCCAGAGCACTGGGTAGCTATTCTTTCTCCATCTACACCCCACCTACGCTCCATCCCTAAGCAGAGGTGGGTTATTTCTATTATTCTCTGCAGGCATGGTCCCCTTGGCTTACTTGGCTTTTCCTATGAGCCACAGTCAGGACAGGTTGGTTTGGGCGACCCTGGTTTTACCTGTTGTCCCCCTTCTCCCCACCAGGCTCAGCAGGGAGCTGCAGGAGAAGGAGAAAGTGATTGAAGTCCTGCAGGCCAAGGTGGATGCTCGGTCCCTCACACCCTCCAGCAGCCATGCTTTGTCTGACTCCCACTGCTTTCCCAGCAGCACCTTTTTCCTGTCTGATGAGCTGGAAGCCTGCTCTGACATGGACATAGCCAGCGAGTACACACACTATGAAGAGAAGAAAGCTTCTCCCGCTCACTCAGGTAGCCTCCACTTTCTGGGTGGTACCATCTTTGTCTAGACTGAGTGGAGAACTCAGGAAACAGGACTTATAGCTCCATTATGGTGTGTATCAGGCTGAACATGGCTGTGGGGCCAAGTGTCATGCACAAGCACCAGTGGATCAGGATCTTTGCTCTAATCCTGACTCTACAAGTTACCCCTGTCACCCTGGCCTCCATGGGCTTGTACATGCTGTTGGGCACAAGGTGAGCCATTGTGGGGAGAGTGAGAAGATCACAGCCGACTCTTCTTCCTCGGCGACTCTGTCAGACAGATCTTCTTTAAGATGGAAAACCTCCTTCACCTCTCCTACAATGATCTTGCTACTTATTCCTGAGCAGTGTTCCCTAAACATATGTGGGTGTACACAAATGCTGCTAGTCTTGCCTGATAATTTTGGAGTTGTCGTTTTCATGTTCCAGAGCTCAGAGCACCACTGTCGTCCCTAAGGTGGTTTACCTCACTATAGGGTCTGTCTGCAAGAAAGAAAATGAACACTGCTAACAGTGCTTGTGCTTGGTTCTTTCCCTGAAAGCAAGACTCTAGCCCTGGTACCCCTGGCTAAATATAAGGCCAGGATTCCAGTTCTCTGTAGAACATCAAACGTTTTCTTTCATTCATGGGTTTTATAGATTCCATCCATCATTTGAGTCATTCTGCTGTATTGTCTTCTAAACCGTCATCAACCAGTGCATCTCTGGGGGCTAAGGCCAAATCCAGCAGCAACCCCATCAGCTTGCCAACTCCCCAGAATCCCCCCAAGGAGGCCGACCAGGCCCATTCAGGTATGCAACAGCCAATGGGGCAGAAGCTTCATCTCCTCTTTGATTTTTCTTCAAGGACAGAGGTTTGGACTGTTAGGGGCGTAAATTCATCAAAACCTAGACAGAATCAAGAAACCACCCTCATTCACCAATTGTGTCTGATTTAAGAAAATATTTTAGAAAATAAGTAATCCACATCAGGTTTTGATCCGCACACCAGCTTTGACCAGTAGTTGGCTGACCATTTAAAAAGAAACATTTTTATTGGTTTTCTCTCATTTTATCCTGGGAGGAAAGAGGAAAAATGTTTCTCCCAGGATTACAACAGCCATAGGATGAAAAGAAATTCACATCTACTGATCCACTGTATGTGTTACCCATTAAATCTGCATGGAGATCCTCCCCAAGAGACAGTGCTACTTATTTCATAGCCAAGGACGCTGAGAACAGCCTCAGACAAGGTTCTGTTCATAGTACATTACCATTAATGGAGGTATGAATGGATTGGCAGTCCTTGATATGTACGTAGTGCATATCTTGGGGGCAGTTAAAAGGGTGCATTTCATTTACAAGTCCAGCTTAGTTGCCAGAGGGTACACTGCTCATTCACAGCCCTGTACCAGGGGTGGCAAGGAAAAGGCAAACCTTGTCTTCACCTCCTACCTCCCACCATAGCTGGCTGGCTGCCTTCAGTATGGTTTGTTGTGAGGTTTGACTTGAGTAGAGGTGCTCCCAGAAAGCACAGTGCTTTCTTCTGCTGCCCTCATTTCCCTGAAGGCAATTCAACCAAAATCTTAAAGAAGAGGAAGTGTTCCAATGCTTCCTGAGCCTGGTTTCAAAGTTTCTAGGCCAGAGTGGGCAGCAGCTGGACCAGAATCATGAAGTAAAGCTTTGCTTCCAGAATTGTAGACATCTGCTTAAATGTTTTGGGTTCAAACAGAGCAGAAGATGAAGAATGGAGGATTTAAAAATCAGAATGCCTCCTCAAAGAATGTCTGGGCTGTGTTACCTGGCAATTTGAGTGTATTTGCAGTTTTGATCTGAAATGGTGTCAGCACTGTTGGGTTGTGTTTTAGGATGTAATCATTGTCTTCTACATTAGACATTCTCTATGGGTCAGCCTTGGTTTCTGCCCCCCACCATTGGCTACCTGCCCTTTAATTGCTTTTAGGGAAGAGGAAACAATTTTAAACATTGAAACTTGACAGGGCTTCTAAAGATCTATCTGACAGAGTAACCAAGGAAGAAGAGTCTGCTGTGATCTTCTCACTCTCCCCACAATGGCTCACCTTGTGCCCCACAGCATGTACATGCCCATGGAGGCCAGGGTGACAGAGGTAACTTGTAGAGTCAGGAGCAGAGCAAAGATCCTGATCCACTGGTGCTTGTGCATGGCACTTGGACCCACAAGGTCTCTAAAAACTTGTCTGTAGGTGGGCTGCCTAAAGATCACCAGGGAAGACTTTTTTTAATACAAATTTCCTGTTCCAAGAATTTATAATTCTGTAAGTCTACATTAATGCCTAGACAGAATCAAGAAGGCCTAAAGAATCTACATATATTAAGAGTTTTTGCTATGTGATTTAAATGCCCAGAAGGGTTTGCAAGCCATTTTGTCTAAGCCACTCTACCAAGGCATCTATTTTTAATTTGGTGATTGAACACGTTGATTTGGAATTCTGAAGTTTGTTTCCATCAGAGTCCTCAACTGCATGCACTAGTAATGAAAATTTCCCCACAGCCTTTGTTCATCTCTCTCCTACTCAGGATGGGACCTGATGCCATCAGAGAGGAGTTCTAGGTGGAGAAAGAGTCTTGTCCCAAGGCCAAGGACTGATACATGCTGGGAGCAGAGCCCCAGGGGCCCTTGAGAGCATTCAGGCTCTCTGACTTTTCCATGCCCAGGATTGCTGGCGTGGGGCTCAATAATGCCACCTTACCTTGTTTAGCCAATTGCTTTCAAGATGAACACAGAGGTTGTATGCAGGATAGCCCTGACAGGGGAAAAGAGGGAAGGTCAGCCAGGCCAGATTCTCTGGTAGCAATGGTCACTCTTGGCTGTCTCATCCTGTACCACACTAGGTAATAGCCACTCTGCAGGGTGATGTCTGGTTCTCAATCTTTTGCTCATTCTTTTCTCTCATTTTGATGATGTGTCTCTTTTCTCCCTAACTTTCTGTTTCTAGGCATTTTCACTCCATACCCAAGCTGACTAGACTTCCTCAGGCACCATTGCCCTCAGCTCCATCCAGTTTCCTGCCTTTCAGGCCCACTGGCCCTCCCCTCCTTGGCTGCTGTGAGACACCGGTGGTCTCCTTGGCTGAGGCTCAGCAGGAGCTGCAGATGCTGCAGAAGCAGTTGGGAGAAAGTGAGCACTTCTGCATTTGTGTGCTTGTGAATGGCAGCCCCACACTGTGTTGCTCTGCATGGATCGGGCTGGATGGCAGAGTTCAAAGAAACAATATGGGGACATGTTACAAATGGAAGACTGAGGGAAAGCTCTGCTTGCTTATTTTTTGGAAATGTATTTCCTGTTATTTCTCTGATGTGTGTCTCATCAGTTAACAGGTAGATATGTTCAAGAGGCTCTAGACCTGGTGCTTTCACACTGTAGATAGTGTAGGATATCACCAAGTATGCTGAATCCCTGACAGACTGGTGGACTGCTCATTGGTAGGGGATGGGAGGAGATGTTATGCTTTGCCTATGCAGGATGAAGTGGCCAAGAAAAAGAGGGCCACATTCAGTGGGCTCCTTTGTGTGGCTATTACACTTTTCTGCTGTGAAATGCTGTTAATCAAGTTCAGTTCCTGACATCATTAGGTTGGAGCAAAAAGGGTAATGGTACCACAGTGTCAGCTATGGCATCTGACTGTGAATCCTATCTTCTGACTCCCAAAGATAATTGACCTTATATAGTTATGTAGACTGTGGACAGTCACCTTTTAGAAAATGCTAGATATATTTGTAGGCTGGATGCTCATCATAAATTTAGTATGCTGGTGGTCATTGATAGCTTAAAAAAAAAGACAAACCTTCACATGAATTTGCTCTCTCGTAGCACCTTAAGCACAACAGTTAGAAAGCAGTTTGAATGAACTTAAACTCATTTGTCAGGCACTTTCTGTGCCTGCAAAGAAGCTTAGGTGAGCCAGAGACTGATAGGGTCACCATGCCAGCAGTTTCTAGTGAAGCAAGACAACAGCCAAGAATTTGCATCCCCCTCCCTGTAGCCCTAAATGTCATGTGGACCAACCTATTTCTTTCCTTCTTCCTTTCTTTTTTTTTTTTTTTTTTTTTTTTGAGACAGGGTCTCACTTTGTCACCCAGACTGAAGTGCAGCGGCATGATCTCGGCTCATTGCAGCCTTGACCTCCTGGGCTCAAGTGACTCTCCCACTTCAGCCCCCCAAGTAGCTGGGATTACAGGTGTGTGTCACCATGCCTGGCTAATTTTTGTATTTTTTGTAGAGATGGGGTTTTGCCATGTTGCCAAGACTGGTCTAGAGCTCCTGAGCTCAAGTGATCGGCCCACCTCAGTTTCCAAAAGTGCTGGGATTACAGACATGAGCCACTGCACCCAGCCTAGCCTATTTATTTTGTCAACCCAGCAAATGGATACTTTGTCTAGTGCAGGGAACTCTAAAGCTCAGGGAAGTGAAGTTACTTGTTCAAGGTCACTAGGTGGGAGAGATGGGCTTGAATCTGGTCTTCCGCTCCAGGTTTCACGTTTCTGTTATACCTTTTCTGCTTAGGATGGCTTTGTCACCATCCTGCTTAGAGTATGGGGCTGAGATCAGCTGATCAAACTCTGGGGAATCCTTGCAACAATTTTTTTCCTCTCTTTAGAGACCAGTAGGAGGTGCTGGTGTTTCTGACCCAAAACTTGTTACTTTAGCAGTTGTGGCACCAGCAATGGGTGGGCAAAAATGTCCCCCAAGACAAATGGCAAGAGTATTTTCTAGTTTCCATTTCTTCCTCTTGCCTCCTTTTCCTTTATCTATCCACATTTGTCCATTTGTCTTTGCCCAAAGGGAAGGATGGAAGGAGAGCACTGTCCATGAAAAAGGGTCTATTGTTTTGGGTTAAATTGGAATTACGTCAAGTCTGAGGTCATTGACTGGAGATCAAATGGTCCCAGCCTAGATGAGGAAGATTGTAGCCCTTTCTTTCTCCACCTGAAGTCAAGGTCCTCTCCAAGGGCCATTGCTTATCCAAGCTCACTGTTTGCGTTGAGCCAATTTTCCGTGTGGACAGTGGTGCATGGCGGCCTCTCAGGTCCCTGGGTTAAAATCTTGTGCAAGAGTCTGTATGGTATCTTTGCATGGTTTAGAGCATGTACTGTGTATTGTGTGGCCAATGGACTGGAACATGAGAATACTGATCATTGTTACTGATAGACTTAAAACCTCACATGGCCTTGATTAAAAAGTAAGCTGACTATCTACAACCACTGATTTCTCCCTTTGCCTTGTGTTTGGATGGGGTTGAAGGCAGTTTGAAAGAGGCAGGAAATCACGTATTTGTTGCATCCCTTCAAAAATGTAGGTGCTTAAATTTTTAATCTTCTTCCTTAACTAAGTGATCCTGATGAATATCTAGTATTTTGCAAATTGGAGGAGAGACTCATCACAAGACTTCTCAAACTTCTGCCTGTTAGAATCACCTCAGTATATGTTTCCATACTTTCTCAGATGATTCCAATATGTACCAACATTTGAGAACCAGCTACAAATGGGGCTAAAAGCTGGCAACTGGCAATTACACTAACCCCTCCGAGGAGTTTGGCTTGGTTGGAAGAAACAATGACCTCACTCCTGTTGCTTAGGAGGAGCTACCTGTCTATTCTGCTGCCCATGTTCATAATCCCTGAAAGAAAGCAGGCTTCTGAATTTTCTCCTAAATTGCACTTCTGCCCACCTCTTTCCCTATCTCCTCTATGCTGGGCTTCTTTTTACAGAGAAGTGGAGATGAAGGGGCTCAAGGGAAAGGCCTATGATTTCAAAGGGTCTATGAAAGTATCAGCCTATGAAATGAAAGTCCTACCTGCCTCTGTGGAATAGTATTCAATGATTCTTTAGACAGGAGTGATGACATTTTGCAGCTCTTTGAGTCATGTTGGATGGGATCCAAATAAATACTTGCTTTACATAGGCCCTTCCCCAGCCTCAGCAAAGAGTTCTTCATTCTGGAGGAATTAGGGCCATCATATCCAGCTTGACTTCATGTCCCCTTTCTCTTCTGAAAAACTCCAAGGTGGAACTGACATATTGACCGGTTAGTTTCAGGGGAAGGCAAGTACATGTAGACAAACAAACATTCATGTTCACAGGTAAGCTCAATCCTGTATGCCGCTGCACTCACAACTTGTAACTGTGGGAGTGAATCCTACTTTTAGAACTTTCCTTGGAGTCTGTCATGAAGGATTGTAGTAGGAGCCAGGAGCAGGGCCACTGGACTTTTCCATTGTGTATACTGATGACTTTAAGATACTTTATTCTCTACCTCTTGTGTCTCCTGCTAGGAAATACAAAGGGTGAGAATTACAACCTCTAGGTTACAAGCCTTAGTCTAATTGGTATACCACAGTGAACTGTGATCTCTGACATTCCACAGGTCTCCTTTTAGTCTCTATTCTTAGTAATCACACACTTCCTTGAAAATCCTTCCCTTCTGACACCGCATTTGCTTCTTACTCATGTTTCTTTCTGCCCAGGTGCCAGCACTATTCCTCCTGCTTCCACAGCTACATTGCTGAGCAAAGACTTGGAAGCTGGCTCTTCCCACTACCTCAACTCTGCCCAGCCTGACTCTCCTCCAAGAGGCACCATAGAACTGGGAAGAATCCTGGAGCCTGGGTACCAGGGCAGCAGTGGCCAGTGGGACATGATGAGTCCTCAGAAAGGGAGTGTATCCGGGGACCTATCCTCAGGCTCCTCTGTGTACCAGCTTAACTCCAAACCCAGAGGTAAAGCACAAAGTGGAGATGGCAGCCTTTGAAAAGAAGTCTCATTCAGAGTCTATTCTTTTCCTACCCAGGCAGGACTGTTTCATTCCTCCTCCATCCCTGGCTCACAGAGTGGGGGGTATAAAATGAAAGACCTGTATCAGGGCTCAATCCTTTCCAAGTACGTTCTTCATTCTCCTGCCCAGGGCCTCAGAGCTCTGTAGGGATATGGGAAAGTCGGGGACCCACCTCTTGTGCTCTCATACTCATGTCCTTCCATCTCTCTGCAGCCTGGACTCTTTGCAGCCCAGCCTCTTTGCAGCCCACTCTCTTAGACCCCTCTAGAATGCCAGGCATAGATGGGACTTTCTTCCATCAGTCAGGAGTTGTCACAGGAAAGGGTGCAAGGGTGCAGCTCCCCAACCCTGCACATATATCCTGTGAACAAAATTCAGTCACAGCAAGTGGAGAGGTATAGCTAAGCTCATAAATGCTGGGATGCTACTCAGTTCCAACAGTAAGACAATCGTAATTTTCAGGAAAAGACTGAGCCCAAAGCAAAATGGTTCAGTTAATATCCGACGTGAGCATCCCTCTGACTTTTCTGCATCTTTTTCCTTTGTTTGGCTGGGGGAGGGGGGTGGTGTCATCCCCTCTCTAATCTGCCCTCAGATCTCTAGATCCTTCCAGGCTATTCTTTCATCTTCTATATTAAAAGTGATTTCAGGGAAGCATTCAGTGTCAGTCATTAACTGCATAGGGTGAGTGTAAGATCACATACTTTTACTTTAGGCCTTCTTTCTAAGGGTGGGAGGAAGGGCTTTGTCCCTTGCTAAAGAATGCTCACTCATGTGTCAGTAAGAAGAAAGGTAGAGTGAGGTCTCACCTATCATCCTCATAGTCACACCCAGGAGGTGGCCATACCTTTCCAGATGCTAGGCAGGCCTTGTCCAGAGCCCTCAGTTATTTTTCTAAAACATGTGGAACTCTCATAAGACCCCTGTGTGGGAGGAGGCCCATGGAGATGTTTTAGCAAGTGACTGTTATGTGTTTGAAAGCACATTGACTGTTTAAACAAACTACCATTCCTTTGGGTGTCCGTGTGACAGCACACAGTTGGCAGAAGACTAGTGATATTTACAGGTCTTGCTGCAAGGCCCCTGGCTAGGCCCCACACCCACCAGTAACCAGGATTCTCCATCTCTCACCTCTCTCCATGTCCTGTTGGTTTGGCTACAGGGACTGCCCTGGTGGAAGAGCATCTTGGTGAAATCCAGAACTTGCGCCAGCACCTAGAGGAATCCATCTGCATCAGTGACCACCTACGGGAGCAACTGGAACACCAGCTGGGCTCTACTGCCCATGGAAGTGGTAGGAGAGGCCAAGACCTTCCTGTTTCTGGCTCTATTTAGGGACCTTTAGGCAGAGCTTCACAGATATTCTTTACTTCACTTGCTCCTTATAAATAGTCCAACAAGGGAGGTGGGCAAGTACTGTTATCCCTACTTTCTGAATATATCTGAGTTTAGAGAGTAACTCTCTTTAAGGCAGAACTAGATCTGGTCCCCAGAATCACCTGACATCTCACCCCATACTTAATCTGCTTATATACTGCCTGCTGATGTATGTGCCTTTGTTGCGTGATTGATAAGTGGTGGAGCCAGGTCTGTAAGGGTCCTCCCAACTCCACCCCTGGCCACTTTACCAAGGTGGCCTTTCTCCTTACACTCTCCTTCCAAGCTACTGTCACATGGAGGCCAGTCTTTCCATATGTTTTTATCTTGCCTATACCATAGCAGCAGCTGTTTAGGGAGACTGAGACTCTTGCACCATTGCAGTTACGGCATGTGATGATGCACGCAAAGAATCCACTGAGAAGAGGCACACAGAAAACATGTACCCAGACCCCCATGCTTCATTCAGGGCCAGGCCTTGAGTCCTTGGGGTTTTCTGCTGGGTTGGGGCAGTATCTTTGAGAGATAAAGAATGGGAAACTTTTGGAAGCTTCTGTTACCCAAAAGTATACTTTCTGGGACAGGATCCACTTCTAACTTCTACAGTCAGGGCCTGGAGTCCATACCTCAGCTCTGCAATGAGAGCAGAGTCCTCAGGGAAGAAAATTGAAGACTTCAGGCTCAGCTGAGTCATATTTCCAAAGGTACATGGTCAAAACCCACAAACTGTGGTCACTCTTAAGTTTCGTTCTTCCCTGGCCACACTAATCACCAACTGGAGAAGCAAATAGAAGAAGGTAGAGATAACAGAGCTACTCAGATCCACCAACCCAAACTCACAGCTATTCTCAGTCTAGAGAAGGCTGCTTTCTAAGATGTGCCAACTATGGGCCCCTCAGACTCCTAGTCCCCAGGAGTGAAGAGCTCTAGGAAATCCATCATTTCTGTACAACCCACCTGCATATATCCAGAGTCACCAGCTATCAATCTGGATACCAGTCTGGTATCTGTTCTACCTCCCTTCACTCACAACTGATTTGGAACCAATAAAGGAGGGAGTGCAAATGCCTATCTTCCCTCTCAACTTTCTCCAGACTTTATTGCAGCAGCATGTGTTGCTCCTGGCCCTGCTCTGCCATACCTCTGCCTCCTCACCACATCCCTCACTCATAGACTCAGGGCTCCTCTCTGGCCAGTACTCCTATGACTCCATGCCAAGTGGCACCAGCAAATGCCCCCCAGCACTTTCCCAGCCCTAGCCAGGGGGCACTCACAGGTGGGCATCATTTCTCGTGTGGCTGGGAGACAGCTGACCTTGGTGTTCGTCTACTTGATCAAATCAATGTATTATCGATAACAAAGTATTTTTATTCACAAATATTTATTGAACTGCCATAAAAAGACTGAGAGTAGTATCCAAAAGGATTAAGCCCAGAATGAAGGAATGCTTGTGGAAAAGGAAAACGCCACCAAGAGATATTTCTAAATTAGCCACCTAAATTAATTAATTAATTAAATTAATTGATTTCTATATTAGCAAGAAAATTTGAGAGGAAATGTCACTGCTGGGGGACGATAACAAAAGTTAACAGATAAGAAAGAGGGCAGAACTACTAAGCTACCATTGCATGCTTGGAGAGAATAGAAGAGACCTCACAGGTGAGAAGACAGTAAGAGATTTAAATGAATACAGTTTGTCAGGCTCAGGTGAATCCTTCCCCAGAGGACTTACTGAGCCCGCAGCTGTATTTTTAGAGTGTCTTCAATAATCTTTGACAACTTGTGAAGATCAGAGAAGTGCTGCAAGTTCAAAAAAGAACAAATATCCCAGTTTTCAAAATAATGAAAGTGATATATTCCAAAAAGAAATCTTGATGTTGATCTTTGTCAAAATTCAAGAATGGATTATTGAACAGATGGTATGTGAGCACTTGGAAAATGGTGAACATTAGAAACCAGAATTTCTCTAAAAGCAAGGTAGGACAGATTAAGTGGGACGAAAGGTTTTGCAGAGAGAGAGATGCACCATTCTCCAGGCTGCGGTGGGTGTTGAGCCAGCATGCTCTTCCCCACCAACATAGGGCCTTCCTTCCCTGCTCCTTAGCTGTTTGTCAGGGCAGATGTGCTTGGGGTCATCTTCCTGCTGAGCTCTGACCCCATGATAATAAATCAATCCTCCGTGTTCCTCTCACCAGAGCACTCCCAGGAAATGGAAAGCCTGAGGGAGGCTCTGCTGTCCTCTCAATCCCACCTTCAATAGCTGGAAAAGGAGCTGGAGCACCAGAAGATGGAAAGGCAGCAACTTTTGGAAGACTTGAGGGAGAAGCAGCAAGAGTTCTTGCATTTCAGGGAGGATCGTCTTTCCCTCCAGGAAAATGACTCCAGGTAAGAGGGGACCCATTGACACAGAAGGTAGCATTCTTCATTCTTACATTCATTCTTACATTAGAAGAAGGGATATTGGTAAGACAATTGGTGTCCTCTTTTGGAAACCTCAATGTTCCCTCTGCTATTCCTGATTTTTGTGTGTCAGTTGTTGGATAGGAAGGCGCTTTGAGCAGAAGAAAGTACTTCTCTGGGAATGCCTTGTCACTCCCAAGTTGAGAGAGTAAAACTCTGTTATAGAAATCTTCAGTATATCAGAGACATGACAAGGAAGGGTTCCCATGCTTCCAATTAGGTATAGGACATTAGTCTCACCATCGCCTAGGAAGCTTCTATACTGGCTGTGATGCTAGGTCCCATCATAAGCCTTGTAACTGCTTGTCAGAATGAAAAGAGCACTGTAGGAGCAGTAAGGAGACTGTGCTGGTGTATCTGTTCTGCTCTGAACTAATGTAGGTAATGGTGTGTTTTCAAGCAAAGTTACTTGACCTCCCTCAGCCACCATTTCCACATCTGCAAAATAAAAGTGATGGTCTTCATGACCCCCTGAGTTGACATCTGGGGCTCAGATGTAACCCTACCCATAAACCTTTATGAACCCCTGGGTTGACATCTGGCTCTCAGCTTATTGCTCTGGTGTGACTGAGTGGCCCTGCCATTTCAGTGGGCCTTGCCGCTCCCTGGTCAGACTGCAGCACAAGCTGGTCCTCCTGCAGCAACAATGTGAAGAGAAACAGCAGCTCTTTGAGTCCCTCCAGTCAGAGCTACAAATCCACAAGGCACTTTATGGCAATTCCAAGAAGGGGCTGAAAGGTTTGTGTTCTTCTCCCCTTACCCCATGAACTTTTTGCTCTTGCATAAGATGCTAGTGAGGTCTTTCCTTTGGGAGTTGTGGAGATCATGGGAAGCTACAGAGTTCTGTCTCAGAAACCCCACCCAAGCCTGGGGCTCCCAGTAGGAACTCTCATGCACAAAGCCCAAGGTGACAGGTTGGTAGCACGAGCAAGATCCAGCCTGATCATTCTTAATTACTTTAAGAAAATCTGGACATTCCCATTCTAGACATTCCTATCAATGTCTAGATTATAACTTTTTTTTTTTTTTTTTTGAGATGGAGTCTCGCTCTGTCACCCAGGCTGGAGTGCAGTGGCATGACCTCGGCTCACTGCAAGCTCTGCCTCCCAGGTTCTGGCCATTCTCCTGCCTCAGACTCCCGAGTAGCTGGGACTACAGGCACCTGCCACCATGCCCAGCTAATTTTTTTGTATTTTTAGTAGAGACAGGGTTTCACCATGTTAGCTAGGATGGTCTTGATCTCCTGATGTCATGATCTGCCCACCTCGGCCTCCCAAAGTGCTGGGATTACAGGTGTGAGCCACCGCACCTGGTGATTATAACATTTTTTAAAGCAAAAGAACAGTCCTAATGATATCATTTGAAAAGGCCTCTAATATTGTCAGTGATACATACTGACAACCCATTCAGCCCAATGTAGCAGGCAGTCTGCTCCCACCCTGACCCTTTCCCTAGTGACATCTGGCTCTCAGCTTATTGCCCTTTCATTTAATTTTCATAAATCCTGATTTAGTTTCCTGATTTTCTAAAGAGAAGGTGAACTGGAATTTGAAGAAATACAGGGGCTTACCAGGCTCGGTGAATAGCTTAAGTTCAAAGTCATGGTGAGTGTTGAGTCAGTGGGGACCAGCCTGCCCACAGGAGAAAATTAAAAGACATGAAAACAAAAAAACTTCATAGAAATACCACTAATAAGACCTAAATTTCAATCCTGGATTTAAATATTAAGGACATTTTTTGAAGACTTTGCTTCCTACTGAAATAATAATCTAATATTTGAGAATTTTGATATATTTCTTCATTCTTCTTTAAATGGAGGAGAGTACTCAAAACATAACGTTAATAAGTCACAGCAGGCTGGGACAGAGGGCTGACATCAATGTCATGAAATTTAGCAAAGATTAAAAGCAAAATCCTGAGCTCGATTAAAAGTATCAGTGGTAGAAATATAGGATGAGCATAGAAATATAGGACAGGCAGCCATTCATGGACTTCAGGGTTTGGGGTTTGGTAGAAACATGTTCACACAAGAATGGCATAGGCAAAAGGATGCTAGAAATACCAGCTCAAAATAACACTACAGTAGTGTAAGTGTGATGTTCACCTGTGGAGACCATGTCTAAAATATTGTTAGATTATGGGGCACCATCTTTGAAAAGGGCATTGACACACTAGGGAACATAATGAAGACAGGGCGCACAATGGTGTGTACCAGACATCTTGAACTGGTCAAAGAAACTAAAGAAATTTAGGCTTTCAAAAGATCTTGAGGACATGAGAACTGGCTTCAGATATTTGAAGAACTGTCAAGGTGAAAAAGAACTCATGTATTTTATGTCCCTCCAGAGGGCTAAACAAAGAGTGAAGGGCAGTGGAATTTAGATTGGAATTATCATAAATCCTGATTTAGTTTCCTGATTTTCTAAAGAGAAGGTGAACTGGAACTTGAAGAAATACAGAGGGGCTCACCAGGCTGGGAGAATAGCTTAAGTACAAAGTCATGGTGAGTGTTGGGTCAGAGGGACCAGCCTGCCCACAGGAGAAGCTTGGGGTTTGGGGAGTGAGAAGTCAGGATGGTGGAGCAGAGTCATCAAATCTTGAAAGCCCACAGGTCAGGGGGAAAGTTGACATTCTGTACAGTAGATAATGAAACTAAGTCTGTTCTTTTTCAAAGAAGATAAGTATATGATGAAAACAGAGCTTTCAGATGCTAAGTCTCAGGGGATGTCCTGGAGTTGGGAGACGTTAGAATCTGGGAAACCTATTGGATGGGTCTAGTGATATTCTGGCACATTAAGAGATGACAGTCTAATATAAGGTGCTATTGGGAAGATGAAAGGGTATAGATAGATTTAAAAACATCTCTTTAAAAAATAAGCAAAATTTAATGAGAACTTGGATTGAGAAAGAGAGAGAGCAACATCACAAAACTTTGGGCAAAATTCAAGAGTAGATTATTTACCAAAGTCTCTAAAACTAATTCATCCTGAGCTACCTTTCCTTTCATGCTTTTCTCCCTGCCTTTTAGGACTCATTTCAGAGCTACAACCACTAAAGCTCCATAATCTCTTTTTTTTTTTTTTTTAATTATACTTTAAGTTTTAGGGTACATGTGCACATTGTACAGGTTAGTTACATATGTATACATGTGCCATGCTGGTGCGCTGCACCCACTAACTCGTCATCTAGCATTAGGTATATCTCCCAATGCTATCCCTCCCCCCTCCCCCCTCCCCACCACAGTCCCCAGAGTGTGATATTCCCCTTCCTGTGTCCATGCGATCTCATTGTTCAATTGTTCAATTTCCACCTATGAGTGAGAATATGCGGTGTTTGGTTTTTTGTTCTTGCGATAGTTTACTGAGAATGATGGTTTCCAATTTCATCCATGTCCCTACAAAGGACATGAACTCATCATTTTTTATGGCTGCATAGTATTCCATGGTGTATATGTGCCACATTTTCTTAATCCAGTCTATCATTGTTGGACATTTGGGTTGGTTCCAAGTCTTTGCTATTGTGAATAATGCCGCAATAAACATACGTGTGCATGTGTCTTTATAGCAGCATGATTTATAGTCATTTGGGTATATACCCAGTAATGGGATGGCTGGGTCAAATGGTATTTCTAGTTCTAGATCCTTGAGGAATCGCCACACTGACTTCCACAATGGTTGAACTAGTTTACAGTCCCACCAACAGTGTAAAAGTGTTCCTATTTCTCCACATCCTCTCCAGCACCTGTTGTTTCCTGACTTTTTAATGATCGCCATTCTAACTGGTGTGAGATGATATCTCATTGTGGTTTTGATTTACGTTTCTCTGATGGCCAGTGATGACGAGCATTTTTTCATGTGTTTTTTGACTGCATAAATGTCTTCTTTTGAGAAGTGTCTGTTCATGTCCTTCGCCCACTTTTTGATGGGGTTGTTTGTTTTTTTCTTGTAAATTTGTTTGAGTTCATTGTAGATTCTGGATATTAGCCCTTTGTCAGATGAGTAGGTTGTGAAAATTTTCTCCCATGTTGTAGGTTGCCTGTTCACTCTGATGGTAGTTTCTTTTGCTGTGCAGAAGCTCTTTAGTTTAATTAGATCCCATTTGTCAATTTTGGCTTTTGTTGCCGTTGCTTTTGGTGTTTTGGACATGAAGTCCTTGCCCACGCCTATGTCCTGAATGGTAATGCCTAGGTTTTCTTCTAGGGTTTTTATGGTTTTAGGTCTAACGTTTAAATCTTTAATCCATCTTGAATTGATTTTTGTATAAGGTGTAAGGAAGGGATCCAGTTTCAGCTTTCTACATATGGCTAGCCAGTTTTCCCAGCACCATTTATTAAATAGGGAATCCTTTCCCCATTGTTTGTTTTTCTCAGGTTTGTCAAAGATCAGATAGTTGTAGGTAAGCGGCATTATTTCTGAGGGCTCTGTTCTGTTCCATTGATCTATATCTCTGTTTTGGTGCCAGTACCATGCTGTTTTGGTTACTGTAGCCTTGTAGTGTAGTTTGAAGTCAGGTAGTGTGATGCCTCCAGCTTTGTTCTTTTGGCTTAGGATTGACTTGGCGATGTGGGCTCTTTTTTGGTTCCATATGAACTTTAAAGTAGTTTTTTCCAATTCTGTGAAGAAAGTCATTGGTAGCTTGATGGGGATGGCATTGAATCTGTAAATTACCTTGGGCAGTATGGCCATTTTCATGATATTGATTCTTCCTACCCATGAGCATGGAATGTTCTTCCATTTGTTTGTGTCCTCTTTTATTTCCTTGAGCAGTGGTTTGTAGTTCTCCTTGAAGAGGTCCTTCACATCCCTTGTAAGTTGGATTCCTAGGTATTTTATTCTCTTTGAAGCAATTGTGAATGGGAGTTCACTCATGATTTGGCTCTCTGTCTGTTGTTGGTGTATAGGAATGCTTGTGATTTTTGTACATTGATTTTGTATCCTGAGACTTTGCTGAAGTTGCTTATCAGCTTAAGGAGATTTTGGGCTGAGACGATGGGGTTTTCTAGATATACAATCATGTCATCTGCATACAGGGACAATTTGACTTCTTCTTTTCCTAATTGAATCCCCTTTGTTTCCTTCTCCTGCCTAATTGCCCTGGCCAGAACTTCCAACACTATGTTGAATAGGAGTGGTGAGAGAGGGCATCCCTGTCTTGTGCCAGTTTTCAGAGGGAATGCTTCCAGTTTTTGCCCATTCAGTATGATATTGGCTGTGGATTTGTCATAGATAGCTCTTATTATTTTGAGATACGTCCCATCAATACCTAATTTATTGAGAGTGTTTAGCATGAAGGGTTGTTGAATTTTGTCAAAGGCTTTTTCTGCATCTATTGAGATAATCATGTGGTTTTTGTCTTTGGCTCTGTTTATATGCTGGATTACATTTATTGATTTGCGTATATTGAACCAGCCTTGCATCCCAGGGATGAAGCCCACTTGATCATGATGGATAAGCTTTTTGATGTGCTGCTGGATTCGGTTTGCCAGTATTTTATTGAGGATTTTTGCATCAATGTTCATCAAGGATATTGGTCTAAAATTCTCTTTTTTGGTTGTGTCTCTGCCCGGCTTTGGTATCAGAATGATGCTGGCCTCATAAAATGAGTTAGGGAGGATTCCCTCTTTTTCTGTTGATTGGAATAGTTTCAGAAGGAATGGTACCAGTTCCTCCTTGTACCTCTGGTAGAATTCAGCTGTGAATCCATCTGGTCCTGGACTCTTTTTGGTTGGTAAACTATTGATTATTGCCACAATTTCAGAGCCTTTTATTGGTCTATTCAGAGATTCGACTTCTTCCTGGTTTAGTCTTGGGAGAGTGTATGTGTCGAGGAATGTATCCATTTCTTCTAGATTTTCTAGTTTATTTGCGTAGAGGTGTTTGTAGTATTCTCTGATGGTAGTTTGTATTTCTGTGGGATCGGTGGTGATATCCCCTTTATCATTTTTTATTGTGTCTATTTGATTCTTCTCTCTTTTTTTCTTTATTAGTCTTGCTAGCGGTCTATCAATTTTGTTGATCCTTTCAAAAAACCAGCTCCTGGATTCATTGATTTTTAGAAGGGTTTTTTGTGTCTCTATTTCCTTCAGTTCTGCTCTGATTTTAGTTATTTCTTGCCTTCTGCTAGCTTTTGAATGTGTTTGCTCTTGCTTTTCTAGTTCTTTTAATTGTGATGGTAGGGTGTCAATTTTGGATCTTTCCTGCTTTCTCTTGTGGGCATTTAGTGCTATAAATTTCCCTCTACACACTGCTTTGAATGCATCCCAGAGATTCTGGTATGTTGTGTCTTTGTTCTCATTGGTTTCAAAGAACATCTTTATTTCTGCCTTCATTTCGTTATGTACCCAGTAGTCATTCAGGAGCAGGTTGTTCAGTTTCCATGTAGTTGAGCGGCTTTGAGTGAGATTCTTAATCCTGAGTTCTAGTTTGATTGCACTGTGGTCTGAGAGATAGTTGGTTATAATTTCTGTTCTTTTACATTTGCTGAGGAGAGCTTTACTTCCAACTATGTGGTCAATTTTGGAATAGGTGTGGTGTGGTGCTGAAAAAAATGTATATTCTGTTGATTTGGGGTGGAGAGTTCTGTAGATGTCTATTAGGTCCGCTTGGTGCAGAGCTGAGTTCAATTCCTGGGTATCCTTGTTGACTTTCTGTCTCGTTGATCTGTCTAATGTTGACAGTGGGGTGTTAAAGTCTCCCATTATTAATGTGTGGGAGTCTAAGTCTCTTTGTAGGTCACTCAGGACTTGCTTTATGAATCTGGGTGCTCCTGTATTGGGTGCATATATATTTAGGATAGTTAGCTCCTCTTGTTGAATTGATCCCTTTACCATTATGTAATGGCCTTCTTTGTCTCTTTTGATCTTTGTTGGTTTAAAGTCTGTTTTATCAGAGACTAGGATTGCAACCCCTGCCTTTTTTTGTTTTCCATTTGCTTGGTAGATCTTCCTCCATCCTTTTATTTTCAGCCTATGTGTGTCTCTGCACGTGAGAAGGGTTTCTTGAATACAGCACACTGATGGGTCTTGACTCTTTATCCAACTTGCCAGTCTGTGTCTTTTAATTGGAGAATTTAGTCCATTTACATTTAAAGTTAATATCGTTATGTGTGAATTTGATCCTGTCATTATGATGTTAGCTGGTGATTTTGCTCGTTAGTTGATGCAGTTTCTTCCTAGTCTCGATGGTCTTTACATTTTGGCATGATTTTGCAGCGGCTGGTACTGGTTGTTCCTTTCCACGTTTAGCGCTTCCTTCAGGAGCTCTTTTAGGGCAGGCCTGGTGGTGACAAAATCTCTCACCATTTGCTTGTCTGTAAAGTATTTTATTTCTCCTTCACTTATGAAGCTTAGTTTGGCTGGATATGAAATTCTGGGTTGAAAATTCTTTTCTTTAAGAATGTTGAATATTGGCCCCCACTCTCTTCTGGTTTGTAGGGTTTCTGCTGAGAGATCCGCTGTTAGTCTGATGGGCTTCCCTTTGAGGGTAACCCGACCTTTCTCTCTGGCTGCCCTTAACATTTTTTCCTTCATTTCAACTTTGGTGAATCTGACAATTATGTGTCTTGGAGTTGCTCTTCTCGAGGAGTATCTTTGTGGCGTTCTCTGTATTTCCTGAATCTGAACGTTGGCCTGCCTTGCTAGATTGGGGAAGTTCTCCTGGATAATATCCTGCAGAGTGTTTTCCAACTTGATTCCATTCTCCGCATCACTTTCAGGTACACCAATCAGACGTAGATTTGGTCTTTTCACATAGTCCCTTATTTCTTGGAGGCTTTGCTCATTTCTTTTTATTCTTTTGTCTCTAAACTTCCCTTCTCACTTCATTTCATTCATTTCATCTTCCATTGCTGATACCCTTTCTTCCAGTTGATCGCATCGGCTCCTGAGGCTTCTGCATTCTTCACGTAGTTCTTGAGCCTTGGTTTTCAGCTCCATCAGCTCCTTTAAGCACTTCTCTGTATTGGTTATTCTAGTTATACATTCTTCTAAATTTTTTTCGAAGTTTTCAACTTCTTTGCCTTTGGTTTGAATGTCCTCCCATAGCTTAGAGTAATTTGATCATCTGAAGCCTTCTTCTCTCAGCTCGTCAAAATCATTCTCCATCCAGCTTTGTTCCGTTGCTGGTGAGGAACTGCGTTCCTTTGGAGGAGGAGAGGCACTCTGCGTTTTAGAATTTCCAGTTTTTCTGTTCTGTTTTTTCCCCATCTTTGTGGTTTTATCTACTTTGGGTCTTTGATGATGGTGATGTACAGATGGGTTTTCGGTGTGGATGTCCTTTCTGTTTGTTAGTTTTCCTTCTAACAGACAGGACCCTCAGCTGCAGGTCTGTTGGAATTCCCTGCCGTGTGAGGTGTCAGTGTGCCCCTGCTGGGGGGTGCCTCCCAGTTAGGCTGCTCGGGGGTCAGGGGTCAGGGACCCACTTGAGAAGGCAGTCTGCCCGTTCTCAGATCTCCAGCTGCGTGCTGGGAGAACCACTGCTCTCTTCAAAGCTGTCAGACAGGGACATTTAAGTCTGCAGAGGTTACTGCTGTCTTTTTGTTTGTCTGTGCCCTGCCCCCAGAGGTGGAGCCTACAGAAGCAGGCAGGCCTCCTTGAGCTGTGATGGGCTCCACCCAGTTCGAGCTTCCCCGCTGCTTTGTTTACCTAAACAAGCCTGGGCAATGGCGGGCGCCCCTCCCCCAGCCTCGCTGCCGCCTTGCAGTTTGATCTCAGACTGCTGTGCTAGCAGTCAGCGAGATTCCGTGGGCTTAGGACCCTCCAAGCCAGGTGTGGGATATAGTCTCGTGGTGCGCTGTTTTTTCAGCCGGTCTGAAAAGCGCAATATTCGGGTGGGAGTGACCCAATTTTCCAGGTGCGTCCGTCACCCCTTTCTTTGACTCGGAAAGGGAACTCCCTGACCCCTTGTGCTTCCCAGGTGAGGCAATGCCTCGCCCTGCTTCAGCTCACGCACGGTGCGCGCACCCACTGGCCTGCGCCCACTGTCTGGCACTCCCTAGTGAGATGAACCCGGTACCTCAGATGGAAATGCAGAAATCACCCTTCTTCTGCGTCGCTCACGCTGTGAGCTGTAGACCGGAGCTGTTCCTATTCGGCCATCTTGGCTCCTCTCAAGCTCCATAATCTCTTATCTGTAATTTCAAAATCCAGTAAGATCTCCAAATTAAATTTTTCAAATAGTCATTTAGTGACAAAATCTAGATGAACTGACAAGAAGATATTCATAAGTCTTTATTTATCTACTTAGAATGTTCACATAGCTCATTGCAGAAATAGTTATATGTTTGATTAAGGATTGTGGCTCACCTGCAACTGGGTACATGTTATATACGATATATGCACCCTGTTGCCTTGCTAAAAACTAAAACAAAATTTACTTTTTGAGATACATTTGGCCTTAAGGTTTTCAGATAAGGGATTGTGGACTTGTAGAATATTTCTTAGATCTCTTCATCCCCAGTACAAAGAAATAAACTACATGTGGTGAATGGAGGTAAATATATATACACATATATATTTTTATATATGCATATATATTTATATATACGCGTATATATTCATATATACATGTATATATTTATATATACATGTGTGTATATGTGTGTACATATATATGTACATATATTTCATATATACACATATATAGTATGTATATGCACACAACATATATACACACTATATATAGGTGTATATATGTACACACGTACATATATACATATATACATGTATACACATATACATATATACTGTATACATATATACATATATATACACACAGAGAGAGAGAGAGAGAGAGAGAAGTTGAAAAACTCACTTAGTTATAATCCCTCGTCTAAGTTGCCGAACTCATATCCTCACATGCTACCAAAAGGCCTCCTCCTTCTCCTCTTTCATTTTTGAGAGTGAAGACTGTCAAATCTCTTTCTCCTTCATCCCCTACCCTTCTCTAGCTCAGTGCTGACCTTCTACCTTGGAGGATCCTATACTTTAGCCTACAGGACTAAGGTTACTATGGAGATGAAATATGGACTTATCCTTATCTGCCAATCAAATGCTCTATAGGTGCATGTGTGTAACTTAAACCACAAAGAAGTTTCAGACTGGATGTGTGCCAGCTCAGTGCCATCCCCAGGCCACACACAGAAATGATGACATGTCCATCATAGATGGGTTGCATGAGACTCAGATGATAGTGGGGTCCTTGGCAGAAAAGAGTGTCACAGAGGAGGGTTCTGACAAGTGCTTGGAAATACTTGGGTCAATGTTACCAGACTCCTCTTCTCTCTTAGGTTACAGCCTGGATGCTTGTCACCAAATCCCTTTGAGCAGTGTCCTGAGCCACCTGGTGAGAGAGGTACGAGGTCTGAGAGGGCAGCTGGAGCAAAGCATTCAGGGGAACAATTGTCTGTGACTGCAGCTGCGACAGCAGCTGGATAGCGGTGCTGGCAAAGCCAGCCTCAGCCCCTTCTCCATTAACAAGAACTTCCCAGCCAGCACTGACCCTGGAAACAAACAGCTGCTCCTCCAAGGTAGGAAGGAAAAGGGACTTAGAAAGCTCTCAGCCAGTGGGGAGATCACCAGGATGTCTGCAGCAGAAGGTGCAATCTGCCTGGTCTATGCTCCTTAGGGTCAGGTTGAAATCAGAGATGCTCTAGTCTAGCAGCCTGAGTGAAAGTGTGGGATTTAGGCCAGGCCAGGCTCCAGATTCTGAGTTTACCACTTAAAGATCATTTGATTTGGGCAAGGTGTTTAAAGTATCAGAGGTTTAGGCCTTAGTTTCCTTATATTTAGGATAATAATAATATATACCTTATATGATTTTGAGCATTACATGAAATCATTTACAAATGCTTGGCACACTAAGAATTGCTCAATAATTAGTAGCTGTATATGTTCATATCTTTTTCTTGGATTTGCTTAGTGCTTTAGTATTAGCGAAGTGTTTTCACATATAGAATTTCATCTGTAGTAAAGCAGGTTTTGCTGTCTCTATTTCACACAAGAAAACTTAGGTCTTGAGATATTAACAGACAAGCAAGGGTTTAGAGAAGTTATAGACAAAGCCAGGATCAGAACCAGATGTTGTGATTTTCAGTCTGTGTTCCTTCCAGCTCATTGTGTTCTGTCTCAGTATTGCCGACCTTCCCAGATTCTCTAGTCCCCCTTTCCCTCACAGGTGGGGAACTCAGTGTGTGGCAAAATGTTCCTGCCCTTAAGGAAACAGGGCTCTGGGGAAGTTCTGGACGGTGGGCAATTTATTTCGGGTGGCCATCATTCACTCTCTACCCCTCCCCTTGCCTGCCTTTTCAGATAGGCGTGTTTGACCAGGACCCCCTTCTCTTCTCGATATCCCCCATCAATCTCACTTCTCCCAGTTTTAACTGAAATGTCAATGGTGTCCCCCTAGTCTTAAATCATTCAATTTCTACTTCCTCTGTCTTTTTTTCCTTTTGATACACCATTTAGTACACCATCTCCACTCACCTCCATGGCCATACCTTCAATTTTATTCAAATCAGGAACCACTGTTTGGTTTCGCTAAAGCTGAGCTTTCACTCTCCTGCCAGCTATTTCTGGGTCATGTTAATCTTCATTTTTCTCTGGTTCTTGTAGATGCTTGTTTATCTGACAGTAACCTTATTTGTCAAATGAAGGTGACAATAACATGATTACGCTGCGTTGGCAATTCAGTGAAAAAACACATGTGGGCCGCCATGCAAACCGCCTGGCTGCCAGGAACTTCTCAGCTTACATTAGGTGGATGCCTTGCCCTCCTCTGGGCTGCGCTGATAGTTGTGGTGTTCAGTTATGTCTCCAACTCTTCCTTCTAAACAGGCCTTCCCCTCTCACTGGCTTCCCATACAGCAGCCAAGAAGCCCCACTGGCACAGTCCCTGCCTCTCTTTCTCTAGCACTCCCGAGGCCTGAGCCAGAAAGCAGGCACTGGGCAACACTTGCCTGAGCAGGACCTTTTCTACCTTCTTTGTGATATTTTCCTATTCCTCTACCATAGGGTTGCTTTTTAGTCTCCAGCAAGACAATGTTAACCCACCAAGACTTCCATCTCCGTTCTTTAGACACAAGTACATTTTTTTCAGTATTACCCTCATCAGAATGATGGCTAGAAAGTTGAGTTTAGTCCCCCATGAATCCTTTTATTATTTGATTCTACATTTTAATATGTACTATGTATATTTATACATATTACATTTAGTTACAGGGCATCGTATTAGATACCACACAGAGATTATACTCAAGACTTGGTTTATAAAAATACACCTAATAATTTTTCAAACTAGAGGTTACTTTCTCATGGAACATCCCTCAATTAAAGGAATATCTTTTTGTTCTGAAGAATGGAAACATTCTGAACTCAGTGACTCGTGGGATTTTGCTTTTCTTTTGCTTGTGGCGTGCGCATAATTCTGTAAGAGGAGAGTCCTGCCACCTTAGGCCTCAGTGGGGATGGCTAGGTGTGCATGTGCTTCATGTGCAGTGTGTTCCAGGGCTCCTGAAAACTGTGGTTGCCTTTACTCCCCAGATTCAGCTGTGTCCCCTCCAGTCTGGGATGTTGGTATGAATTCCCCAGCTCTGGTCCTCCCCAGCTCTGTTTCCTCTACTCCTGGCTCAGAAACAGCCATAATCAACAGAACAAATGCTAAATATGGCAACTAAAGGGCCCAGGGACTGATGATGGAAAGTGATTAACGCAAACAACCTTTTTTTGTCTCTAAACATATTATCTGTATTTAGAGAGTTTTCTCTGCATGCCCCAAGGCCTTTAGCCCTACTCACTGCACCTTCTGTGGCTGGCTTTCTTGCCATTATTCATCCTCCAATAGTTTTCCTATTGCTGTTTTTGCTTCATTGCACCATAATCTCTCCATTCTTGAAAATGTTCTCTGTATCCAGCTTGATTTCCTTGTCTGTGTCTTCTCTACCCAGAAACTTATTATTTATTATGATTTGTCCTATTTCATTAGCCAATAAGGAAAAAATTGTCTCCTGGAAAATTTATCTTTAAGACATAATGTAAGAAAGATTATAAAAATATAGAAGCCAGAAGATCTCTATGGACTTTGCCCCAGCCTTGCACATTCCAAGGCTTCCTTTCTTGCTCCAAGCCTCTTCCTTTTCTTGTTCCCTGCCTCTTTTGAGTTGGAGCAAACTGAGGATATCATTATGAATAACAGAAGATTCCATTGTGTTGTCATTTTCTTTTTCAGGCTTGGGTTTGGATACTTCTCCAGTAATGAAGACCGCTCCCAAGCTGGAGAGTGATGCTACTGATGGCCCCTTTGCCAATAAGAATGGCCGCCATGTCATTGGCCACATTGATGACTACAGTGCCCTAAGACAGCAGGTTGCAGAAGGCAAGCTGCTGGTCAAAAAGATAGTGTCTCTTGTGAGATCAGCATGCAGCTTCCCTGGCCTTGAAGCCCAAGGCACAGAGGTAATCACACCTGTAGGTTTAGGTGCACTCTTTCCCTGTGCCCTTTCTTCCTTTGATGTTAACTGCTTCACCCACAATTTTTGTTTTTTTCTTTTTTTCATGCTTTGCCTTCCTCTTCCATGTATAGCAGCCAGGCCCTTTCTTCTCTATCTCCTATTTTCACTCTGAGTTCTGCTCTGTTCCAGATGTAGCTGACTGGATATTTCCCCTCAGCCCCACAGAAACACGTGGCATTGCCTAGCAGCCTTTGGTAGCTTATTATCTACTGCAGTCATGCAGGCACATGACCATCTGTGGGCACAGTCGACTCAATGGGATGGACAGAAACTGAAGGATTTGCAGGTATATGGCCCCCATATGTGGAAGGGGTGAGAAGTCTGGCAGCCATGGCATTTCCTTGTGCAGACTGCATAGGGAGAGGGAAGGCAGGCAGCAAAGCTTGTCAGAGCACCTTGCCAGTGAGAGAGACCAGGCACCATGGCTGTGCTGTCTGAGCTGCTGGAGACCCATGAATGCATAGGAGCAGCCCTGTCTCCACGGAACCCCCACACTAGAGGACAAGACACACACCCAAGTAGATAAGCACAGTAAGGGGCTACAGGCACAGTATGAGAAGTCATCCCTATGCTGTGAGAGCGCCGATGCAAATGTGGTCATTTATCTCAGGCGAGGAAGGTAACAGGTTCATAGAGGACACAGCAAGTGGGGTGAGTTTTGAAAGCCTTGTGGGTTCTGCAGGTGGAGAAAGGCATACCTGGTAAAGGGAGCAGCACCTTAGTTCTGAGTGCTGCAAATGGTTGTGAGAGGGCTTCACAGGTTCAAGCAGGCCCATGTTCTGTGCCTCACTCACAAAGGAAACTTGAGCCCATGCAGGGGGAAGAAAGTAATCTCTCCACTTCTGTGGTGTTACCTTTCCCCAGGAGCTTGGCAGCAAAGGCATTCATGAGCTTCAGAGCAGCACCAGTGCCCTGCACCATGCCCTAGAGGAGTTGGCTTCCCTCCTCACCATGTTCTGGAGAGCAGCCCTGCCAAGGACCCACATCCCTGTGATGCCTGGCAAAGTGGAAAGATGCCAGTGTCCTTTCTTGGTTCAAACCCAGTTCTCCTGCCCTCTAATACTGTTCTTTCTCCTCAATGTCACAGCTTTTCCAGAAAATCAGGAGCCACATAGTAAGTTGGGATAGACAGAAACTTAGAGGAGTGTCCCTGGAGGGACATCTCTGGCCCATGGTGGCTGCTTTCATTGCAGCTCTAAATACATCCCATTCCCTGCCAGCCCCCTGGCCCCTGGATAAGAAATCAAAGAAGAATAGGAAGGGGTGTGGAGAAGGCAGAGACATCATAACCCTGGCAATCCATAAATGTTCAGTTTCTTTACCTCTCTGAAATTTGGCTGAGATGAAATTAAGTGAAAGCTTCAGCACCCATCTCCCACCCCTCAGGTCCCATGGTCAAATGATCACAGAATGCCCCCATGAGACTGAGCCTTTTTAGCCACTGCCTGGAATCCCTGCATATCACTTAAGCTGGCCTCTCTGGACCAGGCCTGGGGAAAGTCAGCCACCCCTCAGGATCTGTTCAGAGCTCAGGCTAACTCTGATTGGCAGACCCTCATGTAGGCAGGTTTCAGGATCCCCTCCCCAGGGATTCTAACTCCAGATCAATGTCACCAATACCTTTTGGATCCAACTATGCTAATTCCAGGGAGACGGTGTTTTGCCATCTTCATGTTGGCACAAATATTTACAAACTTGCAAACTTGCCTGAGTCCAGATCTCTCTCTCCAGCATAACATTTCTGAACTCTCAATCTTACCTGTGAAGGGAGAGTGACAGAACTGATATCAGGACTAAAGCAAGGTCCTCTTCAGATTTGGGAGCTTTATACCAGCCTGAAGTGAGGTTCTCTTAAGCTAAAGGTGTGTAGGCCTGTGCTAGTCTGCATGGGGAATTCCAGAGTCTCAATACTCCTGCCTAATGGCCTCATCCGAAACTGTCCTCAGCTGGAAGTATTCGAGGCTGTGAAGGAGGAAATCCATTTCAGGAGAGTGGAGAAGATTGTAGAATCCTTCTTTGAATTGGAAAGAGCCACAAAGCACAGGGTGCTTTAGGCCTTCTGCCTGTTCAGTAAGAGTCTGTACCTCTTATCAAGGGAGAATTGACAGAAAGGGAACTTCTGGAACTGAGAACCAAAGTATCCAAACAGGAGTGGCTCCTTCAAAGCATAGCTGAGCATCTGAAGACCGCCAACCAGCAGAAGGAGAGCATGGAGCAGTTCATCATCAGCCAGCGTAGGTTCCCTGAGAGGGAATGGGGGAAGAAACAGGCAGTCTTCCCGATGCCCCACTTGTGCTGCAGATGAGCAGTGACCAGGGGGGCTTGGGGATGTTGGGAGTTGAGACTGATTTGATGTCCCCAAACCTCCTGTGCCATGAGCAATTGTGGATGCAGAGGAGAGGAGGATGGGGTGGATAGCAGGAGACTCCAAGCTGAATGGCCAGAAAGAAATAAATGCTTTAGAATTCTCATGCTAAGCAAGTAGGGTTAATTTTTGCTGGTGATTTCTACTCTGTGGTGCTCTTTTGTTGTTTCAGTAACCAGAACACATGATGTTTTAAAGAAGGCAAGCACTAACTTAGAGGTAAGGAAACTACTGCAGCAGTCAGAGGCACCAAGCCTGTCCCCAACCCATTGCCATCCGTTAGCATATCTTGTAGGTGACCCTTGGCCTGCTTTGGCCTTCCAGGAGAAGATTTTGGGTCCACTTGCAAGATCACAGGTCCTCAGTGAGCATCCTGCTAATTTCTGTTCCCATCACTCTCTCACCCTGTCAGCTCCTGCCCCAGTATTTTGGTTCACTCTCACATTGTCGTCATCTCTCCTTTTTACTCCAATTTTTCTTCTTTGATGCCAAGTCAGGAGACTGGAGAAATGCAATTCAGCTCACTCTCAAAGTCATTAGACATCCGGAAGTCTGCCTCTGAATGAGCTTTTGGTAGAGGGATCTTGAGGCCAGTTATGTGGTCTAGTCTTCATGAAAAAGTAAAAGCAATTTGCAACCTAATAAACTGATTTCACTGCACACTCCTGTGTTAAGAACAGCAATTTGATTTTGATATATCTTTAAGAAACATGACAAAAGAGATCTGTTGGGTCTCATTGGTCTAAAAGAGAATTTGTTAATAAATAACAACTGAATCTTAAGGGGAAAAATGTTATATATGTACCACATATTCTCTACATTTACTTAAAACACTAAGTGTTAACCGTTCCCTAGGAAGTGCTTTGAAGAAAAACTTGAGGTATATGAATGGTTTAAAAATCAGAAACTAAACCTTTTAACGTGGACTTCAAAGCTTTGCCATAAGCAATTGAGCATATTCCTAGAAATATTTCTAAACTGTAACCTGAGAGAATGTTGATCTCCATAGTGTGAAAATAGTGTGAAAATGACTTGGGCCAGTTTAACTTGCTCTTTTTTTTTTTTTTTTTTTCACTAACTCCCTTTTGTTTTTCTCTGATAATTCTTCTCTTTCCTAGGCCTCTTTAGAGCAACACTTACAGGATTGCCTCTGTAAAGCCTTATTCCTGTCCCAGGAAAGGTAACCCAAAAAGTCTCTTGTATCCACTAAAAGGTAACCCAAAAGTCTCTAGTATCCACTGGCTTTCTCCAGTGTGGAAGCTTTCCCCTCCACCTCCCATAGATCACTGGAAAGGACCCGAGGCCTCGGTTCTAATCCCTGGCTTATCACTAACTGCTGTGTGGCCTTGGCTTGTCCTTTAATCTCTATGAGACTGCTGCACCCTTATCTGTCAAAGATGGAACTGGACTTAGTTGAGCTCTGAGGTCCCTGTGGACTTGGCCCCTCCACACCCTCATTGTGGCAACTGGACATAAACTTAACAGAGGACCCCCCTGCAAAATGTCCTCTTCTTTCTACAACAGGCTGTTTCTGTATGTGCATGTTTCATGCTAAGCACTTCTTTCTTGGGTGGACTTGGCAAAGCCCTCTTTCTGCTGAGACAGTGATTTGGAGAGTCACCTGGCCCCTGAAGAGGGAGTGGTAGGATCCAGCCACCCAGTGTGCAGTGAATCGGAGCAGGGATCTCAGCACACAGGGAGGTGGGGAGGCTCCCCCTAACCTCAGGCACCTGTTGTTCTTCGAGACTGCAACGCATGCTCTTAGCTCATCCTCTTAACTGGCTCTCACCGTGCTCCTGTCTTTAGTCACCCCATAGCTCTCACTCCAGCTTCAGGTAGCCATCAGTAGGGCCTGGCAATATACACTGATTTGGTTTGTTTTATTTTTGTCTGCAGGTGAAATCCCTAAGAGCTCTGCCATGTACTCCTTGTGACCCTTGCCTTCCAGGAACCATGCAAGAAGCGCAGCCACCAGAAGTCCTTAAAACAGCAGGAAACGTGGGCCTGTCCCCCTTTTGTGCAGCTACCTATCTGCTGAGGAGCTTCTGGGCCTCATTCCTCCAAGTCCACGGGAGGGTCCAGAAGAGGGGGTCAGAGATGTATCCTGGTGGAGCTGGGAGAAAACCAGAAAGCCTTTCTGACAGCTATGGAATACCGTTAGCCAAGGTCCACTTGGCCCAGCACTAAGCAAAAGATGCGTAGTTTGCATAGAAGGTTTTGTGATACTGCTTCCCAACAGCCCCAGCAGCTTGGGAACTAGCAACAACACATTTCTTGCCTCATCAGCTGTCCTGAGATGGAAAACTCAGTGGATATAGGACCCTGATTACGATGAATGGGGCACATGGTCCCAATGCTGGAGCTCCTCTGGCAGGTTCTAAAAGCACACTACTGAGCAGCGGTGCCCTGCTGGACACTGCTGGCAGGGGCTCAGTGAGCACTACTCACAGATCCACACCTGACCCTGTTGGGTCCAGTCAGACTGGGCCTTGGTCTGCACTGTAGCACCTGTGTTCTTTGAGTTCACATCATGAATGTGACTTCCCAGATACCATTTCAGGCTTAACCTAGCACATCCTATTTCTTTTCTTCTATGATATCCAAATTGGACTGACCTCACTTCAAATACTCTGTCCCATTTTGTCACCCTGTCTTACCTCAGGGAAATTGGGGACTGATGGCCAGACCAATTCTGTTGAAATTCTTGCATAGAGCAAACCTGTGCTGATTTTTAAGTGGCATGGGAGAGGCCCCCAGCCACAGTAAAGCCTAGTCTGTGTCTTCACAGTGTTGATAGAATCTGCTTGTGTGTATAAATGTATGATATAGATTTACATATGTTGCTATCGCCATATATTGAAGGCCAACATAACTGGTGGACAGGGTAGGTGAGAGAAAATGAAAGTCTTTTTGGTGATTATTAAAGCAAAATGTGTATAAAGAAATAAATAGTTTTTCTTTCACTGCTTTGTTTCCCATTTCTGCACCAATCCCTTGACAGTATAAAGAACTGGAAAGAGAAAATGGGAAAGACAAACTGTGTTTAAGAAGTGCATAGTCTAATGCTTGAACTCTGACTTTAAAAGATTAAGGTTTTCCTTCTTTGTCATTTTGTAAGAATCCTCAGTCTGAAAATATGAAAGAATGGTTCTTAAACTTGGTGTACCTTAGAAGCAGCTGTGAAGATTACAGGAACTACCTCCTGGTCTCCAATCCCAGGAGATTTAGTTGGTGTGAGCCCTAGAATCTGCATTTTTTAAATATAAGCACCCCAGGTGATTCCATTACATGTGGGCTGCAGATCACAGTTTAAAAAAACAGTGTTCTATAACATTGAATCAAAACTAAAACTACATTTAAGGACCTTGAATCAAAAAGTATGTCATTCCATTAATATTTGTATAAAAATTTTAAAATATTCCTTGGGAAAAGTCCCTAGCTACATGCTTTTGATCCCCAAGATTAAAATAAAGCTATCACTTCACAATTATTTACTAGAAGCATTTAAAAAATAAACAGGTAGAAGGTGGAGTAAGATGGTAGAATAGAATTCTCCAGCAATGGTGTCTCTGAAGGAACATCAAATTGAACAACTATCTATGTAAGAAAACAATTTCACAAAGGCTAATCAGGTGAGAGATCATAGCAGCTGGTTTTAACATGATAACAAGAAAAGATGCATTGAAGAAGGGAGGACGGACACTTTTCCATTGCCTATGACACCTCTCCCCCAACCACAGGAAATGCATCTCCGAGAGAGAATCTAATGGCTTGGGGACAAGGAGGAAAGTGTGGGACTTTATATTGAAACTTAGTACCAGTCTTGCCATAGTGACACATGGCACTGGACAAAACCCCACAGCACTTGATTCCAGGCTGGTGCCCACAAAAGAAGCATTTAGACCCACTCTGGGCCACAAGGGAATCAGATGCCCCAGCAGGAAGAACCCACCAAAGTTCTGGCCGGCTTTATCTCTGGAAATTTATTGGGCTACAAATAAATTTCAGTGGCAGCCAGGCTGTAGTTCAGAGGTGACAGCATGCTGGCAGCCCTCACAGCCCTCGCTCACTCTCGGTGCCTCCTCGGCCTCGGTGCCCATTCTGGCCGCACTTGAGGAGCCCTTCGGCCCGCCACTACACCACGGGAGCCCTTCTCTGGGCTGGCTGAGGCAGGAGCCGGCTCCGTCGGCTTGTGGGGAGGTGTGAAGGGAGAGGCATGGGTGGAAACCGGGCTGTGTGAGACACTTGGGGGCTAGCTGGAGTTCCGGGTGGGCATGGGCTTGGCGGCCCCGCAATCGGAGCGGGACTTAGCACCCTGGGCAGCAGCTGCGGAGGGTGCGCCGGGTGCCCCAGCAGTGCTGGCCCACCAGTGCTGTGCTCGATTTCTCCCTGGGCCTTAGCTGCCTCCCTGCGGGGCAGGGCTCCGGACCTGCAGCCCGCCATGCCTCAGTCCCCCACAGTGGGCTCCTGCACGGCCTGAGCCTCCCCAAGGAGCGCCGCCTCCTGCTCCATGGCTCCAGGTCCCATCAACCGCCCAAGGGCTGAGGAGTGCGGGTGCATGGCGTGGGACTGGCAGGCAGCTCCACCTGCGGCCCTGGTGCGAGATCCACTGGGCGAAGCCAGCTGGGCTCCTCAGTCTAGTGGGGACTTGGGAGAAACTTTATGTCTAGCTAAGGGATTATGAATACACCAGTCAGCACTCTGTATCTAGCTCAAGGTTTGTAAATGCACCAATCAGCATCCTGTGTCTAGCTCAGGGTTTGTGGATGCACTCTGTATCTAGCTAATCTGGTGGGGACTTGGAGAATCTTTATGTCTAGCTAAGGGATTGTGAATGCACCAATTGGCACTCTGTATCTAGCTCAAGGTTTGTAAATGCACCAATCAGCACTCTGTGTCTAGCTCAGGGTTTGTAAATACACCAATCAACACTCTGTATCTAGCTTATCTAGTGGGGACGTGGATAACTTTTGTGTCTAGCTCAGGGATTGTAAAGGCACCAGTCAGCACCCTGTCAAAACAAACCAATCAGCTCTCTGTAAAACAGACCAATTGGTTCTCTGTAAAATGGACCAATCAGCAGGATGTGGGTGGGGCCAGATAAGGGACTAAAAGCAGGCTGCCCAGCCAGAAGCGGCAACCTGCTCAGGTCCCCTTCCACGCTGTGGAAAGTTTGTTCTTTTGCTCTTTGCAATAAATCTAGCTGCTGCTCACTCTTTCGGTCCACACTGCCTTTATGAGCTGTGACACTCACTGCGAAGGTCTGCAGCTTCACTCCTGAGCCAGTGAGACCACCAACCCACGAGAAGGAAGAAACCCCGAAGACATCCGAACATCAGAAGGAAAAAACTCTGGACACGCCACCTTTAAGAACTGTAATACCCACCGTGAGGGTCCGTGGCTTCATTCTTGAAGTCAGTGAGACCAAGAACCCACCAATTCCAGACACATAGTGACTGCAGTCCTTGGGCAAGCCCTGAAGCTGCATAGGTCTGGAAGACCCTAGACTTGAGGTGTAAGCCAGTACGACAGCAGCAGGGCAGCAGCTATGGGAATGTCTGTATCACCCCTCCTCACACTCCAGGCAGTGCAGCCTGAAGAGAGATTCCTTTTGCTTGGGGGAAAGAAAGGGAAGTAAGCTAGAGGCTTTACCTAGGAATGTAGAGAACAATCCCTGAACTTCCCCAAGTCCACAGGGCTGGGGACCTAGGAATCTATAAGAATTGCAGTGTACCTGGGCTTTGAATGCCCTGTAGTATAAGAATGGCTGCAGTGATCACTGGCTTAGGGAACTCGTCAGCCCACTTTGAATTCCTGGAAGGTCCTCTGAAGGACAGGTACAAACAAGACCTGACTGCAAAGGCTGGAATAAATACCATATTCTCCAATGCCCAGATATTGACCAACATCTACAGTATCAATAACATTTAAGTCAATATGACCTCAACAAATGGACCAAGTAAGGCACCCAGTGACCAACCCTGGAGAGGTGGAGATGTGTAACCTCTCAGGGAATTCAGAATAGCTATTTTGAGAAAGCTCAATGAACTTCAGGGAAACACAGAGAAGCAATTCAGAAATATATCAGAAATTTAACAAGGATACTGAAGTAATAGAAAAAAATCAAACAAATCCTGGGCTGGAAAATGCATTAGTGGGTCTCAGTAGAACTGATCAAGCAGCAGAAAGAATTAGTGAGCATGAAAACAAGCTATTTGAAAATACAGTCAGAGGAGAAAAAAGAAAAGAAGAACGAGAAGGAACACAGAATGCTTAAGAGATCTAGAAGAGGGCCTCAAAAGAGAAAATCAAAGATTCATTGGCCTTAAAGAGACGGTTGAGAAGGAGCAAAGAGTAGAACCCTTATTCAAAGAAATAATCTTTTTTTAAAAAATACTTTAAGTTCTAGGGTACATGTGCACAACGTGCAGGTTTGTTACATAGGTATACATGTGCCATGTTGGTTTGCTGCACACACCAACTCGTCATTTACATTAGGCATTTCTGCTAACGCTATCCCTCCCACAGCCCCCCACCCCACAACAGGCCCCAGTGTGTGATGTTCCCCTCCCTGTGTCCATGTGTTCTCATTGGTCAATTCCCACTTAAGAGTGAGAATATGCGGAGTTTGGTTTTCTGCCCTTGTGATATTTTGCTGAGAGTGATGGTTTCCAGCTTCATCTATGTCCCTGGGAAGGACACGAACTCATCCTTTTTATTGCTGCATAGTATTCCTTGGTGTACATGTGCCACATTTTCTTTATCTAGTCTATTACTGATGGACATTTGGGTTGGTTCCAAGTCTTTGCTATTGTGAATAGTGCCACAATGAACATAGGTATCCATGTGTCTTTATAGTAGCATGATTTATAATCTTTAGGGTATATACCCAGTAATGGGATTGCTGGGTCAAACGGTATTTCTAGTTCTAGGCCCTTGAGGAATCACCACACTGTCTTCCACACCGGTTGAACTAATTTATACTCCCACCAACAGTGTAAAAGCGTTCCTATTTCTCCACGTCCTCTCCAGCATCTGTTGTTTCCTGACTTTTTAATGATCGTCATTCTAACTGGCATGAGTGGTATCTCATTGTGGTTTTGATTTGCATTCCTTAAATGACCAGTGATGATGAGCCTTTTTTCCTATGTCTGTTGGCTGCATAAGTGTCTTCTTTTGAGAAGTGTCTGTTCATATCCTTTGCCCACTTTTTGATGGGGTTGTTTTTTTCTTCTAAATTTGTTTAAGTTCTTTCTAGATGCTGGATATTAGCCCTTTGTCAGATGGATAGATTGCAAAAATTTTCTCCCATTCCGTAGGTTGCCTGTTCACTCTGATGACAGTTTCTTTTGCTGTGCAGAATCTCTTTAGTTTAATTGGATCCCATTTGTCTATTTTGACTTTCGTTGCCATTGCTTTTGGTGTTTTAATCATGAAGTCTTTGCCCATGCCTGTGTCCTGAATGGTATTGCCTAGGTTTTCTTCTAGGGTTTTTATGGTGTTACATCTTACATTTAAGTCTTTAATCCACCTTCAGTTAATTTTTGTGTAAGGTGTAAGGAAGGTATCCAGTTTCAGCTTTCTACATATGGCTATCCAGTTTCCCCAGCACCATTCATTAAATAGGGAATCCTTTCCCCATTGCTTGTTTTTGTCAGGTTTGTCAAAGATCAGATGGTTGTAGATGTGTGGTGTTATTTCTGAGGGCTCTGTTCTGTTCCATTGGTCTATATCTCTGTTTTGGTACCAGTACCATGCTGTTTTGGTTACTGTAGCCTTGTAGTATAGTTTGAAGTCAGGTAGCATGATGCCTCCAGCTTTGTTCTTTTGGCTTAGGATTGTCTTGGCTATGGGAGCTCTTTTTTGGATCCATATGAAGTTTAAAGTATTTTTTTTCCAATTCTGTGAAGAAAGTCAGTGGTAGCTTGATGGGGATAGCAATGAATCTATAAATTACCTTGGGTAGTATGGCCATTTTCATGATATTGATTCTTCCTATCCATGAGCATGGAATGTTCTTCCATTTGTTTGTGTCTTCTTTTATTTCCTTGAGCAGTGGTTTGTAGTTCTCCTTGAAGAGGTTCTTCACATCCTTTGTAAGTTGGATTCCTAGATATTTTATTCTCTTTGAAGCAATTGTGAATGGGAGTTCACTCATAATTTTGCTCTCTGTTTGTCTGTTCTTGGTGTATAGGAATGCTTGTAATTTTTGCACATTGATTTTGTATCCTGAGATTTTGCTGAAGTTGCTTATCAGCTTAAGGAGATTTTGGGCTGAGATGATGGGGTTTTCTAAATACACAATCATGTCATGTGCAAACAGAGACAATTTGACTTCCTCTTTTTCCTAATTGAATACGCTTTATTTCTTTCTCTTGCCTGATTGGCCTGGCCAGAACTTCCAATACTACATTGAATAGGAGTGGTGAGAGAGGGCATTGTTGTCTTGTGCTGGTTTTCAAAGGGAATGCATCCAGTTTTTGCCCTTTCAGTATGATATTGGCTGTGGGTTTGTCATAAATAGCGCTTATTATTTTCAGATATATTCAATCAATACCTAGTTTATTGAGAGTTTTTAGCATGAAAGGCTGTTGAATTTTGTTGAAGGCATTTTCTGCATCATTTGAGATAATCTTGCGGTTTTTGTCATTGGTTCTGTTTATGTGATGGATTACGTTTATTGATGTGTGTATGTTGAACCAGCCTTGCATCCCAGGGATGAAGCCAACTTGATCATGGTGGATAAGCTTTTTGATGTGCTGCTGGATTCAGTTTGCCAGTATTTTATTGAGGATTTTCACATCCATGTTCATTGGGGATATTGGCCTAAAATTATCTTTTTTTGTTTTGTCTCTGCCAGGCTTTGGTATCAGGATGATGCTGCCCTCACAAAATGAGTTAGGGAGGATTCCTTCTTTTTCTATTGATTGGAATACTTTCAGAAGGAATGGTTCCAGCTCCTCTTTGTACCTCTGGTAGAATTTGGCTGTGAATCTATCTGGTCCTGGAATGTTTTTGCTTGGTAGGCTATTAATTATTGCCTCAATTACAGAACCTGTTATTGGTCTATTCCAGGATTTGAGTTCTTCCTGGTTTAGTCTTGTGAGGGTGTATGAGTCCAGGAATTTATCCATTTCTTCTAGGTTTTCTAGTTTTTTTGCATAGAGGTGTTTATAGTATCCTCTGATGGTAGTTTGTATTTCTGTGGGATCAGTGGTGATATCCCCTTTTTCATTTTTTATTGCGTCTATTTGATTCTTGTCTCTTTTCTCCTTTATGAGTCTTGCTAGGGGTCTATTTTGTTGATCTTTTCAAAAAACCAGCTCCTGGATTCATTGATTTTTTGAAGGGTTTTTTGTGTCTCTATCTCCTTCAGTTCTGCTCTGATCTTAGTTATTTCTGTTTTCTGCTAGCTTTTGAATGTGTTTGCTCTTGCTTCTCTAGTTCTTTTAATTGTGATGTTAGTGTGCTGATTTTAGATCTTTCCTGCTTTCTCTTGGGGGCATTTAGTGCTATAAATTTCCCTCTACACACTGCTTCAAATGTGTCCCAGAGATTCTGGTATGTTGTGTTTTTGTTCTCATTGGTTCCAAAAAACATCTTTATTTCTCCCTTCATTTCGCTATTTACCCAGTAGTCATTCAGGAGCAGGTTGTTCAGTTTCCATGTAGTTGTGCAGTTTTGAGTGAGTTTCTTAATCCTGAGTTCTAATTTGATTGTGCTGTGGTCTGAGAGACACATTGTTGTGATTTCTATTCTTTTACATTCACTGAGGAGTGTTTTACTTCCAATTATGTGGTCAATTTTAGAATAAGTGTGATGTGGTGCTGAGAAGAATTTATATTCTGCTGATTAGGGGTGGAGAGTTCTGTAGATGTCTATTAGGTACACTTGGTCCAGAGCTGAGTTCAAGTCCTGGATATCCTTGTTAAGCTTCTGTCTCATTGATCTGTCTAACATTGTCAGTGGGGTGTTAAAATCTCCCATTATGATTGTGTGGGAGTCTAAGTCTCTTTTTAGGTCTCTAAGAACTTGCTTTATGAATCTGGGTGCTTCTGTATTGGGTGCATATATATTTAGGATAGTTAGCTCTCCTTGTTGAATTGATCCCTTTACCATTATGTAATGGCCTTCTTTGTCTCTTTTGATCTTTGTTTTTTAAAGTCTATTTTATCAGAGACCAGGATTGCAACCCCTGCTTTTCTTTTTGCTTTCCATTTGCTTGGTAGATCTTCCTCCATCCCTTTATTTTGAGGCTATGTGTGTCTTTGCACGTGAGATGGGTCTCCTGAATATAGCACACTGATGGGTCTTGACTCTTTATCCAATTTGCCAGTCTGTGCCTTTTAATTGGGGCATTTAGCCCATTTACATTTCAGGTTAATATTGTTATGGGTGAATTTGATCCTGTCATTATGATGCTAGCTGTTTATTTCACCCATTAGTTGATGCACTTTCTTCCTAGCATTGATGGTCTTTACAATTTGGCATGTTTTTGCAGTGGCTGGTACTGGTTGTTCCTTTCCATGTTTAGTGCTCCCTTCAGGAGCTCTTGTAAGGTAGGCCTGGTGGTGACAAAATCTCTTAGCATTTGCTTGTCTGTAAAGTATCTTATTTTTCCTTCATTTATGAAGTTTCGTTTGGCTGGATATGAAATTCTGGATTGAAAATTCTTTTCTTTAAGAATGTTGAATATTGGCCCCCACTTTCTTCTGGCTTGTACAGTTTCTGCTGAGACATCCGCTGTTAGTCTGATGAGCTTCCCTTTGTGGGTAACCCTACATTTCTCTCTGGCTGCCCTTAACATTCTTTTTTTTGTTGTTCATTTCAACCTTGGTGAATCTGACAATTATGTGTCTTGGGGTTGCTTTTCTCAATGAGTATCTTTGTGGTGTTCCCTGTATTTCCTGAATTTGAATGTTGGCCTGCCTTGCTAGGTTTGGGAAGTACTCCTGAATAATATCCTGAAGAGTGTTTTCTAACTTGGTTCCATTCTCCTGATCACTTTCAGATACACCAATCAAATGTGGATTTGGTCTTTTCATATAGTCCCATATTTCTTGGAGGCTTTGTTCATTTCTTTGTACTCTTTTTTCTTGAATCTTGTCTTCTGGCTTTATTTCATTAATTTGATCTTCAATCACTGATATCCTTTATTCTGCTTGATCGAATTGGCTATTGAAACTTGTGTATGCTTCACTAGGTTCTTGTACTGTGGTTTTCAGCTCCTTCAGGTCATTTAAGCTCTTCTCTACACTGTTTATTCTAGTTAGCCATTCATCTAACCTTTTTTCAATGTTTTCAGCTTCCTTGCAATGGATTAAAACATGCTCCTTTAGCCCAGAGAAGTTTGTTAATACCGACCTTCTGAAGCCTACTTCTGTCACCTTGTCAAACTCATTCTCCATCCAGTTTTGTTCCCTTGCTGGTGAGGATTTGTGTTCCTTTGGAGGAGAAGAGGTATTCTGATTTTTGGAATTTTCAGCCTTTCTGCTCTGGTTTCTCCCCATCTTTATGGTTTTATCTACTACTTTGGTCTTTGATGTTGGTGACCTATCGATGGGGTTTTGGTGTGGATGTCCTTTTTGTTGATGTTGATGCTATTCCTTTCTATTGGTTAATTTTTTTTCTAACAGGCAGGCCCCTCAGCTGCAGGTCTGTTGGAGTTTGCTGGAGGTCCACTCCAGACCCTGTTTGCCTGGGCGTCACCAGCAGAGGCTGCAGAATAGCAAATATTGCTGCCTGATCCTTCCTCTAGAAGCTTCATCTCAGAGGGACACCCACCTGTGTGGGGTGTCTGTTGGCCCCTACTGGGAGGTGTCTCCCAGTCAGGCTATATGGTGGTCAGGGACCCACTTGAGGAGGCTGTCTGTCTGTTATCAGAGCTCGAATGTCATGCTGGGATAACCACTGCTCTCTTCAGAGTTGTCAGGCAAGGATGTTTACGTCTGTAGAAGCTGTCTGCTACCTTTTATTCAGATATGCTTTGCCCCCAGAGGTGGAATCTAAAGAGGCAGTATGCCTTGCTGAGCTGTGGTGGGCTCTGCCCAGTTCAAGCTTCCCTACCACTTTGTTTACACTGTGACCATACAACCACCTACTCAAGCCTCAGCAGTGGCAGAACCCCTCCCCCTGCCATGCTTCAGTGTATCAGGTTGATCTCAGACTGCTGCACTAGCAGTAGGCAAGGCTCCATGGGTGCGGGACCCACCGAGCCAGGCATGGGAGGGAATCTCCTGGTCTGTCAGTTGTGAAGACAGTAGAAAATGTGCAGTATTTGGGCAGAAATGTACTGCTCCTCCAGGTACAGTCACTCACAGTTTCCTTTGGCTAGGAAGAAGAAATCTGCCAATCCCTTGTGCTTCCCAGGTGAGGCAATGCCCCACCCTACTTTGGTTTGTCCTCCATGGGTTGCACCCACTGTCCAACCAGTCCCAATGAGATGAACCTGGTACCTCAGTTGGAAATGCAGAAATCATCCATCTTCAGCTTCACTCTCACTGGAAGCTGTAGACTGGAGCTGTTCCTATTCCACCATCTTTGAAGCAACCGTCTTTTTTTTTTTTTTTTTTTTTTGTATTTTTGGTAGTGACAGGGTTTCACCATATTGCCCAGGCTGCGTTTCAAACTCCTGAGGTCAAGCCATTCATTAAAACAAACCTATATTTGTTTTATCTGAGTTCCTTCCTCAGGAAAGGACCCTCAGGCCTCTCAGAAAGCATCATAGACCTGAAACTCAGCTGATCACAGCCTCTAGACAACTAGATGCCAGAACCCTCACTCAACATGAGTGCTTCCTCACCACTCCCTAGTTCCTCTTTTCCCACACACAGTTACATTTCTTCCCTGCTATATAAGCCCCCAACTTTAGTCAATCAGGGAGATAGATTTGAGACTAACCTCCCATCTCCGCAGCCACAGCACCGATCAAAGCCTTCTTCCTCAGCAATACTCAATGTCTCAATGATTGGCTTTCTGTGTGCTGAGCAGCAGGGCCTACACTGAACCCCTGGGGTTTTGGTAAAAATACATGTACCCTTTCAAAAACCGCAATTAATGGGTTGTGGCATATTGAGGAATTGGAATGGCGTCAACTTGGCCGATTCTGAGAAAACACACTGTGCTTAAGTGTCAGGGCCCTGCCTCCTGACCTTGGCAGTTTATGGTTGATTTTGAGGCACAGCAGGGGTGTGTGGCCTGGTTTGAGTGTTTTATAGAAATGTAAAATATGACTGATTTATTTGTATTTTAAATTCAACAAATCTCCATTTCTGGTGAGAAAATCTTGCCAAAACCAACTAAACAAAGGCATAGACGTATATGAAGAAGAAAATAAAAGACTCCTTGCCTCCCAATCCCACTTGCTTGGTGTCAGCCATTATTTATTACATGGAGGAAGGGGACAAGGCACCCAGGAAGTCCCAAGTCCTGTTCTGACAATCATGTGGCCTCACTGGACAAAGGGAAAAGAGGGAAGGCAAAAAGAATGTAACACTACAGTTTGCAGAAATTTCCCTTTGGTAGAGGAAACACTGGTAAGCTGAGAGAGTATGTTTTCCAGGAGGGAGGCCTCAAAGGGCTCTTCTCTGGCCCTAAGCCCAAACTGGATTTTGCCTCATTTTCTGAGGTGCAAATGAAATGATAAAAGTTGATCAAAGGAGAGGGCAGAGAGAAAGAAAGAGGACAACTCCTCTCTCGCAGGTCCACCTTCCTTGGTGCTGCTTGAGGGATCAGAAGAAATGCCTTAACATAGGTGCATGAGAACTATGGCTGCTAAATATGAACTTAGTTACCTCCAGTTACAAGCTAGTGTGAGGTTCCATGGTGTAATGGTGAGGGCTTTGGACTCTGACTACAGTGATCAGAGTTCAAGTCTCAGTGGGACCTTTCTGTATAATTCCAGTGAGGTTCCTCTCTATTGCTCCCGAGTGGAATGGGGGAAATTGCCGCAATCGTGGTCATGGACCCTCCAGGCCACTGGCTATATGCAATTGGAGTCCTGGACCCAGTGACCCAGCAAGACCCCTCCCCTCTCAGGGTGACCCTGGGCTTCCAGGTCAGAGGTCTCCTCCACTAAAAAGGCTGCCTTCCCTCAATCCTAGACCCCGAGTTTTCTTTTACTCATGTCATCGGGCCGCTGCCCTGTGTCTCTTTGGAAGAAATTACCTACGTGAAAAACTTTACTTTCAGGATTCCCTAATTCCTTCATCCCATAGGATGGTGAAGTTTTTAATTCCTGATATTGGGTCAAGTTCTAATGCGCACATTGCTTTTTGTTTTCATGGGATCCCTTCCAACCAGCTACCAGTGGATTTCTGTCTTGGGGTCTCTGTGGATGGCAACTAGATGCTGCTCTTGTCTGAACTCCTGACACCTCTCTGCAGGGAATTGCCTCCCTTAGCCTCCTAAATCAGTCAACATTTAGATTTGAGCCTGGAATCCCAGCATCTGTGGAGAACAGAGGTTCCTGATCCCTGGCCAGCTCTCCCTCAGTGAAGGGGGGAGGAAGAGAGCAGCTGTAAGGTGCAAGTCTGGGGCCCTGGGCAACCCCCTTCTTCCTGCCCAGACTCTGCTCCAAGGAGAAGTTGCCTTAGGACCAGATCAGATGGAAACTCTTTTGTTCTCTTCTCATCAACAGAAAAATTTAGACAAGAACTCTGGAGGACCTTCCTAGCTTATACAAATGGTGTGGCCAAATCTCTCCAGTTTTGGAAATGTCCAAGTTTACCAAGTGTTTTGAGGGCTCACTTTGGAGCCTCTGAAAAGGAGGGGTGAGGGCCCACGGAAGGTACCTGAGGGATGCAGGGGAGAGAGGGGAAAAAGCAGACAGAAGGGAGGAGAGAAGGAGGGAGGGGGAGAAAGGGTGTGTGAGGGCCAGGAGCCAGGATTCAACCTGACAGTTCAGTGACTGCTCCCTGCCCCCAAGGTTCCCACTGTGGCACCTTCCAGCAGGTGGTTTCCATCTCTTATTGATATCCTAAGAACTTGGTCCTACGGAACAGTCCCACCCTATTTGTCTGGCATGAGTCCTGGCAGTTTCTTTTCATCTTTTGGGGGATCAGATGGGGGTATATAGGTTTGCAAGTGACAAGGAGCTAAGTCAGGACCTTGTGAAGCTGCTCAGAGTTAACTGTCAAGCAGCCTCCTTTCCCCCTTCCCCTGAAGGATGATTGCCTGCAAGACAGGGCCTGGAGGAGGCCAGGGCACCCAAGGCCACAGAAATGCCCTGGGATGAGTCCCGGCAGGAGATGCCTTGGCTGAGCTGACTGTGCACTTCCAGGGCTCACAGGGGTCTGGCCAGGAGACTGAGCAAGGGGACCAGGGAGGTTATGCAGAGGCTTCTGCACAGCAAGGCAGACATTCTTCTTGGAGCCCCCAACCCAAATCAGGTCTTCCACCTCCTCTTCCTAAAGACCCTTTACTGCAGCTATTCTTTTACTAGAACTACAAGTTTATAGGACATAGATTTCAGTGCCCTCATCTGGCCAACCATCTTCAGCTGCCAATGCCCAGGGTAACCTCCCTCCCTACCAAGACCTGACTCAGGACCTTACCTTAAGGAGAAGATGTCCTGTTCTTTCTTTCCCACAAGAACTGCCCTAGCTCAGACCCCATTTCTGTCTGGTGACCAGGACAGTCCCCTCACCAGTCTCGCAGGTTGGGGAGGGCAGATTCTCCTCAGCTCCCTGCCCCTGAGAGACCCCAAGAGTCTTGTGTGGCTCCAGCCCACAGAGGGATATCCATGGCCCATATCTCTCAAAACTCTCCCCTCCCACTCTGAATCCACCCTCTACTGCATGCTCCCCTCACAGAACAGACACTTTTTTTTTGTTTTTTGTTTTTTTTTGGCCTATCCTTTTTTTGCCTACCCGCATCCCAGATTGACTTTTCTGTCTTAGAACTACCTTTCCCTCTTTGGACAGTGTTTTTCTGGTATACACATGAAGATGTCCCACTCTCCCCTGCTCAAGAAGAGAGTGCCTGACCTAAGCTGGGCCCATCAGATCCAGTACTTACCTGGAATAGGAAAAAGACGGGGAGGGTGACCAAAGATTACAAAAATCTCTGAAGCTTATCCACTTGAGAAAGAGTCCCTGAAGATACTGGCCTTTCATTCCTGCTATGTATATCCAATGTGACTGAACTCTGAATAAAATATACAAGTTATAACAATGTAGTAATTGACCCAGCAAACTAGGACATAAACATGTTAGAGGGTAAGGTAGTGAGAGGCATGTTTGGGGGTGGTGGTGATGAGCAAGTATGTGAAGGAGAGATAGTGCCTAAACTTGAAAATCAAAAAGTAATAATATATATTTAGACATAAGGAGATAAATAACTAATAATTGTTTCTATGTGATGAAACTCTGGGAGTATACAAAGGGACTGCTGTTGTACTAAACAAATTTTCTAGTATAAATAACTTTGACAAAGTATCCAAATAAAAAAATCCTTTCTCATATATGTATGTGTGTGTGTGTATATATATATATATATATATATATATATACACACACACACACACACACACATATTTGCATTCTTTGCATTTTGAATATAAATTTTTATACAGTCATGTTAATCCCTCTTTTCTTTTAAGGATTTGAGTTTGATGTCATGCATACAATGTGATCCCACTGTATGACTACAGAAATGTTAGCAAAGTAAGTTCAGAAGACATGGTAGGAAAATACTTCCCAGTTTTGGCCAGAAGATGGAGAAAAAAAGAATTCTCATAAAATGTTAAAAGTATGACTTGTTATATCTTCTTTTCACAGTAATTTAGACAGAAATTAGCAAAATCAGAAAGGTATACATACTTTGGTCTGACAGTTCCATCTCCAGGTGTCTACGGAGAAATAGACAAGCGATGCATGACAGATACATGTGTCAGTCTGGTCCCTGCAGTTGTATTTGTAATAATACACATTGGAGCAATTTCATGGCCATTGGTTACAGAATGTTTGAAGAATGATCCATTCATATCAAGAAGGATATTTCGAAGATCTAAGCCTGATGGAAATGCTGGAGGCCATGACACTGATAGGAGCTCATGCGTGTTGACCAATTACTACGTGACAGGCATTGGCTCCACGCTCATTTAAATTTTGGACAACCTACGTGTTCTGATTTAGCCTATTGGACAGCAAATTTGACAGAAATGGAGGCACAGAAAATTAATGTGTTTAACTTCAAACTCTGGTAGATTAGGTTTTTCACCCAGAGCCTGTGGCTTCACCATAGTTGTGATTCAGGTTCTGTCATTTTCCACTTCAGGAATTTCCAGTATTCCAAATATGAGAAGCTGAGAAAACAAACAAACCAACTCAAAACCCTAAAAGCCAGGATAAGTAAGGGTAGATGTTTGTTGGGTGTGGATTAAAAATGGACTTTTTTTTGCCTCAAACAACAAAGAGGCACGTCGGAAAATAGACAAGAGACAAGAAGAAGAGATTTAAGAGATATTTGGTCCAAGGAAGAGACTCTTCAGATGGAAGGTCATGTCAGCTAGAAACATTAATGTGACTGGATGGGCTCAAACCACTGACTTTTCAGTCAACATCTGACAGCACTAACCTAATGTTTCAGAGACACTGCTTGTTAAACAGTGAAAGCTGTTGCTCAATTGTGTCATCCATAATTGTCAAATATTGCCATTTAGTAGCATAAGGAAGTATTCTCTGTTGCCAGGCTAGAGTACCCGTAACTCTTCTGTTTTGTTGAACATTCTTCCCCACCACAAACCCTCTTTAGAAGACTGGGGGCTCCTAAAACATTGAGGCTAAGAGTCCTGTCCTTGTGCATGTTTGGGCATTGACCCAGGGCCAAATCAGTGGTAGACTCCTCCATGCATATGCCAGGTCCCCAGGTGACAACTGCAGTCTCTGGATCTGAGGTCATCCACTTTCCCATTCCTAGCTCACCTCGCCCATTGTGAAGCCTGGTTAGTATTGCCAGAGACCCGAGTGGACAGGTGCCCCCACCAAAGACAGAACCTGCCATGTGCCCATCTTGCTGATCCCTCCATCCTTCTAGACAAAGGCTTCATGAGCCAGGGACCTTGGGTTTGCTCACAAGACAGCCCCTCACCTAGTATGCATTAGCTCATTATGTGTATGTATGTGTATATGTATATGTATATGTATATGTATATGTATATGTATATGTATATGTATATATGTGTATGTGTGTATGTATATGTCCTCAGGTTGTATTCCTTAAATATATATATGTAATTCCTTAAATATATAATTTTAATATGAAATTTTAAAAAGGTTCCTTTAATAAACATTTACAATAACATCAAGAAATATAAACTATATAGCAAAGATGTGAAAGCCAGCCAGGCTCTCAATAGCATCAAGAAATATAAACTACATAGGAAAGACATGAAAGCCAGCCAGGCTTGGCTTCAAATCCCAACACTTTGGAAGGCTGTGGCAGGATGGTCACTTGAGCTCAGAAGCTTGAAACTATCCTAGGCAACATAGTGAGAACTCATTTGTATTGAAAATCAGAAAAATTATCCCGGTGTGGTGGTGTGAGCCTGTAGTCCCAGGAACTCAGTGGATGAGGCCCTAGGATGTCATAGGCCTGAGAATTCCATGCTACAGTGAGCTGTGATCATGCCACTGTACTCCAGCCTGAGTGAGTAAGATCGTGTCTAGAAACAAAAGAAGAAAAAGAAAAGATGTGAAAGCCTATATATTGAAGACTACCAAGTATTGCTGAGAGCAGTTAAAGACATTTGGAATAGAGAATGCTCCTTCTTACATTTCAAGATTGCTTTTGTTTTGGGGGGACACTTGCTATTTTTTGAGAATATGAAGTTCTTCTTAGGCATTCCTGTAAAAAAGGCCACTTTTTGATAGGATTGTATTGAATCTGTGGATTGCTTTTAGTTGTATTTTTATCTTAACCATGTTACAACTTCCAACCCATGGACACAAGATATCTTTCCATTTATTTAGCTCTTCCTTAATCTCCATGAGCAGTGTTCTGTAGCTGTCTGTGTACAAGTACTGCACCTCCTTGATAAAAATTATTCCCAGGCTTATTATCCTTACAGGTGCTATTACAAATGAAATTGTGTCAATTTTCTTCTCAGATTGTTCATTGCTAACACAACTGATTGTTTGCTGAAAGTTTGCTGAATTCACTTACTAACTCTAGTAGTGTGTGTGTGTGTGTGTGTGTGTGTGTGTGTGGTCTCTGTGTGCATGTAAGTGTGTTTACATTTGTATGTATTATTTGGGATTTTCTATATATAGGATCACACCATCTGCAAATTGAGATCATTTTGTTTTCTGTTCAAAAATATTTTTCTCATGTTTATTTTTGAAAGATAATTTGGCCAAGTGTAGAACTGTAGACTTCAGTTTTTCTTTTTTTAAGTACTTTATTGCAAACTTCTTGTTTGTAAAGTTTCCTATGAGAAATCTTATGCCATCCTTATATTTAGTGCTCTGTATGTAACATGTTCTTTCCCCTTTTATTCCTTTTAAGATTTCCTTTTTATCACTGGTTTTGATGGATTTGATTAAAGTGTTCCTTGGTGAAGTTTTCTTCATGTTTCTTCTTCTTAGAATAATCGTATTTCTGTAATATTTGAAGTTTATAGTTTCCATGGAGCTTCTAAATCTTTCATCCAGTATGTTTTAAATATCTTTGTTTCCCTTCTCCACTACACGCCCTTCAGGGTTTCCATTTATCCTTATACCAGGATGTTTAACGTTTTTATGCTGATGGTCTTTTTATGTTTTCAAGTCATTTGTTACAGTGTGTTTCACTTATGTTAGTTTCAACTTCTATTCCAGCTAGTTCAATAATCTTCTCTTCTGCAATGTTTAATCCAGTGTCTTCTTCCATTTCATACTGTAAATCATAGTTCTTATCTACAGAATTTAATATTTAAAAAATCTTCAACCTCTCCATTTAATTAAAATACAATTATACTAACTGCTCTAATATCCTTTTCTTCTATTTCCAACGTGTGTCAATTTCAACTAGATTATTAGATTCTTCATTGTGTGTTAAGTTTTCCTGCTTCTTTGGCTGCTTGATATTCTTTTATTTTTGTTTTTTTTTTGGGAGGGGGGAGGATGGAGTTTCACTCTCATTGCCCAGGCTGGAGTGCAATGGTGTGATCTTGGCTCACAGCAACCTCTGCCTCCCAGGTACACAAGCGATTCTCCTGTCTCAGTCTCCCAAGTAGCTCAGATTACAGGCACGCACCACCATGCCCGGCTAATTTTTTTGATTTAGTAGACATGGGGTTTCACCATGCTAGTAAGGCTGGTCGTGAACTCCTGACCTCAGGTGATCCACCTGGCTGCTTGATATTCTAAGATTTGATGCTGCAGCTTTGGTGTCAATGCTCAAAAGTGCCCAAAGACACCACTTGACCTCAGTGTCTATGCACACCCAAGCTTTTGCAACAGGACAGGTAGAGAGGGCAGAGATGAGTGTGCTACAACATGCTGGTAGAGGGCACCTCAATTTTGCTTGGGGCTTTCCTATGTTTCATAGAAAAATGTGTTTTCCTTAATTTTTCCCATAAGAACCACCCTACTTCATGCCCTGTCTCTCTGTCCAAACACCAGGACAGTCCTCTCACCAGTCTCAACCACCCAATGGATTGACAAATGTCCAAATATGATTCAGTGGAGAAGGCATTCTCTTGTCAACAAATTGTGTAGAAACAACTGGACATGCATATTCCCAAAGGAAAAAAATTCACCTGAACCTCAATACTGACTCAAAAACTAACTCAAAAAGGATTATGCAACTAAATATAAACTATAAAACTAGAAAAAGTATAGCAGAAAATGTAAGACAAAATCTTCATGACACAGAGTTAGGCAAGGTGTTCTTTGTTTTCAATAAACACAAACCATTAAAGAAAACATTGATAACTTCAACTTTATAAAAATTAAAAGTTTTTGCTCAACACAAGACAGTAATAAGAGAACAAATATAAGCTGCAGATTGGGAGAAAAACAGTGGAAATCACAAATATGACAAACGGCATGTGTGATAGTTACTTGTACTTGTCACTGTGACCGAGCACCATGGTACTGGGACATTTGGCCAAACATGATTCTGGTTGTGTTCCAGAGAGTGTTTCGGATACAATTAACATTGGGATGGGCAGACTAAGTGAAGCAGATTGCCCTCCTTAATGGGGGTGGGACTCATACGTACAATCAAATGCCAGGAGACAATTAAGAGGCCTAATGGAAAACAAATGCTTTCCTGGGTATCCAGCTTTCCTTCCATCTTCGGAATTTCAGCCTCTATAACCTCAGAAGCAAATTCATATATATATATATATATATATATATATACACACACACATATACATTTCATAGTTATGTGGCTAAGATTGTATTTTTAAAAGTTCAGCCATGAGATGATTGGTGAAGCCAGTCAATGAATAAGGGTGTGTTCTATTATATGATTCAGTCTTCTTTTGTACACGATTTAAGTTCTGCATTTGAAGTAGGAGGATGGGAGAGAGTAAGTCCACCTAGGATGATAACAGTTGAATTTCTCAACATACACTTCAAAGCCCTAGAGGTTAACTTAGAGAGTCAAAAATTCCACCCATAATCCTGCCCCTACACACTAGGGCTAGGGAACACTGTGGCTCTCAGGTGATTTTATTTAGCCAGGTCTGGGAGCCACACAACAGCAGACGGAGCAGGAAACACTATGCAAATAGAGGCCAGGACAGCAGGGAGAGCCTGTTAATGACAGAACACAGGTAAAACTATCCTCAGAAGCAAGTGTGGAGAAACACAGATGATGCCTGAGACCTGGTGGATTAAAGCACTGGCTACTGGGGAATTGAAAGGAAGGGGCTTCACCATGCAGAGGACCAGAAGTGCCAATCTTGGAAACGCAGAATTCCTGGGAGATGGGGAGGCGTGGACCATGGAAGTATCCTCTGGAGACTCGTGGTGAAGAGAACAAATGAATGAAGTAACTGGCAGAAATTAGAGTTCCTGGTAGAACAAAATACAATCCCACAATGAGAACATACACCATGTATGTCCCCCAAGGAAGACAATGTCTCCTAAAAACTCAAGAAAATCATTTTGGGCAAGCACCTTATATCCAGTAATGCGATCCATGTTTTAAGACTGTGAGAAAAGATTATTAAACATGCTAAACTCAGTGAGATCCAATTCCCTCAGGAGGACTCTGTTAAGGATGAGTACCACTCAGCAAGTGATGACTGTGACATTCACTTTTGGACAGCTCATGAGCATTAATATATTTAATTGTGGATCTAAACTAAAAACCAAGGTGGAGACAAGATGACAATCACAGAATGTCACTGGTATATGTTTAGCTTCAAATACTATTATGAGAAGTAACAGGTAAAGGAGGTGGGAAAAAGAAAACACATTATGTAACTGACTGTCATATGGAAATATTTGATGCTGAAAGTTATAATTTAAAACGTATAAACCAAATATTAGAAGTGTGTCTAGTTCAAAGGGGGGAAACCATCAAAAACATTTTTAGTGCAATATTTAGCATGAGCTCTACAACGCTTCCTAAATGTCAGAGGCACACACAGACACACACACACACTCACTCACAAAGAATACAAATAATTGGAACCCAGAAAAGTAGTAAATACATTCTGCTACATATGGTAAACATAGCCTACAATGTGGAAGAGATTAGAAAATAAACAGGGAAATGAAAATGTTTTTATTAATTCGCATCAGTATCCATGAAAAATAGTCAGCATAATAAAAGATTATAACACTGAATGTAAAAAACAATCCAGCAGTTCAGAGTGATAGGCAAAAGTTTTTAATTGTATAGATTCAAATTAACTTTGGACAAAAGTTAAAACTCAGGCAGAGAATTTTTTTTTCAACAACAGACACTAACAAAAACAAAGGCACAGTAAAAATTGAGACAGAAAATTTGCAGTGTAGAGGTATGAATCTAATGATAGACACAGGCATGGATGATTAATAAATGATAAAATGTTTAGAGGATGATCACTAGAATACAGGACATTTATACTTTTAAAAACCACTTTCCCAAATACTTCATTATAAGTAAGTTGTCTCTAAAAGGGACAGATCTTCTAGACCCCTCCTTAACCAAGTAACTAGTCCTGATGTCATGATAATGGTGATGGACAAACTAGACCTTCTCTGCGCGCAGATGGGCTGAGGTTGGAAGCTCACAGCATTGACTCTGCAGTGTTCCTGGCAAAACGTTTAGGCTGAATTTAATCATGAAGACATTTTCAGGCAACTTCAGAATATAGATCATTGAACCAGACAGCTGACCTGTCCTCTACAAACAAGTCCATATCACCACAATCAATGACAACAACAAAAAGATGAGGAAATATTTGGGGTTCAAAATAACTAAAGAAATGTAGCTACATTATCTTTTTACGTTTTTTTGAACCCAAAATGTCTCTTCTCCTTTTTGTTGAGTGATTCGTGGTGACATGGACTGTGTGAAGGAGACAGGTCAGCTGTCCTGCTCAGTGCTCTACATTATGCAGTTGTCTGGTGATTAACCTAATATGAAACTCAGGCCAAGCACTTTCTGCAAGAACATGGCATTGTTCACATTCTGCACCGGCAGATTCCGAGGTGACATGCTGTCTCCTGCCAGTGGCTCCTGACTCCTGTTCTCTACAGGATAAGAATTGAGAGGAGCATGGCTACAGCCTCTCAATGCTGTTTGTCCATCTAGATGTGGTCTTCCTAAGTATTGATATCAATTGGAGGCTGAAGGACTGTAGCTTCTGTCACCAAAGGAGCCTAGTGGGTTACAATTGTCAAGAGCAGTCAGTGGTTCTGAAATACAATTCTCAGCGAAGGATCCCTCCTGGGTTACAGATGGATCAGCTAAAACAAACCAACACTGAAGATACAAAGAATGGGGTTAGGTTCACTGAAACTAGGGTAACACCTTTGCATGAGCTAAACACAAAGATGACACTGACCTTGAGCAGGCATAGAAGGTCAGAGACATGCCTGCAAAATGAAATCCCTGCGGAACTTTGTAGCTACCCAGAGATATGTGGTTCAATTTAGAATGTCTGACAGATCACTCCTGGCATGTGCTGCATAGTTATGTGAACGTGTCACACCTAACTTTGGTCCAATGTCTTCAGACTTAGCACAGGTTGCCACTGGCATGGTCTGAGAATAGGAATAGAGCCATGCCCACTGACCCATCCTATGCCTGGGCTTCGAAATGGAACTATAGTTTCATTCAAACCTACATGTGCCTATAGGTCCTGCCTGCAGCAATGACATCTCTCAGTTTAGTAAGGGCTGCTTAGTGTGGGAATATGACTCCCATCTGGAAGACCAGGTGGAGACTTATCACCATCAAAGTAAAAAACCTATTGTCCACTTCAAGGGCCAAGCTGCTGTGCTGTTCCTTAAATGAGTAAAAGGCACTTCTGTAGTGCTGGAATGAGTCAGGCAGTTCAAAGTAAGTTGGAGGAGTCGAATAACATCTATCCAGTGAATCCTGCAAGACTTCAGGCTCTTCCACTTCCATCAGCACCCCGTTGAGCCTGGGAAAGGAGACTAAACTAAAGAAGTAGCCAGGGAAAATCAGACACCACAGAGCCCCAACTAGATTTCCGGGGTAAAATAAGGAAGTGGTTAAAAAAGAAAAAGGATAGATCCATTAATGAGGCAAAAAATTATTGCCTTTATGTTGGGATAGAACAGGGCCAGGTAGAAAACAATGAAAGAGAAAGACAGAGAGAGAGACAGACAGACAGAGAGAGAGAGAGGAGAGAAAGTGAGCTCAGTGAATTGGCCAGGTGACACACTGATAAAGGAGTAAAAAGACATTTTGAGTTAGTGCCCTCATGACACACAGCAAAAGAGTGAGCTCTTCAGTTTTCCATAAAACTTGCTCAAAATTCGATGCAGTCACCATGAAAGTACAGCTTTTGAGGTACAGTCAACCCATGGTACATTAGTAAATGATAAGGGGAGGAAGAAATGAAAACCTAAATGTCTACTACAATGAAAACCAACAGCAATGTCAGTAGGAGTGATTCAGCCTTCGTTGAAAACATGAAATTAAACACACCCTGTTTTCCCTGGATCTGTCATCTCCAGGTGTTAACACAGAATTAAGCATCTACAATTGCTGAAAGTTACCTGGGGCATGGTGGGTTCTGATCTTCTTCCCCTTCTTGGTACTTTTCAATTTCTGAAATAAATTCAGACATGGACAGACACAATAAGCTGATTCCCCTACACACATAACAATCCACTGTCTAATCCTCAAACAGGGACCTCAGGCTCCTCAGCATAAGAATAGGACACTGTGGGAGATATATTTCAGGAGGCCTGAAGGCTGCTCATGATAGAGATTCCTTGGTTTTTGTCCCAGAAACTAAGGGTAAAATGTCCCTATTCTGGTAGATTGTTATCCCAATATCATTTGTCCCAAGTTTGTGCAAATGGTTATGCCATATTTTTCCGATCAATTTAAAGCAAATGCCCTCAAATGATTTCTAGGAGAAAAACTGCAATAATCAGCCCTGTTTCATCAAATACTCAGGTTGTTCATGGTTGTGAGGATTTTGACTGAAAAAGGAAAACTACAAACCCTTGAGTCGAAATCATAGTTCTCTGAATTTGTCACATCTGCCCAGGTCCAATGTCTTGAGAGTAGAATCTGAGTGCCACAGGCATGGCCTGAGATGAGGAAGAGAGCCACGCTCACTGACCCATCTCATGTCTGGGCTTCCAGGTAGAACTAGAGTTTCATTCAACCTATGTGCCTATAGGTCCTCACTGCAGCAATGACATCTCTCAGCTCAGCAAAGGCCAATTGGAGCAGGAATATGATCTCTATATGGAAGACTCAGTGGATCCTTATTGCCTTCATAGAAAGATACTCACCATCCACATCAAGAGAAAAGCCAACGTGTTGTTCCTCCAATGAGGAAAAGGAACTTCCATAGGGCTGGCATGAGTCAGGCAGTTCAAGATAACTGGAAGGAGTCAAATAACATCTATCCAGTGAGTCCTGCAAAACTTCAGACTCTACTACCTCCAGCAGCTCTCTGCTGCGCCTGCAAAAGTAGAAAAAGTAAAGGATAAGCCAGGGGAAATCAGACACAACACAGCCCCAACTAGATGTCATGGGTAGCATAAGGAAGTGGTTAAAAAAGAAAAAGGATAGATCCATTAATGAGGTAACAAATTATTGCCTTCATGTTGGGTCAGAACAGGGCCAAATGGAAAAGAATGAAAGAGAAAGACAGACAGAGAGATAGACACAGAGAAAGAGAGAGAGAGAGCTCAGTGAATTGTCCAGGTGACACACTGATGAGGGAGTAACAGGACACTCTGAGTTAGTGCCCTCAGAACACACAGCATACAGTGATCATGAAAAGACTGTGCTCAATAATTTTCCATAAAATGTGATCAAGATTCCATGCAGTTGCCATAAGAATACAACTTTTGAAGTCTGGTCAACCTACAGTAGGTTAGTAAATGATAAGGGGAGGAAGAAATGGAAACTTAAACATCTACTGTAATGAAAACCAACAGCAATGTCAGTAGGAGTAATTCAACCTTCGTTGAAAACATGAAATCGAACACACTCTTGTTTTCCCTGGACCTGTCGTCTCCGGGTGTCAACACAGAATTAAGCATCTATAATTGCTCAAAGTTACCTGGGGCATGATGGGTTTTGGTCTTCTTCTACTTCTTGGTACTTTTCAATTTCTGTAATAAGTTCAGATATGGACAGACACATTAAGCTGATTCCCCTACACACATAACAATCCACTGTCTAATCCTCACACAGGGACCTCAGGCTCCTCAGCATGAGAATAGGACACTGTGAGAGATATTCTTCAGGAGGTCCGAAGGCTGATCATGATAGAGATTCCTTGGCTTTTGTCCCAGAAACTGTGGGTAAAATGTCCCTATTCTGGTAGATTGTTATCCCAATGTCATTTGTCCCAAGTTTGTGCAAATGATTATGCCGTATTTTTCCAATCAATTTAAAGCAAATGCCCCCAACTGGTTTCTAGGAGAAAAACTGCACTATTCAGCCCTGTCTCATCAAATATTCAGATTGTTCATGGTTGTGAGGATATTAGACACTGAAATTAGAGTGAAGGAGGAAATCTACAAAACTGAGACAAAATCAGAGTTGTGTGAATTTGTCACATCTGCCCGAATCCAATGTATTGAGAGTAAGATCAGGGTGCCACAAGCATGGCCTGAGACTACAAAGAGAGCCACGCTCACTGATCCATCCCGTGTCTGGGCTTCCAAGTAGAACTAGAGTTTCATTTAAATCTACATGTGCTTATAGGTCCTCCCTGTGGCAATGATATCTCTCAGCTCAGTAATGGCCACTAGCAGCAGGAATATGACCCTATCCAGAAGACTCAGTGGATCCTTATCACCTTCATAGAAAGGTACTCACCACCCACATCAAGAGCCAAGCTAACATGCTGTTGCTCCAATGAGTAAAATGCACTTCTGTAGGGCTGGCATGAGTCAGGCAGTTCAAGATAACTAGAAGGAGTCAAATATCTATCCAGTGAGTCCTGCAAGACTTCAGGCTCTTCCCCTTCCAGCAGCTCCCTGCTGAGCCTAGAAGAGTAGAAAAAGTAAAGAATAAGCCAGGGAAAATCAGAAACCTCAGAGCCCCAGCTAGATTTCATGGGTAGCATAAGGAAGTGGTTAAAAAAGAAAAAGGATAGATCCATTAATGAGGTAACAAACTATTGCCTTCATGTTGGGACTGAACAGGGCCAAATGGAAAAGGATGAAAGAGAAAGACAGTCAGAGAGAGAGAGAGACAGCTCAATGAATTGTCCAGGTGACACACTGATGAGGGAGTAACAGAACACTCTGAGTTAGTGTCCTCAGGACACACAGCATACAGTGATCATGAAAAGAATGCGCTCAATAATTTTCCATAAAATGTACTCAACTTTCCATGCAGTCACCATGAGAATACAGCTTTTGAAATATGGTCGATGTACCGTAGGTTCATAAATGATAAGGGGAGGAAGAAATGGAAACCTAAATATCTACTGCAATGAAAACAAACAGCAATGTTAGTAGGAATAATTCAGGCTTGGTTGAAAGATGTAATCGATATTGTCAGCCCACTCTGTTTTCCCTGAACCAAGAGTCTCCAGGTGTCAACACAGAAGTAGCTGTTCACAATTGTTCAAAGTTACCTAGGGCATGATGGGCCTTGGTCTTCTTCCTCTTCTTGGTCCTTTTTAATTCCTACAATAAATTCAGACAGGGACAGACAAAATAAGCCAATTCACCTACACCCATAACAGTCCACTGTCTAATCCCCACATGAGGACTTCAGGCTCCTCAGCATGAGAACAGGACAATGAGAGAGATATACTTCAGGAGGCCTGAAAGCAGGTCATGATAGAGATTCTTTAGTTGCATCTCAGAACCAAGGGTGAAATACCACTATTCTGGTAGATCGTTATCCTAAAATCATTTATCCCAAGATTGTGGAAACAGTTATGCCTTATTGTTCCCATCAATTCAAAGAAAATGCCCCAGATGATTTCTAGGAGGAAGACTGCAGTATTCAGCCCTGTCTCCTCAAATGCCCAGCTCGTTCATGGTTGCAAGATACTGAAACTAGAATGAAGGAGGAAATCTACAAACCCTTGAGTCCAAATAATAGTTCTGTGAATTTTTCACATCTGCCTGGGTCCAATGTGCTGAGAGTGGGCTGAGGTGGTCACAGGCATGGCTGGAGACTAGGAATAGAGCCATGCTCACTGACCCATTTCATGTCTGGGCTTCCAACTGAAACTACAGTCTCATTACAAGCTATATGCACCCACAGGTCCTGCCTGTGGCAATGACACCTCTCGGGTCAGTAAGGGCCACTTGGAACAGGAATATCACCCCTATCTGGAAGACCAGGTGGAGGCTTATCACTTTCATAGTAAGGTACTCACTATCCACATCAAGAGCCAAGCCAAGGTGCTGTTCCTCCAATGAGTAAAAGGCACTTATGTAGAGCTGGCATGAGTCAGACAGTTCAAGATAACCAGAAGGAGTTGAATAACATCTATCCAGTGAGTCCCGCAAGACTTCAGGCTCCTTCTTGTCCAGCAGCTCCCTGCTGAGCCTGGAAAAGTAGGAAAAAGTAAAGAATAAGGCAGGGGAAATCAGAAACCACACAGCCCCAGCTAGATTTCATGGGTAACATAAGGAAGTGTTTTAAAAGAAAAAGAACGGATCCAGTAATGAGGTAACAAATTATTGCCTTTATGTTGGGATAGACCAGGGTCAGGTATAAACGGATGAAAGAGGAAGAGAGAGACACACACACACGCACACACATGCACACACACACGCACACACAGAGACAGAGAGATAGTGAGCTCAGTGAATTGGCCAGGTGACACACTGATGAGGGAATCAAAGGACACTCTGTATTTGTGCTGTCAGGACACACAGCAAACAGTGATCATGAAAAGAGTGGTCTTAATAACTTTGCACAAAATGTGCTCAAGTTTCCCTGCAGTCACTATGAGAATACAGCTTTTGAGGTATGGTCAACCTTCACTAGGTTAGTAAATGATAAGGTAGGAAGAAATGAAAACCTAAACATTTAATGTAATGAGAACCAAAAGCAATGTTAGTAGGCATAATTCAGACTTGTCTGACAAGATGAAATCATTATTTTCAGCATGTACTCTTTTCCCTGGACTTGGCGTCTCCAGGTGTCAACACCAAATTAACTGTCCACAATTTCTCAGACTCATCTGGGATCTGTTGCCTCTTGGTCCTCCTTTTTCACTTGATCACATCGATGTCCTGCATGCAAATAAATTCAAATGGGGCCTCTTACATTAAGCAGTTCTTCCTTGCACACAGAAACCTTCCTCTGTCCAATCCGAACACAGGGACATCAGTCTTCTCAGTGTGAGAACAGGAGACTTTGAGAGAAGTATACCAGGAGGCCTGAGGTTAAGTCTTGAGAGAACTGACTTGGTTCCTTTCTTGAGCTTTCGGCAAAATTCCCCTGTTTTGGAACGTTATCTTCCCAATATGCTCTGTCCTAGGTTTGTGTACACAAATGAGCAATATTTCTCCCAATAGAGTTTAAGCAAATAGTTCTAACACCTTGTAGGAGAGATACTGCAATATTCAGGCTTCTCTCATAAAATACCCAGGATTTGATAGCTTACGAGATTGTGGACACTGAGATTTGATGGAGGGGTGCAATGTACCAGCTCTTGAGTCAAAATGAGACTTGGTTCGACACGGAAGCATCAGCTACTATGGCTTTTTTGGGTAAAAAGTCAGCCATTTATCTAGAAAACATGCCAGCAAGATGATGGACAGATGAGCTAAAACAAGCCAACTTAGAAGACACAGAAAATGGGGATAAATTCAGTGAAACCTGGGTCACATTTTCCACTGAGAGGTAGACAAGGGTAATACTGGCCTTAGGCAGGTAAAGAACTGCACAGACATGCTTTGGGAACAAAACTCATAACGAACTTCGTAGCTGGCAAGAGACATTTAATTCAGATGAGCTGATCTGACAGACAACTCCTGGGCATGTGCTGCATAGCTTGGTGTGAGTTTGCCACACCAGCCTTGAGTTCAATGTCCTGACAGTTGAACCAGCGTGCCACGGGCATGGCCTGAGACTAGGAGAAAGCCAAGCTCACTGACCCACCCCATGCCTGTGCTTCAGACTCGACTCCAGAGTGATTGAAATCTACATTGATATATAGGTTCAGCCCACAGTGATGGCAACTCTCAGCCCAACCAGGGGCACAAGGCCCGGAGATTATGGGGTCTACCTGGGACACGAACGGGAGCTTTATCACCTTCACAATGGAGTATTCACTGCCTATGACAAGAGCCAAGCCGACTTGCTGTTCCTCTAATGAGTGAAAGGTGCTCCTGTAAGACTGGTACGAGGCTGACTTGTCAGGAGGAATTGAGAGAGTCGAATAACCTTCATCCCAGGACTCCTGAGGGGCTTCCTCCTCTTCAGACTCCTGCAGATTCCTGACGAGGCAGGCAGGACAGGGATGACAGAAGATTTAACCAACAGAGATTAGACAACAAAACCTCCCAGATGTTCTGATGGGAGACAGAATGGAGTGGTCACAGAAACCAAAGGCATTTTTCCTTCAAGAGAAATAAAATTATCCTTCTAAATGCAAGGTAGAGGGTGTCTGCTCTGGGGACAGAGCAAAAATGGGCAGCACGTGCTCAGTACATTTGCCACAGATGAGCCAATGTAGGGCACCAAGACTCTCCCTGTAAACTACCATCATGACTTGCAGCACAGAGAACTAACACTGGGCTTCAACTACTTTGCATAAATTAAATTGAATTTTACATGCAGCATTCAAGTGAACAGAGCTCTTGAGGCAGTGCAGACACAGATCTTGGGTATTAAGGGCCCCATTTTTCCAATATTTTGATATAATACGTTTATTTTTTCAATTTCTTTTCTTGCACAAATACTAGCAAACATACTAACAAAAAATGGGCAGAAAGCATATATACATCTCTCCCTGGATTTAAACACATGGGAGAGAACAGGCAACACCAAGAAATCCCTGTTTGAGGGTCTAGAGTAGACTCCCAGGAAACTCCAACAGACCTGCAGCTGAGGGACCTGACTGTTAGAAGGAAAACTAACAAACAGAAAGGAATAGTATCAACATCAACAAAAAGAACACCCACACCAAAACCCCATCTGTAGGTCACCATCATCAAAGACCAAAGGTAGATAAAATGACAAAGATCTGGAGAAACCAGAGCAGAAAAGCTGAAAATTCTAAAAACCAGAGCGCCACTTCTCCTCCAAAGGATTGCAGCTCCTTGCCAGCAATGGAACAAAGCAGGATGGAGAATGACTTTGACTAGTGACAGAAGTAGGATTCAAAAAGTCAGTAATAACAAACCTCTCTGAGCTAAAGGAGGATGTGCGAACGCATTGCAAGGTAGTTAAAACCTTGAAAAAAAAATTAGACAGATGGCTAACTAGAATAAACTGTGTAGAGAAGACCTTAAATGACTTGATGGAGCTGGTCATCAAACCATAGCATGAGAACTACGTGATGCATGCACAGGATCGGTAGCCAATTCGATGAAGTGGAAGAAAGGGCATCAGTGATTGAAGATCAAATTAATGAAATGAAATGAGAAGAGAATTTTAGAGAAAAAAAGAGTAAAAAGAAATGAACAAAACCTCCAAGAAATATGGGACTATGTGAAAAGACCAAATCTATGTTTGATTGGTATACCTGAAAGTGACAGGGAGAATGGAACCAAGCTGGAAAACACTTTTCAGGATATTATCCAGGAGAACTTCTCCAACCTAGCAAGGCAGGCCAACATTCAAATTCAGGAAAAACAGAGAAAACCACAAAGATACTCCTCGAGAAAAGCAACTCCAAGACACATAATTGTCAGATTCACCAAAGTTGAAATGAAGGAAAAAATGTTAAGGGCAGCCAGAGAGAAAGGTCGGGTTACCCACAAAGGAAGCCCATCAGACTAACAGCAGATCTCTTGGCAGAAACCCTACAAGCTAGAAGAGAGTAAGAGGCCAATATTCAACATTCTTAAAGAAAAGAATTTTCAACCCAGAATTTCATATCCAGCCAAAGGAAGCTTCATAAGTGAAGGAGAAATAAAATCCTTTACAGACAAGCAAATGCTGAGAGATTTTGTCACCACCAGGCCTGCCTTACAAGAGCTCCTGAAGGAAGTACTAAACATGGAAAAGAACAACCAGTACCAGCCACTGCAAAAACATGACAAATTGTAAAGACCATCAATGCTAGGAAGAAAGTGCATCAACTAACAGGCAAAATAACCAGCTAACATCAAAATGACAGGATCAGATTCACACATAACAATATTAACCTGAAATGTAAATGGGCTAAATGCCCCAATTAAAAAACACAGACTGGCAAATTGGATAAAGAGTCAAGACCCATCAGTGTGCTGTATTCAGGAGACCCATCGCATGTGCAAAGACACACATAGGCTGAAAATAAAAGGATGGAGGAAGATCTACCAAGCAAATAGAAAGCAAAGAAAAGCAGGGGTTGCAATCCTAGTCTCTGATAAAACAGACTTTAAACCAACAAAGATCAAAAGAGACAAAGAAGGCCATTACATAATGGCAAAGGGATCAATTCAACAAGAAGAGCTAACTATCCTAAATACATATGTACCCAATACAGGAGCACCCAGATTCATAAAGCGAGTTCTTAGAGACCTAAAAAGAGACTTAGACTCCCATACAATCATAATGGGAGACTTTAACACCCCACTGTCAATATTAGACAGATCAATGAGACAGAAGCTTAAAAAAGATATCCAGGACTTGAACTCAGCTCCGCACCAAGCAGACCTAATTGACACCTACAGAATTCTCCACCCCACATCAACAGAATATACATTCTTCTCAGCACAACATCACACTTATTCCAAAATTGACCACATAGATGGAAGTAAAGCACTCTTCAGCAAATGTAAAAGAATAGAAATCATAACAAACTGTCTCTCAGACCACAGTGCAATCAAATTAGAACTCAGGATTAAGAAACTCACTCAAAACTGTGCAACTACATGGAAACTGAACAATCAGCTCCTGAATGACTACTGGGTAAATAACGAAATGAAGGTGGAAACAAAGATGTTCTTTGAAACCAATGAGAACAAAGACACAACGTATCAGAATCTCTGGGACACATTTAAAGCAGTGTGTAGAGGGAAATGTATCGCACTAAATGCCCATAAGAGAAAGCAGGAAAGATCTAAAATCGACACCCTAACATCACAATTAAAAGAACTAGAGAAGCAAGGGCAAACAAATTCAAAAACTAGCAGAAGACAAGAAATAACTAAGATCAGAGCAGAACTGAAGGTGATAGAGGCACAAAAAACCCTTCAAAAAAATCAGTGAATCCAGGAGCTTGTTTTGTGAAAAGATCAGCAAGAAATTCCTGTTTAGCTAGTTCACCTGGCTCATCTGATTGCAAGTTCCTATCTTGACAGGACTACAAAATTAAAACCAATACAAGGGCCACAAATAATGCACAACATTGTTAATAAGGACAATTTGTAGTTGGGTGAAAAGAAGAAATAGTTCTATACATCACTTCCCCTTTTTCCCTAAATCTACAATCTCCTGGTGTCACTATTGAATTAACAGCCCACAATTCCATAGCATTACCTGGGAAACACTGGCCCTTTTTCTTCCTCTTCCTCTTCCTCATCATCACTTTCATTTTCTGTAAATAAATTCAGAGAAGCAGGTCACATTAAGCAATTCACACTTCACATATGACCAAATCAGTGTTCAGTCATAGCACAAGGACATAACTATTCTCAGTGCAAGAATATGGATTCTGATAGGAATATTCTAGGGTGCCCTAGATTAAGTCTGATGAGAAGTAGATGACCCTGCTTTCCAGACCCACAGGCCAAAATCTCCCTCTATGAGTAGACCATAATGCCATATTCCCTGCCTGAGTCTATGCAAAGTTAAACAAAATTTTTCCCAAAAAAATCTCCAAAAATTGCTCAAACAATTTTCTAGGAGTGTTGCTGCAATACTGACTTATATCCCCAGGTAACACGGACATTAAATGTTTAGAGGCATCTATACATGAAACTTGACTGATAGATAAATTTGAACAGCTCTTGCTTTAAAAAGGATCTGTGATTTGGGAGGCTGAGGCAGGTGAATCATTTGAGGTCATGAGTTCAAGACCAGCCTGGCCAATATGGGAAAACCCCATCTCTACTAAAAATACAAAAACTAGCCATATGTGGTGGTGTGCACCTGCGGTCCCAGCTACTCAGGAGGCTGAGGCAGGAGAATCACTTGAATCTGGGAGGCGGAGTTTGCACCAAGCCAAGATGGTGCCACTGCACTCCAGCCTGGGTGATAGAGTAAGACTCCAATGCAAAAAAAAAAAAAAATAATAATAATAATAATAATAATCTATGATGCTACAAAGAAACATTGGATCAGCCATTGCATTGATGGGGTGGAGAACCAGGGTCCAGCCTTGCTTTATGGAAATATATCAGCAAAGTAAAGAAGAAAGTTTCCTTCCCGATTTCAAGGTGACTGTGCAAAGTAGCTAGGTAAGCTGACTTAAAGGAGATCGAGATTAAAGCTGAGAGCAGTGAAGCCTGGGGAACAATATTTCCAAATACACAGGAAAAGCTGCCAGCTTCCTTTAAAAGGCATAGAAACTCCATGGACATTGTTTAGGGACAGATGGCCTAATCACAGGGGACAAGAGATACTGAGTCAAAGCTAGGAGGCCTGACAGATACTTCCTGTGCACCTCCTGCACTCAGGTGACTATGAGATTGTCACACTTGCTTGGGGTCCAGTAACTTGATACTGGGGACTGGCAGACAAAGGCATGACATGAGATGAGAAGGACACACAAACTCCCTGATATCTGTGTTTAGAATCCAATCGTAGTTTTTTATTCAAACCAATTTGTGTATATAGAGCCTGTCTTCAGAGTTTATCTTCCTCAGCCTAGAAAGAGGTATGAGACACAAGGAAAATAGAGGCTACCTGGGATAATGTGTACAGCATCCTCTCATTCATCATGAGAGGATGAGTCAATGAGAGTTGGATCGACTTTATCTTCCTCAAATGTGATTTTGGTGTTCCTGTGAGGCTGGTTGGAGTCACAAGGGCCGTGGCTATTTGAACAAGTGACGGCACGTTCCTCCAGTGAGTCCTCAGGGACTTCCTTTTCTTCAGCCTTCTGCACCTCCCTGATGAGCCAGGTGGGATCGAGATGACAGAAGATTAAACACAGAGAGATTGGACCCCAGGGAGTCCTAGCTGGTTTTGACAGGAGGCATGAGAGTGGTCCCAGAAAGCAACCAGGAGGTTCCCTTTAAGAGGGAACAGGCAATCCTCTTCTCTCTGCAAGAGAACATGGCCGCCAAAGGAGCCAGAGAGGAAGAGAGCAGCTGGTGTTCATTGCACTGGACAGATAGGAGCTGAGGTGGATGAAGACTCAGCTATCCCTGTATGGTACAGACATGACACTTGGCACACATAGAGAAACACGACAGATGCCACACTCTGTGTCTCAGCTGGGTTGAATTTCACATACTGTGGCCAAGGGAATGCAGGCTTTTGGCCCACTGTAGATGCCAGAGAGGGTGTGCCTTTTAAACCTTTTTCATGTGTTACCACCCATTACTTACTCCTGAGTATTCAGTGTTACCTGGGGGCACATGATTCCTGTACTTTCTCAGCCTCCTCAACTTCAACATCTTTATCCTCATCTTCATCATTTTCTGTAAATACAGAAGTGTTTGTTCAGCTATTTCCCACTTCACACTCTGCAAGACAGTCAGCCCAATGTACACAGAGACATGAACATCTAGTCATGGGTTACCGTTAAACTGAAAGCTCTCATGTTTTGTCTTTAACAAAATGCCCTGGAACGGTTTTCTGATCCATCAGGCAATGCATTTCTGATCTGGAGGGCCACCATCAAGATGTGGCCAAATACTGAAAAGACTTTTTGCTCCCCATATCACTGGAGGCTTGTGCAGCCTCTCTCTGGACTTTGGCAACTGTCTCCCCCATCCCATCACAGATCTGATTCCCAGGCACAGGCTTGGTGTCTTGTCACAGTTCGCATTTTGAACCTAATTCTTTCTCTTAGGAGAGGACAAGCTTGTCCCACAGTGCTCTATGAATCAGGAGACTTCACAGGCCCTCCATGTGGCTTCTGCTGTGTGACATTCTCTCCATGGGGAGTGCTCCAGTCTGAAGCACTTCTTACCACCAAAAGCCCCTACATCAAGTGCCTTCTCCAACATGACAAGGCGAGGAGCTTCATCTCATTTTGAAAAGCAGTAGTAAGTGTTCCCACATTTGGATACTTCAGTCCCTTGCAAGAAACAATCTGTCTGCCTTTGCAGATGGTGAGAGACAAACTCAGGAAGGATAAATCACTCACTTACCGACAGTTACTAAGAACATTGCTGAAGAAACAGCATGGGAACCTTCATTCTTAGTCCAGAGCTCTTTTCACTCTAACAAGCGCCCTCCAGTCACAGCCTCCTTCCTGTCCTTTAAAACTAGACAGATGCTGCCTCTTGCTCCAAAGATCACCTTCCATCAAGGAAGAAGGGACACTTGCAATACTGTGACCTCCAACCCCATGGGTTTCCCATCTCTGTTCTTACCCAGGAAGTCCTGGTCATGTCATGGCCACATATGTTTAGTGGAAAAAAACACCACCGATACAACTGTCATTGAAAGTATGGAGGTCTGGAGTCTCTCATAAGCCTGGGGTTTTGGGTCATCAGGGCCTACGGTCACCTTACCTGGGCTGAGCTTTTGGACAAGGTGCTGTGCCAGCCTACACCCCTCAGCCAGCTGTTCTTGGAGGTCCTGCCCCTAGGACTTGTCCCACTCATCCAGAGTGAGGAGGGCCTGGAGATGCTGATTCAATGAGTGGGAGGCATCTCTCCCTTCCTGTAACTTCTCCTGTAACTGGGTCAGCTCTCATTCCTGAGAGTGGACTGGGACTTTATATCACCTAAGGTTAGATAGTAGAGAAAATTTAACAGTGGAACTGGATGAGTGATCAGTTCTAATATTATGACAGATTTCTGAGAGAATGTCCTCAAGGAGACCTCCACGCAGAAGGTCAACATACGTTTAAAGAAATGTCTGTGGCCAAGAAAAAGAATAAAAAATGGTTTACAGGCTTCCTCTATATCAGAGAGGGCTCCTGTAAGATCCTCGATGATGTTCCATTCATCTTTCTCTTCTGTAAACAAAAGTAGGTGTCTTCCTAATTCAGTTTCAAAACAACATCCCTTCAGTTCCTCACTCTGACCAGGGAAATCTCCATGTGAAAATACACATAGTGCATCTTGCGGCGACTAGATACAAAGCCATGTACAGAAATGAGGCCAGGTGAAGATGGGGAGAATTGAAAAGACAAAAGAAGTAAAGAATGACAGGGTCGAGAAGGCAACATTGATTGAGTGAAAGAATGAGAAGCAGCAGTCAGGAGGTGATTCTCACTTAGGGTAAGTAGGGAGGTGATGGCACACCATTTTGAGTATACTGAATGCTGCTGGGTTGTTCCCACTCCTTTGGTTAATTTTGTGTTATTCAAATTTCACCTCAACAATTACTTGTTTGAAAAAGAGAAAACAAGGCTCTGAGAAACAACTGCAACCCATAATTTATTATTATCCTTGTTCTCTGTTTGATAAATATTTGTGTGTCAAGAGCCCTACCATGGCAATTCCTGCCTTTCCCCTGGCCCAGCTTAGCTCTTACTTCTCCCCACCGAGCTGCTGTACTTCAGAGCCTGCCTGCCCCATGGGGCCTGCCTGCCCCCACTTGCCTGCCCCCACGGGGACCCCTCACCTGAGCTCCTCAGCTTGCCTGAGCTGCTCTGCAAGCTTCTCCTTGAACTGCAGCTCATTCCTCAGCAAAGATTTTATGAGGTCTTTGCACTCTTCACACTCTGAGAAAAGACAGACACGCCTGCCTCAGTGGAAGGCTGGACATGCTGCTGTGGTCACTGCCCACAGGGCAGGAGCCAGGTCCATCCCAAGGACAAAACTGTCCCCAGTACCAGGCCCTAGGAAGGGATTTCCACATCTTTATTCTTCAGTCTCCTGACTTTCTGGCATCTGATCCTCCAAAATTTAGGGACGAAGAAAGAGAAACTCAAGGGCACATCAAGAAAGTTGACAAGATGATTCAACCACAATGAAGTGGAGTCAGAATTCACAGCCCCTGAGGTTTGACTCTGAATGCGGGGCCACTTTCCCAAGCCTTGCAGCCTCTCCTCTAAAACACTGCACTGGGGCATGAAGTAGTGATTTCTTGTACAGTCAGGAAGGCCCCCCAGGACTATGGGAATGATGGTTTCCCTTTTACTGGGAATTTCAAGGACAAATATGTCAAAGATTTTTAAATCATATCTTCAGATATGATTTTAAGAATCATATCTGAAGCATAAAGTATGAGGCATAAGACCATAAGGCCATGAAGGGAATACGCCCAAATGCTAATAAAGTTTGTGTTAATTTAGAAACAGTAGAATGAAGAAGTAATTGATAGTGTTTACTCTGTGCCAATAAATGTTCTAGGAGATTGGCAAGAAATAGCTCATGTAATTCATTGCAGCAATTTACAGAGGTAGGTATTATTGTCGTACCCTGTGAACAGATGAGGAAACTGAGGAACAGACTGAGGGACAGACAAGACAAGTAACTTGGATAGAGCCCAGGAGACAGGCCTAGGGTCCCTGCTCTGAACGCTGTACTTCTACTTCCACACATTCTCAGGTGCGACCTTTCTTCTTCTTTGGGAGCAAGAGCCTGTGCCTCAGGAAGAAGGACTTCCCTCTCAACAGGGTACTCTCTACTTTTTTTTAATTAATTATTTATTTATTTATTTATTTATTTATTTATTTATTTATTTCGACGAGTCTTGCCTTGTCACCCAGGCTCAAGTGCAATGGCGTGATCTTGGCTCATTGCAACCTCTGCCTCCTAGGTTCAAAGAATTCTCCTGCCTCAGCCTCCCGAGTAGCGGGGATTACAGGCGCCGCAACCACGCCCAGCTAATTTTTGAATTTTTAGTAGAGACGGGGTTTCTCCAACTTGCCTAGGCTAGTCTCAAACTCCTGACCTCGTGATCTGCCCAAGTCAGCCTCCGAAAGTGCTGGGATTACAGGAGTGAGCCACAGTGCATGGCCCCTACTCCCTGCTCTTGATGCTGTCACTTATATATACCACATGTTCTATTAGGAGCAGACTGCTCTTGAAGCCCTTCAGAGCGGGTACTGGGTACTATCACCAAGTTTCCCTCAGGGTCACTAGAACAGAGCTTTGCCTATTGGGCCTCAACAGAAGCTTGAACTGAATAAAAGTTCACTTGTCCAGACATTTAGAACAACAGACTAGATGTTATTTGTCTGCAGGATCTTATATAGTACAGAGAGGATTCTTGAAAACATGATTTAGCCTCTTGGAGAAAACAGGTCATTCTGTGCCTGTGTCAGAAATCAATAACTGGGATTTTAACTCTAGTCCCACCCCCAGCTGACTGCTAACATGGAAAGTTGCTAAATACTTTGGTACCTCTGTCTTCCAAATTTAACAAAATGTTAAAATACCCATTTCTATTTTCTTAGATGTACGGGAAGGATGAAATTATTTTTGTTGGAGACAGCATTTAGTTTCTCAGAGAGAAGATAGGGCATTATTCATCACTTTTGTGATGGTGAGCCTATAGAACTTATGGTATTTGTTCTGCCGGTTGGCCAGGAGTAGGCCACTTGAGTTACAAGAAATTTCTCTTTGATGATTCTGAACTGCTGTTTGTTCTCTGCCAGCTGGGGGCGCAATTTCTCATTGATTTCTAGAATGTTCTTTTCTGCCTTCTCACTGGATCAAGGGCTGGCAGACAACACCATGCTGAAGTTTGTGGCAGAAGAGGTGGAGCCAGGGACTGGGGAGAAGAAACCCAAACACATGATGGGTTAAAAACTGGTGAAATCCAATAGGTTTAATCAGGACTGAGGGATGTCAGTAACTGAAATTCTTAACTTACTATTGAGAAAAATGTGATCACTCCCCACAGCACTTTAGGATCCTTCACCACAAAAACAAGGTTTGAGGTGCCTGAACTCAGAGCTGAAGGCACTCACTACCAGTAGCTCAGACTCTGACAAAAGTAAGGAAGATTGTGGCCAGCGTGCCAGGTAACCGTCTGCAGTTGCAATAACAGAATTAGAAGATAGGGGTGTCATGGAATCTTAGGAGCTCTGCGTTGCAATTGCCCAGGCTTTGCTGAAACTCAGGCACCCTGGTCTCACCTGAGGGTCACCACCAATGAAGATTATTCCTTCAGCATTCACTCTCAGTATTCGTGTACCCCTGTGACAATGCCACAGACCCATCTCTTTCCCAATACATCTAAGCATATTCCTCACTGTTTATCTCTTGTCTGTACAACATCATCAAGGCAAACAGTTTCCCAACAGGTTATATTTTCTTAATCGTAGTCATGAAGTCACCCCACCTGCTCTAAGTTAAAACAGAACTTAAGGCTTTTCCACAAGTCTAAGGTATCAAACTTTTAGCTTGCCCTGATGTCCTCTGGGTCTTCTGCAGTTTTTTCTGTATCCACTAGAAAGTGAATGAATAATCCATTTTTTAAAAATGTTTTCTTTCCTGTCTCGGTATTCTTCTTGCTGCATCCCATTGTTATGTTGATTCCTTTTTTTCTTACTGGGGCACCATCTTGGCTTTTCATTACACTCTAGACAAGTATGACATCCCTACATCCAAAACTCTTCCTCTGTGTGGGGTGATTTGTTTTTTAATGTCACTGAACACTACATTTTATACTTGTCACTTATGGATGTCATTCTAGTGCTACAAGAGCTCTTTTCAAGGTATCAAGTGATCAAAATCATTTACATAGGGATCTCCTGAAAACATGTGTGACCATCTATCTTGGGAATTTTTGTAAACTGATGCTATTTTGTTGTTTCCATTTTGTTTTCCCATATACTGAAAAGAACAGGACCACGAGCAGTTCTTATGGAATATGGTTTGATATATTTTGTTGAGTTGGACTAATACCATTGATTTTTGGTTGCATTCCACTAACAGAACATGACAAGATCAAGGTTATGGTCAGGGTTGCTTGCTGATCCTCACTGTTGCTGTGCAGTAGAAGGTGAGTTTGAGGTGAAAGGCGTGAGTAGGAAAGAGTGATCCCCTGAACCACCTCCTCACTTTCTCAGCTTTCATCCCACCTAGGTTTTGTGAGCCTGGAACTTGGGAGAATGTTCTGTAGCCCAGGTCTCCTAAGATTGGCTGCTGGACTTGCCTGAGTTGAGGATGCAGTGGGTGTGAACCTGGGCTGCCCAGCATTCATGTGGAAGTGAAGGAAGGAGGACTGGATCAATCCCATTTGAAAGCATCCCTCCCTGCAGCCCGCACCATCCTCCAATGACACTATGAGGACACTGCTTTGAGATGTATCAAAGGCTTTAAGTCAATGTATTTTCTGGGGTCTGGGAGACCTGACATTCTGTTTCAGAATGAAAATCTGTCAGGTTTATTCATTTTACAAATGATAAAACTGCAAGTTCACAAAGTTACATGGCTTACATGAGGTCACACAAAGATGAGTTTTCAGCACTGCCAATAAAAGCAATCACAATAATTATTCAGTAATTATTCATAGAATCCATATAATTCGTAAACATTCACATAATTATTTAGTAATTATTCATTGACCAATTCATACAAGGCATTTTGCTCAAAACTGTGCTCATATTTGGACATTGTATCTTCATCATAATCCTTAAGGTAACGCTATTATCCGTAAGTAACAGGTAAGAAACCTGAAGAAGAGGAATAGCAAATCATGTATTTGGCCATATTTCCATTTTTTGGTTTTTGTGATGCTGGAAGAATGACCAGAATGAGTCACGGGAAGAATATTCATTCCTGTATTATTCTCCAGGACAGAGGTGTGCTCTCCTAGAGTACTGGGGCCAAAATTCAGAAGTGTCCGCAACCTTGCTTTAACAGTATGGGAAATAACCTCTATCACCTGGAATTTCCCTGGAACTTTGGAATATACAAGAGAAGTATGAGATTTGGGTCTTCCTTTGGCTGTGTTTAATTCACTCTTCTATGGAATACCAATGATTCTCACTAAGACTTCTGCCTTTTTATAACCACAATGTATGTTATGGAGAAGATTTTATACTTTGCTCTATTTAGAAAGAATAAATATGAGCAATGGTTTAGGTTTTAGGTCCTGGACTTAATATTTTTCTGATTTCTGTTTTGAGATTAAATTCTCATGTAAATAGAAAAATACTTATTATTTCTTATAAGGCCAAGTTTGTTATTAGTTTGAGTTTTCAAAAATGAAGCACAAACTTTTGATTTTATCTTTGTCTGTCCCCATCAGCGCCACTCATTGTCTATCAGTATGACCTGGACTTGCCCCTGCACTTAACCTCATCCTGCTGAGCCATCTCCAAGCACTGTCCAATTCCGTCAGTGATTCTGGCTCCTCCCAAGGCTCCCTGAAATGGATGCAGGGATCAGGACATCAGACACATTCCAGACACAAAGGCAACCCAGACTGTAGAGCAGGCAGCTGTGTTCCCACTACCCTAATGTTCCAGTGATGTCCTAAAACTGAAAGGAACACTTTCCCTTTTTAGGGGTCTGTTCTTCATGTCTCAATGCCTCTGGTCTAGTTAACACAACTGTTCTGTAAGTGAAAGAACTTGCTAAATTTCTGGTTTCTTGTTAGGTGGCTAGAATAGGTTTATAAGACTTCCTTACTTACCCATGACTGCTGAAGTTTGAATTCTTAACAGTATGATTCTTTTTCTTGTAAGATGAGCAGTTTAGGAAAGATAGGCCATGTTGCTGTGCAAAAAGAGGTAAACTTAATTTCTACTCAAAGCATGCTTGAATTTGAAGCTAGGGCTTCCATTCTTCCAAAGTTGGACTGTCACTGCCTCAGGCATGTGTTCCGAAGGGCTTGTGTCTCTGCTGTACTCAAAATAAAGTTTAAATGGAGCCCAGCAAGCCAGATCTCCTTTAGTTCTAGGTTCCCACAACAGTTTCTCCTCTGCTTTAGAGACTGCATTGAAAATATTCTTGTTCTGCTGTTGTGTTTTGGCTTTGGAATGATGTGATGCAGCTCAGTGGGTCCTACCCCCAAGTTGATCAGAGTAAGAAACACCTGGGAAAGTCAGTGCAAATACAAGTTCATTGTCCTCCTTGCAGGGATTTGGAATCAGAGGGCTCAGGTGAGGCCTGGAATGTGTCTGTTAACATGACTCAGATGTGCAGTCAATTTGGGGACCCACTGATAGCATCGACCTTACAGTTTATGGGATGATTCTTTCTGTTTTGCTGATGAAAAAACTGAGGCACAGAGAGTCTGTAACTTTCCCAAGTTCCCCTTGCTGTAAGTCCTGGAGCCAGATATCAGGTGGAGCAGCCTCTTCCCCATCACCTTCCCACATTTTCAGCTGGGTCAGTTCTTTCCAAGTACGTGTTTCTCTCCCCTATACCTCATTTCTGAAAAAAGGAAAACTTCTAGAATGTAACTTCTTTCATCTAATACATTTCCTCAAAACTTGCTGCCAGCATCATATTCTGGCCACTTATTATTAAAGTGAGATGCCTTTTTTTTTTTTTTTTTTTTTTGAGACAGGGTCTTGCTCTGTCGTCCAGGTTGGAGTTGGTGATTATAGATCACTGCAACCTCGAACTCCTGGGCTCAAGCGATCCTCCTGCCTCAGCTTTCCAAGTAGTTGGAACTCTAGGCACACATCACCATTTCTGGCTAATTTTTTATTTTTCATAGAGACAAGGTCTTGCTATGTTGCTCAGGCTGGTTTTGAACTTCTGGCCTCAAGTGATCCTCCCACCTAGGCCTCCAAAAGTGCTGGGATTACAGGAGTGAGTCACCAAGCCTGGCCCCTGAAATGCTTTTTTTTTTAATTTTTTTTTTTAATGAAAATACAGGACATGGAGATGTGGAAAGACACCTTGCTTTATTACTGTTGTTATTATTATTATTTCTACAGTATAATTCATATATCACAAAATTCACCATTTTTAAGCATACATTTCAGTGTCTTTTACCATATTTCAAAGTCTCACAACCATCACCACTACCTAATTCCAGAATATTTTCATAATGCCAAAAGCATGCCTGTATGGGCAGTCACTCTCCAATTCCCCCCTTCTTGCGGTCTCAGACAACCACTAATCTACTTTTTCAATATACAGATGCACTTGTTCTGGGCACTTCTTCTATATGGAATAACAAAGTGTGGCATTTTGCATCTGGTTCTTAGCATATTGTTCTCAAGTTTTTTTAGCCTGCATTAGTACTTTAACTTTTTTATGGCCAAATAATATTCCACTATATGGTTATACGACATTTTGTTTATTCATCAACTGATAGTGCTTTAAGATGTTTCCACTTTTTAACTCTTATGAATAATGCTGCCATCAACACCTTTGTACATGTTTTTGAGGGAACACCTGTTTTTCATTTTCTTGGTTGTAAACCTAGGAGTGCAATTGCTACATCATATGTCACTTTATGTTTAACTTATTTTATGTTTAACTTTTTGAGGAACTCACACACTGTTTACCAACTTCAGTAGCTATGCCATTTTACATTCCCAATAGTAACATATGAGAATTCCATATTCTCCATAACTTTCCAAACATGTGTTTTCTTTATTTTTTTCCTAAGTCATACTAGTAGGTGTGAAGTGGTATCTCATTTTGGTTTAAAATTACATTTTCCTAATGAAAAACGTTGAACATCTTTGCACGTGCTTCTTGGCCATTTGTGTGTTTCCTTTAGAGAAACCTCTACTCACAGCTTTTTTCCCATTGTTAAATTTGGTTGTCATTTATTGCTCAGTTATATGAATTTCTTATATACTCTAGGTACTAGACCCGTGTTAAATACATAATTTGGAAATAGTTCTCCCATTCTGTGGATTATCTTTTCACTTCCTTGACAGTGTCCTTTGAAGCATATAAGATTTTTATTTTAATGAAGTCCATTCATCTATTTTTGGGTTGTTTGTGCCTACTTAAAAAATGTCTAATCCAAAGTCACAAAGATTTGTACCTATGTTTTCTTACAAGACATCATTTTTAGAATGAGAAATTTCCTTGGTTTTAGTGGAGGGCAGACATTGTTTATGCCTCCTGTCCATTACCGATGTTTCTCCTGATTGTTATTCATATGCTCACCACCCCTCCATGGAGCATCCCACGGCCTGTAACAGAGCTCTGGGGACTGATATCCTTCCACTGACTTTGGAGCTGGTGAGAGCCCTGGTCATGTGATTCAGCTTAGCCTTAACCCGACCCAGTTGCACATATTCCTCAGGGCCTTCAGAGTTGAAGTCGAGAGGCTCTCTGAGAACGCTTGCCAGCCCATGCTGTTTTAAGGCTGGAGCAAACTTCCTCCATCTATTCCAGACAGAGGGGACTGCAGGGGTAGGAGTCAGTCAAGACATCTCTGGTGTTAGAAAGTAGAGCTGTTTCAGGGTTTGGGGAAGATTGTTCAATTAAACTAAGTCCTCTTTGTTTTTACTGTATGTGTGACTTCTTTCTACAAACAAAGGAAGAATATTTATGTTAGAACATTTTATCTATTCTTTATCAATTGTTTGTCTACAATTTTAACGTGGATAAAGGAGAGCTCAGTGTAAATATATTCTTAAAAACTAATTATGGTTCATGTCCACTACCATGCGATCATATTTAAATCTATGAACTATCCTGTTACTTAGGTATTATCCTGCTCCTGATGAGAAAACAAACTCAGAAAGATTGCAAAATTTCCCTAGGTCACAAAACCAGTGAGGAGAGGAATAAGAATTAGAAACCAGTTCCTTTTGGCCTTCAAAGCTAACCATATACCATTAGATCAAACTGATTTACATACTTTTGCTGGAATTAGTCTCAGAGTTCATGGTTCTCGCTTGATTTTCCCAAGGAAACTGTGCCACTTTAATATCATTTCAAACTTTGAAATTTAAACTCTTTTTTATTATACTTTTTTGTCTTTGTTCTGTTCCATTTCTTTTGATTTCTTCTCAACGAATCCCTCTTATTTATATGCTAAATATTTGTTACCTATTTTCTGTCAATTTTCACATTTTTGAGTGTTTGTTTTCTCTCTGTTGTATGCTAACAGTTCTTCATTGAGATACAATTTGCATAGAGAATACTGCAAAAAACCTAAAGGTACAGCTTTATAAATTTTAATATAATTATACATTGTATAATAACACCCAGTTAAAGACAGAGAACATTTTCCCCCATGCCACAAGGCTCTTATGTGGTCCTTGCCAGTCAATACTCATCCCCCAAATGAAGAATATATTCTGAATGTTGTCACTGCCTTAGTCCCTTTGTGTTGCTGGAAAGGAACACCAGTGGCTGGGTAATTTATAAAGAAAAGAGGTACATTTTTCTCATGGCTCTACAGGCTGCACAAGAAGCATGGAACCTGCATCTGCTCCTGATGAGGGCCTGAGGCTGCTTCCACTTGCAGCAGGTGAAAAGGAACCAGTGTGTGCAGAGATCATATGGTGAGAGAGGAAGCAAAAGAAAGTGAATAAGGTGAGAGGCACTTTTTAATAACCAGCTCCTACAGGAACTAAGAGAGTGAGAATTCACTCACTACCTTCTCCCAGGGTGGGGATTAATCTATTCATGAGGGATCCACTCCCGTGACCTAAACACCTCCCATTAACCCCCACCTCCAACACTGGGGACCACATTTAAACATGTGATTTGGAAGGGACCAATATTTAAACTATAGAAGCCGCCAGAGATTAATTTTGCTTATTCATGTGCTTCATGAAAATGAATCATTTTGGCCAGTCCTGGTGGTTCACGCCTGTAATCCCAAGACTGCGAGGCTGAGGCGGGCGGATCACCTGAGGTCAGGAGTTCAAGACCAGCATGGCCAACATGGCAAAACCCTGTCTCTACTGAAAATACAAAAATTAGCCAGGCGTGGTGGCAGGTATCTTTAATCCCTGCTACTTGGGAGGCTGAGGCAGGGAAAGTTTGTTGAACCTGGGAGGCGGAGCCAAGATCGTGACACTGCACTCCAGCCTGGGGGACAGAGTGAGACTCCATCTCAAAAAAATTAAAAAATGGAATCGTTGAGTATGTTCTCTTGTTCTGACTTCTCTTACTCAGGTGGTTTTGTATGCCACTAGTTTGTTTGATTGTGTTTTTCCCTCGTTTCATTTTGTTTTGGCCAAGTAATATCCTATTGATTGTATGATTGTCACACAATTTGATATCCATTTTTCTGATGGGAGACAGGTTTACTTGTTGGCTGCTGTGCATAAGTAACTATGAATATTCTCATACAATTATTTCTGTGAAGATACATACTTATTTTCCAGGGTATCTATAGCTAGGGATAGAGTTGCTTGGTGAATGTGTAGAAAATGGGCACAGAGTTTTGCAAAGTAATTGTATTATTTTACATTTCTATGAAAGATGTAGGCCATTTCCCATTGCTCTACATTCCCACACACTTAATATTTTCAGCCTTTTATATATAGCCATTCTACAATTGTGTAGTGATATCCTGTTTTGGTTTTCTCAGGCCTAATGTTCATTTAGATATCTTCTTATGGAAAATATCTTCTCAAATTTTTATGTTCGTTGATATACTGGGGTGTTTGTCATTTTCTTTGTAATCTATAGCCATTCTTTATATATTTTGAATGAGTCCATTTATATATACATTTTTTTTTTTTGCTATATTACATTGCAAATAATTATTCCTGGTCTACAGATAGCTTTTAAGTTGTTAATCAACAACATAGTAAGTAGAAGGTTTTTAAAAATGAAGTGCAATTCACTTGATTTCTTATTGTGGTGAGTGCTACAGTATCTAGTCTAAGAAATATTTTCCTATGTCAAGTTCATGAAACTATTTCCTATTTTTCCTTTACAGGATTTCTAATTTTAACTTTCACATCTTAAGTTAATTTCAATGTATGATGGAGAATGGTTGTTAATATTAACTTTTTAAAACAACAAATATTATTTCACTCAAAACCATTTTACTTAAAAGTCTTTCATTTCCCCAATGAAAGGCATTGGTGTCTTTGTTTTTAAAACATTTAGAAGTGGCAGTGCGAGCATGTTCTCACTCATGAGTGGGAATTGAACAATGAGAACACTCGGACACAGGGCGGGGAACATCACACACCAGGGCCTGTCATGGGATGTGGGGCTGGGGGAGGGATAGCATTAGGAGAAATACTTAATGTAAATGATGAGTTAATGGGTGCAGCAAACTAACATGGCAAATGTACACCTATGTAACAAACCTGCACGTTGTGCACATGTACCCTAGAACTTAAAGTATAATAAATAAATGAATAAATATATATATTTTTTTAAAAGAGTGGCAGTGCGAGGGCTGCTGCACAGCTAGCAGAGCCGTGGTGAGGACGGCAGCGCCTGTCCCGAGCTCTCCGCCTCCCCTGCCCGCCAGCCCAGGCGGCCCCAGCAGCAGTGACCAGAGGAGCCCCTGCAGCAACGCAATGGCCAGGTGGATGCCTCCATCTACAGCCCTGTGGCGGATGGGACCTGTTAGGACATCACCATCATGGGCAACAAGGACTTGAACTGGGCTGCCATCTCAGGGAAAACCTTCGCCAACATCACCCCAGCTGAGGTTGGTGTCCTGTTTGGCAAAGACTTGTCAAGCTTTTTCGTGAATGGGCTGACACTTGGGGGCCAGAAATATACTGTTGTCCCGGACTCACTGCTGCAGGATGGGGAATTGACCGTGGATCATCATATGAAGAGCATCAGTGGAGCCCCACCTTCAGTGTCACTATCACCATGACTGCCAAGACGCCAGGCCTGCTGATGGGCAAAGAAGGAGTCCACGGTAGTTTCACCATTTCATAACAAAGGAATGTTATGAAATGGCCTCCCACCTTCAGCGTTCCCAATACTGACCTCCTTTGTTCCTTCCCCTCCACTGCTTCCCACAGCTTTGCCCCACTTTCCTTCTCATACATACACCATTTTAATTTCAGGGACCATTACTCCACACACCTTATTGCTGCCAAAACAACATGGGCTGGGGGCCAGGGATAGATGGACAGACACCTTCCCCTACCTATACCCCTCTTGTGTGTGGTTGGAAAACTTTTTTCTTTTGAGGAATTTTTTAGGAATAAAAAAGATTCTACTAAAAAAATAAATAACTATACATATGTTTGAATGTATAGTTTGAATCTGTATTCTTTTCCTTTGATATATTTATGAATACTTACAACAGTACTACCATTTTTAAATTACTTTAAAATCAGGTTTGAAATCTAGCAGAGAAAGTGCTCCAACATATTGCTTCTTTAAGACCAACTTGCCTATTATAGGTTCTTTGATTTTCAAATACATTTTGAAATTAGCTTTTAAATTTCTCTAAAATCTCCTACTAGAAATATTAATCAGAATTGTGTTGATGTAATATGCTAACAAAATTGAGTCTTCCAATCAATGAACATGATATCCATTTCTCTATTTAGTCTTCTTTAATTTTTCTAACCAATTGCTTTTAGGGGCCTTGTGCCTGCTTCATTGCATGTATTCTTAAGCATGGAATGATTCCGGCTATTAATCTCTATTATGTTTTATTGAATTTCATTTTCTAGCTGCTAATTGCTAGTATGGAGAAATTAAGATGATGAAATCAACTTTATAAAGGTTTAATTTAGGTACAACAGACTGCACCACTTTAAAATGCATAATTCAATGCATGTTTACAAACGTATACACTAATGGAACTACTGCCACAACCAAGATAGAGGAATTTATGCCCCAAAGTTTCTTGTACCCCTTTGCAGTTCATCAGTCTTTCAACCCTCGTGCCCAAGTAACCGCTGTCACTTCAGGTCCGTTTCCATTTTTAACCATTTTCTATAAATGAACTAATACCTGCGTTCTTTTGTATCTGCCTTCTTTCATGCATCAACGTAATTTTAAAATCCATCCAGATGAGTATTTTCATCAATAGTTAATGCCTTGTAATTGCTGAGTAGTATTCCTTCATGTGGCTATACCATGTATGTTTGTACTTTCACTTGTTATTGGACATTTCTATCATTCCATGTTTGGGCTATTATGAAGAAACTATCATGAGCATCCATACGTGGCAGGCCAGGTCTCACTAACACAGGCCTCCCTAACAATTATTTCCGTACCGACTGAGTGGTTCAGTTAAATATTAAGAGGAAGGAGAAAAAAAAACCAGTGCCCTTATACAAAGGCTGGAATGTAACAAAAGCCCACCAAGAGTTTTGCCTAGGCTTTTCCTGGACCTTAAAGCATGACAAAATAATGAGGGCATTCTTAACAGGAGTCGTTTAGTATGAAACAAGTTTTATTGGGGGTCTGAAGAAACTCCCCAGGCCTCCAGAAACAAGTTTATTGGAGGTCTGAAGAAACTCCCCAAACCTCTGTGATTTAGCAGGAGACAAGACAAGGGTCCCCAGCACCTAGACCCATTTAGATTAAGTGAATTTACTGAGGCTCCAGAGGAAGGTCTTCAGGACTCAGACCTTAGTTATAGATTAAAAGAAGTTAATCACTTATGTATTTACAGGAATGCACACTTCCACATGCACATATAGCTTAGAAGGTATATAAGCTCAGGAAAACTTTGTAATTTTGAGTTGGTCTGGTGATAATTTCCAGGCCTTTTCCCTGTAACCAGTTGCAGAAGTAAAAATTCTCTTCCTCCCCAGTTCATCAGCATCTTGTTACTGACACACAAGAAATAGCAGCCCGCCCCTCAGTTTGGTCTGGAAACAGACATACAGATCATTGTGCAGACACAGCGTGTAAATTCCTAGGAATGGAATGACTGTCCATCTCATTGGTACATGTTTAACCTTTAAGAAACTGTTAGATTTTCAGTCATACCATTTTTCATTCTTACAAGTATAAAACTTCCAAGTGCTTTAATCCTCACCAATATGTGCTATTTTCAGCATTTTTAATTTTAGCCATTCTCATGGATATGTACTGGTATCTCATTGTTGTATTGATTGATCTCCCTGATGACTAAACAGTAGAGCATCTTTTTCTATGTTAATTGACCATTCATGTATCTTCTTTTCTGAAGTATCTATTCAAGTCTTTTGAGAAATTATTTCATTGTGCTGTTTATCTTATCAGACTGCAATATATATAGTATATATGTATAGCATATATATACTATATATATAGTGTATATATATAGTATATATATAGTGTATATATAGTATATATATAGTGTATATATATAGTATATATATAGTGTATATATATAGTATATATATATAGTGTATATATAGTATATATATAGTGTATATATAGTATATATATAGTGTATATATATAGTATATATATAGTGTATATATATAGTATATATATAGTGTATATATATAGTAAATATATGTGTGTGTGTATATTATATATATACACTTTTAAAAAACCTTTGTTGGAGATATATATATCTCCTATATTGTGGCTTCTTTTTATGTTCTCTTAATGTTCCCTATTAGGAGAACAATAGATAATCTTCAAAAAGGTGAATATATATATATATACACACACATATATGTGTGAGTGTGTGTGGGTGGGTGGGTGGGTATGTACACATATATATATGTCCTAAGAATCATTAATTAGACATATATGTGAGTATCTATTTCTGGATTCTCTCTTCTCTTCCACTGGTATATATTGTATTTTTTTTTTCAACAAAACACATGATCTTGATTTTCATAGCTGTAGAGTAATTCTGGAAATAGGTAGTGAATTCATTCACCATTATTCTTTTATAATATTGCTCTTTTATTACTCTTGATCATTGACATTACCATATAAATGCTAGAATCAGCTTGTAAATTTCTACCAAAATGCTGCTTGGAATTTTTACTAGAATTGCATTGGATCTGGAGATCAATTCATGAAGAACTGACTTTTTAAACATAACAACTCTTCTGATCCATGACAAGGCTTATCTCCCCACTAATTTAGTTCTTTCATAATTTCTCAAAGCAATTTTTTTGTAGTTTTTGGTGTACTGGCCTTACATAGATTTTGTTGACTTTCTTTTTTCTTTTTTTTTTTTTTGAGACAGAATCTCACTCTGTTACCCAAGCTGGAGTGCAGTGATGTGATCTTGGTTCACTGTAACCTCTGTCTCCCAGGTTCAAGTGATCCTCCTACCTCAGCCTCCCAAGTAGCTGGGACTACAGGCACATGCCACCATGCCCAGCTAATTTTTTGTAGTTTTAGTAGAGACAGGGTTTCACTGTGTTAGGCATGATGGTCTCAATCTCCTGACCTCATGATCTGCCCACCTCGGCTTCCCAAAGTGCTGAGATTACAGGTGTGAGCCACCACACCCAGCCTGTTGAATTTATTTATAACCACAACATGTATTTAGATGTTACTTTAAATGAAATTGTATTTTTATTTCATTTTCCAAATGCTCACTGCTAATATACAGAAATACAAAAGACTACTTATATTGAGCTTATATTTTGCAACACTACCAAACTCACTAATTAGTTTTGGTAGATTTTTGTAGATTTCTAGGATTGTTAACACATATAGACATTATCCGTGAATAAAGACAGCTTCAATTCTTTATTTTCAACCTTTTCAATACTTTTATTTATTTTTCTTACTTTATTGCATTGATTTAGAGCTCTAGTATAATGCTGAATTGAAAGAGTAACAACAGATATTCTACTTTTTTCTCTGATTTAATGGAAAAGCATTCAATCTTATGCCATTTAATATAATGTTACCTGTGGGTTTTTCAAATCTGCCCTTAATGGGGTTGGAAGTGTTGCCTTCCGTTCTTATCATGCTGAGAGTTTTCTGGGGTTTGTTTTTATAAATCATGAAAAAAGTTTTCAATTTTGCCAAATGCTTTTACTGTGTATGATGAGGCAATCATACAGTTTTTCTCTTTTGCCCTGATAATATATAAAATTATACTTTTTAAATATAAAAAAGATTTCTTGAATCAAGCTAGGACAGTTTTTTTAATTATAAACTTTTAACAAATATATTGAAATATAACTTACATGCAATTGAGATGCATTAAAGTGTGTAATCACTAAAGTGTATAATTAAAGTGTATAATTTTAAGAGTTTGAGCACAGTATGCATGAGCCAAAGAGAAAGGACAGAAAATACTAAGTATGTCTCAGCATATGTGGTCTATCTTGGTGAATGTTCTATGTGAGTTTGAGAAGAGTTATTTGTTAGCTGTTCTTAGATGTATTTTGCTTAAATGTCGACTTGGCTAACTTGTGTCATTGATTGTGTGAATTAATTTTGTTCTAGTGGGCATTAAAATTACTGTCTGATCACATTGGACTTATGTGGACTTGGTTTATGTTTTATTACAGTGGATTCATGGAAAGCCAACAGCATTTCCCAAGACTCTCTAATTTGGTAGGACTCAATCACCAATCCACCCCTTTGTGGATGGTGTCAGGGTTTCGTTTTAGCCTTTACTAGGGCTGGTCTAGAATAGGCCTTATTGTAAAGGGTGACACTTATTCCTAAAGCACAGCCTTTCCAGTGTCTCAATTGGATACCTGGATGCTAATGAGGTGTGCATGAGTTCTTCCCACCCTGGATGGCAGGAACTCCATCATCCATTCCCCAACCCTCTTCCACCACAAGTACTTCTGGTCCAAACTCAACTTTATAGCAGCCACTCCTATGTTAAATCTGTTAGTCTTTTTCTTGTGCAGGTACAGTCCATTCCTTGATAAGTATGCACATGGAACCCCACATGGACTTCGAGAGCTGCCCCTCTGAACAGCTGTCTCCTATTGGTGCCCTGCCCTGCAGATTGGAATTTCTTCAGTGACCTTGAACTCTGATCTCTGCCTTCTCAGCTCAGTGGGGATGCCCTGCTCTGAGAGGACTCTAGCCTACTGTGCAGCTGCTGAGAAATTCTCCCCAGACAAAAACTAGGAAATCATGGGGCTTCCACCTTAAGTTTCCTGTTGTACTGCCTGTTGTCCACTGTCTGAAAACAATTTTATGTTTGTTTATGGAGGCAGTCTGATATGACTTATTCTAACAGATAGAAGTAGAAATCTGTTATAGTCTTTTAATTACTGTGTCTTTATAGTATTATGGTAGACAGAATCCTAAGATGAGCTGCAGTGATCTTTGCTCTTATATAATCACTTCTTCCTGAGTGTAGACAAAGCCAGCGATGAGATATCACTCCTGTGATTGTGTTACAATTTATGGCAAAAAAGTTAGCAGATGTAATCGAGATCCCAAATCAGTCGAATCTAAGACAGAGAGATTATCTTATGAGCTTGACCTAAAGAAGGTGAATTCCTTGGAGGGACTGAGGTCTTCCTGGAGAAATGTGAAGTGCAGGAGGGTTTCCAGGCAGGGTGATTCTCCTCTGCTGGATGGAGAAAGCATGCAGTGGGAACGTGGGAGGCCTCTAGGAGCAGCAAGAGGCCCCTGGCTGACAGCCAGCAAGAAAACAGAGATCTCAGTCCTGCAGTCACAAGGAACTGAACTCAGCTGACAACCTGAGGAAACTTGAGAGGAAGTTCTTCCCCAGACCCTCCAGAAAGAAACCCAGCCTAGTTTCAGCCTGTGAGGCCCTGAGAAGAAGACCCAGCTAATCCAGGCCTGAACTTCTGATCTGTGGACACTGCAAGAAAGTAAATCATTGTTATTGTAACCCTCTAAAGCTTGCAGTAATTTAGTATGCAGCAATAGAAAATTAATAAAAGTAAAATGGAGAAGACTTTGGAGTGGGGACAAGAATGAAATGGTGGTAGAGGGATGCCTGTATGCTGAGATGGTTGATGCCTGTATGGTTGAATTGGGTCTACCATTCCTCATCTAATTAGCTATGGTCTATTAAGGTGCATAGCTATACATGAATATTGGTACTAGGTGAATCCAGAGGAATAAGATATTGCATTCTTGAGAGTAGATGAGAACACCCTGAATTGGTGGTCACCGTATCATATGTCATATATCAGGTCCCTCTGGGAAGGCCAGAGGAAGATTTACAGGATACACTAGTGACAACATTGAAGGCTTCTTTCTTCCCCAAAGGGAACCAACCTCCCCTCAGTCAAGACGTTCCAAGTCTCTGAACTGGATGCCAGGTTATAAATTCCCACTATACCGACTCCATCAAGCTTCTGTCCTCAGAACTAGAGTTTATCAGTAAAAGATAGACTCATGGGAGTCTAGGCATTTATTATCTTATTTTATATAAATCAGCTAATGTGCATGAACAAAACAGACTTTGAAGAAAGAAAGTCACAGTTACCACAGGAAAACAGCTTCGACATCCTCATGAGTCGTCATGGGTGTTCCATTGGGAGGACTTGATATGAGGCTTTCCTCCTCATGGGTTAGTACAGATCTGGGGGAAATGTCATCAAGTACTCGATTCAGAGTGTAGCAGCTGAGGCTGTTGATTCGTTAGGCCTCCTGCAGCTGGAGATGCAAGTAGTGCATTTTCAGGGCCACCACATGTGCCCTTAGGCTAGCATTCTTCAGAGCCAGAATCCAAAAAGCCACAGAAGCTCTGAGTATTTCCCTTTCCTCGGTCACCCACATAAATGGCTTCAGGTCCTTCTGGGGAAGGCCTGGAGGAAGATTTACAGCATACACTTGTGGCAGCATTGAAGGCTTCACTCTTTCTCAAGGGATCCAATCTCCTCTCTGTCAAGAATCTCCAGGTATCTGAACTGGATGCCAGGTCATAAATTCCTACTATGGTCTCTGTCCTCAGAACTAGAGCTTTTCTAATTATTACATACATTGATTTCTTAGTAGATTTCCCATCCATTACATTCCCAGACACCTCACGATGATTAGTAATCACCACAGATCCCTGCCTCTCAAGGAAATTCCTCCCACCTTGTTTCTAGATGGCCGCGTACCACTGCCTGTCCTCTACTCTTCCAGAACCCTATTGTTCTCCCTGACAGCAGGGAGGGCAAATCCATGCAGCATCTCCCGCCATGACCTCCAGCCTGCAGAGGAGAGGTGCCACAGGACCTTTACACGCATGCCACTGTTCCCCTCACCTGTGCATTTCTTAATGCCTTGGCGAGGAGAATGTCCCTGGATCTTCATTAGTGGGAGCTAAAGGAACAAAGGTAAATAATGCTATGGGATCCACTGAAAATTGGGGCTGTGGAAAAGTGGCCACTGAAGTAAGACAGATGAAGCTATTGTCAGATACTCAGTGCCAGAGCAGGGAGGGAGAGGAAAGAAATACAGACCTCACCTGCCTCTCACTTCCAGGCTCCATCAGGTGCCCCTCATTGCTAAACCTAACTAGAAGTGTGCATGCAGGGGAGCCAGGGATGCATTTTAGAAGGGTAAGCCCTGAGTGGCATAAGACAGGATGGAAATGAGTGGAGAGTGGATCTGTGGGAAGAAGGAGGGGATGTTATTGGGAAACAAAAGGAGAATACTAGCTAATAATGCTAGGTGACACTAATATTCCAAAGTCTGTGCTCATATTCAGAAAAGAAAGTTCAGCAGAAAGCACTAAACTAGGAGTCAAGATATTATATTTTCAACTGTTGTTCCAACAGCCATATTATAAAGGAACAGTTTATTTCATGCCTTTCTAATTTGACCTAAAGTGCCAGGTGGCATTGGGGCTGGCACAGCCTTGCTCAATTATGTGTTGAAGAGTACACAGAGACTGCCAGGCTGAGGGAAGATGCAAAAGAATAGAAGAGACGCTCTCAGGGAACAAGAGACCACACGGCCCCAGAGTCAGGGGCAGCATCAGCCACTGTTGGCTGCTCATTTCCCAGACAGAGCCCACAAGCCTCAGCCATGCTTTGCTTCTGCAAGATGCTTCTTCACCTTTTCAATAAACCTGCCTGAATTTAAGCTGATAGGGGTTTATTTCTCCTTCATCATAAATGAAATTTTTCACCACAACAATCTCCAGTGAATTGTGGGCACAGCAGGCAGGTGCATCCCTGCTTCTGTTCCACTACCTCCCCTGTAGGTTGAAAAGGAGGAGGTACTGAATTACCTCCAAATGTTCCTCTCGCTCTGATATTCTGTGATTCTGGTTTCTTTTCAGCTACTTTGTTTTTGGAAGCATGTATCCTAAGGCATCCAGCTGAACAACCTTTGTCTACTGTGTCCAGGCATTCCTGGTGGTATTTCAGACAAGACTCTCTGGGATTGCTGCACTCACAACCACTGAAACAATTCTATGACCATCCATTTCATGGCTACATGTTTGCTCATTTTGTGTGTTCATAAAGGGAGGGGACAGACAGCAAACTTGCATGTTACAAATTGTATCATCTTAAAAAGGAAACAAGGCAACACTTTGCAATAAAACCTTAAGATGCATTAAATTTAAGCCTAATGCAATAAAGAATGCCCATAAAATTCTTATCTAAAGAATGCTTAGAAAATTGTTGAACAAGGGACATCATCATTTAAAGTGATATGAAGAAACCTTCTTAGCTAAGCATATGGGCTAGATTAGAGAGAAAATAAAGGACCCATCTCTTCCCTGGAAAAACTACTGATAGCATCTTTCAAAAAGCTCTCTGTGATTGAGGATGCACCTTGATCCATAGGCTCACATTTGATTGCAACCGGCAGCTACTTCTTGGCATTGACATTGCATTCCCAACTAGTAAATCCTTCCAAGATCTGAGTTTCTGCAGATATGATATTATTTTTTTTGACCATCCTTATCTTCAAAGGCTACCAAAAAGGAACAAAGATTTTATTTACCTCCCCAAGGGAAAAGGTTTTACCAATGAGACACTTTCTTACCATGACCCCAGGGCCCCCTATGCCCTGTTCACTTGAGTGCCCTGTGTGGCCTGACAGAAGCTCATGCTGGTCACAGGATTTGTTACATAATTAACCTCCTTCCTGAATCCCAACTTCATGGTGGTGGTGATGACAGGTGTCCTGTATCCCAGGCTCATGTCCCTGAAGTCATCAGCCTGTCTCCAGTTAGAAAAAATTACATGTATATAGCGAGGTCTCTTTGGAAGTAGCAAAAGCTTTCTCACCTTCATACATTAATGGTTGGAATGTACAATAGTATAAACACTTTGGGAAAAAATGTCTGGCATATTCTTACAGAACTAAACAACTACCTATTCTATGACTCAGTAATTCCTAAGCATTTATCCAAGAGAAATTAAAACATATGCCCAGAAAATGATTTATACAAGAATGTTCATAGCAGTTTTATTCACAATAGGAAAAACTGGAAACATTCAAGTATCTGTCAATACAAGAATGGATCAATAAACTTTGACACATTCATTCCATGGAATGGCTAAAGGAACAAACTGTTGACACACAAAACAACATGGATGAATCTCAAAAACATTTTGAGTGCAACAGGAGCCACACACAAAAGAGTGTGAGAAAAAAGATAAACAATAATGGTTTCAAGAAATGCAGAGCAGAGAGCCCAGAGGCAAAGACCCACAGGATGGCAGGTCAGTCCCAGGCTGTGGATCCTAATTAAGAAACTCCTGCTGGATTTTGTCCAGCTCCATTTCCAAACTATTTTAGGTCAGTGACTTCTTTATCCCCTCCATGTTCCCTCATTTTGAACTAGAATCACTGTAGTTGTTATTCTATGTCTGTCCCATCATTTCAAATGAGGGGCAGATAAGCTGTTTGTTCAGTTTCACAGGTCAAAGGAGGTAAGGGAATTATGTCAAGGATCTGTACTCAGAGAAGGTAGGAGCTTGAGAAGGACTCCATGAGTTATTATTGGTTGATGATGGAAAAGAGAGGTAAGGAGGAAAGCAGGTGGCCTCTGGAGTCAGAGTGTCTCCCAGCTGACAGTCAGCAAAGACAAAGGGCCCTCAGTCCCCCAGAAACAAGAATAGGAAGGCCTTCAGTATCTGTAGTGAACTTGGAAAAATAGCTTGAGCTCTAGAAAAAAATACAGCCAGCCCATTCCTGGATTTTAGCCTCACATGACTCTCATCAGAGAATCCAGCTGCTTCATTCCAGACTTCTGTGGTTTCAAACCACTGGTTTGTGGTAATGTGATAATAGGCAGCAAGAGAAAACTAGTACAGGTGCCTGTCTCTCCTCTTGAATTTCAATTTTAGATACATGGATGCTAACCCCTCTAAGAGAAAAAAATTCAATCAATAAATCAATCAATGAAAGAACTACCATAAAAATATTGCCCTCACCTTTATGTGGCTGTTCCAGAGCCCTTGCCACCTGAAGAAGACAATGAGGGCTATTTCAGGCATGTGAAGAGTGTGGCTTTACTGTTATCAATCACATTTCTGAAAGAATAAAAATGGTTCAGTTCAAGCCATGGCTCATGTCTGTAATCCTAGCACTTTGGGAGGCCAAGGCAAGTGGATCACTTGAGGTCTAGAGTTAGAGACCAAATTGGCCAATTGGAGAAACCTTGTCTCTACAAAAATACAAAAATTACCCCGGTGTGGTGGCAGGTGCCTGTAATCCCAGCTACTCAAGAGGCTGAGGCAGGAGAATCACTTGAACCCAGGAGGTGGAGGTTGCAGTGAGCTGAGATCGCGCCATTGTATTCCATCCTGAGGAACAGAGCAAAAACTCCATCTCAAAATAAATAAATGAATAAATAAAAAATAAAGATGGTTCATTACTTAACTCCACATATTATTATATGAAAATGTATCACCTCAATTTTAATAGCAGATTTTTTAAAATTCCTTTTCTTGTGCTCACCAGACAAGGTTTGGTAGCAAATACCAGTCACCAGCACAGATGAACCAATTCAAGGAGAGCCATAAACAGGACTAATATTATGTTCCCCCAAAAATCATCCCTAGAATGCAATCTCTTCTCTACTTGTCACAAAACGAACACAATAGTCCACTATATAAAGTCCCAAACACAGGAAAGTGTAAATATAATGAAATCTGCTTTCCAAATGTTTATTCTATTCAGACCCAGTCATGGGGACCAGGGATTAGGAAATGACTACAAACAGGTTCAAGGGAATTTGGGAAGTGACAAAATATGCTGAAGTAGAACTCTGCTGATGGCTGCACAATTCGATAAATCAACTTACATCATTGAGTTGTACATTGACAATGGGTGACTTTTATAACAAGTAATTCTTTAAATGAACTTTTGGATTTCTATTCCAACATGGAAAGAGCTAGGCGGTCATGACTTGTCCTCACAGCTAGAAAAAAGCTGAAGGAACTGAAAGTCAACCCTTCTAGGGTAGACCAGAGAATTGAGGTCACAGGGAAAACTGCCATCTGAAAAATGAGAAACACAGGCTAACACACAAGGAGTCACAGCTCACAGGGAAGAGAAGCTACTGGGGACAGCAAGTGGGAGGAGCACTTAAATGGTATTGACAGATTACTAGAAGCTCAGGGTGGCCTGGCTAGAGCACTGAAAACTCCTTGAAAACCAACTAAGGGGGAATATCACACATTTCCAAGTTTTACTACAATGATCTCAACTAGGTTCTCATGATGAAGTTCAGAAAAACTCCCTGAAGTTTGGCACTACCAACTTCAGGGCTTATATTAAGCTACAGTAGCCCAAATAGGGTGAAGTTGGTGAAAAGAGAAAACACACACAAATAGATCCATGGAAAAGAATACAGAGCCCAGAAACAGACCTACACACAGTCCACTGATCTTCCATGAAGGTTTAGAGACAATTTAAAACAGCAAAGATAGCCTTTCCAACTAGTGGTGCTAGAACAGCTGGACAACCACATGCAAATGTATATAGATAGATAGATCCAGGTGTGCATGTTCTACCCTTTATAAAATAAATCTTACATGTAAATGTAAGGTGCAAAACCATAAGAATCCTAGGAGATAACATAGGAGAAAAATCTCGGGGATCTTGGGTTCGATGATGGCTTCTTAGATACAAAACCAAAAGCACAATCTACTAATGAAAAAAAATTAAGTTGAGCCTCATTAAAATTAAAAACTTCTGCTCTGTGAAAGACACTGTTAAGAGAATGGAAAAAGCAAGTCACAGACTGGCAGAAAATATTTACAAAATAATCTGATGGAAAAACTGCTGTCCAAAATATATGAAGAATTCTGAGAACTAAACAACACAAAGCAAAAAAAAAAAAAAAAAAAAGTAGGTGAAAGATCTGAACACCTCATTCATAAGATATACAGATGGCAAATAAGCATATGAAAAAGATGCTCAAAATCATTTGTCGTGAGGGAACTGCACATTAAAACAGCAATGAGATATCACTGTAAACCTATTAGAATGGCTAAAATGCAAAAAGGTGAACACACCAAATGCTGTCAAAGATGAGGAGCAACCAGAACTCTCCATAGCTAGTGGAAATCAAAAGAGTACAGTCACTCTGGAAAAGTTAAGTTCTCTCAAAATCCTGCACATAAGTACTTAGAGCAATTTTATTCATAATTGCCAGAACTTGGAAGTACCCAAGATGTCTTCCACCAAGTGAATTAATAAACAAACTGTGTTGTAGCCATACAATGAAATCTGATTCAGTGATTTTTAAAACACAAGCTATCAAGCCATGAAAAGACATGGAGGAACTTAAAGTACATAATGCTAGAAAGAAGTCAGTCTGGAAACCTGCATACTCTATGATTCCAACTCTAGGACATTCTTGGAAAGTCAAAAAGATAGAAATAGTAAAATGATGAGTGGTTGTCAGGGGTGGAGGAGAGGAGGAGGCACGAAATGGTGAAGCACAGGGAATTTTCAGCAGTGAAACTATTTTGCATGATGCTGTATTGGGGATTTAGGACATTATGTAATTGCCAAAACCCATAATCTGTGAAACTCAAAGAATGAACTCTAACGTAAACTATGGACTTTAGTTGATAATGATGTATCAACAGTGGTTCATCAATTGTAACGAATGGGCTACACTAATACAACATACTAATAGGGGAAATTGTGTGCTGGAGGACAGGGGAGCCTAGGAGAACTCTCTGTACTATCCACTCCATCTTTCTGTAAACCTAGAACTGTTCTAAAAAATAATGTCTATTAATTTTTTTAATTAGGATGCAGCAGCCCCATATCAAGGTTTTGGTGGCATCCTGTTATTGTGTGGTTAGTACTTGGCATTGAAGTGCACCAACCTGGAGTCAGAGCAGTTGGAGATTTCAATGCCTGTGCCATTTACCTCTAACCCTGGGGTGCCCCCGGAATACAGCTAGCAGATCAGTTAGGTAGAAGCAGCCTCAGCAATCTAGACAGTGCAGGCTTCTGGTAAGGACAGGTACAAACCATCTGGGTGGGCAGAACTTGATGAAGACTAGGAACCACTGAGACTCAGCAGCTGCCCCAGTGGCACCCACAAATCAAAGGAGGGGGCTGGAAGGAGCTCAGGGCTACACGATGAGCTCCCTGCCTGCAAGACAGAAGCAGCTCCAGAGATTTTGGTAAATAATGTAGGTTTCAGTACCGTGTGGTCTATTCAAAAAAGTAGAACAAAAAGGAAAGAAAAAGAGACAGCATGAGAGAGAGAGAAAGAAAAAGGAAAGAAGAAAGGAAGAAAGGAAAGAATAGAGGGAGGAAGGAAAGGAAGAAGGAAGGAAGGGAGGGAGGGAGGGCGGGTGGGCAGGATGGAGGGAAAGAATAAAGAGAGAGAGAGTTGGAGGGAAGTAGGGAAGGAAGGAAGGAAGGAAAGAAGGAAGGAAGGAAGGAAATTAACAAATTTACATGAAGATGAGAACATCCAGGGGAACTTACACCACCAATATTTTCCATTAACAGGAACATGCTAACTAGTTATTAGAGAGAGACACACTACTGTGAAACCATATACTGTTTCCATGGGGTACAACACCTTCCTCCTCCTCTGAAACACATTCTGTCTCTGGCCCACTGTTGCCAGAGACACTGAGTCTTATCTTTGGATAAGTTCTGGTGCCCACAGGAATGAGATGAGATGGTGGACTCCAGAACATCAGGCCATGACCTTTCCTGCTGCTCCTTGTCCACTCCAGAAGCTATCCAGCTGCAGGTGGGGGCCTCAGCCCCTGGGTCTGACATAATCCATTTGCCATTCTCAATGGACTTCTCTCCTTGCACTGGTTCCCACTCCCCCAGGACCCAGTGGGTGACCACATGAGAAGGACACAAACAGGCCATGTCCCTTTCTTTCTCCCCCTCTCAATGCCTGCAGTGGTGGGTTCCATTGGGTAGTGACCTGAGATTTACTCATTATGGGGCCTCTAGCCCAGACCAGGGCCTGGTACCTAATAGTCACCCCATGAATGCCCAGTGAAAGAAGGTGTCCACCACAAGGTCCTGGGGAACCAAGAATTCCACCGTGGCCCATAAATTCTAAGTCCTACAGGATTCTGGAATTGGAGATGGGAAAGGCCTTCAAAAGTGGCCACTCTTTTAACCTATTATACTGGCAACTGAGCCATGTTTCCCCATCCTGGACACATCTAGAGGGCACTGCCTAAAACCAGACACATCTCCCCACCCAGGACAGAGCAGGGGCCTTAGTCTGGGGGATGCGGGTGGACAGGGAGGGGGTGAGCCACAAAAGCTGAAGAGGAGAAAGCAGGTGAAAGGGTACAGCAGGGTGGAAACACAGAGGAATGGAGGCAGAGAATGGGGGTTGAGAGGGGAAGAGACAGGAGAGGGATGCAGATCTAGCTACTAAGGAAAAGTCCTGGAGAGAACACTGTCCTCTCCTGAAGTAAAATCACTTTCACCTGACCACAGCACTTCAGGTTGAGGGTGGCACAGGCTGTGAATATTTGTTCATTCATTTAACAAATATTTATTTAATATCAGTTTCATGCCAGGCAAGGCCCTGAGATGTTTAGGGACCTTGGCATCTTCCCTTTACATCTGAGTCATAATAGAAAGAGGGCCCTCTGACCCCATCAAGCTGGCAATGCCTCAGGATTTTTACCTGTTGGATCTAGCAGCTCTTCATGTCGGCCCACACCATGTGAGGCTGCTCTTGGTGCACTGAATGGGGAAGTTTCTACGTCAGTGCCTCGGAGAGTCCACTGGAAGCCCTGGACAGTGGGAGTCGGTGGCACCCCAAGGGTGGAGGCCAAGAGCACACAGCACTGAAGCTCCAGACACCCTCAGGAGGACGGTAAGGGACTATCAGCTGGTGAGAGCCTGGGTCACCAGGAACCTTTGCCTGGGTCTAAATAGGATTTGCCTTCAGATTGCCTATGAAATAAAAGAAAGAAATCAAGGTTAACATTGAGATTTGGGGCTTCAGCAACTTGAAGGATGGAGCTGCCATTTACAGAGACTGGGAAGACCCAGGGAGGAGCAGGTTGAAAGGTGGTGGGGAACTAGAGTTGGTTGGGTTTCTGTCATATGTAATCAACAGTCCTGACCACCTGTAATCCTAGCACTTTGGGAAGCCAAGACGGGTGGATCATGAAGTCAGGAGATCGAGACCATCCTGCCTAACACAGTGAAACCCCGTATCTACTAAAAATATAAAAAATTAGCCGGGTGTGTTGGCAGGTGCCTGTAGTCCCACCTACTTGGGAGGCTGAGGCAGGAGAATGGCATGAACCCAGGAGGCGGAGGTTGCAGTGAGACGAGATATCTTGTTACTGCACTCCAGGCTGGGTGACAGAGTGAGATTCCATCTCAAAAAAAAAAAAAAAAAAAAAAACCAGTCCTGACCAGCCTGGGCAACATAGTAAGACCCCGTCTCTGAAAATAAAAAATGAAAAATTAGCCGAGCATGGTGGTGCACACTTGTAGTCTCAGCTACTCGGGAGTCTGAGGCAGGAGGATTTCTTGAGCCTTGAGTTAGAGGTTACTGAGCTATGATGACACCACTGCACTCCAGCCTGCGGGGAAAAAATAGAGTCCTGACTAAATACTTGAGTAGCCAGGGAAGTTTTCACAAAGTATTTGAGGCAGATCTTAGTGAACAAGAATTTGATTATTTCTGTTAGGGAATTAAGAGAGTGTGGGTGTAGTTGCTTAATGCTTATTGAACTATCTTTGGAATCTCATCTATTGGTCTATCTGGTCTATCTGTACATGTATATTCTATACACTGTCTCACTGAATTTTCACTAGGTTATGCTACAGTAACAAAAGCCCCAAAATCTTAGCAGCTACACATACAAAGGTTTATTTTTCATTGACATATACCTTTTTGGCAGGTTGACTATGATTCTGCTCTATACAAGCTATTTTATTTGTTAGACGGTTGAAAACTGTCATACTTGGAGATTGTTGAATACGGTATTAGTATGTTATTCATTCATTCATTTAACAGATATTTATTCGATATCTGTTTCATGCCAGGCAAGGTCAAGTACTGAGAATACAGTGGTGAATAAAAGAGACAAAATCTCTAATTTCCAGGAGCTTATGTTGAAAATGAGATTGAACACATACAAAATAATCATAATAACAATAATGAGCCCTCTCCCTCTCCCTCTCCCTCTCCCTCTCCTTCTCCCTCTCCCTCTCCCTCTCCCTCTCCCTCTCCCTCTCCCTCTCCCTCTCCCTCTCCCTCTCCACGGTCTCCCTCTGATGCCGAGCCGAAGCTGGACTGTACTGCTGCGATCTCGGCTCACTGCAACCTCCATGCCTGATTCTCCTGCCTCAGCCTGCCGAGTGCCTGCGATTGCAGGCGCGCGTCGCCACGCCTGACTGGTTTTCGTTTTTTTTTGGTGGAGACGGGGTTTCGCTGTGTTGGCCGGGCTGGTCTCCAGCTCCTAACCGCGAGTGATCCGCCAGCCTCGGCCTCCCGAGGTGCCGGGATGGCAGACGGGGTCTCGTTCACTCAGTGCTCAATGGTGCCAAGGCTGGAGTGCAGTGGCGTGATCTCGGCTCGCTACAACCACCTCCCAGCCGCCTGCCTTGGCCTCCCAAAGAGCCGAGATTGCAGCCTCTGCCCGGCCGCCACCCCGTCTGGGAAGTGGGGAGCGTCTCTGCCTGGCCGCCCATCGTCTGGGATATGAGGAGCCCCTCTGCCTGGCTGCCCAGTCTGGAAAGTGAGGAGCGTCTCTGCCCGTCCGCCATCCCATCTAGGAAGCGAGGAGCGCCACTTCCCCGCCGCCATCCCATCTAGGAAGTGAGGAGCGTCTCTGCCCGGCCGCCCATCGTCTGAGAGGTGGGGAGCACCTCTGCCCCGCCGCCCTGTCTGGGATGTGAGGAGCGCCTCTGCCCGGCCGCCCCGTCTGAGAAGTGAGGAAACCCTCTGCCTGGCAACCGCCCCGTCTGAGAAGTGAGGAGCCCCTCCGTCCAGCAGCCACCCCGTCTGGGAAGTGAGGAGCGTCTCCGCCCGGCAGCCACCCCGTCCGGGAGGGAGGTGGGGGGGGTCAGCCCCCCGCCCGGCCAGCCGCCCCGTCCGGGAGGTGAGGGGCTCCTCTGCCCGGCCGCCCCTACTGGGAAGTGAGGAGACCCTCTGCCCGGCCGGTCGCCCCGTCCAGGAGGGAGGTGGGGGGGTCAGCCCCCCGCCCGGCCAGCCGCCCAGTCCGGGAGGGGGGAGGGGGGGTCAGCCCCCTGCCCGGCCAGCCGCCCCGTCCGGGAGGGAGGTGGGGGGATCAGCCCCCCGCCTGGCCAGCCGCCCCGTCCGGGAGGTGAGGGGCGCCTCTGCCCGGCCGCCCCTACTGGGAAGTGAGGAGCCCCTCTGCCCGGCCAGCCGCCCCGTCCGGGAGGGAGGTGGGGGGGTCAGCCCCCCGCCCGGCCGGCCGCCCCGTCCGGGAGGTGAGGGGCGCCTCTGCCTGGCCGCCCCTACTGGGAAGTGAGGACCCCTCTGCCCGGCCAGCCGCCCCGTCCGGGAGGGAGGTGGAGGGGTCAGCCCCCCGCCCGGCCGGCCGCCCCGTCCGGGAGGTGAGGGGCGCCTCTGCCCGGCCGCCCCTACTGGGAAGTGAGGAGCCCCTCTGCCCGGCCAGCCGCCCAGTCCGGGAGGGAGGTGGGGGGATCAGCCCCCCGCCCGGCCAGCCGCCCAGTCCGGGAGGGAGGTGGGGGGTCAGCCCCTCGCCCGGCCAGCCGCCCCGTCCGGGAGGGAGGTGGGGGGGGGTCAGCCCCCCGCCCGGCCAGCCGCCCCGTCCGGGAGGGGGGAGGGGGAGTCAGCCCCCTGCCCGGCCAGCCGCCCTGTCCGGGAGGGAGGTGGGGGGGTCAGCCCCCCGCCCGGCCAGCCGCCCCGTCCGGGAGGGAGGTGGGGGGATCAGCCCCCCGCCTGGCCAGCCGCCCCGTCCGGGAGGTGAGGGGCGCCTCTGCCCGGCCGCCCCTACTGGGAAGTGAGGAGCCCCTCTGCCCGGCCAGCCGCCCCGTCCGGGAGGGAGGCGGCGGGGGGGGGGTCGGCCAGCCGCCCCGTCCGGGAGGGAGGTGGAGGGGTCAGCCCCCCGCCCGGCCAGCCGCCCCGTCCGGGAGGGAGGTGGGGGGGTCAGCCCCCCGCCCGGCCAGCCGCCCCATCCGGGAGGTGAGGGGCGCTTCTGCCCGGCCGCCCCTACTGGGAAGTGAGGAGCCCCTCTGCCCGGCCACGACCCCGTCTGGGAGGTGTGCCCAGCGGCTCATTGGGGATGGGCCATGATGACAATGGCGGTTTTGTGGAATAGAAAGGCGGGAAGGGTGGGGAAAAAATTGAGAAATCGGATGGTTGCCGGGTCTGTGTGGATAGAAGTAGACATGGGAGACTTTTCATTTTGTTCTGTACTAAGAAAAATTCTTCTGCCTTGGGATCCTGTTGATCTGTGACCTTATCCCCAACCCTGTGCTCTCTGAAACATGTGCTGTGTCCACTCAGGGTTAAATGGATTAAGGGCGGTGCAAGATGTGCTTTGTTAAACAGATGCTTGAAGGCAGCATGCTCCTTAAGAGTCAGCACCACTCCCTAATCTTAAGTACCCAGGGACACAAACACTGCGGAAGGCTGCAGGGTCCTCTGCCTAGGAAAACCAGAGACCTTTGTTCACTTGTTTGTCTGCTGACCTTCCCTCCACTATTGTCCTATGACCCTGCCAAATCCCCTTCTGCGAGAAACACCCAAGAATGATCAATAAAAAAAAAAAAAAAAAAAAAAAGATATGGAAAGATTGTAAGTAAAAGGATTTTTCTTAATAAAAAAAAAAAAAATAATAATGAATACTATATTTACAAATAATAGCTGTAAGACATTTTAGCACCTGTTTTAAATTAGAAAAAATATAGAAATTATTAAAACTAAAATGGCCAGATGTGATGGCTCACACCTGTAATCCCAACACTTTAGGATGCCAAGGTGGGAGAATCAACTGAGCCCAGGAGTTTGAATCTAGTCTGGGCACGATAGGAAGACCACGTCTACAAAAAATAAAAAATTAGCTGGGCACGGTTGTGTATGCCTATAATCCCAGCACTCTGGGAGGCTGAAGCAAGCAGACTACTTGAGCCCAAGAGTTCAAGACCAACCTGGGAAACATGTTGAATCCCCATCGCTACAAAAAATACAAAAATTAGCCAGGCATGACAGCACATGCCTATAGTCACAGCTACTCAGGAGGCTGAGGTGGGAGGATTGCTTAAGCCAGGAGGTGGAGGTTGCAGTGAGCTGAGATTATGCCACCACATTCCAGCCTGGGCAATAGAGTGAGACCCTGTCTCAAAAAAAAAATGCAAAAACTAAAATAAAATTGCTACAAGATTAATATATAAAAATGAGTTCATATTCTTAGGCTAGGCATTGATTTCTTTTTTCTTTCTTTTTCTTTCTTTCTTTCTTTCTGTCTGTCTGTCTCTTTTTTGTACAAGACAGAGTCTTGCTCTGTCAACCAGGCCGGAGTGCAGTAGCACAATCTTGGCTCACTGCAAACTCCGCTTCCCGGGTTCAAGCAATTCTCCTGCCTCAGCCTCCTGAGTAGCTGGGATTACAGGTGCCCATCACCACACCTGGCTAATTATTGTATTTTTAGTAGAGACGGGGTTTCACCATGTTGGCCAGGCTGGTTTCATACTCCTGACCTCGTGATCCACCTGCCTAGGCCTCCCAAAGTGCTGGGATTACAGGTGTGAGCCACCGCGCCTGGCCGGGCATTGATTTCTTAAACAGGACACAATAAGCAGTAACCATAAAGGAAAAGATTAATAAGAGTATATTTCATTAAGGCTAACAGAAAAATGTGTTCATACTCTTAGACTAGGCACTGATTTCTTAAACAGGACACAAAAAGCAGTAACCGTAAAGGAAAATATTGATAAAGCATAATTTCATTAAAATTAAGAAACTCCGCCAGGTGCAGTGGCTCATGCCTGTAATCTCAACACTTTGGGAGGCCGAGCCAGGTGTATCACTTGAGCCCAGGAATTCCAGACCAGCCTATGCAACATGGCAAAACCCCATGTCTACTAAAAATACAAAAAACAGCTAAGCATGGTGGTGGTCTCCTGTAGGTCCCAGCTACTTAGGGCCTGAGGCAGGAGGATCACCTGAGCCTTGGGAGGTCGAGGTTGCACTGAGCTGTGATTGTACCACTGCACTCCAGCCTGGGCAATAGAGTGAGATCTTGTCTCAAAAAGAAAAACAATTTAGAGAATCTCCATTCATGAGAAAACACCATTAAAAGAGTGAAAACACAAGCTGCAATTTGAAAAAAGAGAAATGCGATTCATATATATCCTAGAAAGGAGGCATATCCAGAATAAAGTATTACAAATCAACAGAAAATCATATCAATGAAAACTGGATAAAAAGATTAAACAGTCACTTCATAAAAGAGGACACATAAATGGCAATAAAAGATACTCAATCTCAATACCAGGAAAATGGAAGTTGAACCCACATTGATATATTACTGTACCTCTACTAGAATAACAAAATAATTTTTAACTGACAAGCATCAGCAAGGATGTGGGGTAACTGGAATATTCCCTGCTAATTGGTAAAACTACTTTGGGAAAATGTTCGGCAATACGTAATACTAAAGTTTTATCATTCATATAGCTCTAAAACCAACAATGCCACTCCTACATATACACCCCAATACAGTAATGTTCTATTTCTTAATCTGTGGTGGTTCATTTAGTAAAAACTCATGACCTGTACTTTTTTTTTTTTTTTTTTTTGAGACAGGGTCGCACTCTGCCATCCAGGCCAGAGTGCACTGACGTGATCACCGCTCACTGCAATATCAACCTCCCGGGCTCTTTTGACCACGCAGTTAATTTTTGTATATTTAGTAGAGATGGCATTTTACCCAGGCTGGTCTGGAACTCCTGGGCTCAAGTCATCCGCCCACCTTGGCCTCCCGAAATGCTGGAATTACAGGTGTGATCTACCACACCCAGACCACCTGCACATTTAAAATTGTGAACTTCCTCTGTATTCTTCAGTAACTTTTCGAAGATTTCTTTGACACGAAGTTCTCAGAAATCTTAAAGCTAGGATTTTAGAATAGAAAAAAAAAGCTTTTGGTTCACTGGTGAAATTTTACTAATTAAATTTAAAAACAAAAAGAAAGTTATTAATGCATATCACCTCAGAACAAAGATTAAAAACTACGAGCACATCAGTTTTCTTTAACTTCGTGAAGCACTGGGATTCATTCTTTCGGCAAAGAAAGGATGAACAACACTGTAACTCAAAGAAAAGATACCACTGCAAGAAAAGGCCTTTTTTTTTTTTCTTTTTTCTTTTTTTTTTTTTTTTTTAGAGGGAGTCTCGCTCTGTCGCCCAGGCTGGAGTGCAGTGACAAGATACCTCGGCTCACTGCAACCTCCGCCTCCCGGGTTCAAGCGATTCTTGTGCTTCAGCCTCCCGAGTAGCTCGGACTACACGCGCCCGCCACCACGCCTTGCTAATTTTTCGTATTTTTAGTAGAGACGGGTTTTCACTGTGTTAGCCAGGATGGTCTCAATCTCCTGACCTCATGATCCGCCACGTCAGCCTCTTAAAGTGCTTCTTTTCGAAAGCAGCTCCACCAGCAAAAGGTAGGAGGAAAGCGAGGAAACCATTCCAAAAGTCTTGGTTAACTCTTGGGTGAAAGGACGCCAAATGAGATGATCTAAGAAGCCTCAAGGAAAGAAAGACAGACAGACAGGCACAGGAAAATCACAGCAACTCTTTGGACTGCAAACACCAACACCACAGTCCAACCTACCAGAAATCCTGCTGTGAATTTGAGGCTTGTCCCGCTAGTCATGAGGTGATTCAGTGATGGCTACAAACGCTCCTTACGTGCATCCTGGACCTGGTACACCTGGCTTGCCCATCACCAGCCTGGAGACACCGCCAGGAGCACAATCCCTGAGGCCAATAAAGACCCCAGCTTTGCAAGTCAGGGGCGCGAGCACTCTTGCCCCTCAGGTTCCCAGAAGAAACCGCCACGAGGGTGGGGTGCGGGGTCAGTGTGCTCCACAGGACTTCCGAGGACGTGCCCCCCAAGCTGCTCCGTTCCTCCACCCCCTGGGATGCCACAGAACACCCGCCAGCGAGTTTCTTCCCCAGCGCCCATGAGAGGAGGCTGCGGGCGGCAGCCGCAAGCGAGGAATCCAGCGCAGGGAAAGTAGCCCCGGTGGGGCCCGGCGCGTCAGCCCCACTCGCGTGGCAAAACTTGCGGGGGCCCCCGCGTGCCGCGCCTCAGCCCAGCTGTGCGCCCGCAGGTCCCAGACTCGCCGCCCGCCTGACCTGGCGCGGCGCCCTCACCTCGGAACGCTGGGTGGACTTCGCAGTAAACCTTAACTTCCCATCCAGGCGGCAGCGGCGCGGTGCCTCGGCTTCGCTCCTGGCACCGCAGGTCGCCCGTTCCGCGTTCCCAAAAGCATCAGGCTCACTTAGAAGCTCAGGCAGCCTCGCGACCCTCACCTACCCCTCCCAGCACCGCCGCTGTCTCTACCGCCGCCCAGCGCAGGCGTAGCAGAGACTTAAAAGGACACGGCCGCCTCTACCGCACAACGGGTTGGAGCAGGTTAGGGGCCGCAGGGGCTGAGAAAACGAGTAACGGAGGACAGAGTGCAGTGGGGACGGGGAAATCCCTCTCCTCCCCCTCTTTTTCAAAGCACCAGCCCTTGACCCTGCAATTCGCTGATTTCCCCGGCCACTGGAAGCGCCCCTGCCAGGTTAAAGAGGCGGGAGACACACCCCCTCTGGAGCCGGGAGCTACCGGGCGTTTAGGACTCCAGGCCTCGCCCTTCCGCACCGCCCCAAAGTCTGACTTGCAGGCTCGGGCCGCAGACCCGCAGGCTTCAGAAGGCAGCCCCAGCTCCCCCGAGAGGTGGCCTTAGGTCACTCGCAAAAACAGTAACCAACGTGTCGATGGCACTTGTATTTTCTAATTTAAATTTATAACACATTTCGCAGATGGGCTTCCACTGAAATAAGCCTTTGAGAAAAAGAAAAACTTTTTTTTTTCAACAAGATTAGGAAATACCAAGACATACGAAGTAAAGCCATGCCGTCCACCCAGCTAAAAACTTTGAAAACTTGAAATTTTATCTAAGGCAAATGTTTGCATAACTTTAGGTCGTGCCATTATTTAAAGTAAATTTCAATTAACAATATCTTTTGCAATTGAATCCATCTTCTATAAGAAAACTAAGATACATCCCTGATAATCTACCTCTCCCCTCCTGTATTCCATCCATCAGCAAATCCTACTGGTTTTTACCTTCCAAATTTTCCTTGAATCTGTCCTCTTCTGTCTCCTCCATCACCACCCTAGTCTAGGCTACCTTCACCTGGGGAGTGGGGGTGGAGGGACTACTGACCTAGTCTCCCTGTGGTTTACCCATATCCCCTTTATCGCCTCTCTAATCTCAACACAACAGGCAGAGTGGCTTTTTCAAAATATAATGTGAACCCTGTCACTTCCCAGCCCAAACCACTTAAGCACCTTCCCATTCTCTTAGACAAAACCTCCTAACTAACCAAGCCCTGAATGGCCAGGCACCTTGCCCACCTCTCCACCTCTTCTCACAGGTCAGACCAATTCCATTCTTTTCTCTCTGCTCCAGCCAAACTGGCCTCTTTTATTGCCTATTTACCCAGCTTCCTGGACTCCACAGAGCTTTTGCTCATGCTTTGCTCTGTGCCTGAAGATTCTTCCAACCCTCATCATTCTGACAACAGCTGTAGTCTCCACCTCTGAGAGGCAACTTCTGACCTCCCTACAGTGGTCCCTTACTCTTATCACATTGCATAAAACTGTAATCGAGTGGTTATGTTGGGGAATTTTTTACCATCAGCTCCATAAGTCCAGGATTTGGTTTTGTTTGGCTCATGCTTGTATTTCCACATTTGTGAAATACATATTTGTTCATAAATGAGAACGATCGATGTTAGAAGTTGAAGTAAATTTGGCATAAAGTCAGAGAAAGGTAAAATGTCACAATCTAATATTTAGAGTCAGAATCTAAAAACTTCAGTTATATTAAAACTGATTTTGTATCATTTTAGGCTGGGTTGTCGCAGGGATTCTTTGGGTAATCTTTAAAACTGAGTTCTCAGAGAGCATTGTATAAACACCTGAATTAATAATGATAGCCATGGGATGGTCCACATAAAACTAATAATATTGGTTGCTTCAAGGGAGGAAGACCAAGCCAGGAACAGTGGCTCATGCCTGTAATCCAAGCACTTTGGGAGGCCAAGGCCGACAGATCATTTGAGCTCAGGAGTTTGACATTAGCCTGGGCAACTTCGTGAGTCCCTGTCTCTACACAAAATATAAGCAAAATTAGCTGGGCTTGGTGGACACCTGTAGTCCCAGCTATTTGGGAGGTTGAGGTGGGAGGATTGCTTGAGCCCAGAAGGTTGAGAGGCTGCAGTGAGCCATGATCATGCCACTGCACTCCAGCCTGGATGACAGAGCAAGATCCTGTCAAAAAAAAAAAGAGAGAGAGGGAAAGAATCTTGACTGGTGGCTACTGGTGGGAAGGAGGTTTTTACTACATCCCCAATTGGACCTTTTTATTTTAAAGTATCTGAAGATAAATAAATGACACAAAAGAGTGCATACCATCCCATTTATTTGAAATTCCAGAAAAGGCAAAATTAATCTGTGGTGAGAAAATCATAACAGCAGTTCCTTCTAGCAGGGGATTCACTGGGAAGGTACACAAGAGAAATTTCTGGGTGCTAAAAATGGTCTGTCTTGATAGGGGTATGAATTACTTAAGTGTATTCTTTCATCAAAAACATTCAGTTAACATTCAATGAATGTAAATGTTACCTTAAAAACTATAAACATAATTAAAAATTTAAAATCTGGTCGCTAACACCTGGTTGAGCGCTCAGTGTGTATGGGGATTGGCCAAAGCTATAAATACACAATTTTGTTTAGTCCTCATACTGTCCTCTCAAGGTAAGTATTATTATCATAATCCCCTTGCATATGAAGAAGCCCAAATTTAGTAAATACTAAATAACTTGCCTTACTTTATGCCACCTGGAAAATGGGGAAAGAGCTTTGAAAACCATCAGTCAAATGCCAGAAGTTATTAAACATTAGACCCTATAACACTTCTCTGAAATTGTAATATTTTTGGCATATATATATATATATATATAACTCATCTACTAGATCAAGAGCTTCAGAATGATTGAAATCATAGTTTGTGTTTTGTTTGTTTGAGGTTTATGTGTTTATTTTATGTCATTATTTTAAAGACTGGGTCTTGGCTGGGCATGGTGGCTCATGCCTGTGATCCCGGCACTTTGGGAGGCCAAGGTGGGTGGATCACTTGAGGTCAGGAATTCGAGACCAGCCTGGCCAACATGGTGAAACCCCATCTCTACTAAAAATATGAAATCAGCTGAGTGTGGTGGTGCATGCCTGTAATCCTAGTTACTCAGGAGGATGAGGCAGGAGAATCATTTGAACCCAGGAGGTGGAGGTTGCAGTGAGGCAAGATTGTGCCACTGCCCTCCAGCCTGGGCCACAGAGTGAGACTCCATTTCAGAAAAAAAAAAAAAAAAAGACTGAATCTCACTATGTTGCCCAGGCTGCACTTGGACTCTTGAATTCAAGCTATCCTCTTGCCTAGGCGTCTTGAGTAGCTGGGACTACAGGCACACACTATCACGCCCAGTATTTTGTCTTAAGTTTCTAAGCAGTCCCAACACTGCACAGTAGCTGTTCAATGTATTTTGAGTGAATGTTTAAAAACAAGCTTGGTGTTGATTTTATTGCTACAATTTATATTTACATATGTAATATTTATATTATATGCTTTCTATATATTTATATGTGTGTATGTATATAATTGGCACCAACTTAGCATTGCTGTGCTTAAGTGCCTGAGATGTATCTCAAATGAATAGGCCTGAGGAGAGAAGCTTGTGTCATTAGCTCTGACCCTGCAGCACTAATCCTTATTTACCCCTTTCTTTCACTCACCCTGAGCACATAAATATTTATTTGGTGAAAGAGCTTACACTTTAACATCGCACTGAAATAGCTCATTCCAAAGAAAGAGCTAATTCTAACCTCTCACAAGTGCTTGAGCATTTGCATAAGTGAAATTTCACTGTGTGAGTTTCACCCAACACCACCTCTGCTCCAGCTCCTGCTACTCTACTGCTCATACCATGGAACTCCACAGGTGGAGTAGAAGATGGAGGATGCACGATGCAGTACACAGCAGCATCCTCTTCAGAGAGAGTTTTATTTGCAGTAAATTCAGTGTGCAATAGGCAAAGCAACGAAGAGTCAAGGTGAGGCAGGAGAGCAGCAGAGGGAAGTGGAAGTTGGATAAAGAGTGAACTGAGTAGGAGCAGAAGCAGGTTAAAAAGGTGGGTGAGCCTAGAAGAAAACCTAGGCAATACCATTCAGGACATAGGCATGGGCAAGGACTTCATGTCTAAAACACCAAAAGCAATGGCAACAAAAGCCAAAATAGACAACTGAGATCTAATTAAAACAAAGACTTTCTGCACAGCAAAAAAAAAAAATATATATATATATATCATCAGAGTGAACAGGCAACCTACAGAATGGGAGAAAACTTTTGCAATCTACTCATCTGACAAAGGGCTAATATCCAGAATCTAGAAAGAACTCAACAAACTTACAAGAAAAAAACAAACAACCCCATCAAAAACTGGGCAAAGGATATGAACAGACACTTCTCAAAAGAAGACATTTATGCAGCCAACAGACACATGAAAAAATGCTCATCATCACTTGTCATCAGAGAAACACAAATCAAAACCACAATGAGATACCATCTCACACCAGTTAGAATGGCAATCATTAAAAAGTCAGGAAACAACAGGTGCCGGAGAGGATGTGGAGAAATAGGAATACTTTTGCACTGTTGGTGGGACTGTAAACTAGTTCAACCATTGTGAAAGACAGTGTGGCAATTCCTCAAGGATCTAGAACTAGAAATACTATTTGACCCAGCCAACCCATTACTGGGTATATACCCAAAGGATTATAAATCATCCTGCTATAAAGACACATGCACACGTATGTTTATTGTGGTACTATTCACAATAGCAAAGACTTGGAACCAACCTAAATGTCCATCAGTGATAGACTGGATTAAGAAAATGTGGCACATATACACCATGGAATACTATGCAGCCATAAAAAAGGATGATTTCATGTCCTTCGTAGGGACATGGATGAAGCTGGAAACCATCATTCTCACAAAAAACCAAACACCGCATGTTCTCACTCACAGGTGGGAATTGAGCACTAAGAACCCTTGGACACAGGAAGGGGAACATCACACGCCGGGGCCTGTCATGAGGTGGGGGGAGGGGGGAGGGATAGCATTAGGAGATATACCTAAGTAAATGACGAGTTAATGGGTGCAGCACACGAACATGGCACATGTATACATATGTGACAAACCTGTACATTGTGAACATGTACCCTAGAACTTCATTAAAAAAAAAAAGGTGGGTGAGCAAGAAGCAAGATAAGCAGAAGTTGAGCAGCGAAAACAAAAGTGAGATGGAGTAGTGAGTAAAAGCTTATGGCTGGCAGGATCCAGAGCAAACCAGTAAGAGGCAGCTCCTCAGAGATAGGCATGGGTATGGGAGAGAAAAAGTAGGCTTAAAATGACCCCGTATGATAATCAGCTCATTAAAGCTAATGCATATGGACTGCATATCATGGGTGTACTTAAAATTATGGGATGGAGGTGACCGGGAAGCACACTGGGGCCAAATAACTAAGCAACCCACCTATCAATCAGAAGGCACATGCTGGGTAGAGATTAGGCAGCCCCAGGAAAAGGAGAAAAAATATATATATAAAAAGACCCAAAGCCCAAAGTTCACCAAACTGATGCTGATCTCATTTTGCAGAAGTTAGCCTGTTCTCCCCTCTCTGAGAGTGTTACTGTGCTTAATAAGTCTTTTGCTGCTTTGCTACATGTGTGTGTGTGTGTCACAGCCAATTCTTTGTTTGAGACACCAAGAACCTGGGACTTCACAACACCAGCCAGTAACAAAGATATGTAAGCTTGGGAGGGAGGAAAGAAAGAAGGGAGCAAGAGGAGATTCAGACATGAGATGCATTCACCCTATGAGTTGAACCCCAGTCTCCAGCGTGGGAGTTGGCAATTCTATTACTGAACCATCAATGCTCCATGTGGTATAACCTCTCATGATTTTTGTTTGTTTGTTTTGTTTTGTTTTGCTTTGTTTTTTCAAAAAGAGAATCTCTGGTGGTATAGGCAGGCATGAGGGGTCAGGGAGGATGGAGGTGGGAAAGTTCTATAATAGGCTGACACAGATATTTTTGGAAAACAGAGCTAACAAAGCAACAGGCACTTGAAGCAAAGGCTTGCCCTAAACCTTCCACTGTTTGCCAAGGGAAGAAATTTTGGAGTCAAATTTTCACTTTCTCTCTTGTGTAGATCTCTGTAAGACATAAAAGTTTGGATGACAGTCATTTTGATTCTTGGACTTTACTAGAGACTCCAAAGACGCATCTGAGGAGAAAAGCTCTGGGTCCCTGGGATGACTGTGCCACTCGACATAGCCTCCTGGAGTGGCCAAAGAGAGTGTGGTTGAAAAAAGAAATATTGGAGTGAACTTTCACTCACTCCCACTTTTGTAGGTTTCTTAAAAACATGAGTTTAGAAACAAGATACTGGGCTTTTTCAAATGACTCAAAAGAGGTGTAGATGAAGAGAAGCTCGATCATCCCACAGATCTTTTGGAGTAACCTGGACACATCCCTAAATCTCCAGCTCCTGGGTCTTTGAAAGCCAGTTTGTCTCAGGGTTGGGAGGCAAGTGTTTGGAAAGCACCAAGGCAGGAGTTGGCAAAAAGGTTACCTCATCAGTGAAGAAATGAAATTTCCAGAAGTTTTCACCAGATCTGGGACCAGAGACAAAGGCCTGGATGAATTTCCTATGCAAACCTTTTTTAGAACCTCTGTTTCAGAGTTCTTCCAGAGACTCTTCAAAATTAGATCTGGTGAAACCGCTGCTGGTGGTGGATTGGTAGTTCAGCAGCAGAATTTTTTTCTCCCACGCGGGAGACTCGGTCCGACTCGCGGCCATGCAGGCCTTCTTACCCTTCAGGCAGGAAGGGCTACTACCTTTCTACCCAACAAAGTTATTATATTACCCAGGCTGTACTGCATTTATGGACCTTGGTCGTGGCAGCTACAAGTTAACCTGAGGGGCGTGCCACCTCTGGAGCATTCTCTGTGCTCGAACTAATCCCGGGATTTACAGTTCCTGTGCTCGAAGCCTGTCCTTGAAAGTGAGGAGTGTTTCCAGTAGGTTGCTGTAGTTTTCAATACTGGGAATTAAAACCTTTGCTACTTTCATCTAGTCTCCGGGGCAAACCCCTGGGTAACCCAAAGGCCATCAGACGGATTCGCGTGCTGGGCTTTCCACTACCTTAGGCCACGTGTCACTATGGAGCGAAGATCAAGAAGGTCCCGGAAGGAGAGAAGCTGCGGGGTCCAGGGAGACTTTTTGGTGGTTGGTCGGAGAGGCTTCAGCTGCCCAAGGAAAAGGGAAGCGTGTGGGGAGGTATCCGCATAGAGATGAGGGCCTCGGCGGAGACAGTCTCACGCAGAGGTATGCCACCTTGGCATCTGCGCCTTCCGTGGGCCAGTGGGTCTTCCGGGAGGGATTCTGTGTCCCTGGTATTGTGTGTCAACAGGTGTTAGCCTGATAGTTATATTTTTAATGAGAGAAAACGAACTACAGAATTTGCGAGTTTTGTTTTTTTTCTGGTTTTGCTTTATACCTCTTGGATTCTCCTTCCAAAGGATTCCGATCTGAGGGGCATTGGGGTGTGACTATGGTAGACAAGGAGTGGTGAATTTTCATCCAAAAATCTTTGGCGGATTCCCTTGCTCTCCCGCTCCCCAGTCTAACAGTAGTTTAAAACAGAAGATCAGCAACATTTGGAGAGTTTTTTTTTTCTCTGCATTCTGATGATAAACTTGATTTATTCAATTCCAAAAATTTCTTTATTCTGAGGTTGTCTTTCTATATTTTGAGTATAAAACCATGGCCATACAATGTTGGACCCACCAAGGTTCTTCTCTTCACTTGTTTATTTGTACAGTCTCTTTGTAATCTCAGAATTTCTTGAGTAAACTGGGAACTGTTATACATAATTCTGTGTTTTTGAGCATTCTTTGTAAACAGGAATCAGGATTGGGGGTGGGGAAGGAGGGAGGAGTGGGAGTGCTGATTTGTGTAACGGAAAAATCATAGATTACTTATGTGATGGGGCAAAGGTTTTAAAAACTCTTAGTGTCCTCAGATTTCCCCTTATACTATTTGCTGAAGAAAATCATGTCCTTGACTCCCTTCCTTACCCTCTCCTGGCAAGGGAAGGGGTCCCCTCCTGCCTCAGGGTCTCTGTCCTCCTGGGGTTAGGAGAAGCGCATCCAACTCCCTCTCCAAGTGCTGGAGAGGAGGCTAAGTCTTTCCCATGGGCTGGGGGCTTTGCTGTCCCAAGGACGGCTGGGGAGGAAGAGGAGGCAGAGGCGGAAGAGGAGGCAGAGGCGGAAGAGGAAGCCGGCTGAGATTTGTGAAGCAGCTCTTGCTACCGCGGGTAGGAGAGGGCGCGCGGGACCCAAGAGCCTCCGTGCGGAGCCAGGCCTCAGGAGCAGCCGCCTTGGTCCTGGAAGGGATGCCTCCCTCCATCCTGTCTCCAAAGAATGTAGGGAGACCTTCTCACCCGGTGGGAAAGCGACGTCTCCCATGCTTTCCCACCACGGACGCCTTATGTCCCTTTTCCTGCTAGTGTCTGACCGCCAGCCTGCGGGGGCTGCGGCTGCAACGGTTCCAAGCTGGGTGGAGGCTGCCTGCCCGCGAGCCAAGAGCCACGCTAGGAGGCAGGAGTCGGGAAGTCGTGTGCAGGCCCGGAGGAGACTCAAGCTACGGGTCAGGCTTTTTTGCCAATTGCCAAATTCAGCGTGTAAAACAGAGAGCTCACATCTGTCTGTTTGTAAGCTTCGGTGAGAACAACAAGGAAGGCCCTCAAGATCCCTAGGAGGGCGGCGAAGGGTCTCTGGCGAAGGGTCACCGCGTCGGCGGTGAGCCAAGGTATGTCAGGAGAGAGTGCGAACCCAGCCCCCGGGTAGCACGAACACCACCGCAGACAAGGGCCCCGCTTGTGGGGAAATCGCAGAGCCAGTGCAGCCGCAGTGCGGTGGACTAGCCTCATCCAGGGAGAACCCCCTTCCTGACCACGGTCTGTCCCCCGCCAGGTAAGAGGAGAGGAGGGACAGTACAGCCTCCTGTCCCGTAGCCGCAGGCTCAGGGTCACCACCTTCCCCTCTGCTTGGCCGGCGCCATTCTTCCAAACCACTCTCCGCCAAAGATTCCACGGACAGTCACCTACAAGACAACCCAGCCGTCCTTTCAGCAGCGGATCCCGCCCCGCAGCCACCGCGCCCTCTCACCCCAGCGCTTCTACCCACCGCCTCTGCCCAGTCTGTGCACTTCACCTCCCTCGCCCCGGCTCCCCTCTGAGCTTACAGTGGACAGGGGGTTCGTCCCCAACCCTTCTTGGGAATACTGAATAGAAAAGGGAGGAGCGTGCGCAATTCCTTGGTAGTGTGTAGACGGACATTGTGGGATTTGACTGTGGTACCATCGCTTTGACGTCCTAGTGATTTTTACACCTGCCTTCTGCTTAGAACACCGGCCACAGTTTTCCATTTGTGTCTACTCCACCTGCTGTCTTTGTTGGATAAGTGAACATCGTCCCCCTCTACCACTCAATCAACAAAAGGGCGGTCCTGGAGGACCTCACCCGCCGCTCACCTGCTGCTCACCCCCCTCCCAACCTTGCGGACATCGCCTCCGGTCGCCTCTTCGTAAGGCCTAAGAAGCACGTTAGCTGCGAACGGAGGTGAGGAGGCTCAGCTGACCGCCTGTGTCAGCTGACAACGTGTGACACGCACAAACGCCAGGACTTGGCTTGGCCTCTCTCTTAGTTATTTGCAGCTCTGCCCAATCGGCGCCTCCGGGACGGCGGAGACGGTGGGCTTCTTGGGTGCAGCTCCACGAAGGCTGGCATCCCTGCACAGCGGTGAACACCTGAGGGAGACGCTCAGTCTCTCTCTAAAGCAACTTCTGCGGATGACACGGAGATAAATAAGAGCAGTGTGTCATGAGAGGCCGTCCACCAGGACTTGCCCTCCTTTGCCAGGGTTTGCACCTAGCAGAGAGACTGTTCTGCCTCTGGCCCTTGGAGCAGGCTGGCTGACAGCGGAGTAAAGAAAAATTACTGCGGGTGTGCAGTCAGTGCAAAACAATTCTCTGACCGATAATTGAACCCGGGATGCGGTGGTGAAAGAGCTGAATCATAGCCACTAGACCAGCACGGGGGCACGGGAGGGTCTTTCTCAACCTTCTTGCCATATAAGTGACTGTTTCCCTGTGCGCTGGGAGGACTTGGGCCTTGTGGGGGTCGTTGGTCGCTCCTGGAGTCGTCTCACAAGGCCTTTCCCTCCCTCCTTTCTCCAAAAGAGGAGCCCGGAGGCGACGCACCCAGTACTCTGCGAGGCCCACCAAGGCCACGAGTCCCGAGTCCTGGAGCGAGTTGCAGCGTCCAGGCTGCACCTGACCACTGACCTAGAAATGTGCCTTTGCGAAGCGGCAGCGCATGGAGAAACAGTCGCTGGTGGCCAGGGCCAGAGTCGCGCACCGGGTAGCCAGAACAGGCAGGAGCGAGGAGGCTCCCGGGGTGAGAACGGGGCACCCCGCACATCATAAAGGACTCAGACCTTGGCAACCCCGACATCATAAAGGACTCACACGGATGTGGAAACCGAGACGAGCTGGATGGAAAACTTTCCAGGGGGGCTCCGGGGCCCTCAACTGCTCTCTGACCTTCCCCTGCAACCTGCGACACCTGCCATTTTCCCATCTTAGGCGACGGCAACGCTACCCTTCCTTATGCTCCAGGCAAAACTCCTAGAGTTCCCTCTGACGCTGGAGTTTTTTCCTCAAATCCAAAATCCAATTGGTCACCAATTCGTGATTTCCCGTCGGCCAAGTGCGTGGGCATTGATCTACACGCGAATTTCTCCACCTCGGCGGAATGGCCACTTAGGGGTGGGGGAGGGGCCCTCCGGTGGATTGTAAGGTGTTTAGCAGCATCCCTCGCCTCCGCTGACTAGATAGATGCCAGGGGTTAACATTCTCCCTCCGGGCTTCCCCTAGTCTGGCCTAGTGTCCCAGCGGGGATGGGGGAGTAGTCTGAGGGTGAAGTTGCCGCCTATTGAGAACCACTGGTGCTCATAGTCCTGCCCTCTGAGCTTGTGCAGAGGACTCTCCAGATGAAGGCTCAGGGGTCGATCCAGCTCGAGACCCCCTCGCTCCCCCCGCACAGTCGGACCTTAAAATTGGAGGGTTTTAACATCTCGACATCATGAGATTCTACCTTTAGGTCTTTTCTTCCGTTCTGTCCGCCAAATCGGCCTCTTCCGAGTTTGTTGACCAGGGCCAGCCAGGCAGAAGGCTGGTTTCGCTCAAAGAGGATCCCCTCGCCCTCCTGGAGCTTCAGGCCTGTTTCCGTTGGGTCTGCAGAGAAGCCTTAGGGGCCACTTCCTTCGGCATGGGGAGGGGGAACAGGTGCTCGCTGCGCGGGGAAGAAGAGGGTTTGACTGCTGTTCTCGACCCCCAGCGCCAAACCTCCACCCCGGTGCGCGCCCCTCCAGGCTCCTGCTGGTCCCACTCGCCGGTAATTAGGTCTCCGGTCAGCCTCAGCTCCCGAGACACCCAGGCCCAGAAGGACACGTAAGGGAAAGCAGCTATTCACTTCGGTCCTGTCCGCAAGGGATCCCTTTCTGACGGGAAAGAAAGGTGGCGAGTCCCGTTCTGTTGAGTAAGCGGAAGAGAGATCAAAGGGAAGAGAAGAAAAATCCTGTGAGGTTTCAGGATCTAAAGTTACCATGAAGTCGACCTAACCTCGTCTGGAGGTCCTCCCGTGGCTGGCGAAGGTGAGTCGAGTCTCCGTCTTCAGTTTGTCAAAGTGGACAAAGCCTACGACAACTGCCAGTACCAGCTACTAGGCATCCGCAGTCTTTCCAGTTGGTGGTACTGGAGGTCCCTACCCAGGATTTCCGTGGATTCCAAGGGTACAACTAAACAGCTTTTGTTGTTCCAACTGCTCTTATTTGAAGAAAGGGCCGATCTGTTGAGAATCACATAGGAAAACCACTTCCATAAGAGTGTAGCTACTGTTGTTGAGACTGTCACATTCTCCCTCCTCCTCCTTCCTCTTCCTAGAAATGTGCAATGAAAATTAATCCCCACGATCGGCCTGTTGTACTTTCAATGTACAGTTGGCAGAACCTAAGGTAACTCTAGGAGGTTCCGGGATGAATATTTGAAGTATGACACAGTCATTTTTATTTGCACGTGCATTCCAAAAACACATTGGACAAACACATCCAGTTCACCTGTGCCACACTTACAAAGACGCGAAAAGAGGGGCTACATACAAACAAGTGAAAGATGTAATCAAACGGCTTTTAAATGTCTGCTGTTTCCACTGAAGGTCTTCTTCTCTGGATACACCTACCAGTGTCTTCTCTTTCTCCAAAACCAGACATTCAAGTGCCAGACCCTGAAATCAGTTTTCTGGTTCCAACTTGTTCTTCCCCATTCTGTATCTCTGCCCCTCCACTCTCTTCTTTCATATGCAGGAAAGTTCAGCTCTCCCTCAGTTTCCAATTTGCAACATCCCATTCGAAGAATGCAATGACCAGCATCAAAAATTAGACACCTTCCATGGGACTCCGTCTCTCTCTTAGTTGGAGCTTCTATAACAATGTACCATAAATTGGGTGACTCATCCTAAACAGACATTTCTCACAGTTCTGGAGTTTTCAAGTCTAAGATCAAGGTGCCAGCATGGTAGGGTTATGGTGAGGAACCTCTTCCTGGTCGTAGACTGCCGTCTTCCCACTGTGTCTTCAGGTGGCTGAAAGAGGGGGAAAGAGCTCTCTAGTGTCCCTTTTATGGGGGCACTAATCCCACTCAGGAGGACTCCACTCTCTGGATCTAATTACCTCCCAAAGGCCCCTCCTAATAATTTTAACACATTTCCTGGGGTGGGCAGGGGAAGGTTAGGGTTCCAATCAAGGTATTTTGGGGGGACACAAACATTAGGTCTCCCGTGATCTTTCTAGAAGAAGAAATTATACATGACCCAAAGTTTTGTACATTTCACAGTTAGAAATAAAGAAAACTTTTTCTAAGATTTTGAAAGGCCTGAAACGTGAGGCCAACCAACCCCATCACTAAAATCTGGACTCTGTGCTGATTGTTGTGGACTTTTTGCGTGTTCATCCTCCCTGCAGACAACTGAAGATTCATTCTCTCCAGAGGGTAGAAGAGAAGATGTATTGGGAGAACCCACCCCCAATATTTCAAAGTAGGTTCTTTCTATTTTCCGTAAGTGTCAGCTGGCTGAAAAATAAAGAGACAGTACAAAGAGAGGAATTTTGCAGCTGGGCCACCAGGGGTGGCATCACATATCAGTAGGACCATGATGCCTGCCTGAGTCTCAGACCACCAAGTTTTCATTAAGGGTTTCAAAAGGGGAGGGTGTGTAAGAACAGAGAGTAGGTACAAAGATCACATGCTTCAAAGAGCAAAAAGCAGAACCACTGATAAGGGTCTAACAAAGATCACATGCTTCTGAGGGAACAGGGCAAAGGGCAAAAGCAGAACCACTGATAAGGGTCCAACAAAGATCACGGGGCAAAGGGCAAAAGCAGAACCACTGATAAGGGTCTGTGTTCAGTGGTGCACATATTGTCTTGATAAACATCTTAAACAACAGAAAAAAGGGTTCCAGAGCAGAGAACCGGTCTGACCACAAATTTACCAGAGCTGAGTTTTCCTAACCCTAGTAAGCCTGAGGGTTCTGCAGGAGACCAGGGCTTATCTCAGTCCTTATCTCACTGCACAAGACAGACATTCCCAGAGTGGCTGTTCATAGACCTCCCCCCAGGGATGCATTCTTTTCCCAGGGTATTAATATTAATATTCCTTGCTAGGGAAAGAATTTAGCAATAAGTTTCCTACTTGCACGTCCAAGTAGGCCCCCTGCAAGAAGAAAATTATGGCTCTTTTTGCCCGACCCCACAGGCAGTCAGACCTTCTGGTTGTCTTCCCTTGTTCCATAAAAATTGTTATTATTCTGTTCTTTTTCAAGGTGCACTGATTTCATATTGTTCAAACACACATGTTTTACAATCAATTTGTACAATTAACACAATTATCACAGTGGTCCTGATGTGACGTACATCCTCAGCTTATGAAGATAACAGGATTAAGAGATTAAAGACAGGCATAAGAAATTATAAAAGTATTATTTGAGAACTGATAAATGTGTATATTAAGATGAAATCTTCACAATGTATGTTCCTCTGCTGCAGCTGCAGCTTGTCCCTCTGTTTGGGTTCCCTTACTTCCTGTAACAAGGATCCTTGGCCCCAAGGGGGCAATCAGCATAGATGAGCAAAGACTTGTGTCCCACACTGAAATGAGAGGGATGAAGTGACAGCATATCTTGATCTATGTGATGGTTACATAAGTTATGACCTATTTCAAAGCTTATTATGCTGTGTGAAAAAGAACAAAACCAGAGGACTTGCACAACCTGACATTCAGACTCACTCTAAGCTGTTATAAACAAGGCAGTATGCAAGCGGCATTGGAAGACACAAATACATCAACAGACTGACTTGGGAGATCTGAAACTGACCACAGCTGTAAGGTCCATAGGTTTTTTGTTTGTTTGTTAATTTCTTTTTGTTTTCTGAGACAGGGTCTCACTCTGTCACCCAGGCTGGAGTGCAGTGGCCTGATCTCAGCTCACTGCAAACTCTGCTTCCCATGCTAATGCAATCCTCCTGCCTCAGCCTCCCAGGTAGTTCATACTACATGTGCATTTTAGTAGACATGAGGTTTTGCCATGTTGTCCAGACTGGTCTCCAACTCCTGGGCTCAAGTGATCCACCAGCCTCTGTCTCTCACAGTGCTGGGATTACAGGCATGAACCACCATGACCAGTCACAGGTTTTCAATAAAAGCAGTTCAATGGGGCAAAGGAAATAGTTTCAATTAATTGACTTTCACAAAGAAGAAAGGGGAGATGAACAAGGTTATTTCTCCCTCACACTACACTTGAAAGTAACTTGAGGCACATTATAGACCAAAACTTAAAAGCTAAAGATATAAAGCATTTCAAGGATACTTTGTGACTTGTTGGTAGACAGAGATTTATTAAACAGGGCACAGAAAAAAAATGTATAAAGGAAAGACTTGATAAATTAGACTTCATCAATATTAGCCATATCTTCTCATCAAAAGATGCCACAAAGAACTTGAAAAAATGAATCAGCCTCAGGGAGAAAATAGTCACAAAACCTATCTGACCCCCAAACCCTGTAACTATAATGTATGGTGAGATCTTCTTACCTGGTAACGAAAACAACAACAACAAAACAAAAACAAAAAATAATCAACCCAAGTATGCTAGAAGGGTAAAAGACTTGAACAGATACATAAGAATAAAAGGTACACACATGGTCAATAAAGCACATACAATATGTTTAGTTATCAGGAAAATGGAAATTAAGACCACACTGAGACACCACTATAACTCCCAGTAGCATGGCTAAATTTATAGGGAGAGGAAACACCCAATCTTGGAGAAGATGAAGAACAACCACAACTCTCACACGTCATTGGTGGAAATGTAAAATGACACAACTACTTTGGGACGTTTTGTCATTTTTTATGAACTTGCCCATATCCCACTCTTTGGTACCAGCAATTCGGCACCCAGGTTTTCCCAAGAGACACGAAAACAGATGCCCTCAAAATCTCTTGTGAGAAGAAAGTTCAAAGCAGGCTTATTCAGAATAGCCAATACCAGTTTATTCAGAATAGCCAATATCCAGACTCTCATTATGAGGGTGGGGGTGGGGCGGGAATGGCAAACAAACTGTGCTGTTTCTTTGCAATGGAATACTACTCAGCAATGAAAGAGGAATGAACTTCTGCTACACTCAGCAATGGATAGAGCCAGAGACATTATGCAGAGAGAAAGAAGCATGTAGAACAGAGTAGATGCACCGTGATTCCATCTGCGTGAAGTTCTAGAAGCAAAGGTAAAGTGAAAACAATCTGGAGAGTGATTGTTCACAAATAAGGCAGAGGACAACGACAATGATTTTTATAATTCTAGTGATTACGTTGTTGATTGAGTAGTCACTAAATCCAGGCACATCTGACAACAACGGTGTAAGGCAGAGTTTGCGAAGTGGCACAACCTTCCATAGAAAAAATGTTGAGGCACATAAAATGTAAGATACTTAACCAAGGTCAGGCAAGGACTGACACAGATTTCCAACACAGAACCTGGGTTCTTGGACATAGATTAGACTGGACCTGTCCACTTCTCTGTTTCAGGTGTCTCTGGGATTCTCAGCTGCACCAGAGGAGAGAGAGAAGGACAGAGAAGGAGACAGAGGGAGAGAGGAGTAGGGAAGAAATGGAGGGAGGCACAGGGCCTGTAGCTGTTGAAGAGCAGAGAAGTAACTCTTGCCAGTGTATTTACAGTATAGAAAAGTTTTCTGGCGATCAGGACATTAGCAGATGCTAAGCTTGCTGTGGTCAGGAGATGAATTTGATATGCCATAGATTTAGAAATTAAAACGAAACCCTAAAGTTATTGGAAGAGAATGTAGCAGAATACATTTCTGCCTTAAGAGATAACAGGAAAAAATAAAGCAAAGTAGAATTTAACCAAAGTTATCAACTTCTGCTCATCAAGAATCACCATGAAAAGGGAGAAGGTGAGCCACAGACTGGGAGAAGATAATTGCCCCGTGTTTACCTGAAAAAAAAAATAACTCAAATCTTGAATATAGAGAGTACTTTTTACAAATCAGTAATAAAAGGCAAAGCCAATTGAATTAGGGAAAATGCTTCAATAGCCTCTCTTCTCAAAGGATTGCTAAATGGTGAAAACGCATTAGTAAATATGCTCAACAGCATTACTCATTAAAGGAAACACAAATTGAAGCCATGATGTGGTACCGTTTTACATCCACCAGAATGGGTGTATTTAAAAGACAGTAAACACCACGTGCTGTCAAGGATGTTCAGCCAGTGGAACTCTCCTTGCTGGTGAGAAAGCATTCTGGAAGAAACCATTTGGCCGTTTCTAATAAAGTTAACATTACACCTACCATATGATTGAACAATTCCAGTACTTGGTATTCCTCAAAGGAAATGAATGCACGTGTCCACAAAAAGACCCCACACAAGAAGAATCTTCATTCGCCTTGTCCAGCTAGTGGAATCTGTTTCTTACCAGCAGGAGTAGAAGTCTGAACATTTCTCTTGGTATCATTTCTCTTGGCCTCTTGGTATCAGAGTCGCCAAGGAAAATACAACGCAGTCAAGCACTGGACGGAAAAACAACACATTATTCACACAGAGAGGAGACACAGCCGGGTGTGGGCTCCGCTTCAGTAGTGGGCGTTGGTCCCCCATGGCCATCCGGTCCCTCCATTTGGCCTGCACACACAGCCTCTTGAGAAGCAGAAGAAAGGGCCCCTCCCCCTCCCCTCAGCGGGGAGCAGATACAGCAGCTGGCCAGGTGCCAGTTGATGCACATGTTTAAGTGGAACAAAGGGGTACACAGTCTGATCGGGGGAAAGATACTCCCACACAAGGAGGTGAGTCCAGCACAGGCTGTGAGGACTCCTTATCTCTTGGGAAGGAAGTGCTCCAGGCCCAAGGCCCATTCCTACCCGGCAGAGTGGAAGTGGAAAGACCCCTGGCACGAGATTGCCTTTCCCCACACTTTCCTGTTGGCATACAAACTTGGCGACGAGCTGGGAGACAAGCCATTGTAGGCCACAACAAAGAGTTTGAAGTTTAAAGTCATTAAAAGCTTGTCGTTTCGTGTGTAACAGCCCCAGTGACTGGAAAACAGGTTCTGAGGGCACCATTGCCTTCGTGTAAGCCACCAACAGGGCTGACTGGGTTATTTGCTGTGTGAGGCTCGGAAATGGACGGAGCACGTCCAGCGCTTCCCTTGGATTCCTCGCCAGGTTAGTGGGCTGTGAGGTCTCTTTTCCTTTCCCTGAGGCGCCTGGTTGCAGGGAGCGAAAGTGGATAGCTGACGGCCTGGAAGAACGACATTGCCGTGACTCGGATTCGAATCGAGGTTGCTGCGGCCACAGCGCAGAGTACTAACCACTATACGATCATGGCGAGCCACAGGCCAAGCGATGATAGCTGAGCTTGCTCTACTAATTTTGACATCAATAGATTTCGATTATTAGGCGGCTTTGTTCCCAGACAGCTACAGGGGGATCGCGCTATTCTTTCATACCCGCTCTGCTTTTCCCTCCCTTCCTCCCAATCCTCATATGTGATGAGAAAAATTCTTATCTCCTCCACTCCAGCCTGGGCCTCTCTCGCGAGGTCTCTCTGTCCTCATTCGCACCTCCTCTACTTCTCTCCGGCCTCTCCGTATTTCTGCTTTTCACCCTTCCTCTCTCCCGCCGGACCGACCGAAGCAGAGGTGAGCGAGGGTAGCGCAAGCAGCGTAGCGAGTCAGGTGAAGGCGGAGCCAAGAACTGCGAGAGCTGTCACTAGAGCCCACCGGGCGTTCTGCTTGCTTCCCTTCGGACCCACGCGATTCAGGCTCAGGGAGTCGCGGACCCGGGCGTTTCCAGGATGCTGGGTCTGATGCCTGCGAGGGGCAGGACGAGGCGAAGGCCATTCCGCTGCCCTTCCAGCTTCAGAATCACCCAATGCACGGGTTTCAACCGTAGCCGGCAAGCTGCCCCTCTCCGGTTTTCCGAGGCTTTGGAGCCTGCACAATTGTTCTACAAAAGGCGGTGGCTCCGCCTAACGTTAGATGGACGCTTGCTCTGCGTGGTGATACCAGAGCGAGAGTCGACTGTTCCTGTGTCGCAGTCGGGTGGTGTGCTTGCTTCCAAGTCTGGAGGCGGGTGGTTCGAGCTCGTTCTATGGAACGTTTCCTGCATTTTAAAAATGCTTAAACCGCTGGCAACTTTCTTCTATCCAGCACATGCACTCATGGAAAGGCAGAGCGAGACCAACTTTACCCTCCTCTCATCCCTCTCCCTCTCCCTCCCCCTCTGCCCCTCCCCCTCCCCCTCCCCCTCCCCCTCCCCCTCCCTCTCCCTCTCCAGACGGAGTCTCGCTCTGTTGCCAGGATGGAGTGCAGTGGCGCGATCTCGGCTCACTGCAACCTCCGACTCTCTGGTTCAAGCAATTCTCCTTCCTCAGCCTCCAGAGTAGCTAGGCTTATAGGCACAAGCTACCACGCCCAGCTAATTTTTGTATTTTTTAGTAGAGACGGGGTTTCACCATGTTGGCCAGGGTGGTGTGGATCTCCTGACCTGATGATCCGCCCGCTTAGCCTCCCCAGAGTGCTGGGATTACAGGCGTGAACCACCGCGCCTGACACTCTCTGTCATTCATTTAGCCCTTTCCATACGCTTTTGAGGTTAAATTGGTTCTGTGATTTTACTATTACATATAATGCTCTAGTCATTCTTGTATGGGCACTTTCAGCCACTGGTGTAAGTATTTCTATAGGGTAGAGGTGCAATTACTATGTGGAAAGCAATTACTCTATCATAGTGTTCACACGGTTTTTATATCATTCCATTCTCTCTCCTCTGTTTGCTTATTAGATATAACTCTTTCTTTTGTTATTTTAGTAATTGCCTTAGGGCTTATAGCAAACCATTTTAACTTATCACAGTCAACCTTCAAGTGATATTATACCTCGCCTTCTGGCCTTGATGCTGATGCTGTAGCTGACATGCACTTTGCTTTTACGCATGTTACAAACCCCACAACACATTGTTATTGCTTTTGTTTAAATGGTCAAATTTTTACAAAAGAAATTTACAGAATAAAAAAAAAACTAGTATAGTTACCCATTTCTGGTGTTCATTTCCTCGTGTAGATCTGGATTTTCATCTGGTATTGGATTCCTTCTGCCTGGAAGACTCCTTTGACGTTTCTTGTAGTGTGGGTTGGCTGGTAGTGAATTCTTTCAGCTTTTGTACATCTCTAAATGTCCTTATTTTACTTCCAGTTTTGATAATTTATTTTTTGTGGTATAGTATTCTAGGTTAACTTCCCCTGCCCTCAGTACCTTAAAGATGTTGCTTCTATGTCTGCTCATGTGCATTGCTGCTCCTGGTAGAGGCCGGCAAGAGCAGAAAGGAAGCTGATGCAATCCTCATCTTTGTTCCTGTGTATGTACAATGTATTTTTCTTCTGGCCGGATTTGAGCAATATTATTATGAGGTATCTAGGAGTGGTTTTCTTCATGTTTCTTGTGCTTTGGTTTCCTCAGCTCCTTGGGTCACTGGATTTATAATTTTTGTTATGATTGGGGACTTTTCAGCTATTGTTTCTTCAAAAATTGGCCGGACACAGTGGTTCACAACTTCAGGAGGCCAAGTCGGGAGGTGTTGAGTGAGGCCTGAAATTTAAGACCAGCCTGGGCAATGTACTGAGACCCCATTCCTAATAAAAGTAACAAAGAAAGAAATAAATGTTTCCTTTCCCCCCTGCTCCTTCTCAGGGACTTCCATTACTCATAATTTAAACCTCTTAAGTCTGCCCTACAGTTCACTGATAATCTTTTATTTTAAAAAAATCTCTTTTGTCTGTGAGTTTCATTTTGCATATTTTCAATTATTCATGGTTCCATGTTCCCTGATCATTTCTTCTGCAACGTCTAATCTGCTGTTGATCCCATCCAGTGAATTTATCATCTCTGATATTGTGGTTTTGGCGTGATATCGGCTCACTGCAACCTCCTCCTCCCAGGTTCAAGTGATCCTCCGGCTTCAGCCTCCCAAGTAGCTGGGACTACAGGCATGTACCACGATACCAGGCTAACTTTTTGTATTTTGAGTAGAGATGGAGGTTTCACCGTGTTAGCCAGGATCGTCTTCATCTCCTGACTTTGTGATCCACCTGACTCAGACTCCCAAAGTGCTGGGATTACAGTCGTAAGCCACCGCACCCAGCCCCCTCCCTTCCTTCCTTCCTTCCCTCCTTCCTTCCTTCCTTGAGACAGGGTCTCACCCTGTAGCCCAAGCTGGACTTCAGTGGTGTAATCTTGGCTCACGCAACTTCTGCCTCCCAGGCTCAAACAATCCTCCCACTGCAACCTCCTGAGTAGCCGGGACTACAGGCACACACCACCATGCCTGGCTAATTATTTGAATTTTTTTGGTAGAGATGAGGTTTCCTTATGTTGCCCAGTCTGGTCTGAAACTCCTGAGCTCAAGGGATCAGCCCACCTCAGCCTCCCAAACTGCTGGGATTACAGGTGCCTGTTTGTTTGCAGAGAGGAGCAGTGAGCAGATTTCAGGCAGGAGAGTAAATCGGGCATCCGTTACTCAAACTTTGCCGGGAGCCTAAGGCATCTCTTTACATGTTCTTAGTTTGACTTCAACAGGAGGTGTGTCAGTTTATCTTCCAACATATTTTTCCAACTCAATGAGAGAGCCTTTTCCTTCGTGCTCTTGCCAGCACAGCAGTTTCCATATATCAGTCTGATGTACCAGTGAGGGGGTGGTGCCCTGCCTGACTTACCTAAGCAGGAGGTGCAGCAGAAAGACATGGTGGACAGTTCCCAGAGATACTCTCTGGCACGTGTTCCACAGCTAAACCTCCAAGATGTTTAGAAAGTCTTCCAGTAATTGTAATTGTTTTCTCTGGTGATCTACCTAAGCCCAGAGAAAACTGGCTGGAGAGACCCTGAACTGCTTCCTGTCAAGAGGCTTATCAAATAGGAGGGGAAAGAATGGCTCCTTCTAGAAATTTGTTCCTTTTCTCTTTTCTTTATGAATTGCATTCTGCTTTTGTTGAATGCAAACGATCTACAGACTGTTCTCCCTCCTAGACAAGGGTGAATTGGCATGCTAATAACTACCTCTGTGTTATTCCTTCCTTGATGGTGTTTGTTTTGTTTTGTTTTTCTGTAAAACTCATCTCACTGGAGACAAATCTCTGGATCCTGCACCTCACCATGCTTCTTATGCAGACCTGGATCCTTGGAGTTATTGGCTCCCTTTGCCTTGTTTATTTTGTTGACTCTCTTCAGCAAAACTGAACTCCAACTTTTACACCCTAAATCTGGCTCTTGGACATATAGGTCCTTTTGCTTTCTGACTCCTCCTCAACCCAGCCCTGCCTTTCCAACCTCTCCATCTGTATCTGTGTGCCTGTGTCTGTCTGTCTGTCTCTCATACCCCAGGCTGCCCCCAGTATTACCCACTTTCTTCTCCCCCTCTTCAGTGTTCAGGGTACACCTTCTTCTCTGCCTACAGAGTCCCACAGGCTGAGGGTGCGTCCCCTTACAGAGAGGGGAGCTCATTCCAGAAGGTGCCCTCTAGACTTGGAATTAACCCTACAAACAACACCCAGGTTTGAAAAGCTTTTTCTGTCTTCCCATTACCTGCATTATTCAAAGGACTAAAAGTGGGGAGTCCAGTAGAATTCTTGATGTCTCTCAGAAGCCTGCATTGGAATGCCTTCATTCACCGAGCATATGTTGGGTGCTCACAAGGTGTGAAGCCTTGCTCTAGGTGAGTAGCTGCATGGTGAGCAAGTCCTGCCCCACCGAGCCCACATCTGGAGGAATCAAAAGGGACCGGGCAGTGGGAACACAACCAGCTCGTGTCCTCCCCACAAGTGTTTCCCCATTCGGGCACAGGGAACACAAGCGGTAAGCATGACAGATAAAGCATAGCGAAGGATGGGGAAGTGGGTGACTTCAGACCAAGAGGCTACTGTGGTCATGTGCAGTGGGGCCACTTCCGACAGGGGAAGTGCAGGGGGACAGTGTGGGCCAGGGAGAATGTCGTGGATCTGGCATTCCTGCATCTTGCCCTCACTCACATGGCCTGGTGTCAACTCAGAAATGTGCCCAACCACACAACTTCTGGCCTCCGTGTCACCTAGAAGACATCTAGAACCCATGCAATAGCACAAAGAAGTGAGGATGTGCAGCCTGGGGATGGGGGCATTTAATAATAGACAGGTGTCTGAGGCAGATGTCCTCAGATTTCCAGGCACCACTTGCCTCTTTGTGGAGCAATCAGGGCAATCATCGGCAAAAAACTAAAGACTACTCGTCCTGTTCCATGCAGAGGCGTAGTTAACCTTGTAACTATTCTTTTCTGACCTTCATTCTTCCACGTCCAGATATATGGGGGTCTTTGTTGCCCATCTGCTTCAAGTTAGATGAAGAAAATCCTGCCTGAAGGCTTAAGGGTTTGTTAGAAAAATAAATGCTGTTCAGAAAAGGTGCATTTTAGGCAAAAGCTCAGTTCTGGAGCTCCAGAACCTACCTATCCCAAGCCCAATACACACCTCCTTTCTCTCCCTCCCTGCTCATCGCACCTGCCTTCGCTGATTCTTCAGGCTGCACATCTCTGAGAAGATGACAATCCCTAGCAGAAGAACAAGAGAACCTTGGACACTTCTGTCCATGAAGCCATAGACGCGAGCAGATAGCCTCATTCCATGGCGGTGTGACTCTGAAGTCACTCAGGTTTTCTGTGCCTCCATTTCCACATTGTAAAATGGGCCCAATAGGAATGAGTTTCTGAATGGGTTGTTCCAAGTTTAAATAAGACACGGCAGTAAAACATTGAACACACACCCTGATGCATAGTAAACGCTCCAAGAGCAGTAGCCATTATTACTATCATTATCATCGGTGGCTTCATGACGGCTATTATCGTTATCTACATCCATCTTTGAAATAATTGTATATCCTTTTAGGGTATGGAGGGATTGCAACATATAACAAATCCTAACTGATGAACATTTCTTATTACAAATATTGCTGCTGGGAACATATTTCTGTATTTTAATCATCACCTGTGTGTTTCTCTATCAAATCTTCTCACACAATTTGGGGATGTTGCAAAAGTCATTCCCTGACCGGGAATCGAACGCGGGCCGCGGCAGTGAAAGCGCCAAATCCTAGCCACTTGACCACCAGACACAGAAATCTCCTTGTCAGAGGAAACAAGAGAAGGTAAAGATTAACTTTCTAAGAGGAGGAGAGCCCCACTGAAAATGGCTCTCTGTGACCCAAGCGGGCTGCAGGACTGCAGGGCTCCAAGCAGTCACTGCCCAGCTGCTCAACACCTCTCACCTCTGCTAGCCTGGCCACTGCTTTGGGCTGTATTGAGGACAGGCCACAAGGAAACTGAGCGGTGTTCCATTCTAGCCTTGCTGTAGCATGGTGTGAGGCAGAGCCAGGCACTTGCTCTCTTTCCGAGCCTCAGTTTCCTTGCCACCAAAGTGCGGACGTGGCTCTCAGAGGGTGATGAGCCGAGTCCTTCTAGTTCCCGATCTCTGAACTGGCTCAAGGGGCTCTACCGATAAAGACATGTGTAGGGGTCCCCTTTCGCCCCCAACTAGCTCAATTAGTAGAGCATGAAACTCTGAATGGATGGGTCTTTGGCTCGAGCTCCAGGTGCAGATTTAGGTTCATTTTCTTTTGTTCCGCCACACAATTCGACCGGTTCCGCAACTGAGCTCGGGTCGCGAGGAAGCCAAGTGGGCTTCACAGGAAAGACCTCCTTGGTTTCAGAGACATTGTAGCTGTCAGCTTGAAATCTTCAGAAAGAAGATTTCGGCGATAGATGAGAAGACTGGAAATTTCTGGATCTAAAGCTAACATGAAGTCCGCCTCATCCGGCGCCCTCGTCTCCCGATCCAATTCACGGCGGGCAAACCAGGCCTGGTTCCTAATGCTCAGCGAAGGGTTTCAGGTAGTAATGGAACTCCTCCCGTGCTTCCAGAAGCTGCTGCAGCCGGCGGGGTTTGAGCGCCGGAGTTCCGGGCGGCAGTAGTGTGGACCCCGCCCCTCCAGGTCTATGGGCCCCGCCTCGGGACCTTATCCCTGGCGTCCGGCCTTCAGGGCTCTTGGCTTTGACAGGGTACCGACTTTCGTGGTCCTTCCAGGAGCTGCAGGACCCTGCCTGCCCGCCCTTCACTCAAGTCAAGGGGCCTCATCCCTGTGCTCTTTCCTCGCTTTGGGCTCTCCACTCAGGGTGTCAACAGAGGTAGGTCAGGTGAGAAACCTGGATTTCCACACACACCTGGCTACAAGGAGATGGCACCACTCCCCTTCTCCTGCAGAAGCAGACTCAGAAAAAAGGTAATTAAAACAGAAGGTTTCAATAAAATCGAGAGTCTGATAACATAATACCCAAAAGTCCAAGTTTCTATTGAAAATCATTCATTACACTAAGAACCAGAAAATCTTATTCTGATTGAAAATAGACAGCAAATACACACCGGCAATAAGATGAGAGAGGGGTCGGGATTGTCTGACAAAGATTTTAAAGCAAGCAAGCCTGATGAAAATGATGCAGTAATTATGAGCACATTCGAAACAAATGGACAAATAGAAAGCCTTAGCAAATAAATACAAGACTTACAGGAGAAACAAATGGAAGTATTAGAAGTGGAAAATACAACAACCAAAGTAAAAAGTCCGGCACATAGGCTCAACAGCAGAATGGATGGTGCAGAGCAAAGAAATCCATCCACTGCAGATGAAAAAATAGAAATTACACAATCTTAACAAGCAAAAAATAGACTGGGTGAGAAAGTGAATAGAACCTCAGGGACTTGTGGAACTGCCTCACAAGGTCTCACTTTCATGTTGTTATCTATGTCTGGAAGGGGAAGAAGAAGAGGAAGAGGCTGAAAACATAAAGAAGTCAATGGCTAAAAGCTTGCCAGAGTTGGCAAGAGACAGAAACCTACAGGTTCAAGAAGCTGTGAAGACCCCAAATAGGAGAAAACCCAAAGACGTCTATGGCAAGATACATGAAAAAATAAAATGTAGGAAATGAAAGACAAAGAAAATATCTTGAAAGCAACAGAGAAAGGTGACACTTTACCTAGAAAGGAAAAACAATTCTGGTGATGATGGATTTCTCATCAGAAACCAAGGAGGCAGAAAGAAGTTGTGCAGTGCTTTTCAAGCCATGAAAGAAAACAATTGTCAGCCCAGACTCCTCTGTCCAGCAGAAACATCTTTCAGGGATTAAGAGGAAGATCAAAACTGTTTCAGATTAAGAAGAGCTAAGGGAATCTCTGACCACCAGTTCTACCTTAAAACAAAAGGCTAAAGGGAGTTCTCTAGACAGAAAGGAAGTGATTAAAGAAGGAACCTTGGGACATCAGGAAGAAAATTTAAAAAAAAAAAAAAAAAGTAAGCAAAATAGGCCTTCCTTCTTCTCTTGAGTTTTCTAAACTATGATTGACGGCTTCAGAAAAAAATCATAGCATCATTCAAAGTGGTTCTAACTCTCCAAAAAGAAAATGTTTGAAACAATTATAAACTGGGAGGGTGAAGAGACCGGTAAGGAAGGTAACTCATCTATCATTCACTCATACTGGTACAACAATGACACCAGTATACTGTGTGGTAAGACATAGATGCACAGACATATGAATATCAGGGAAAACCAAGAGGGCTATCCAAACAGATATATGCAAAAACACTATGGATAAGGCAAAACACCATTCTCAAAGACGTTCAAGTCACCACAGGAAGGTAAGAAAAAGAAAGCATATCCAGAAAACGACACCAGAGAGAACAAACACAAAAAGAAAAATATAATGGCAGACTTAAGCCCTACCATATCAATCATCATATTAAATATAAATGGCCTAAGTACACCAATTACAAGACAGAGATTGGCAGAGTAGGTTAATGGACATGACCCAACTACATCCTGGCTGCAAAGAGACTACCTTCAAATATGATGATACAGGAAAGTTGAAATCAAAAGGATGGAAAAAGATACATCATGCAAACCTTAGACAAAGGAAAGCAAGACTGGCTATATTAATGCCAGATATAGTATATTTCAGAACAAAGAAACTAATCAGAGACAGAGAGGGACATTATATAATGAGGAAACAACCAATCCACGAACTCCTCTCCTGACAAAAGTCATAAATGTCTATGCAACAACAACTGAAAGTACTGAACAGAGAACTAGGCAAATCCACAAATATAGCTATATGCTTCGAAGTTCCCCTTTCTTAACAATTTATACAAAAACCAGACAGAAAATCAACAAGAATATAGAAGAACCCAACAGCATGATCAACCAGCGGGGCTTAAATTGACAATTTTAGAACACCCAACCACGTCAGAATACACATTGTTAAGGGATGCATTGTGCCCGGCCCCCCCAGATTCATATGTTGAAATCAGAACATTAGTGGCAACTAGTAATATACTAGTTAAAATCACAATGAGAAATTGCTAACATACCTATCAGAATGGCCAAAAGAAAAGCATGACCACATCAAGTGCTGTCAAGGATTCAGAGAAAGCTGGATCACTCATACATTGCTGGTGGAAATGTAAAAAGTGACAGCCCACTCTGGAGAATATCTGTATAGTTTTTACTTTTTAAACTATATGTGCAACTACCATACCACCTAGGAATTGCATTCTCTGCATTTATCACAGAGAAATAGAATCTTATGTTCACACAAAATCCATGTACTTAAAGTTTATAGCAGCCTTGTTTTTAATAGCCAAAACTGGGGGAAAAATGTATAGACGACTTTCATGAGGTGAATGGTTAAACAAACTGTGATATATATCCATAGCACTGAAGAGTCCTCAATAATTTTTTAAAAAACAACAAACTATTGATACCCACAATAACCTGGATGAATCTCCACAGAATTATGCTGAGTGGACAAAGGGTAATCCCAAAGGTGACATGTAGGAGTCCATTTATGCAAATTATTCTTGAAATAAATAAATTATAAAAATAGGGAATAGATTAGTAGTTGCCAGGGATTAAGGAGGGAAGGAGGAGCAGCACTGAAGAGACAGGGTCATGGCTATAAAAAGGCAACATGATGAATCCTAGTATTGATGGAAATGTTCTGTACCTTGCTTGTATCAATGTCAATCTCCTGGTACAGTGGCATTTGCAATACATTTGCAATATTTGCAAATATTACTAAGATGTTACCATTGGAGGAAACTGAGTAAAGGATACAAGGGACCTCTCTTTTTCTCTCTGAGTTCCTAAGATTGTATGTGAATTATTAAAATGTAAAAATTAACTTAAGAAAACCTAAGTATATTTCTCCTTTACTGATCATGCCTTTGCTTAAAAACATTAAGGCAACAATATTTTTCCCAACACCCTTTATTTTCTTGAAGACAGTTTTAACAAAAGCTGTTCTTAGGGCTTTTCCTAAAAGTTTAAAACTTCCAGTAATCCTTACTGTTCTTCTTTGAGAACCCTCCAGGGTTTTGTTTTCCAAAAGAATAAAGACAAAAACTGGCAACTGGCATATAATACTATATTAGTCTTAGTTCTCCAGAGAAAGAAAATGAGCAGGATACACACACATACACACACAGAAGCAGAGAAGCCCAAGTTCTACTCTGAGTAAGCTCTAGACCTAGGAGAGTCAAATATAGTTCAAGACAAAGTCCAAGGCTTAAGGCAGAAGACTGATGTCCCAGCTCAAAGACAGTGCAGCAGAAAAACTTCTTTCTTAACCCTTCATCCTAGTCAAGCCGTCCATGGGTTGGATGAGGCCCACTCACACTCAGGAGGGAAATCTGCTTCAATCAGTTTACTGATTCAAATGTCAATCTCTTCCAGAAACACCCTCAGAGACACAGTGAGAAATCATGTCTAACCAAACATCTGGGCACTCCCTGGCCCAGTCAAATTGACACAAAAATTAACCTTCACAAATGCTCTCAATAGAAGTGATTAATAAATGTAGCATCATGTACTGCCTGTTTATCCCGTGACAATTAATATATTCCAGCATAACATTGGCTTCTGTTCCCTTACTGTAGGAACACATAGGAGTTTCATTTAAAGTGAGGATAACTTTTACCTTATGGAGTCTCTCCCTACCCGTACCTACCATTGCCACTTGTGGATTGTCATTTTGCCATGGCTTTCTTATTCATAATATCAATAAGCTGTATACTTTGCTAATGTAAGTTTGAATTTCATCCTGGCTGCATAAGTCACTTTCCATTTTGACAAAGCCTAGAAATATTTTTGTTTATCTCCTGTATATTGGTAACACATACCTATTGTGGGGCCCACTCTCAATCTCATGGTTTTCTTTATTTTCATTCAGCTCTCAATAGATATGCCTAGGCTGCTTGAACATCACTGAAAATGGCCTGTGGCCTTGTCCATCTATCAGAGTCCAGTAAAATCCTGGCCATGGAATGGGGGGATGGAAAGTGAGAACCACCAAACTCAGCACACAAAGACTCAGTTTAAACCTCTGCGCTAAGAGATGACCAGACTCTATCATGGCTCCTAATAGCATAAGACCATGTCCCATGGATGACCCTAGGCTCCCATGACAATGCCTACCTAAGAAAGCTCAAGGCTACCAGGGGAACTTACTTTAGTTCTAGCCAATACCTGCTGATGATGGTAGGTTCTTTCTTATAGCATTTACTAAGAAGGGAATCCCTCCTCCATCCCTTTGAGATATGTATGTATCTCCTAGGGACTCCAGTGTGTCTTTCCACAGGATTTGAAAGCCATTCCTTTTAGGTGTAGTCCTCAGGAAGGACAGAATCTCTGTCTTCCGGTCTCTGTGGGAGGTTAGGATCCTAACATCTAATATTGCCAGCTGGCAGAAACAGCTGTCCTGATGAGGCAGAAGCTTACAATGATCAATCTTTCATAATGTTTCACTTGTGCCCTGACCCTGCCCTCTCCCCTGCCTCACTCTCTCATTAGAATGCCATCACCTCTGCACAAACGGGATGGAATTCAGCCCCCTCTGCTTTGGTCAGTAGTTACTGAATAAAATCTGTTTTCACAGCTTTGACTAATGTCTGACTTTATCTTTGACAAAATAAGTGCAAGCAATTGTTTTGAGCAACACAGCAGCCACAAAGAGAGGCACAGACATGTCGGGAGAGGGAGGAATCATCTGACCCTTCTCATTTCACAGGCATCTATTCCTGCCTGGTGTTTATGAGCCTGAGACTTGGCTGGGCTGCCCTGGTGTATCACTCCATGGCTCTGGGGCAAGACTTGAGTAGGCTGGTGGTGGCACTTGGTGTGACCACAGCCACCTTCAAAGATGCCATTAAGGGTTCACAAGAAAATGAAAGGAAACATAGAGAAACTGATTTTGAAAGTTGTTGCCTCTCCTGCTTCCTCATTCAGAGTGTGTATGATATTGCTGTGTGATGTTAGTTGGACTGCAATTTAGCACAACAGCTGTTCTAATAATTGGCAGTTTCTCATCGAGTTAAGCCTACCTGAAAGGGAAGCACACTTACCTTTATTGATCACCCCCGTTAAATGAACAATACATCCAACAAGGCTTCTACCAAAAATGTTCTTATTAACCTCATTTGTATACTAAGGAAAAACTGGGAACAACACAAACCTTCATCAACAGAAGAATTTAATACGGACTGTTATATAGTCATAAAACGATCCCAGAAGTTCGCTGCATAACATCAAACCCAGGAACCCACACTGATGCCACTGATGGCAGAAAATCTTGATACAAAAATAAGAGAGACGAGAGACAGAAAATGTGCTATAACCATAGTAGTGGGTAAAAGCCAAAGAGCTCAGTTTCTATTCATGATATTCGATAGAAGAACAGAAGGAACATGAGCCAATAGCTCTAAGGGTCCAGGTCTGCACAAGGTGCCTGTTGGGTGCAGGGTTCTGTTGGCTCCAGTGTTGTATCTCAAATGGGCTAATTTTTATGGACATAGCCACTGCAGAAATCTATCAAAGAATAATAAAGGGATAGCTATTTGCATGTTAATTTACCATTGTATAGGAGGGAGAACGGGCCTTAGATTGGTTTGGTCAAATAAAAGCAAAACCGAGATTTATGAAGAAAAGAGGAAAGGGGAGAGGAAAAAAGTCATCTGGGAACTTTGTGATTTTGCTCCCCTTGGATAAGCGACTTGACAGAAAGCTGTCAAAGAGGTCATTGTGACCCATCTTCTCCATACCCACATGACTTGGTCACCACAGAAAACAATTACAGATGTTGGAGGACTTTAAAACATCCTAGAAGTTTAGCAGCTCATCCTATGCCACAGAATATCTGTGAGTAATGTCCACCATGTCCTTCGGTTGTACACCCCCTCAGTTAAGCCAGGAGGACGCCTCTTCCCTCAGTGGAATATCATACGTCGATGTGTAGAAAGTTGGTTGTGCCAGCAAGTAAATGACAAAAGGGACATTGATAGAATTGGGAAACACATTGGAGTATGATTTGCTACTGCTCCCACGGAAGATAAATTTGCAGAATGTACTCAAATTAGAAGCATTATATAAATGCTGTAATGTAAAAATGGCACATCCTGTTCTCTACACTATAGAAATATCTGCATGAGTGACCAAAGATATGTGTACAAGAATGGTGGAGATTGCAGCATCATTTGTAATCCTAAAGTCATGAAACCCACCTCATTTCAAAAACATCTTGAAAAGGGTTAAATCATGCACAAACAGAGGAAGAAATGCTGTTTTCACAAACAATGGCGAGGATCACCATGAGGATGAGTGATTCCACTGGTCACATTATTGATAGAGCAATCAGTAAACCCAGGCACATCCTGAGAATAGGATACTACTGTAATAGCTCTCCTATTACTAAACATGAAAAACTCGAGGCACTTTACTCCCACAAGCCTTCCATGGGAGCAAAGAACATTTTTATCACACTAGAAGTGAGTTCCTCTCTAAGGTCTCTGGGATTCCTGAGTTTGACAGATACAAGGCACCATGGGCCTTGCCAAGCCTCAGCCCTAGAAGATGGGGAGGAGGACATGTGTGTCTCCTGATTAGGCTGGAGTTGATTGTATATCAACAGAAACAACAAAAATCAAATCATGAACTATTTTTCTATGGGGAAGTTTTGTTTTGTTTTGTTTTGCGACAGGGTCTCACTTGGTCGCCCAGGCTGGAGTGTACTGGTGCAAACAAGGCTCACTGCAGCCTCGACCTCCTGGGGCCAAGTGATATTCTTGCCTCAGCCCCCAAGTAGCTGAGACGACAGGCTAATTTTTGTATTTTTTGTAGAGACAAGATTTCGACATGTTGCTGAGGCTCGTCGCGAAGGGGAAGTAAGTTCTTTTTAAAAAGCATTTATTCCGATTGATTTCTCCGCATCCTGTGGGGCGCGCAAGGGGCAAGGCCTCCCGTGGCCTCTCTTGCCACTCTGAACCAGGGAGCTGTGGGGGCTCAGCTGCGTTGTTTTTGGGTGCGTGTCTGGGGCAGGAGGCCGGGGCCGGGCAAGGGGTGAATCCAACAGGGAACTGCGAGGAGGAGGGCAAGGAAGTCGGTAGAGGCATGCACCAGGGAAACTTCCCAGTAGCTTTGTGCAGCGATAAGGACTGCACAAGGGAGAGATGAGAAGTGTTTTCTTATTGTATCAGAATGGGGAAGAAAGGGGGGAAAAACGGAGAGACACCAAGAAAGAACGAAATCTACGCGGACCCTTGGGTCTCCAAAAGGGAAGCAGTCCTGCATTAAGTTTAAAGAAGGAGCGCGGCGCGCTTCAGCTCCTGTGGCTTGCCGTGATCTTATTGTGGTTAGTACTTTACGCGGTGGCCGCAGCAGCCTGGGCTCGAATCCCAGTCGTGGCAACGTCCATTCTAGGGTGTAGCGCTCTTCTTTCCCTTTAGCCTCTAACCTCAGCCTAGGCTGCGCTGTTGACCTGCGGCTAGAGAGGTCACAACTTTCCTGTGACTTCGGAACTCTCTGTGGTGTCGAGAATAGAAGGAAACCCTACCCTGAATGCCTAGGGGTCCGGTTATCTTGAAAGACTTTTCCTCCTCTCTGAGCAAGTACAACACCCAAAAGATGAGGTGCCCCCTCTCAGTCAGCCTTATTGGAATCTTTAATGTTAACATGATGTGGCCGTACCCGTTTTTCTGGCTCAGATATTTCAAAAATCCGTGGGGCCTTTTTCAGGCCAAATCAGAAATGAACAAGAGAAGATGAGAGTTCGCACTCCAACTGGGTATTTTAAGCAAAACCTAAAGAATACAATAAAATCTAAAGTTTGTGACTTTCTCCAACCCCAATTTTTAATTTTGTTTTTATTTATTTATTTATTTATTTTGCTATCAGTAAATGATTGAAGTATAATCCACAGAGACCAAAGTGCACCAATCTTAAGTGTGTGAGCCAGTGCATTTTGACAAAAGAAACCATCACCTATGTCAAGTTATGGTACATTTTCAACAGACCAAGAAGTCATTAGAGCCCCTTTCCAGTCAATCCTCACCCCATCCCCATTTAGGCAATCACCATTCTGACTTCTATCTCCGTGATTTACTCTTGCTTCTTGTAGAAATCACGTAAAGGACTACATTGATTTTACCTGTTTTCTTTTAATGCAACAATGATATGTGATGCTTCCATTTTATGACATGTATCTCAGCTCTTTGGTGTTATTGATGAGTGTTATTCCAACATGTGAATATACTACAGTTGATGGACAATTGGGCTATTTCTAGTTTTGGCTATTGTGAATAAGGTGTTTACAAATATTCTACTATGGGTCTTTTTATGGACCTGTGCCTTCATTTCTATTGAGTATAAATCTAGTAATGGAATGGCTGGGTCATAAATAGGTGTATTTTTAACTGTATTAGAAACTATCAGACAGTATTTTAGAATGGTGGCACTATTGTATTTTCTCTCTCTCTCTTTTTTTTTTTTTTTTTTTTTTTGAGACAGAGTCTCGCTTTGTCACCCAGGTTGGAGTGCAATTGCAGGATCTCCACTCACTACAACCTCCACCTCACGGGTTCAAGCAATTCTCCTGCCTCAGCCTCCTCCTGAGTACTTGGGATTACAGGAGTGCACCACCATGCCTGGCTAATTTTTGTATTTTTAGTAGAGACAGGGTTTCACCATGTTGGCCAGGCTGGTCTCGAAATCCTGACCTCATGATCTGCCCACCTCAGCCTACCAAAGTGCTGGGATTACAGGCGTGAGCCATCACACCTGGCCTATATGCAAACTTCTGTATCAGAATAGAAAAGTTGAGAAGATAGTACACAGAATGGAGTAAAGAGGATGGAATGGGTTTTTGGAAACCAATTCACAATTTAAAGTTGTTTTAACACCCCTAATCCCCAAAGAAAAATGTATATTCTCCAAAGACATCCCTTTCTTAAAATATGCAGAGAAAGTGTGGGATAAAAGAGCATGTAGTAAACTTCTCAGAACGTGTGTCTGGAAGTGGACAGGGGAATGGGAGTGGGATGAACAGAGAAAAGAAGGAAAGACAGTAAGGGCCTTGCTGAGAGCAGCCACCATAATGTGCCCTGAGCTAAGGTACATGATTACCTTCTTCCTGTGCACCTGAGATCTAACAGAATGTATTGACTTATCAGGGATATGGAATTTCAAAAACACTACAGGAAATCAAAAAATTTACCAAAACAGAACAGTCTAGTTAAGAAAGGCAGGAAGAGATTTTATAAACAAAGCAAAAACACAGAAATCATACAGTGAGGTGGTGGGAATGAGACTATGCGCATCGTCTCCAATATAACACTAATTACTGCTAATTATAATGGATTTAAGTATCTCATATTGGATAGAAAAGGAAATGCCAGCTCTAATGCTTTAATGGTGGAAAAGGGTTAAATATTCAAAGCAGTGCACATTATTATTGTTAGTAGTAGTAGTAGTATTTTGAGATAGAGTCTCACTCTTGCCAGACTGGAGTGCAGTGGCTCGATCTCGGCTCACTGCAACCTCTACCTCCTGTGTTCAAGCGATTCTTCTGCCTCAGGCTCCTGAGTAGCTGGGACTATAGGTCGCGCGCCACCATGCCCAGCTAATTTTTGTATTTTTAGTAGAGATTTTAGTAGAGATTTCATATCGGCCAGGCTGGTCTCAAACTCCTGACCTGGTGACCCACCCGCCTCGACCTCCCAAAGTGCTGAGATTACAGATGTGAACCACCGCACCAGGTCAAAAGCAGTGCACATTATCATTAGCAAGCTAGCCCAGAAAGAGAAAACCAAACACCGTGTGTTCTGACTTATAAGTTGGAGCCGAATATGAGAATGCTTGGATACATAGGTTTCGGGGGTGAGGACAACACACACTGGAGCCTGTTGGAAGGTGGGGGTTGGGAGGAGGGAGAGCATCAGGAAGAGTAGCTAATGGATGCTGGGCTTAGTACCTGGGTGATGGGAAGGTCAGTGCAGCAAACCACCATGGCACACATTTACCTATGAGACAAACCTGCACATACTGCACATGTACCCCTGAACTTAAAGTAAAAGTTGGAAATAAAAAATTTTTTAAAGTCAAGAAAACAAACAACAAAAAGAGTAGTGCAAATCTGTACCATGCTCATTTGTACGACTCTTTTGTTTGTACCACCAAACAAAAGAATGAGAGTGAAAACATGAATATCTGACAAAAGTAAACAGCAAAAGAACACTTTATGTTAGGAGTAATACCCTAGCATCTACCTAGAATGAAATGAAACTGTTTTTCCCTGAACTGGCCTCCCAAGCTGAACTCTTGGGACTGTGCCTGGGATGCTCCAGGAGACCAGGGTGATAATTGAACTTCCCTCCTCCTACACCTCTATCGAGTTCCTGGAAAACGCCAGCGATCAGATCTTGCTTTTAACTTCTTATACTTTACAGAGACCTAAACAAGAGGGAAGAAATGGACATTTCATGCCAAGATTTCTTCCCTTCACCTCACACTCGAGTTCCTGGGTTCTGACGGCCTTTTTTGAGGAAAGTGCTGATGTTTGCGTCAAGGTTGGGAGGAAAGGGTTTGGGAGGTACCAGGCAATGGGGAGGCAAAGAGAAGACATCAACAAGCGAGGCAAGAACTTTCCACAGGCTGACACTGGATACAAGACCAGAGACAAAAAGCTGGGTGAATTTCTGATGTTTTCCTACAGAGGTTTTTTATCCAGTTGCACACAGCCTACTCAGAATAAGGCTTTTTCAAGTCAACCCTTTTAATGTGAAGCCATAATTTTGTGGTGTTGCCTGATGCAAATCTCCACTGTGAGCCTTTGCTCTGGGTGTCTTTTTTGTTAGTCACATCTTCCAAAGAGAACATGGTGAAAATCTTGACTCCTTTCCCCAAGTCTGTGTCTTAACTGTTTCCAAGGCTGCAGAGCTCGGGGGTCAGGAGGCATTGGCGGTACAGTGGCAGAATTCTCGCCTCCCACACGGGAGACCTGGATTCCATTTCCGGCAAATGCAGCGTCCTGTCTTTGTGCCCTGTGGTTTTCACATTTACTTACTGTGCCACGCTAATGAAGAAAAAAAAAGGAGCGGGGGGTCGGGGGAACCACTGTGTACTCCTCAGGTTCTTTCCGTAGCGGAATTTATTTTTCTTTTATTTATTTATTTTTGTTTGTTTGTTTGTTTGAGACAGAGTCTCGGTCTGTGGCCCAGATTGGAGTGCACTTGCACTATCCTGGCTCACTGCAACCTCCACCTTCCGGGCTCAAGTGATTCTCATGCCTCAGCCTCCCAAGTAGCTGGGATTACAGGCACATGCCACCATTTCCTGCTAATTTTTGTATTTTTAGTAGAGACGGGGTTTCACCATGTTGGCTAGGCTGATCTTGAACTACTGACCTCACATGATCCATCAGCCTCGGCCTCCCAAAGTGCTGGGATTACAGGTGTGAACTCCGCCCCGGAGCGGAATTTACCTAAGCAGAGACTCTCTTTGAAGCAGCCTGTGGGTCTGGTTGGTCTCCGCGTTTCTACATATTTGGCCCTAAAACCGGCACGACTTTTATCGTCTCTGTTGTTGGATCTCTGCAGTACAAAGAGTCACCTGGTCACTGATTCTCTGCCTGGACCTTGGATAGACCATTGGGACACATCTTGCGATGGAGTGCGACTCAAGCAATGACATTCCTGAAAGGAGAGAAGCTGTGGGGTTGGGCGGACACACGCAATGTTGGGGAACTGGGACCCAGGGAGAGGGGAGGCTTGTGAGAAGGAACCCACGTGCAGATGAGGGGAGCTGCAGAGAGGGGCCTCGGACCTTCCTGTTGAGGAAAGCCCAGTCTTTAGTGGTCTCGGCAAATTAAAGGATTGGCCCCGAGTGGAGAGCAGCATATCCCCAAAACTCATTTCTATCAGCCCTGTTTGTTTTACACTCCACCAGGCAAATCTTCTGTCCACGGGATTCTTTTTAATGCTTCTCTTTAAGCAGCGTGGTGGGGAGGCCATGGCGATCATTAGCTCTGGAGGCCTGGGGAGGACACTCTGAAGAAGAAAGCCCTGCGATTATCCGGTTTCACCCTGTTTTCATCTACTCTTTGCCTCAGCGAAGTTTATATTGGGTCCTCTATGTTACATCACAGCTGCTGCACTGGCGGATTAAGAGCCGCTGACAAGTCTCTTTCGGGAAGGGGTAAGAAGCGCAGCTGGCCCAGAGCCATGGAGAGAGACGCAAGAGCAGAACCGAAAATACTTTCCTCCTTCTTGTTCTCTCTCTGCTATTGGTGAACATCAACCTTCCACACAAACCGGTTCAATACTGCCTTGGTCTCTACAGGAGGTTTACCAATTTTTACAGTTCCCGTAAGCCATGTTTTCTTCTCGTTTCTACAGTTCTTCCAGGGTTGAGTTTCAGGAGCTGGTCAGCAGTCCAGACTAGTTCAACATCCTGGTTCAAAACCATTTGTCTCGTTTCGCTACTAGGGTAAAGCTTGCCTCCTAGACCAGAGTTAAGACGTGTTCCCTCGGCTTCTGTTTTCTAGAGAGAATTGGCATAGTTTCTTCCTTAAATGTTTGGTAGTGAAACCATCTAGACCTGGTGCTTTGTTCTGGAAGGTTGTTAATTGTTGCTTCAATTGCATTAATAGATAGAGACCTATCTAGGTTGTCTATTTCTCCTTGTATGAGTTTTGGTCAACTTTATCTTTCAAGGACTTGGTCCAATTCATTGAAGTTATCAAATTTGTGAGCAGAGAATTGTGCATAATAGTCCTCTACTATCCTTTTAATGTCCACGAGATCTGTAGTGAGGGTCATTGTTTTCTTTTTCATATTAGTAATTTGTACCTTTTCTCATTGTTTCTTGGCTCACCAGCTAAAGGTTTATCAATTTTATTGGTCCTTTCAAAGAACACTCTTTAGGTTTTGTTGACATTTTTCTAATGATTTCTGGTTTTCAATTTCCTTGATTTCTGCTTTAGTGTTTATTGTTTCTTGTCTTCTACTCACTTTGGACTTGATTTGCTCTTGTTTTCTTTGAGTTTCCTAAAGTGCAAGTTTGGATTATTGATTTTAGATTTTTATTTGTAATATTTAATCTTTTAAAATCCATTATTATTTTACTTTTTGTACAGTAATTCTTTTAGTGTAATATAATTTTGTTCTGGTAAAAATTTCAGTTTTATTTTATGTACCAAGTGTACATGTATAGGATTGTTACATGGATATATTGGACCCAGGTAGTTCACATAGTACCCAATAGCTAGTTTTTCAACCCACTCTCCCTCCCTCCCTCCCTACCTCATGGTAGTCCACAGTGTCTACGGTTCCCAGGTTTATGTCTGTGTGAACTCAATATTTAGGTTCCGCTCCTAAGTGAGAACATTCGGTATTTCATTTTCTGATTCTGCATTAGTTTCCTCCAGAGTATGGCCTCCTCCTCTCTCCATGTTATTGCAAAAGACATGATTTCATTCTGTTTTATGGGTGTATAGTATTCCATGTTGTATATATACCACATTTTCTTTATTTAATCCACCACTGATGGGCATCTAGCTTGATTCCATGTCTTCGCTATTGTGAATAGCCTGGTGATAATCATAGGAGTGCATGTGTCTTTTTCTTTTAATGATTTACATTTCTTTGAGTATATACCCAGTAACGAGATTACTGGTTGAATAACAGCTCTGTTGTAGGTTCTTTGAGAAATCTCCAAACTGCTTTCCACAGTGACTGAACTAATTTACATTCACTCCAAGCATTTATAAACTTTCTCTCCAGAGCCTTATTAGCATCTGTTGGTTTTTGACTTTTTAATAATGGCCATTCTGAGTGATGTGAGATGGTATCTCATTGTAGCTTTGATTTGCATTTCTCTGATTATTAGTGATGATGAGCATTTATTCCTGTGTTTGCTGGCTGCTTGGATGTCTTCTTTTATGAAGTGTCTGTTCATGTCTCTTTGCCCACTTTTTAATGGGATTTTTTTTCTTGTTGATTTTTTTAAAGTTCCTTATAGATTTTGGACATTAGACCTTTGTCAGATTCACAGTTTGTGAATATTTTCTCCCATTCTGTCGGTGGTCTGTTGACTCTGTTGATGGTTTCTTTTGCTGTGCAGAAGCTCTTTCATTGAATTAGGTCTTACTTGTGAATTTTTGTCTTTGCTACAATTGCTTTTGTGGACTTGGCCGTAAATTCTTTGCCACGGCTGATGTTGAGAATGATATTTCCTAGGTTTTCTTCTACGGTTTTTCTGCTTTGAGGTCCCAGTATATATTGTGTCATTGCAAATGACAACCAACCAGAAACTAATCATTACAAGCCAAGAAAGGGAACTTATTGGTGACCAGGAAAAATGTCCAACAAATGAAAATTAGTAAAAGAGATTCCTGGGTGTCTTTTTCTGTAAAGCCTGGGGCATTGTTGTCTGCAGAGTTCACATTTTCTGTAAAGGGCCAGGGAGATAGGAAGTATTGTAGGCTTCTGAGCCAAGAGGCAAAATTAAGGATATTATGTAGGTGCACATATAACCAGGAAGAAAACAAATTTCTAAGCCATTTTTATTGATGAGATTCTAAACTAACAATAGCAACTGAGTAGAACTTCTCAGGTGGTAAATGTTCGCTGCATTGAGAGCCTAGGCTCAGCTTTCCTAGAATCCCTGGTACAGCCCTCCCTTTCCACCCCTTAGGCTGTTTCCTCCCTGTTTTCCTCAGAAGAGTTCCATACAAAAGACCTACTACTCTGAGAAACAGTGAAGTACTCCTGGGGCCCACCAAAGCACACGAGTCAAGAAGTGGATGGCCTTGTCCCAGCTATGGCTCAGATCACCTTTGCAGGATGACATCTTGTTGGGAGATTGTCATCAGAGCCAGGGACATGGAAGATGCTGTCAGAAGGATGAAAGGACTGGTGCCCAGGGGGAGAAGTGGCCAAACAACTCTGCATTCAGCCTCACAAAAATCTCAAGGGGATGTAGAAATGGGAACAGGGCGAATGGAAAACTCTTTCAAGCAGGGTTTTGGGGTCCTGAGCTGATCTCTATTTTTCCTCCTACAACCTGCCGCACAGGCTATTTTCTCACCTCTGTGGATGGAAACTGCATCCTTCCATATGCTCAGTCCAAAAATCTTTGAGTTTTCTTTGACTGCTGATCTTTCCTTCACACCCTATAGCTGTTTAGTCAAGAATTCACATTATGCTGAGCATCAGGTGTGCTCCTTAATCCACACCATCCTTTTCCCCCAGTTTATAAAACTTGTAAAGTCATTCTCCTGATAAAGACAATAGGATTTCCATGAAATTGCACAATTTTTATCCTTCCTGGATACATGACTCATGTAAGAGCTCTGCTATTGTTTGCTACCATTTCCCCCTATTTTTATTTCATACCTGTTTGACCTGCATTCTTTCCCATAAGCCAGGCACTTCAGCTCAGGTGTGCTTTCCTAATCATAGAATTAGCAATAGCAGCCTTGCTAACAACTTCTTCCTGGCCCCACCACCAGGCAAATGTCACAGGATTTAATAGGTAAAGAATCGTAGGATCGCTGAGCATGGTGGCTCATGCCTGTAATCCAGGTCTTTGGGAGGCTGAGGTGGGTGGATCACTTGAGGTCAGAGTTTGAGACCAGCCTGACCAACATGGAGAAACCCCGTCTCTACTAAAAATACAAAATTAGCCAGGCATGGTGACGCATGCCTGTAATCCCAGCTACTTGAGAGGCTGAGGCAGGAATATTGCTTGAATCTGCGAGGCGGAGGTTGCAGTGAGCCTAGATTGCGCCACTGCACTCCAGCCTGGGCAACAAGAACTAAACTCCATTTCAAAAAAAAAAAAAAAAAAAAAGAATCATAGGATCGTGCCTATTACTCGGTTTTATAAAATGAATTGTTTTCCCCTGAATTCATATGTTGAAAGCTTAACCCCCAACTTGACTGTATTTAGAGATAGAGTCTTTAAGGAGGTAATTAAGGTTAATTAGGCCATACAGTTGGGGTCCTAATCTGGTCAGAATGGTGTCCATATAAGAAGAGGAAGGGCATCAAAGAATCTGTCTCTTTCTCCACACAGGCACAGAGGAAAGGCTATGGGAGCACAAAGCAAGAAAGTGGACTTCTGCAAGCCAGGAAGAAAGGCCTCCCCAGAAACCAACTCTGTGAGCACATCGATCTTTGACTTTTGGCCTCCAGAATATTGAGAAAATAAAAGTCTGTTGTTAAGCCACCCAACCTATGGTATCTTTCTATGGCAGCCTGAGCTGACTAATACCCTTGGTAGGTGGGTGGCAGTCACCTTACTGGGCTACATGATGTGAAGTTAAAGTAACTTTAGCAATAGGCACCATGTAATTTCATTGTATAGATATTATGTCTTTTGCACTGATATTGCTTTTTTAGTTGTATGTATATTGATGCCTGGGCCTAGCATTACAAGACCAGTCAAAATGGGAAGAAAGAAAAGAAGGTGGGAAAGATACCAAGTTCCATAATTGCATCCTCTACCCACATCCAGTTCTTAGAATCTTTTCTGCTGGAGGCTGCACCTTGTGTACACTCAAATTCAATCTGAGCACACAATCATTTAAACAACCAAGGCAACTTTTCCAATTTTCAGCATCACGCGCTTGAGGAAACAAGTATTTCATCACTAATTTAATATTCATTGAGATAATTGTTCTCAGGTTGATGAAAAATGTGGTGTATCCATTTACTGTTGTCTTCTTCTGGGTGAAGAATGTTGCCTTTACTCTCTAGCTCACATTTGACCAGAAACTGGAGTCCCAGCAAATCTTAGTAGCCACTTAGGAAGCCTATTTTAAGATATTCCCAATCTCAAACTTGTTCTAAGACTAGTATGCTTATTGAGGAGAAAGAGCTTCATGACAAAAATTCAACTAGAGCTGTGGGTGACAGTTGTGTGTTTCAGTGCTGGTCTGGGCCCAGGTTTCCCATGAGCACCTAATGAATAGGCTCATTTGCAGAGATCGTCAAGGTGTTCACTATGTCTCTCTCACAGCCTCAAAAGAAGTGATCGGCTAAAAGAATTTGTGTAGTATCCTGAAGGGAAATTAGTCCAGAAATAGAGGACAAGATAAGGATTTTATAAAACAGACATGTGATTCAACAGTTGTTTAAGATGTAGAAAGCTGCAAGAGACAGTTGTTCCCACTCTAATGACAAGAAAAAGCTGTATGGTCTGCAAAATCATATGTGTTTTGATCCCACCAGAGAGCTGAAGTTGCAAGGCCCCTGAGTCAGCTGAAGTCCAAAGCATGAGAAACCCCCCTACAGAAGGACAAACAGATGAAGCAGTTCATCTTTAACAGATAATGGAAGGAAAAGATGGAAGCCATAAATGTTGGTTGGAGAAAAATCACTGAAGTTTTCATCATTTCTTTAGTTTTTTTTTTTTTTTTTTTTGATACGGAGTCTCACTGTTGCCCAGGCTGGAGTGCAGTGGCGCGATCTTGGCTCACTGCAGGCTGCACCCCCCGGGGTTCACGCCATTCTCCTGCTTCAGCCTCCCTAGTAGCTGGGACTACAGGTACCCGCCACCCCGCCCGGCTAATTTTTTGTATTTTTAGTAGAGACGCGGTTTCACCGTGTTAGCCAGGATGGTCTCGATCTCCTGACCTCGTGAACCACCCGCCTCAGCCTCCCAAAGTGCTGGGATTACAGGCTTCATCATTTCTTAAAGGCCAAGTGTGAACTATTGTGACAGCTTAGAATCTCTGAGAGTCCCAGACACATAGCCTGTTTTGCCCATTTACTGGGTCTTTCCTCCCACGTACTTAGTGCTGATAAGACACATGTAGCAGGGAAAGAGAATTTCTCGAGCTTGCCACAGTGGTGTAGGCATATAAGTCATGAATGCATGATAGAGCACCACCAGAGCACAGGCACAAAACGTGGTTGCTTCTCTCACATAAAACAAAAGGCATCTACCACTGATGTTGGAGCTAGAAACCTGTCCAACCCTTGCCCCCAGGTATAGGCCAGCTGCTGAGGCAGAGTTAGACACAAAAGCTGTCTATACTGGACAAGGGGAGGAGACCTGCTCTTGCCCAAGACTTCCCATCATTGAAAGGTAGAGTTCCACCACTCCCAGGGGATGTCATAGGAACACTAGGACTCAGGCACCCATGGCCTGAGGTTTGGTACACATTCAGTGCTATCAGTAATATGAGTTGGTTTCAATCGATCATTTGAGTTGGTTGCAGACCCTTTCCTTTAGTGAGGAAAAACTGTGATGTGGGTACAAAGTTTCCACGTTTAGGAAAGATTGGCCCGTCCTTCAGGATATTATATTGATTGGATTTCTCTCAACCTCCTTTAGTTGTGTTTACCGTTATTAAAATTCAGTGACATTCACTTGGATGAGGTGGTAATAAAAACAAGTTGTGAGAATTTCTAGTGATTTTTGATCCCAAGCCATGTATCACTGTTGGGCCTTCATGTGTGTACTTGAAAACAAAACATGTACAATTGTCGCACTGGTTTGAAGATTTTAATGGTGAAAGCAACCTAATCAGTAATCAGTACTCTATCTAGAAACCAATCTTGGAAATATGTGATTATGCTCTTTTAAAATAGCTGAAAAGAAGGCCGGGTGTTCTGGCTCATTCCTACAATCCCAGCACTTTGAGGGGCCGAGTTGGGCAGATCACTGAAGGCCAGGAGTTCAAGGCCAGAAGCCTGGCCAAGATGATGAAACCCTGTCTTTACTAAAAACACAAAAATCAGCTGGGGGTGGTGGTGCACACCTGTAATTCCAGTTACTCAGGAGGCTGAGGCAGGAAAATCCCTTGAACATGGGACTCGAAGGTGGAGGTTGCAGTCAGCTGAGATCCTGCTACTGTACCCCAACCTAGGTGACAGAGGGAGATTCTGTCTCAAAATAAATAAATAAATAAAATAGCTGAAAAGAAATGACTCTGTGTTTATTCTCACTTTGTTCTTGTTTTGTTGTATAGTATTTAAATAAAAGCAGATTATTTATCCTCATACTGAATTTCCAAAACTGATATTTGCATTTAACATTTTGTTAAATGATGGAGAGAAAATTTAATTGTCTTACTTTGAAAAGTTTGGCATAGGTTCTGTCACATTTTTGATGCTTTCAATCGCAGTCTGTCATTAGAATGCTGGCAACTAGTTACATGCAAGGAGTATCCTAACCACTTTAATACAATGGTTTGAAGTGCTGCAGGCAGTAACTACTGGACACCAAATCACAGTGTTTTTATTGGTGACATGTTAGAGAGAAATAGAACTTTCTGCAGTACAAATGTCCTATTAACAAATCCTTGTGCTATTAGCTTACAGGACTTTGACTCCTGGGTCTGAAAAAGGCACCTACTCCTGCTAAATCTTGAATATTGACACCATTCAATGCCTCATCTTCAGACCCTGAGGAAGACGACAATCCAAATGAACTGCTTTCATGAGAAACAGAACAAGAAATTGAAACAATTTAATCTCTCTAGACCCAACAATCCCACCTGCCCCCTTTTCCACCTCATGCCCCCTCTTCCTCTGGACAGAAGAGATGGGCACATGACAATGGTAAGGCCGGAGTCTGAGGGATAAGTTTAGTTCAGAGACTTTCTTTTCTTTCTCTTTTCTTTTCTTTCCTTCCTTCCTTCCTTTTTCCTTTCTTTCTTTCTTTTTTTTTTTTTTTTTTTTGCATTTTTGGTAGACACAATGTTTCACCATATTGCCCAGGCTAGACTCAAACTCCTAAGTTCAAGTGATCCACCCACCCTGGCCTCTCAAATTCAGAGATTTTCTATAAATTAGACATTACACTCAGGAGCACACTGATGCAAGGCCAGCAACTGGCCCCGTGTATCAGAATAACAGGGTTTTCTAGAGCGTTCATCTGATTTTTCATAGAAAAGTATAAAAGGTCATGAAAGGTTTTTGAAACTCTTACCTTATGGTCAAACTAATTGTAATTAAATTTGTGTATAAGGTTTTATTAAAATTATCTTTAACATTTTAATACACCACACAAAGGTAAAATTTAGTTTTCTCTTTTGATCAAAATGTTTGTGTAATATTAATAATAGATAAAATATTTTTGTTTACCTTTTGGCTAAATGATTGACTATTATAAGGTGACCTGTGACCCTATTTTGTGATATCAAGTGTCTCAAAACTTTGATATCTGGCAAACTTTCTAAGAGTAAAATTTCTAAATTCAGCCCTTTGGACCTCAAATTAACTTTTTGGATATTAGGTTCTTGAAGTCCAAGAGAGATATATTAGGCTTCTTAGGCTTATTTGTTATGTAGAATTATGCATGAAGCATTGTCAAATCTGAGGTGGTGTTTCACTTCCTTTGGGTTCTATTGACACAGATGTGTTGTTAATGTGTGTTCCAGGATTGTATGAGATTCCTAGAGTTCTGATATGCTGTTGGTAATAATTATGATTATTACGTTAAATTGTTGTGTGCCACAGAACCAACCAAATTCCCTTGTCAACTGTATCTTTAACTATGGCTGTCTTAAGGCTTTTGTCATCCACAATTGTTGTTTTGCTTTGATTCTTCTCAAAAAGTGACTTATAATCAGTCACAGTCCAGGCCTTGGTTTTTTGGGGAAGTCCATGAAAAGGACTCTTGGATGCAGGTTTCTGATAACTCTGGAGATCGTGCCATTAACTAAAGAGAAAATTTCCAGGGCACTAACAGAAAGGCTGATGTGTTCATAGAGATTGCTAGCCCAGTATGAAGCAAAGCAGGAGATGATTGCATGGATTAAACTAATGGAGGACTGAAATAAGTTTTTATGGCCTTTGTTTGTTTGTTTGTTTGAAACATGGTTTATTCTTCAGAGTCTGGAGAACTTTTTTCCTTTTGAGCTATTTATAGCCTGAAACAATTGAGTAGAATAGTCTTCTAAACAGAATTTGAGGCATATTTTTCTCTCTCTGCTGAATTTCTCCAGAATTTGTAAACTGAATATTCTTAATTCATGACAATGTGTTTATTTGCATAAGTTCAATAAGATTCTGTTTTCTTTTATAACCTGACACAGGTGGAGGAATTGGTAATTTTCCCAGGGCTTTGCCTGAAATGTCATTGTGAAATGTTCCAGCAAAGCCCATTTAGGAGAGCCTATGTGAACAATGATTCTTGCTGCACTTTGTGTGGGTAATCAGGCCAAGTATATGGGACTGAAGCTTCTTTTGCAGGTAGGTTGGTCCTGCTGTGTTTTATCTTAGTGGAAATGGGGAACTGGAGAGAGGAAGGTTGTGTTTCAGGAGAAACCATGGTATTAGATGAATGTTTGATTCCTGGGTGGCCATGCGGTCACCCATGGTGTGGAGCTGCCCAGGATGCCCCTTCTCCACATGACACAGCCAGAAAGATGGATGACCAGATTCCCCATGATTGAGGAACTGACAAATAGAAAGTGGGGACTGAAATCGATGCAATAGTCCCACAGACAGTGTTTTTGGATAGATGTAGAAATGGACCCTTCTAGTCTTAAAGCTTGAAACTTACATTTGTTTTATCTGAGTTCATTCCTCAGGAAAGGACCCTCAGCCTCTCAAAAAGCATCATAGACCTGAAACTCAGCAGATCACAGCATCCAGACAATGAGATGCCAGACCCCTCACTCATCATAAGTGCTTCCTCACCCCTCCAGTTCCTCTTTTCCTACTCACAGTTACGTTTCTTCCCTGCTACATAAACTCCTCACTTTAGTTGATCAGGGAGATTGATTTGAGACTGATCTCCCGTCTCCTCAGCTGCAGCACACAGTTAAAGCCTTCTTCCTTGGCAATACTCAATGTCTCAATGATTGGCTTTCTGTGAGCTGAGCCGCGGGCCTAGACCAAACACCTGGGCTTTCAGTAACAATACATGTACACTTTTAAAGCCTGCAATTAATGGGTCATGAGATATTGAGAAATTGGAATGACATCAACTTGGCCAATTCTGAGAAAATACACTGTGCTTAAATGTCAGGGCCCCGCCTCCTGACCTTGACAGTATATGGTTGATTTTGAGTCATAGCAGGTGAGTATGGCCTGGTTTGAGTGTTTTATAGAAATATATAATATGGCTGATTGCATTTATTTTAAATCCAAAAAATTTCCATTTCTGGTGAGCAAATTTTGTTAAAACCAACCAAACAAACAAACATAGAAGTATATGAACAAGACAATGAATGATTCCCTGCCTCCCAATCTCATTTGATTGCTGTCTTCTGTTATATACTACAGGGAAGAAGGGGGCAAGGCACCCAGGATGTCCCATGTCCTGTTTTGACAATCATCTGGCCTCCTTGGGCAAACAGAAAAGAAGGAAAGCATCAAGAAAATAACAGAAATTTTGCAGAAATTTCATCTCCGGTCTGGGCGCAGTGGCTCACACCTGTAATCCCAGCACTTTGGGAGGCCAAGGTGGGCAAATCACTTGAGGTCAAGAGTTCAATACCAGCCTGGCCAACATGGCAAAACCTCATCTCTACTAAATATACAAAATTTAACCAGGCATGGTGGCCCACGCTTGTAATCCCAGCTACTGGGGATTACAATCACTTGAACCCAGCAGATGGAGGTGGCAGTGAGGAGAGATCACCCACTGCCACTGCACTGCACTCCAGCCTGAGCAACAGAAGGAAACTCTGTCTCAATGGAAAGAAAGAAAGAAAGAAAGAAAGAAAGAAAGAAAGAAAGAAAGAAAGAAAGAAAGGAAGGAAGGAAGGGAAGGAAGGAAGAAAAGAAAGAAAGAAAGAAAGAAAGAAAGAAAGAAAGAAAGAAAGAAAGAAAGAAGGAAGGAAGGAAAGAAAGAAAGGGAGAGAGAGAGAGAAAAGAAAAGAAAAGAGGAAGAAACGAAGAAAGGAAGAAAGAAATTTCACCTAGGCACAGGAAACTCTATGACAGAGGCTTCAGGGGCTCTTCTCTGGCCCTAAACTCGCAGTGGATTTTTGCCTCATTTTCCGAGGTGCAAATGAAATGATAGAAGTCGATCAAAGGAGAGGGCAGAGAGAAAGCAAGAAGGATGGCTCCTTCCTGCAGGTCCACCTTCCTGGAGTGTTGCTTGTGGGATAATAGAAATGCCTTGACATGGGTGGGTGGGAACTATTGCTACTTATTAGGAATTCAGACGCTTCTGGCAAATTCGCATTGTGAGGTTCCATGGTGTAATGGTAAGCACTCTGGACTCTGAATCCAGCGATCCGAGTTCGAGTCTCGGTGGAACCTTTCTGTTTAATTAGGAAGGCAATGCCGTGTTTTACTCCCTAAATGGAATGGGGATTCTGCTGACGTTCAGAAGCTCTGCGCTGCGGGCCTCCGTGTCCCTTCTGCTCCCGCTGTCTGAGCCTCGGGATGCACGCCGCTCTCCTCATCCCCTCTTCGGTGTTCGGGGTCCCAGAAACCGGGTTCTCACAGTGGCCCGGACCACAGGGAAATCGCCGAATCATCCATTCGGGGTCAAAGAGCCTGGAGGATCCCCTTTCAGGGCCAGCCTCCTGGCACCCAGCAATCGGAGGCCCGGACTCGCCCCGCCAGGGACCCAGCGACCCAGCAAGTCCTCACCCCCTCTCAGGGCGACCCTAGGCCTCGGGGAGAGGTCTCCACTAAAAAGGCTGCCACCTCTCGATCCTAGACCCCGAGATTCCTTTCACCCGGGAAATCTCTTAATCGCATCCTTTGTCATTTTGGTAAGTAAACGGTGGCGTGAGAAATTTTGATGGGGTTAGCTCAGTCACTGGAGATTGTGTCTCAGTTTAGGATCGGTGGTTGGAGACCTAACTTGGGAGTAGCACTTTTTTATTCGCATGGCCCATCCAATTCCGAATGTTAATTTATTCTGTTCTTCATATTCAGATTTTTATGCCGAATTTCTAGCTCCTACGTCTCTATTGCGGGCCCTAAAAGTCGCTGTTTCACTAAGCTTTGGAACCTGACTCCGGGAAATTTCATTCTTTCCTCCCAAGATCTCAGCCGGAAAGAGAGATCCGCGCGGGCTGGGAGCGCGGGTTCTGTTCCTCGGCCGCCCCGGCTGAACTCCCGCAGGACCACGGGGAAGAGGAGCCTGAGCAGCTCTGAGGGGCCAGTCTCTGACGGTGGGGCTCCCCCTCGTCCCGTCAGGACCCTGCCCCAAGGAGAAGACGCCTTAGAACGCTACCAGAGTTAAAAATGTTTTCTCCTGCGCTTCAGAGCACTTGGGATGAGGTTCCTGATGGGTCTTGGGAGTGAACTAAGATGTCACTCCAGGCGCTCAGGACCATCGCTCTGATTTTCATATTTTGGGGCTGAGAGCGGTTACGAAGGACTGAAAAACACCGCAGTCTTTGAGGGGCTCAGTTTGGAGGACGAGCTGGGGGAGGGGGGCGGTGAGAAGACGCCTTCTTGGCTCCTTGGAGTGGACTGGCAGGTAAGGAAAAATAAACTCCGTTTCCCCTTGCAGGCTACACTGCAGGGCCTGGGATGGACAATTGGACAGTCAAAGAGTAACAATATTTATGTAGAGGTTGGCTGCATGCATTAAAAATTGTTATCCCTACAGATAAGTGTAGGAAGGGACCACGGCACTGCGGTTCACCACCAGCTTTGCAGCATATGTAACTATGAAAACAGTGTATAGTGCATAAAAAATTCATTCCTGTTCACAAATAATTGATCACAACCAGTTACAGGTTTCTTTGTTCCTTCTCCACTTCCACTGCTTCACTTGACTAGCCTTACAGGAAAAAAAAAAATCATTTGTAAATATGATATTGTTTCAGTTGATCCTCAGCCCGCCCGTTCCCCACCCCCTGAAAGTAGCTGGAATAACAGGTGTGCTAATTTTTGTATTTTTAGTAGAGACAGGGTTACGCCATTTTGGCCAGGCAGCTCTCGAACTTAAGAACTCAGGTGATCCGCCTGCCTGGGCCTCCCTGAACCTCTCTGCTGGGATTACAGGCATGAGCCACCCCACTTGGCCATCATTTGTATTTTGAATTTAAATATTTTGTAGTCATCACTCTTCAAAGATTCTGGGTTTTGTTGCATGTGCATGATGGGATTCAGGACATGCTACTCCAAAGTATAACATCTTGGGGTATTGAATATTTTATGCTAAAGGAATATGAGTAAACCACAGAAGCAGGAAGGTCACTGTCACCCTCCCCCTGCCCTTCTTCCCTGAAGTCGATTGTAAGACTCTTATGTGAGAGGTGCCCTCTCTGTACCCAGAGGAAAGGTGCATCCTGGAGTGTGAAGACACAGGGACACAGAGAAGAGCCTGAACACAGAGGCCTGGCCACATTTTCCCCAGTTTGTTACTGTTAGATCATACTTTTATTGTCTTATCATACTTCTCCATGACTATCCATTCTTCAATAAAACTACTGTTAAAAAACAAATAAACAAAAAACTGAGGTTTAGCTGTTTCCATGGGCCTTCATTTTCTTTGGAAGGCGCTCCTGTCACATAAAACTTACATTAAACAAATACATATGTTCTTCTCTTATTAGTCTGTGTTTTGCTGTGAGGGTCTCAGCAGTGAACCTAGGCTGGGTGAGGAAAAGTCATATTTCCTCCCCGACATGTACAAATGTCTTCCACTGTAAAGCTATAAAAATTTTATTGGGGCAGATGTGAAGCAAAAAATTGAATCATTATTCCCCTTTGGATGAGTTGAACAGATGAGCTAATAAACTCCCAGTTCCCCCCAGATAGAAATACTTCTCTAGCTCATTCCCCGAAGCTCCTTGAGGGTCAAACTTGTTGGAGATTGAGGGGCCTTCCTGGGATCTCCCAGCCCAGGAGGTTGCTGCTGGTGAGAGGATTGCTGCAGTCTCCCTGGGAGGGTGCATGGTCACTGGAAAGTATCACTGCTATAACTTCAATACAACCGGTTTTCATCACATCTGCTCTTTGTGCAGTGTTACAGGCAAAATACAAGAGCTAACATGCACATGAGTAACACATGCACATCATCAACTGTGCCTGCAACCCAAAGTGCTACATGTCACACACAGTTGATGAGTGTGCGTATGTTTACTCATTTAGTCCTTACCTCAGGCAGAGGTCACGCCATCACCTTCATCTTCCATATGAGAAAACTGAGATGCACAAAGATGTTAAGTGACCTGCCCAGGGTCACTCAGCCAGCAAAGGAGGATTTGAAAGTGGGAATTTGAAGTGAAGGCAGCCTGTCTCCAGAAGACATTCTCAGAACCACTGTGTTTATACTGCTCCTAACAAAACCAGCCTTGCAAAAATTATGACAGTGAGAAAAACCTGACATAGGAAAACTATGACTGTGAAAGAAATCTGACCTAACTGACTGCATCTTGCTTCTAACCTCTGAGCTGCCCTTGTCCATTCCTGGGCATAGGCCAGGCTAACTATGAGAGGAGTTTAGTTCCAAGTCTAAGTCTGAAACAGAGATGATTGCCCATTCCTGAGACAAACCCCTTCCTTTCTTGGGGATCAGACCTCCTTAGCAAAGCTAACAGATCAGGTACGAGATTGGAAATTATGGCTCAGGAGCCATGCAGCCAGAAGCCACATGATTCCTAAGCTCCCCAACTGTGCCTTATATAACAGTATTAGTGTCAAACCTAAGATTTGACAGGGTGTTCAAGGTATTTTTCAGACCCTGCCTTATGATGGACTAGCTGGCACACCCAGACCGGTAAACTGTCTCATCTTGTCCTGTGGCCCTCACCCAGGGACTGACTCAGTGCCATAAACAAGCTCTGACACTGTGATTTCATCCCCAACGCAACCAATCAGCTTTGCCCATTTCCTAGCCCCCTGCCTGCCAAACTATCCAAAAAAAAAAAAAAAAAAACCCTAGTCTCCGAATTTGGGGGGAGGCAGATTTGAGTAATAATAAACCCCTGTCCTGGTCCCTCAGCTGCCTTTGCATTTATTAAATTTTTTCTCTATTGTAGAAAGCCTGCTGTGCTCAGCTCCATTGGCTTTTCTGGGCAACCAGCAAGATAAACCTAGCAGGCAATTACACTAATAAAAGAAAAACACAAATGGTAAGCATGCTTGAAAAGAAATGTAAGTCTGTATATTTCTTTTGAAGAAACACAAAAGGAGGAGGAATGATAAGATAGGCAATACACTGTCCTAAATATTTTCATGATTCTCCTGCCTCCCGCATTTCCTTCTTATCCCAATAACTGCTCCCCAGAAACCTTCAACTTAAACATGGTCCTGCCAGAACTGGGTTTGTCCTTCCCTTTACATTTTCCTCTCACCTGCCCCACACCCCTTCCATATCTAATCTGTCCTTTCACTTCCAAGTCATTGAGTTTTTCCATTTAAAAATATGAAAGATACGGAAAGAAGAAGATAACCAGTTATCCATATTAGCAAAGTACTGTTCACATATGTACATATTTTTCTTCCAAACAATTTTAAAGTTACTCTCATTTAAAAAAAAATTATACATGCTTAGCATAGACCATACCACCAATACAGAAAAAGTACAGATACATAAAATTTCTGATCACGTTAAGTTCAAAATAATTTTTGTTAACATTAGGGCAACACTCATTGAGTCATGTTCTTCTGGTATATCTACAGAGACAGTGTATATTTTAGGTAGACTGGCCCCCGCCCCATGCACCCATAAAAGAAAAAATAGAACAATAAAGAAAGCTATATATATATATATATATATATATATATATATATATGAGTTATATATTTTATATATATATATCCACATACATATATGCTTTTGTAAAATTGAGCTTAGACTGTATTTTTATTTTACAAATATTCCATTTAATAGTGCATGAATTTAACTGAAGACAGAGACAGAAACACAAATGAAGGAATTCCTGAACTCTCAATCACATTTAGAGAGACATTTTCTAAAGGAATCTTCTAAAGCTAAACGTACATTAAATTAAGTAGAAGGCATTATGATTTGCAGTGGTTTTCCTTTTTTTTGTTTTTTGTTTTGTTTTGTTTTGTTTTGTTTTGTTTTTTGAGACCGAGTCTTCTCTGTCGCCCAGGCTGGAGTGCAGTGGCACGATCTCGGCTCACTGCAACCTCTGCCTCCCAGGTTCAAGCAATTCTCCTGCCTCAGCCTCCCAAGTAGCTGGGACTACAGGTGTGCACCACCACATCCAGCTAATTTTTGTATTTTTAGTAGAGATGGGGTTTCACTATGTTGGCTAGGATGGTCTCGATCTCTTGCCCTCGCAATCCGTCTGCCTCGGCCTCCCAAAGAGCCGGGATTACAGGCGTAGGCCACTGCACCCGGCCTTCTTTTTCTTTTCTTTTCTTTTTTTTTTTTTTTAGCATGGCATCACTCACTCTGTCACCCAGACTGGAGTGTGGTGGCGCCAGCTCAGCTTACTGCAACTTCCACCTCCCAGGTTCAAGAGATTCTCCTGCCTTAGCCTCCCAAGTAGCTGGGATTACAGGCGCCCGCCACCACGCCCAGCTAATTTTTTTTTTTGTATTTTTAGTAGAGATGAGGTTTCACCATGTTGGCCCGCTGGTTTCAAACTCCTTACCTCAGGTGATCCGCCTGCCTCAGCCTCCCAGAGTGCTAGGATTACAGGCGTGAGCCACCGCACCCAGCCTGCAGCCTGTAGTGGTTTTCTTATTACTTTTTACAATCAAATTGATTAAGGCATTGGTTGAATATGGTACAATGCATCCATTTCAAGTTTGATGACATGTCTATTACTCCAAAATGTCCTTTTGTACCCTTTGTAGTCAGTCCCCTCGACTCCCTGAACCCAGCAATCAATGATGTAGTTTCTGTCACTATACAGGTTAGTTTCACCTGTTCTAGAAATTCAGCTTGATGGCGCCACAGAGGATGCACTCTTTTCATCACTCAGCATGAGGTTTTTGAGATTCACCAATGCTATCTCATGTTTCCATAATTTGTCCCATCTTCCCCTGGAAGAATATATCACAATAGGTCCATTCACCTCTTGATGCATATGAACGGTTTCCAGTTTCGGGACTATTGTAAACAAAGCTGCTAAGAACAAGTTCTTTTTGTGAATATATGTTTTGTAAATTCCATTTGTCATTCTTTAGTATTAACTTATTTTGTAAAAGGATGTCACCTTCACAAGTGCAAAATTCATTCAAATGTTTTTTGAAAAAAGTTGAGGCCTGAAGCAGCAGTCTACACAATTTCCTTTCTTATATTTCATAATTAAGGGGAAGAAACTTTATCTGGGATATTATTTCCTATCAGCAAATCCTTAATGTAAGCCACACACGATGCTAGCTGTACTATTAGACTATCTTCTGTAATCTGTGCAATAACTCCAAGAAGTACTTCATATTATTATTTTCCTGTAACACTTTCCAACTTGAAGCCTAGCAAATTGAAGGACCTGGCCCAAGGTCAAACAGAAGGCAAGGGGCAGCGCCAGGACTGGAAGAAGGCCTTCCCAAAGGCAGACAGAAGCTCATGTCTTTGTCAGAACCTCGGTATTTCTGATGCGCCTGGAAGCCAATATCCAAGCCGTTCTCAGCCACCGGATTGGTGGGTCCTTTTGCTCAGAAACTCCTCGATGAGGAATCCCAAGCATACGTTAGTGATGACGGTCCCGAAACAAGGGACATTTCTTAAACATTCTAAAAACCCTTTTGCTCATCGGTAACGCAATGAAAGTTGTTTTCGGTCTTGCTTCATATATTTTATATTTGAGCAAGGCAATGTCCGCTGTTGGGGTTAGAAGTAAATGGCTCGTCTTCATCAAACTAGATCAGTCCGTAAGAAGTACGGCTTCCACTCGCAGTGTCCTGAACACTCGCTGGGCGTCCTGTGCGTTCTAGCCGGTTTTCTTTGGAGCCGCGGGTTTCTGCACCGCGCCCGGGTTGGGATGGCAGAGGCTTCTCGGGACGTGCGGATCTATGAGTGCCGTCCCCAGGGTAGCCACCAGGGGACGCCATAGGCCTTCCTTCCGTGGTCCTCTTTGCCTTTTTCGTTTGGGCCAGGTAGTTTCTATTGACCAGGACATTAGAGATCAGAAGTGGGTGGGGTCAGAAAACACACCCTGGGAGAGGCTGGCGAAATGCCCAGAACCTCCATCACTAGGCCTGGGGTTTTCTTCTGTAGTGGAATTCTTGTGCTCATGTAGTGCAGGGACAAAACCAATTAGATACTTCTGGGAGTTAAAAAGAGATGAATTTACAATGCCATTTGAGAAGGGGTATTAAGGAAACGTCCGAATTTGCCAGGGTACTGATGCGTGTCTGGTGCAAAACGCAGGTTGAGAGAGAGCTAAGTACTTCCTGTCCATGAAGGTGATAAGCGAGGGCCTGAAGAGGGACGGGGGAGGACACTGGCGCCAGAGATAGAAAGAGGCGGCTTGGGGGTGGGAAGCATGGGTCGGGGTGCTATTTAGAAAGTTGCCTGGCAATGGATGTGGGATGTGGAAGCGAGACATCAAACAAGAAGCTGTCACTTAAATGAAATCTGAAGAAAGACTAGATATGTAAACGGCAGGAGATAGTGGATCCGGCTCCTCATAAAATTTCCCGCTTTATATTTCAGGGAGGATCGCAGCGCATTTTCGCCAAGACAGGTGAGACTGCGGTTCTGACCTGCGTGTCTCGGGATGAATTGCGTTAGGGCACCTGGGCGCCGGTAGACCCCTTCCCCTCCGCAAAGTAAGCGTGTTATGTCTACAACCCAACGGGAACACTAAGAGCCCCAAAGGCCCTGATTTCTTCCCAAAGAACAGCGCCCGTCTGCGTAGTTTGTACCTGGCTCTACCAAGTGAGAACACATTCCCCGCTAGCACAGAAATCCTACAAACTCCTGAGGGGGCTGCGCTTAGAAGCAGAGGCTGTGTAAAAGGTGATTGGGGGCTAGGGAAAAACAAGAAGATTTTTACAGAGCGTGAGACCCCAAGAGAATGGAGACTATGGACCAATCTCTGCAAAAAGCAGCCTCATGTTGAAAGGAAGGAGCTGTGCGGCCTTCGCGCTACTTAGCTTGTGTTAAACAGGAACACAACGCCTGACGCTTATTTTTCCGGCAGGAACGACGGCGACATGTTACTTCCTGTTTCCCTGCCATCCGGCTATAAGAATAACACACCACCACCAAGATTATACAGCAAAAAAAAGCGAGAAGTAGACCTTTGCATACCAACTGCTTTTTGCACTGGAAAATTCAGGGGAAAGCGCGAACGCAGTCCCCCACTACCACAAATTACGCAGTCGAGTTTCCCACAGTTGGGGAAATCGCAGAGGTCAACACATCCGGAGTGCAATGGATAAGCCTCGCTCTGGAAAAACCACTTTCATGATCATACTATCTCCCCTGCCAGGTAAGTGTGAGTTCACACATCTCCGCCCTGCGACAGCTCCATACGCCTCAACCTTTACAGACACGGTCACTTGCCCCGCGCACCCGCACCCCCACCCCCACCCCGCCCCATGCCACCCGGAGCCCTCCTAGCCCTGACACACAGCTGGGACTCTCACGTCCAACCAGCGGTCCTGGACTTGCTCCCAAAGCAGGAGAAATCCTTCGTGGGAAGCAGCAGCCCCTAAGCTGCCTCATCTACGTAGGAATCGCCCTATCCGTGATGTCACCGACAGCGCCTTTCCCGGTCCCCATCTGCTCTTCCGCCCGACCCTCCGCCACTCAGCCGACCAACCCGCTGCGGGAGCCGGCGGAGGAAGTGAAGTCTACCTCTATCTCCTTTCCCTCCCTTCCCCACCCCTGGTCTCTCCCAAAGAAGTAGGTTCTTAGCCTGTGATGCCAAGGACCCCTTTGGCGGCCAGCTGGAGCCTGGGCGCTCTTCTTTGAGTAATGGCTTTTAATGCGCAAACTAGAAAGTTTAGGATTACAAAGAAAACCGGTTCTTTTCACATACGGTTATCCTTGTGATGTACCATTCCGCTTGACAGTGGAAGTCGTTCAATATCAGAGAGAAACAGTATCTATGAAACTAGAGAGGCTGCTCAGATGACTGCAAACCAGCCATCCTTACTTGTTTTATCACTAGGAATATTATAAAGACGGCTGTCCAGTTTCATCAATCTTGTAGGGTTTTTTTCAAATACAGCAATGTACAAAAATGTGCTGCCCCAGCAGAGCACACTGGACACTCAGGCATGGTGCTGGAGTCGTTTTGCCATCTCTTCACTGCCTTCTCTAGACCTTAGCGCTTACCTCATGTTAACACTTTATATGCTGCAAAGACAGAAACAAAGTCATCCAAATGTGGCAAAAATATTTTGGGGAAATTTTATTTCAGGTATTTAACTGATTACTTTTAATATGTAGGCAACAACACCAAACTCTGACAATACTCCGCAGACTTATTAATGGTTTCCACCCCCGTCTCTGCAAATCTATCAGGCAAGTTTTTCCCGCCCTTTACTTTCATATAAACTGAGTCATACACTGTGTAGTGAGTTTTGGGGGGAGTGTTACTGCCCAACAGGTTCACCTTGCCTGCTGCCTAGACAGAGCCAATTTTTTGACACAGGGGAATTGCAATAAAGAGTTATTTAAACAGAGCTGGCTGTGTGGGAGACCAGACTTTTATTTTTACTCAAATCAGCCTCCTCAAGCATTCCGGGACCAGTTTTTAAGGATAATTTGGTGGATGGGGGCCAGTGAGTTGGGAGTTCTGATTGGTCAGGTCAGAGATGAAATCACAGGGAGCTGAAGCTGTCGTCTTGTCCTGGGTCAGTTCATGTGTGGGGGACACAAGACCAGATGAGCCAGGTTATCAGTCTAGCTGGTGCCAGCTGATCCACTGAGTGCAGGGTCGGCAAAATACCTCAAGCACTGATCTTAGGTTTTCCAATAATGATGTGATCTCCAGGAACAATTTGGGGAGGTTTAGAATCTTGCAGCCAGAGGCTACATGACTCCTAAACCATAATTTCTAATCTCGTGGCTAATTTGTTAGTCCTGCAAATGCAGTCTAGTCCCCAGGCAGGAAAGGGGATATTATCATCTTTGTTTCACAGCTAAACCATAAACTAAGTTCCTCCCAAAGTTATTTTGGTCTGAGCCCAGGAATGAACAAGGACAGCTTGGATGTTAGAAACAAGATGGAATCAGATCAGATCTCTTTCACCGTGATAATTGTCCCAGTTCTAATTTTTCAAAGGCAGTTTCAGAAGCAGAGGCATAGGTTTGACTTCTTTCACTCAGTCTTATGTCTATGAATTTTTCACCTTATTCATATGGTTATTTGTTTCTGTGTGTCTTACTTTGTATGAATATACATTAACTTATTTATTCATTTGACTGTTGTTGAACATGTTGACCTAAAAGAAAGAGGCTGAAGCACAAAACATAATATAGAGTTTACTTGAGCCAACATGAAGACAGCTGCCTGGAAGACTCACACCCAAGGAACCTTGGATCTGAGCTCCCTTTGGCTTTTGTCACAAGCAGGTTTTTAAGGTCAAAAGCAGGGACAGACAGTAGGCTGATAGAAAGGTGCCTGTCAGGAATTCTCATTGGTTTACAGAAATAACATTGATTGGTGATTGGCTTTATGTTGTTAAGTTATAGGCTATGGGGTATAGTGTTTGGTGTGGCATTATTAGGATAATTTACAGCGACTTGAGGCGATATCAAGCAGTTTCAACAGATGAATACATAGCTCAAAAGGAAGGAATGGAAAGGGGTTTCTCTCTCGATTTAACATCTCTCTGGGCCTGATCATTTGAAAGGGCTCACATTCCTCAGATAAAAATTTTTTTAAGTCCTCCTCTCCCTCTCCCTCGTCTCCCTCTCCCTCCTCTCCCTCTCCCCACGGTCTCCCTCTCCCTCTCTTTCCACGGTCTCCCCCTGATGCCGAGCCAAAGCTGGACTGTACTGCTGCCATCTCGGCTCACTGCAACCTCCCTGCCTGATTCTCCTGCCTCAGCCTGCTGAGTGCCTGCGATTGCAGGCGCGCGCCGCCACGCCTGACTGGTTTTCGTATTTTTTTGGTGGAGACGGGGTTTCGCTGTGTTGGCCGGGCTGGTCTCCAGCTCCTAACCACGAGTGATCCGCCAGCCTCGGCCTCCCGAGGTGCCGGGATGGCAGACGGAGTCGCGTTCACTCAGTGCTCAATGGTGCCCAGGCTGGAGTGCAGTGGCGTGATCTCGGCTCGCTACAACCTCCACTTCCCAGCTGCCTGCCTTGGCCCCGCAAAGTGCCGAGATTGCAGCCTCTGCCCGGCCGCCACCCCGTCTGGGAAGTGAGGAGCGTCTCTGCCTGGCCGCCCATCGTCTGGGATGTGAGGAGCCTCTCTGCCTGGCTGCCCAGTCTGGAAAGTGAGGAGTGTCTCTGCCCGGCCGCCATCCCATCTAGGAAGTGAGGAGCGTCTCTGCCAGGCCGCCCATCTTCTGCGATGTGGGGAGCGCCTCTGCCCTGCCGCCCCGTCTGGGATGTGAGGAGCGTCTCTGCCCGGCCGCCCCGTCTGAGAAGTGAGGAGACCCTCTGCCTGGCAACCGCCCCGTCTGAGAAGTGAGGAGCCCCTCCGCCCAGCAGCCACACCCTCTGAGAAGTGAGGAGCCCCTCCGCCCGGCAGCCACTCCGTCTGGGAAGTGAGGAGCGTCTCTGCCTGGCAGCCACCCCGTCTGGGAGGGAGGTGGGGGTCAGCCCCCCGCCCGGCCAGCCGCCCCGTCCGGAAGGGAGGTGGGGGGGTTAGCCCCCCTCCCGGCCAGCCGCCCCATCCGGGAGGGAGTTTGGGGGGTCATCCCTCTGCCCGGCCAGCTGCCCGTCCGGGAGGGAGGTGGGGGGGTCAGCCCCCCACCCGGCCAGCCGCCCCGTCCGGGAGGTGAGGGGCGCCTCTGCCCGGCCGCCCCTACTGGGAAGTGAGGAGCCCCTCTGCCCGGCCAGCCGCCCCGTCCAGGAAGGATGTGGGGGGGTCAGCCCCGGGCCCGGCCAGCCGCCCCATCCGGGAGGTGAGGGGCGCCTATGCCTGGCCGCCCCTACTGGGACGTGAGGAGCCCCTCTGCCCGGCCAGCCGCCCCGTCCAGGAGGGAGGTGGGGGGGTCAGACCCCGCCCGGCCAGCCGCCCCATCCGGGAGGTGAGGGGCGCCTCTGCCCGGCCGCCCCTACTGGGAAGAGAGGAGCCCCTCTGCCCGGCCAGCCGCCCCATCCGGGAGGGAGGTGGGAGGGTCAGCCCCCCACCCGGCCAGCCGCCCCATCCGGGAGGGAGGTGGGGAGGTCAGCCCCCCGCCCGGCCAGCCGCCCTGTCCGGGAGGGAGGCGGGGGTGTCAGCCCCCCGCCCGGCCAGCCGCCCCGTCCGGGAGGTGAGGGGCGCCTCTGCCCGGCCGCCCCTACTGGGAATTGAGGAGCCCCTCTGCCCGGCCACCACCCCGTCTGGGAGGTGTACTCAACAGCTCATTGAGAACGGGCCATGATGACAATGGCCGTTTTGTGGAATAGAAAGGGGGGTAAGGTGGGGAAAAGATTGAGAAATCGGATGGTTGCCATGTCTGTGTAGAAAGAGGTAGACATGGGAGACTTTTCATTTTGTTCTGTACTAAGAAAAATTCTTCTGCCTTGGGATCCTGTTGATCTGTGACCTTACCCCCAACCCTGTGCTCTCTGAAACATGTGCTGTGTCCACTCAGGGTTGAATGGATTAAGGGTGGTGCAAGATGTGCTTTGTTAAACAGATGCTTGAAGGCAGCATGCTCGTTAAGAGTCATCACCACTCCCTAATCTCAAGTACCCAGGGACACAAACACTGCGGAAGGCCGCAGGGTCCTCTGCCTAGGAAAACCAGAGACCTTTGTTCACTTATCTGCTGACCTTCCCTCCACTATTGTCCTGTGACCCTGCCAAATCCCCCTCTGCGAGAAACACCCAAGAATGATCAATAAAAAAAAAAAAAAAAAAAAAAATTTTAAAAATCTTTCTTCTTGAAAGCATTGATGATCAAAAGCTCAGTCAAGGTGTCCCTCTTTGCCAGAAAGGCTCATTCCCAGATAGTCCTATCCCAGGCAGGGGACAGGGAAGGAAAGGAGCCACCTCACCAAGGAATTTTTAAGAATGACCACAAGTCCAATTGAAAGGGCATTACAGCCAGACACGGTGACTCACACCTGTAATCCCAGAACTTCAGGAGGCCAAGGTGGGTGGATTGCTTGAGTCGAGGAGTTCGAGACCAGCCTGGGCAATATGGCGAAACCCCATCTCCACAAAAAATACACAAATTAGCCAGGTGTAGTGGCACACACCTTAGTCCCAGCTACTCAGGAGGCTGAGGTGGGAGGATTGCTTGAGCCTGGAAGTTCAAGGCTGCACTGAGCTAAGATCACACCACTGCACTCCAGCCCAGGTGACAGAGTGAGACTCAGTCTCAATAAAAAAAAAAAAAAAAAAAAAACCAGAAAGAAAAGAAAGAAAAAGGGCATCATAGAATGGCAAAAAAAAAAAAAAAGAGAGAGAGAGAGAGAGAGAGGCCTCAGTTAAGTCTATAGCTGTTGTCACCTGTTGAATCATCTCTAGTCTTCAGAATACCATGAAATTAGTTTTCTCAGAAGTAAAACGATGAGAAATACATAACAATAATGACATTGCACTTCATCATTCCATGCTCTTAGACATTTATAGGGCCATGGATGGTGATCTTTTCAAGAGACAAAAATAAATGCTGGTGCAGAACAGGTAAGTGCGCTATAATTTGAGTACATCAGCTTTTGAGCATTTAAATCATGCATCAGAAATTTAGAGCAAGAGGGCAGGTTGGATCCTGATAGCAGGAGTGTTTTTCTTTTAACTTTCCAGTAGCATCATGGTGTTTACCACTGTCATTTCAGAGTGACGTGACAATTTTTTGTTTGATTTTGTACTTTTTATTTTTATTATAATTACTTTTTGAGACAGGGACTCACTCTGTCTCCCAGGCTGGAGTTCAGTGCAAGATCACAGCTCAGTACAGCCTTGACCTCTTGACCTCCAAGGCTCAATGGCTCAGCCTCCTAAGCAGCTGGGATTACAGGCACACACCACCACACCCAGCTTATTTATTTATTTTTTGAGACAGGGTCTCACTCTGTTGTCCAGGCTGGAGTGCAGTGGCATCATCAGGGTTCACTGCAGGCTTGAACTCCTGAGCTCAAGTCATCCTCTCACCTCATGCTCCTCAGTAGCTGGACTACAGGTGGGCACCACCACACCCAGCTAATTTGTATATATTTTACAGAGTCAGTGTTTCACCATTTTGCCCAGGCTAGTCTCAAACCCCTGGGCTCCAGTGATCCTCCTGCCTTGGCCTCCCAGAGTGCTGGGATTACAGGCCGTTATTTTGACAATACGATTATGATGGGTTAAACTGAGATGTGAGGCAGGAAGGTTAGGGTGAGTCACATAGATTCGATAAGCAGGTTTTGCTTGATATGACCCTGAGTTGCATCGTGAGTGCAATCAGGAGGAATACAGGTGAAATTTAGCACAGGATGTACCAACGGGCCATTATGGCCAAAAGTGGTTGGTGGTTTAAGGTGGCAAACCCAGCACCTTGTTAAATTTCCCACAGTGCAATGGTTTGTGAGATTCTGATCAGAGAATTATCCCTCCCTGCTATAATCAAATTAATTAGGGACAGTGAAACAGAAATCTGATCATAGGCATTTTGCTATGTAGGTATGTATATGTATATACACATACACGCAATAGGACTAGTGTGTCATATCTTAAGAGAATACACATATAGGATGATTTTACCAAAACCACCAAGAGAGGACCCCTACAACTTAAGGGAGCCCTAGTGGTGTATTATTCCAGTCAACAGAAAAAGAGACTCAGGTGCAGTGAGCACTGGAACTGTATTGTTGATACAGGCCAGTATCTTGGGCAAAAGCGGACTACAACAGATGTCAGCTACTTGCCATCTCGGTCAGGAAGACTGAGTTACCTTTAAGTGAAAATCTCCACTAACAGATGTCCACTCTGGCAGTGCTGCCTTTTACAAAAGAAACATGAATCCGTGTGTCAACGCCCTTAAGTTTACTGGCACAGATTGTTCAGTAATACCTGTTGTGAGTTGGGTACATTGGCCCATGCCTGTGGTCCCAACTATTTGGAAGATTGAGGCAGAAGGATGGCTTAAGCCCAAGAGTTCAAATCTACAGTGAGTCATGATTGTGCCACTGCATTCTGGCTTGGGGAACAGAGTGAGATCCCATCTCAAAAAAATAACATAAAATAATAATACCTGATGCGGTCCCTTCTAACAGTCTTGGGAGGAGTATTTTATTTGATGTTGTTTCCAGTAAACAACAACATCTCCAGGTTATAGGCCAAGATTTTTGATATTTTCATCTCCCAAGAATTCATTATGAAAGGAATCCTGTGTTAATGTAGAGTTTTTAGTAAGTTTTGTGAGATCTTAGCAGTAATGGAGAATGTCACCTTTGAGAAGTGCATATTCATAAGTGTCTTCACCTAACCACTGCATGGGTCTTCCTGTTATTATTTCAAAGAGAGAGAGTGTGGACATTTTCCAGAACTAGTGGGAGATCCTTGGCCAAGAAAGGTTAAAAACTTCTGTTAGCTTTGCCTATGGAGTTTTTATTGTATCATCAGTGCATTCCATCAGCCCAGAGGATTAGGAGTGATAGGCACAATGGAATTGTTGGGACATAGACAAAACTGTACAAATGGATCCAATTACCTGACCGATGAAGTGTGTTCCTTGGTTGCTATGGAATTCAGATGGCACTCTCCATGAAGAATTACCTTTTCTAATCACAATCTACTAACCTACTACTTGGGCTGTGGCTCATCGGCATGGAAATGCTCACCCCAGTGAGCACATACAAATTAGCACCAGAAGGTATCTGTAACCCTCAGATGGAGACAGCTGGATAAAGTCTAAGTGCTATGTCTCAAAGGGTCCTAAAGGTAAAATGTTCCTGTGACCCATGAAGTGGTTTTCCAGGGTTATGTTTGGGACAGACAGTATAGCAAAAATAAACCTTTTCTACTATCATAGGCAATGATTTTCAATACCATTGCTTTCCCCATGCTAACATTTTGTCTGAATTCCAATAAGTCAGCTTATGAAGTACTGTAAAAAGGGTAACTGAAGCCTAAAGGGTGGATCAGTGTATCATTGGGCCCATACCATATGCCTGTTTCTGGAAGAAACTTGTTTCCTTTATCCTTCCAGAGATCCCTCTCCTGCTTGGGAGCTCCCACTTATGCTTCTTCTTCTGTTTTTTTTTTTTTTTTTTTTTTTTGAGCCAGAGTCTCGGTCTGTCACCCAGGCTGTAGTGCAGTGGTGCAATCTCTGCTCACTGCAACCTCTGCCTCCCAGGTTCAAGTGATTCTCATGCCTCTGCCTCCCAAGTAGCAGGGATTATAGGCATGTGTCACCACACCGGCTAATTTTTGTATTTTTAGTAGAGACAGGGTTTCACCATGTTGGCCAGGCTGGTCTCAAACTCCTGACCTCAGGTGATCTGCCCGCCTCGGCCTCCCAAAGTGCTGGGATTACAGGCATGAGCCACCATGCTCAGCCCACTTGTACTTCTAAAGAAGTCTTCAATGGGTCATAAGTCAGCAAGGTCATTTTGAGAAGTTCTGTGTCTGATGTCACCTTCAGAGCTGCATTCTTAGCTGCAGCGTCAGCAAAATGGTTGCCCTTGCTCTCCGGAATATCTAATTTTGAATGACCAGGAACTCCTTTGATGATGGCCAAAGATTCAGGTTTTCAAATTGCTTCTAAGAGGTCAGAGACTTACTGGTCATTTTTCATGGCTTGAACTGATGAAATCAGAAACCTATGTTGCTTCTAAAGCATTCCAAAATCATCACCTACTCCAAATGCACCTCTGCTGCCAGTGTAAATGTTAGGCTGAGGTGAGAGGATTGACTGAGCCCAGGAGTTCATTTAGGTCCAGCCTGGAAAACACAGCGAGACCTCATCTCTAGAAAAAAAACAAAGAATTAGCTGGGCATTGTGGCACGCACCTCAGCTACTTGGGAGGCTGAGGTGGGAGGATTGCTAGAGCTGAGAGATTGAGGCTGTGGTGGGCCATGATGGAGCCACTGCACTCTAGCCTGGGTGACAGAGTGAGAATCTGTCACAAACAATCAATAAATAAATCTCAACCGTTTAAAATATCAATGACAGATTTGCTTGGCCTTTTAAGTGCATTGCTGAATTCTCCAATCTACATTTTTAGGAACAACCTGGGGAATGGCAACATGGAGGTATTTGGCCAAAATGCAGACCCTTTCATTGTCTGCTTCAGTCTGTTTTTAAGAATCCTCTAAAGGATTATTCCAATTTGCCCTTTTCAACCATTTAATGGCCCTGCCTTCTTACCCCAGCATGTGAATTAATTGATAAAGATCAGAATGTCCAGGCTCAAAAGTTTGGGCAATTAAGTCAAATTACCTCCCAAACACTATAGGATCTTGGAGGCTGCTTTAGAATTAGAAGGGGAAAATGTATTTAAATTTCAATCAGGGAAATCTTTTTTTTTTTTTTTTTTTTTTTGATATAGAGTCCTGCTCTGTCACCCAGGCTGGAGTGCAATGGTGCAATCTTGGCTCACTGCAACCTCCATTTCCCAAGTTCAAGTGATTCTCCTGCCTCAGCATCCTGAGTAGCTGGGATTACAGTCATGTGCCACCATGACCGGCTAATTTTTGTATTTTTAGTATAGATGGGGTTTCACCATGTTGTCCAGGCTGGTCTTGAACTCCTGAACTCATGATCTGCCCACCTAGTCCTCCCAAACTGCTGGGATAACAGGCGTGAGCCACTGCACCCGGCCCAGGGAAGTCTTTTATGATATTCTTAATTCACATTTTGGTGAAGCAGTATACAGAATGGTAGGCTCCCTTCTTCCTGTGGATTTTACCTTGAAAGGGGCTGTCAGAACAGAAGTTTCAGGGAAGGGACCAGAGCCCTGGGGACTTTCCTTAGGTGATGGTGATGGAAGAAGAGGCAAGGCAGGAAAGGAGGGCTCAGGTAAGGGAGACTATGCAGGTACAGGGGCAGGAGAAGAAGGAGCAGTTGGGGGCGAAAGAGACAAAGCCTCCTCAATATTTCTCAGTTCAGAAAACATGTCAGTTTAGCTCCTTCAGCTTACTTCCTCACTGGAGATAATTTTCTCAGTTCTTTTAGAAATTTCTAGGTATAATTGGAAGTAAGTCTCCCATTTAATTTGGTTCTAAAACCAAATTTTTCCAATTGTGCACACTAATAAATTATTTTAAGCATTTCAAAATATCCCCATTTTCTTCATTCTGCTTATGATTTTTCCTGGTTAGGTGGGTCCAGTTTCTTGGATATTTACAAGAGAATGCCTCATAAGTGTTATACATAAACCCAGCTGATGTTTCTAAAGGTGGTTGTTTCTTCGCAGTGTGCTAAATTTTGAAGCTTGATTTCCCATAATTCAGGAGCTTTTCAGATGACCAAGGCCTGCGATGTGTTTTGGGTCACAGTGTGGTGCTTATGAAGTCACTCCTACAGATAACACCGGAGTTGTGTATTGCTGTCTCAGTGGTTCCCACTGTTTCTAACCACCAGGTGGCCACAGAGTGCATGTGCTATGAGGGACCCATCCCACATATGCCCTCCCAGAAGAGCAGGAAAGGGGGTTCATAAAGATGTTCTTCTGATAGGGAGTGCCCTATGAGGCCACCTTCACATGGTGAGTAATGACCCCGACACCTCTGCAACATCCCCGATCACTTGGAGCACCTGAATGGATCAGCGGGAGCAGATCACTTCTTTTCTTCAGGGCAAGGGAACACACCTCCGTGCACTTTCCAGTTAAGAACAGGAACTAGTCACAAATGAAAAGCTAAGTCCGAATGTTCAAAACAACATGCTACATAAAACGAAACCACCAGAGCATACCTGCCAATACCTTGGCCCAGATCTTCCTGCTGAGGAACAGAGGCAGAAAAGGCAGAAGCTCTCTGGGGAGCTCTTTGCCTGACTGTGACCCAAACTTTCTGTCCTGACGCAGAGGTGGAAAAGGCAGTTATTTCCCCCTGAAACTCAAATCTCTTACTCACAGGGTAAAGACAGAAAACCTCCGTTCTAGAAAGGGAGAGCTGGAAAGGACACTCAAGCAAACTCCAGGCCTTCAACCAAAGAGTGGGAAGGTCCAGATTTCAGGAGGATTCACCACTTACTACTGCCCAACTCTTTCTCTCAGAGTCAGAACTCAAGGGCTTCAGATCTGGCCAGGCACCCAGTCCAGGAGGAATGTGGTGTGATCTGAGAGATGAAAATACATGCCCCCTTAGAGACTAAGGCAGACTCGAAAGTTAAGGAAACAAAAGTTAGCTACTTGTCCAGGGTTCAGGGCTCATCTGGCATGGCAACTTCCTGAATTCCTATGGCTACAGGAAAAACCACACTCTTGCTAAACTCCTTAACAATAGAACTAGCAAGCAAATTGTCAAAACCTTCCCAGCCCTTCTCAACTGGATTTACAACCCAGATCACTAGACCTCTGATGGGACAGAAGAGTGGCCTTCCATTCTCTCCTGATAAGCAACTGCGGATATCAAGCCAGTTTCAGCCATGTTACAGGGACTGCACACAAACCGACTTGGTGTCCAGCAGTTCACCTTTTGACATAAAAAGCCAATTTCCACCTTATTTTAATGCTAAAATCCCTTCCCAATGTGAAGATGGGGTGCATGTTACATATATGTTTACCCTTTGCACATGAGCTCAATACCCCTCAGAAATGGCGTTTCTCCAAACCTGCTGAATATGTATAACTCCATTGTGTGATACACACCCTGTGAGGCACTAAAACCAAACTGCCCTCTCTCTCTCTCTGAAGAGAAAGCACCTTTTCAAAGACACACACCAGAGACTGTCTCTTCCTGGACTGCAAACTGATCTCACCAATGAAATTCTTACTACTATGTAGCCACCCTGGAGGCCTTTGAGAGGATAGTCAGATGGTCAGAGATGAGTTGCTCTGAATCCTGCTCCCAGGGCCAAAAACGTCAACCTAGAAGGAAGGGGCTTAAGCACAAAATATGATTTAAAGAGTTTATTTGAGCCAATGTGAGGATAGTTGCCTGGAAGGCTGAGACCCAAGCAATCTTGGATATGGGTTCTGTTTGGCCTTTGTTACAAGCAGGTTTGTAAAGACCAAAAAGGGAGACAGGGAGTTGGCTGGTAGAAAGTTGCTTATCAGGAACTCCCACTGGTTTACAGAAATAACATTGATTAGGGATTAGCTATACATTGTTCAGCTACAGGGAGTGAGAGATGGTGTCCAGTGCATGTGATTAGGTTACTTTATAGCTAACTGTGGCAATAGCAAGCAGTTTCAGTGGATGAATACATAGCTCAAAAGTAGGGAAGTGGCCAGTGGCACTGGCCCATGCCTATAATTCCAACACTTTGGGAGGCCGAGGTGGGCAGATCACCTGAGGTTAGGAGTTTGAGACCAGCCTGGCCAACATGATGAAACACTGTCTCTACTAAATATACAGAAAAAAAAAAAAAAAAAATAGGCAGGCATTGTGGTTCATGCCTTTAGTCGCAGCAACTCAGGAGGCTGTGGCAGGAGAATCACTTCAACCCGACTGGAGGAGGTTGCAGTGGGCCAAAATCCTGTCACTGCACTCCAGCCTGGGCAACAGAGTGAGATTCCATCTCAATACAATAAATTATTTTTTAAAAAAATTTAAAAAGCAGGGAAGTAGGATGTGGTTGGTGTTTCATTTTAATGCCTAGCTCTAGGCATGGTAACTTGAAAGCGCCCATTTTCCTCACATGAAAAAGTTCTTTTCTTTCTTTTCTTTTCTTTTTTTTTTTTTTTTTTTGGAGACACACTCTCACTTACTGTGCCACCCATGCTAAAGTGAAGTGGCATGATCTCTGTTCACTGCAACCTCCACCTCCAGGGATCAAGCGATTCTCATGCCTCAGCTTCCTGAGTAGCTGGGATTAGAGGTGCCAGCCACCATGCCTGGCTAATTTTTGTATTGTAGTAGAGATGGGGTTTCACCATGTTGGCCAGGCTGGTCTCGAACTCCTGACCTCAGATGATCCACCCGCCTCAGCCTCCCAAAGTGCTGGGATTACAGGTGTGAGCCACCATGCCCAGCCAAGACCATTAATTTAATCTACAGCTAAATCTATTATATTTTCATGTTACAAATTCAGCAAGAAAAGTTTTCCCTAATGAAACATCACATTTAAAGCATAAGTAGTTAAAAAAAAAAAAAAAAGTAAGAGACAGGGTGTTGCTGTCATCCAGGGGAGAGTGCACTGGTGCAACCACAGCTGACAAACCTGGAAATTCTGGGCTCAGGCTGTCCTCCCAGCTCAGCCTGAATTTTAACTTTTTAGACGTGACATCTTGTCCTGTTGCCCGGGCTGGTCTCCAATTCCTTGCCTAAAGCAATCCTCCCACCTCAGCCTCCTGATTTGCTGGGATTACAGGTGTGAGTCAACCAGCCTGGCATTGCAAAAAAAAAAAAAAAAAAAGTCAAGAAATTATTCTTATTCTTTATTTTATTTTATTTTGAGTTGAGGTCTTACTCTGTCACCCAGGCTAGAGTGCAGTGGTACAATGATAGTTCACTGCAGCCTGGATCTCCTGGGCTCAAGTGATCCTCCTGCCTCAGCCTCCCAAGCATCTGGGACTACAGACGTGAGCCACTGTGCTGACTAGTTTTTCTTTTAATCAGCTCATTTTTTAAAATTTGTAGAGACAGGCGTCTCACCATGTTGCCCAGGCTGGTATCGAACTCCTGGTTTCAATCCTTCTTCCCTCCTCAGCTGCCTAAAGTGCTAAGACTACAGGTGTGAGCACCACGCCCTGCTTAATTTTCATATTTTAATTTTATATACGTAATTATTACTGTCCTTAAGATAACTGGGGCAGTAATCTCCTTAAAGTTTTAGAGACTTAATTTATCTGTTCACTCCACTGGAAGAGTATGCCAATTGGTTTCATAAGAAGATTTATTTATAAATCAGAAAAATTCTTTCCACCAAACTAGGGGTCATTCAAAAGCAAATAATTGCCTTAAGTAACATCATTTAAGGTGAAAACAGATGCAGTGGTATCTATTAATAATGCTTCTCAGTGTGGGAAACAAACTGAAAAAATGAACATCATTAGATCCTTGGAAAACCCTCACTGCTGAAAATCTGAGTAATTCTGTGATACCCTTTTGAGTCTTCCAGGACATTCTCTTTCCGGAGCACATAAAAGTGAGTAAATCATTTTTCATCCATTTTCATTAAGAGCTGAACTTCCTTGATGTTCTGGAGATTATTAAATTTGATTTGTGGCCAGGCGCAGTGGCTTATGCATGTAATCCTAGCACTTTGGGAGGCCAAGGTGGGCAGATCACTTGAGTTCAGGAGTTTGAGACCAGCCTGGCCAACATGGCAAAAACCCATCTCTACTAAAAGTACAAAAATTAGCCAGGCATGGTGTTACATGTCTGTAATCCCAGCTACTCAGGAGGCTGATGCACAAGAGTCACTTGAACCCGGGAGGCCAAGGCTGCAGTGAGCCAAGATCGTGCCACTGCACTCCAGCCTTGGTGACAGAGCGCGACTCTGTCTTAAGCAAAAAAAAGTTTTTATTTGTATAGTTGTGAGAAGTGCTTATATTGCTGACTCCATTGCTTATTTGTGATCATATAAATCTCTTTTCTTCTTTCTCTAGTGTGATTTAAACTTAATCCTTAAAGAACATGTATTTCAGCTGGTTAGAGTTTTTTAGCTAGTAGAAACCTGAGTATATGAATCAAAGAAAACTGCTCCTTACATGCCACAGACTTAGTTTTCTTTCTTTCTTTCTTTCTTTCTTTCTTTCTTTCTTTCTTTCTTTCTTTCTTTCTTTCTGTACTAAGATTTATTTTAGGTATAGTAATTTGTTAAAGCCAAGAGCTCCTATGGAATGAAGTTAGATGGGAGGGGGGCATTGAGTAGTAAGGTCATCCTTATAATAGAGATGCCACTCTTGCAGATATTGACAGCTATTGGGCCCAAAAAATTGTAACCAAATGTTGGAAAGACAAGATATGAGCAACTTCTGATTGCTGCAGTCTCAAATATCAAGAAATACCGTTATCCTCAGGACAATGAATACACAATCAAAAAAGACTCACAGACTAGATTAGCTGTCATGTATCATCAAACAGGGACTGGATCCTTGTCAAACACCACCCAACAGAGATTGTCCCCAGAAATTCACTTCATAACATCAAAACCAGAAACCCACATTGATGCCACTGATGGCAGAAATCAGTGATGCAAAAATGAGAGAGAGAGAAAGAGAGAGAGATAGAGGAAGGATTTGTCCAATTACAATGCTTAGTATATAAAAGCAAATGAGATCAATTTTTGCTCATGAACACAGAAGAACTGAGGGAACAAGAGCCAATAGCTCTAAGGATCCAAGTCTGCACCAGGGGCCTGCAGGATTCTGTTGGCTCCCATGATGGGTCTCAGATGGGCTAATTTTTATGGACATAGCCTCTGAAAAAAATTAGTCAAGAAATAATATACAGACACTTATCTGCATGCCCATTCTCCATTAATATAGAAGGGAAACTGGCATTAGATGGTTTTCATCAAATAAAAGTAAAATCAAGATTTATAAATAAAAGAGGAAAGAGGAGAAAAAAATGTCTGGGACCATTGTGATTTTGCTCCCTTTGGATAAGTGACTTGGCAGAAGGCTGTCAAAGAGGTCACTGTGACCTGTCTTCTCTGGACCAATGTGACTTGGTCACCACAGGAAACAATTACAGGCTGGGCACAGTGGCTTATGCCTATAATACCAACACTTTGGGAGGCTGAGGTGGGCGGACCACTTGAGCTCACGAGTTGGAGAGCAGCCTGGGCAACATGATGAAACTCTGTCTTGGAGAGCAGCCTGGGCAACATGATGAAACTCTGTCTGTACAAAAAATACAAAATTTAGCCGGGCATGGTGGTCCATGCTAGTAGTCCCAGCTACTCAGGAGGCTGAGGTGGGAGGATCCCCTGAGCCCAGGGAGGTCGAGGCTGCAGTGAGCCATGATTACACCACTGCACTCCAGCCTGGGTGACAGAGTAAGACCATGTCTCAAAATACATAAATTAAATTTGAAAAAGAAACAAGGCCAGGCACAGTGGCTCATGCATATAACCCCAGTACTCTGGGAGGCCAAGATGGGAGTATCACTTGAGCTCAGGAGTTCGAGACCAGCCTGGGCAACATAGTGAGACCTCATCTCTAAAAACTACATACATATATATATTAATAAATATGTATAATAAAATATAATATATAATCAAATATATACATATTATACATAATATATAATTGTATATATTTACTTTCAGATAATTATAATAAAATATGTATATATTTTATTATATATACAATAAAATAAAAAAGAAACAATTACAGATGTTGGAGGAGTTTAAAATATCTCAGCCAGGTGCAGTGGTTCAGGCTGGTAATCCCAGCACTTTGGGAGACTGAGGCAAGAGGATCACTTGAGCCCAGGAGGCTGAGGCTTACAGTAAACTATGACCATACCACTGCACTGCAACCTGGGCAACAGAAAAAGACCCTATCTCAAAAAGTAAAATGTCTTAGAAGTTTAGCTGTCCATCCTATGCAACTGAATACCTGTGTGTGATGTCCACCATGTCCTCCTGTTGTACCTCCCCCTTACTTAAGCCAGGAAGGCACTTGTCCCGTTATTAGAATATCATTGGCACATGGCCAGGCGTGCTGGCTCATGACTGTAATACCAGCATGTTGGGAGGCTGGTCAGGAGTTTGAGACCAGCCTGGCCAACATGATGAAACCTTGTCTCTACTAAAAATACAAAAATTAGCCAGGTGTGATGGTACAGGCTTGTAAGCTGAGATCACTACAATGCACTCCAGCCTGGGCAACAGAGCAAGACTGTGTCTCAAAAAAAAAAAAAAAAAAAGAAAGAAAATAATATTATGGGCACATATATAGAAAGTTTGTTAAGCCGGGTACGGTGGTTCACACCTGAAATCCCAGCACTTTGGGAAGCCAAGGCAGGCGAATCTCCTGAGCCCAGAAGTTGGGGTTCCTGGGGCCAACTTGGGCAACATTGCAAGACCCTATCTAAAAAAAAAAGAAAGAAAAAGAAGTAGGATTTGATGGTGCACATCTGTAGTTCTAGCTATTCTGGAGGATCACTAGAGCCGGGGTGGCAGGGATGGGCGGTGAGTTTGCAGTGAGCTGAGATCACGCCACTGCACTCCATCCTGGGTGACAGAGCGACACGTAGTCTCAAAAAAAAAGGGAGGGGGGGGGAGAAAATCTGTTGTGTCGGCAAGTAAATGAAGAAAGGGACGTTATTAGAGTTGAGAAATAAATTGGAATATGATTTGGTACCTTTCCCACAGAAGATAAGTTTGCTAAATGTGCTGAAATTAGAAGCATTATATAAGACCCGGTGCAGTGGCTCATGCTTGTAATCCTAGCACTTTGGGAGACCTCGGAGGTGCCTGAGCCCAGGAGTTTGGGGACCAGCCTGGGCAATATAATGAAATCCTTTCTCTACAAAAATACAAAAGTTAGCTAGGCCTTTCGGAAGCGACAACTGATTGTGCCACAGAGACACAACCCTAGTGGCTTAGGACTCTGGGAAGATATAATCTCCCCCACTTATCTAGTGATCGATAATGCACGAACGCTTTAAAAGCTGGAGCAGGCGGCTGGGCACGGTGGCTCACACCTGTAATCCCAGAACTTTGGGAGGCCGAGGCGGGCGGATCACGAGGTCAGCTGATCGAGACCATCCTCGCCAACAAGGTGAACCCTCCCTCTCTACTAAAATACAAAACATTAGCCAGGCAGGGTGGCGTGCGCCTGTATTCCCAGCTACTCGGGAGGCTGAGGCAGGGGAATCGCCTGAACCTGGGAGGCAGAGGTTGCAGTGAGCCGAGATCGCCCTACTGCACTCCAGCCTGGCGACAGAGCAAGACTCTGTCTCAGAAAAAAAAAAAAAAAAAAAATCTGGAGCAGGCTTGGAGCAGCAGCCGTCCCTCAGTGGGTTCTAGCCACCAACCTTTAGATTAACAGCCGAACGCTCTAACCGATTGTGCCACAGAGACACGTAGTGTACCTTCTTCTGGGCGCTATAGGAAGGGTGCACTCACCAAACATTCCCCAACCCTCCCATCCTCAGAGCCCACCAGACAGTAGGACTGTGCAAGGCCTTGGAAAACCGGAGAGATTACAGCGGTGAATTGTGTTGGTCTCGTTGGAGACCCGCAGGTTGGGAGATTCTGGAACCAGGACGACCTTGCCCCTAGCCTGCTTTAGAAGCCCCCGGAAACGCCCCGGCCCCGACCCGGACCTGAGCCACCTGGGGGCCTAAGGGAAGCTGAATGCCCAGTGGGCTCCCGGGATGGCTCTTCCCGTTCTTTGCGCAGCCTTCACCCAGTGAGGGAGCCTGTGCCCACCCTGCCCAGTCACTTTCGAGGCCGCTGCGGAACTTCCGCTGCCATCTTCCGATCCTGTGTCCCGCACTGGGACACAGAGCAGGGATTGTGGTGAGGGTGGCTCGTGGGTCCTCTCGCGGAGAGCAGGGTCTGGCACTTACCAGCGCGCACGACTAGGACTTGTTGAATTAATCCATTGCCCCTTTAGCTTTTAGTCCTTTGAAGGGCCCTGAAAATGGAAATCATGAAATATTTTTCCACGGGGAAGTTTTGTTTTGCTTTTGAGATAGGGTCTCGCTTGGTCGCCCAGGCTGGAGTGCAGTGGTGCAAACACTGCTCACTGCAGCTTCGACCTCCCGGGGGCCATCGTCGCCTTTAGCTTTTAGTCTCTTGAAGAACCCCAAGAATAGAAATCATGAGATTTTTCCATGGGGAAGTTATTTTTTCAAAGGGTCTATTCACGTTGATTTCTCAGCATCCCCTGGGGCGGGCAACGGGCAGGGCCTCCAGTGCACCTTTCTGCCGCGGTGGAGCCGCGGGGGCTCAGCTGGGCGGTGGTAGGGTCCTGAGGCAGAAGGGCAGGAGCGGGGGAAGGGAAAAGTAAAAGCAGGGAAAGAAGCCGGGGAGCGGTGGACCAGACATCCAGACCTCCCGAAGGCCTCTTGCAGAGGCACAGGCTGGATCTTCTGGAGGTGAGAATTGTTTTTTGTTGTTGTTGTTGAAGCAGAATAGGGAGGAACTGAGGGGAAAATTGAGAGAGAACACGGAATAGCTCCAAACGCGAGGACCTATAACTCCCAAACAATAACATCTTCCAGAAGAACTAGACAGAAAACTAGGCATCTGGGAACCCTGAAATCCCAGGAGAAGTAGCATCATCATGACCCTCTGTGTTCCTTTTGGCAAAGGACTTGCTTCGTTTGTACAATTGTTTGTGTTTGTTAAATAAATAAAACCCTTTTCATGTATCTTTGAAAGTACATTGGCTCTATTATTTTATGGTTACAAATAATGCTGCAGTCATCATTCTTGTACACTTCTCATTGGCCACTGGTGTATTTCTATAGTGTAGAGGCCTGGAGAGCAGTTGCTCCAGCATAGTGTTTACATGGTTTTTATATCATTCCATTTTCTTTCCTTTCTTGGCTTATTATCTATAACTGTTTCTTTCATCTGGTCCACCGCTCCCTAGCTTCTTTTCCTGCTTTTGCTTTTTCAGTGATGGCTTTCGGGTTTCCAGAATACATCTTCATCAGTGCCATCAAGTGACATTATACCTCCCCTTCTGGCCATTATGCTAGTGTTGTCATGTAATTTGATTTTAGACATGTTACAAACCCCAGAATCCATTATTATTGCTTTTGTTTAATCGGTCAAATTATTTTAAAAGATTTATATAATAAGAACATATATATTTAACTATGTACATACCAATTTCCAGTACTCTCCATTTCTTTATGTAGATCCAGTTTTCTGTCTGGTATCCTTATCCTTAGGCCTGGGGGACTCCTTTTGCATTTCTTGCAGTGTGGGTTGCTGAGTTCTTTCATTTTTTGTATGTCTTTAAATGTCCTCATTTCAGTCACATTCTGGAAAGATTTTTCATTTCGACATAGAATTCTAGGAAAACTTTATTTCTTTCAGTACTTTAGGATGTTGCCACTTTGTTTTTGTAAAACTGGCATAAAGTGGGCTTCCTGTACTTGTTATACAATTTTTGGAATGTGTATTTAAATTAAAAACATTAAAATGGGCTGGACGAGGTTGTTCATGCCTGTAGTCCCAGCACTTTGGGAGGCGAACACAGGAAGATCAATTGAGGCCCAGAGTTGGAGACCAGTGTGGGCAAGATAGCAAGACCCTGTCTCTCATACACACACACACACACACACACACACACACACACACACACATACGTACATACATTGTGAATGTCCTAGATTCATCTTAAGTTCCACCAACAGTGCACTTAAAGTAAAATGTGCCCAACCTGAGGGTCAAACCTATCTGCTGATGTGCAGTCTGTGTTTGTGAGACATTCTCAACAGCATTTGCTTTCCCTAGCATAGCGGTTTTCGTGTTTTCCTCATACCTGAATGTCTTAAGTGCAAAACCTGTCAGAAATCATTTCCTTTGCCAAAAGATTCTAAAATACTTTTTTTTTTTTTGAGATCAGCTCACTGCAACTTCCACTTCCCACGTTCACAGGATTCTCCTGCCTCAGCCTCTGGAGTAGCTGGGACTACAGGCTGCCGCCACCATGCCCGGCTAATTCTTTTGTATTTTTAGTAGAGATGGGGTTTCACTGTGTTAGCCAGGATGGTCTCGGTCTCCTGACCTCCTGATCCGCCCGCCTCAGCCTCCCAAAGTGCTGGGATTACAGGCGTGAGCCACCATGCATGGCCAAGGTTTGACTTTTATACACTCTTCTGAAAGGGGGGGTTGGCTAGTTTGAATTGCGTCGCGGGAATTTGCTGGCGCAAAACTCGCTGGGCAGGCTAGAGGGCTTACAGAAGCAGAAAGAAGGCAGTTAATCAAACTGACAGGTCTTGCAACGCAAGCATAGCTGGTGACCTTGCAGCTGCACTGAAGGGAAGTCAGGAACTTACAAAACCAGAAATGGTAAGGGGGAAAGAGAAGGTAGTAAAGGCATTTGTTGTTTTTTCCTCTTATCCTTATCCGTGCTAGGGGCGGACTGTGTAGACAGAGTCTCTGGAACTCATTCCCTGGGGCTCTGTCTTTTCAGACAGTGTTATCAAGGATCTGCTAGGGCTCTATCTATTGCTGGTCTTGGAGTAAGTCAAGTACTGTGAAGCTCAGTTATGCAGCTGAGCTTCACACATTAGGGGAAACAACAAGAGAACAGCACATCTGGAGTGCAATGGATGAGCCTCAAACTTAGGACGAATCACTTTGGTAACCATAGGATTTCCCCTGCCAGATAAGTGGCAGTCCACATACCTCCGCCCTGCCACAGCTCCATATGCCTCACCCTTTACACCCACGGTTACTTGCCCTGAGAACCACCCCCGCCTATCCCCAACCACCCCAAGCCCTTCTAGCCCTAACACACAGCTGGGACTCTCACATCCACCAGCGGTCCTGGACTTGCTCCTACAGCACGGGGAATTCTCCCTGGCGAAGCAGCAACCCTGTGCTGCCTCATCTACACAGAAATGCCCTATCGGTGATGTCACCGACAGTGCCTTTCCCAGTCCCCTTCTGTTCTTCCGCCCCACCCTCTGCCACTCAGCCGACCAACACGCTGCCGGAGCAGGCGGGGGAAGTGACGTCTGCCTGTCCCTCCTTTCCTTCCCGCCTTGTCCTTTGGGGAGGTGCGCCAAGACCCTGCATCTAGTCTCTCCCAAAGAGGTGACTACTTAACCTGTGCCCTGCGGAGGAACCTTCTGGCGGCCAGCTGGAAGCCTGTGCACCCGTCTTCAAATAAAGGCTTTTAATTCGCAGACTAGAACGTTTAGGATTACAAAGAAAACTGGTTCCTTTCAAATCTGGTTATGTTTGTGAAATAGCATTCCGCTTAAAATTGGAAGCCCTTCAATATCAGGGAGAAATCATATCTATGAAACTAGAGAGGCAAACCAGCCATCCTTACTGGTTTTACCAGTAGTAGTGTTATAAAGAAAGTTGTCCAATTTCATGAATCTTGTAGGTTTGGTTTTTTGTTTTTCAAATACAGTACTGTACAAAAAGGAAGCGGAATGTGGTTGCAGTCTTAATGTAATGCCTCTCTGGGCCTGAGAATTTGAAAAGGTTCACACTCCTCATAAAAGTTCTCTTCTTCGCCGGGACGGACAGTGGCTCACGCCTGTAATCCCAGCATTTTGGGAGGCCGAGGCGGGTGGATCACCTGAGGTCAGGAATTCGAGACCTGCCTGACTAACATGGTGAAACCCCGTCTCTACTGCATGGGAAATATTTATGTATATGCAACAAAAGGTATTTGCCACCACACATACATCTCCCTGCTCAGCTAAATATGTCATCTAAAGTGATGTGATTATCTAGTACAACCTTAGCCAGTGAATAAATAGCTTTTTATTGAGCTGCAAAAGAGGCTGCAGTTTCAACAGCAGTGTTTTTCTTTCTTTTTCTTTCGAAGACAGTGTCTGGCTCTGTGGCCCAGGCTGGAGTGCAGTTGTGCCAGCACAGCTCACTGCAGCCTCGAACTCCTGGGCTTAAGTGATCCTCCTGCCTCAGCCACAGAGTCACTGGGATTACAGGCCAGAGCCACCATGCCTGATTTTCATCAGCAATGTTTCCTGAGGTTACAGAAAGATTTGTAATCCTGGGAGGAAACAGTCCCCTGAAGCAAAGTGTTCTCCCCCAAAAATGCAAAGAGCTATCTTCTTGATAGCGAGGCAGATAATTCTCAGGTTTTGCCCCACAGAATCTCTATCTAAAATAGAGCAGTGGTCATGACTAGTGAAAAGTTTGAGGGAACTCGCCCAATGTTGGGTTTCTTCAGAAATATATATATATTTACATAAATATATATTTATATATATATATAAATATATATCCAAATATCCTAAAAGACACTGCCCTTCATCATTCCATGCTGTTAGACATTTATAGGACCATGGATGGTGATCTCCTCCAGACAAAAATAAATGCTGGTGCAGAACAGGTAAGTGTACTATAATTTGAGTACATCAGCTTTTGGGCATTTTAAACCATGGGTCAGACATGTTAGAGCAAGGGACCAGGTTGATAGCAAGAGGGAGTGTTTTCCTTTTAATTTTCCAATAGCAAAGTGATGTTTGCCACTGTCATTTCAGAGTGATATGACAATTTGTTGTTGTTGCTTGGTTTTGTGGGGTTTTTTGTTTGTTTGTTTTTGAGACAAGGTCTCACTGTCACCCAGGCTGGAGTGTGGTGGCATGATCAGGGTTTACTTCTGCCTTGATCTCACGAATTCAAGCAAACCTCCTTACTAATCCTCCCAAGTAGCTGGGACTACAGGTGCGTGACACCACACCCTGGGGTGTGAACTGGGATTTGATGTTTTCAGTTGGCTCCCTAATGGAATAGGTTCCTTTACTATTCTGGAATACAGATTGTCATTCTCGTGTGCATTATATTTCTACTACCCTGCTAATTTTTTTCTTTTTTTTTTTTTTCTTTTTAAGATGGAGTCTTGCTGTGTTGCCCAGGCTCTATTGCAGTGGCAGGATCTCAGCTCACTGCAACATCCACCTCCTGGGTTCAAGTGATTCTTTTGCTTCAGCCTCCTGAGTAGCCACCCGGCTAATTTTTGTATTTTTAGTAGAGACAGGGTTTCACCATGTTGGCAGGCCAGTCTCTAACTCCTTACCTCAAGTGATCCACCTGCCTCGGCCTCCCAAAGTGCTGGGATTACAGGCATGAGCTACCACGCCTGGCTCTCAAACCATTTTGAGTAAGCAAAGACAGATATGTCTGGCTTTTTAGTACGTTGCTGAATTAGCCTCCAATCTATATTTTTAGGAAGGACCTGGGGAATGGCAACATGGAGATATTTGGCTAAAATGTGAACCTTTCATGTTCTGCTTCAGTCTCTTTTTGAAAATCCTTCCAATTTGCCTTTTGCAACCAGTTAGTGGCCTTGCCTTCTTCACCATCATGTGAATTAATTGATAAAGGTCAGAATATTTGGGCTCAAAGATTTCAACAGTTAAGTCAAATTTTCTGCCACACCCTGTGGGATCTTGGAGCCTGCTTTAGAAACAGAAGAGCGAAATGTATTTAAATTTAGATCAGGGAAGTCCTTTATAATCTTAATTCACGTTTTGGTGAAGCGGTATACACAATGGTAGGCTCCCCTCTTCCTGTGGGTTTGGGTTTTACCTTGAAAGGGGCTGTCAGAACAGAAGTTTCAGGGAAGGGGCCAGAGCTCTGGGGACTTTCCTCAGGTGATGGTAATGGAAGAAGAGGCAAGGCAGGACAGGAAGGCTCAGGTAAGAAAGACTATGCAGGTGCAGGGGCAGGAGGAAAAGGAGCAGTTGGAGGCGAAAGAGACAAAGCCTCCTCAATATTTCTCAATTCAGAAAATGTCAGTTTACCTCCTTCAGCTTATTTCCTCAATGGAGGCAATTTTCTCAGTTCTTTTAGAAATTTAGAAATTTAGAAATTTAGAAATTTCTAGGTCTCATTGGAAGTAAGTCTCCCATTTAATTTGTCTGGTTGTAAAACCAAATTTCTCTCCCTTTTTTTTTTTTTTTTTTTTTTTTGAGACATGGTCTCACTATGTCACCCAGACTGGAGTGCAGTAGTGTGATCTCAGCTCACTGCACACTGCACTCACTGCTTGCTGCATGACAGCCAGTAAGTCCAGGGACAAGGTGTAGGGGCAGGGAAGGTGACTTTATTCCAGAGAGCCACCAAACTGAAGAGATGGTGAACAAATATTCTAAAGAACCATCTTAAATTAATATGATTTTCAGGCTCCTTGTACGTTAGGGAAGGGAGGAAGAAGGAGGTGGTTGAGGTGAAGAGGTCTGACAATGACAGACTTATGGGCTGCAGTGAGAGCCAAAGGGGATGGTGAAAATTCTTTGTCTTTTGTCAGGTCACAATGCTCTTATAAATCTTCAACATAACACTGTTACTTGTGCATACAACCTCTTTATCTTTTCAGGAGTCAGTTTGGGGAAGGGATTATGATCATCTGTGTTTTAAAGTTAAACTGTAAGCTAAATCCCTCCCATAGATAGCTCGGGAGGGGCCTATCTGCAGAAATAAGGAAAAGCAGTTGGCCTGAAAGATATCACCACAGGGCAGGAAGGGTTAGGAGCAAAATGCAGTTAGTCATGCTAAGCCTCCTTTTCATTGCTATGTATTTAATTTACTTGAACACATAATTTTAATTTTATATATATATATATATTTTTGAGACAGAGTCTCACTCTGTCACCCAGGCTGGAGTGCAGTGGCATGATCTTGGCTCACTGCAACTTCTGCCTCCCTGGTTCAAGCAATTCTCCTGACTCAGCCTTCTGAGTAACTGGGATTACAGGAGCCCACAACCATGCCTGGCTAATTTTTGTATTTTTAGTAGAGACAGGGTTTCACCATGTTGGCCAGGCTGGTCTCGAACTCCTGACCTTGGGCTCCCAAAGTGCTGGGATTACAGGCATGAGCCACTGCGCCCAGCCTAACTAAGATCATTAAACCATTCTAATTTGTCAAAAGAGTCACACTGATTTTTGAAAAATAATGTAATGGGCTGGGTGCAGTGGCTCACGCCTGTAATCCCAGCACTTTGGGAAGCCGTAGAGGGCAGATCACAAGGTCAGGAGTTTGAGACCAGCCGGACCAACATGGTGAAACCCCGTGTCTACTAAAAATACAAAAATTAGCCAGGTGTGGTAGTGTGTGCCTGTAATCCCAGCTACTCAGGAGGCTGAGGCAGGAGAATCACTTGAACCCGGGAGGCAGAGGTTGCAGTGAGCTGAAATTGCACCACTGCACTTCAGCCTAGGCAACAGAGTGAGAGTCCATCTCAAAAATAAAATAAAATAAAATAAATTAAAAAAATAATAACATAATGAATTTTTTCATGTCTTTATATATTAAATATTTACATTATTTAAATTGTTCAAAAGCATCAAAGATTCCTCTCTATCAACTTCATTTCATTTATTTTATTGTACCAAACTATCAAGACCATTAATTTAATCTACAGCTAAATCTATTATTTTTTCATGTTAGAAATTCCACAAGAAAATTTTTCCCTAATGAAACCTCACATTTCAAGCATCCTAAGTAGGCTGGGCGAGGTGGCTCACACCTGTAATCCCAGTACTTTGGGATGCTGACAGGTGCATAACTTGAGGTCAGGAGTTTGAGACCAGCCTGGGAAAAATGGTGAAACCCTGTCTCTACTAAAGCTATAAAAATTAGCTGGGCATGGTGGCATGCGCCTGTAATCCCAGCTACTCTAGAGGCTGAGGCAGGGAAATAGCTTCAACCTGGGAGGCGGAGCTTGCAGTGAGCTAAGATCGCACTACTGCACTCTAGCCTGGGCTACAGAGCAAGACTCTGCCTCAAAAATAAATAAATAAATAATCATAAGTAGTAAAAAAGTAAAATGAAATAAAAAATAAGGCACAGTGTCTTGCTCTGTTATCCAGGCTAGAGTGCAGCAGGACAATCATAGCAGACCAACTTGGAACTTCTGGGCTCAGGCAATCCTCCTGGTTCAGCTTGCCTTGCATTTTTTTAGAGATGGGGTCTTGCCCTGTTGCCCAGGCTGGTCTCCAACTGCTGGCCTAAAGCAATCCTTCTGCCTCAGCCTGTTGAGTTGCTGGGAGTACAGGTGCAAGACATGCAGCCTAGCATTGTAGTAAAACAATTTTCAACAAATTCTTAATTTTCTTTCTTTTTCTTTTCTTTTTTTTTTTTTTTTTTTTTTTTTTTTTGAGTTGGGCGTCTTACTCTTTCACCCAGGCTGCAGGGCAGTGGTGCAATAATAGTTCACTGCAGCCTGCCTCAGTCTCCCTAGTAGCTGAGATTACAGTCATGCATTATCATGCCCAGCCAACTTTAAAAAAATTAGCTAATACTTAAAAATTTGTAGAGACAGGGGTTTCACTATGTTGCCCAGGCTGGTCTTCAACTCCTAACCTCAATTGATTCTCCCTCCTCAGCCTCCTAAAGTGCTGGGATTGCAGCCATGAGCCACCATACCTGGCTTAATTTTCTTATTTTAATCTTATGTAAGTGATTATTATTGTTCCTAAGATAATTGGGGCAGTGACTCCTTTAAAATTTTAGAGACCTAATTTATCTATTCACTTCACTGAAAGAGTATGCCAATTTGTTTCATGAGAAAATACCCTACATTCATAAAGCAGGAAAATTCCTTCCACCAAACTAGGGGGCATTCTAAAGAAACAAATTTTGCTAAGTAACATCACTTAAGGTGAAAACAGAGACAATGGTATCTATTAACAATGTTTATCAGTGAAGGAAATAAACTGAAAATATTAACATCATTAGATCCTTGGAGGGCCTTCATTGCTGAAAAATCTGAGTAATATTGTGATACCCTTTTGAGTCCGGCAGGACATTCTCTTTCCAGGGCATATAACAATGGGTGAATAATTTCTTTTCATTCATTTTCATTAAGGGCTGAACTTCCTTAATGTTCTGGAGATTATTAAATTTGATTTGTATAGTTGTGAAAAGTGCTCATATTGCTGATTCCATTGCTTATATGTGATCATATAAATCTTTTCTCTCCTTTCTGTAGTGTGGTTTAAACTTAATCCTTAAAGGACGTGTATTTGAATTTTTCAGCTGGTTAGAAACCTGAATATACCAATCAAAGAAAACTGCTCCTTACATGCTACAGATTTAGTTTTCTTCTTGTACTAAGATGTCTTTTAGATATAGTAAATTTGTTAAAGCCAAGAGCTCCTATGGAATGAAGTTGAATGGGAGGGGGGATGTGGAGTAGTAAGATCACCCTTGTAACAGAGATGCCACTCTTGCAGATTTTGACAACTATTGGGCCCATAAAACTTTTACCAAATATTGGAAAGACAAGATATGAACAGCTTATTATTGCTGCAGTCTCAAATATCAAGAAATACCATTATTCTCAGGACAATAAATAGGCAATAAAAAAGACTCACAGACCAGATTAGCTGTCCAAACAGGGAGTAGATCCTTATCAACACAACCCAACAGAGATTGTCCCCAGAAATTCACTTCATAACATCAAAACCAAAAACTCACACTGATGGCAAAAAATAATGATGCAATAATGAGAGAGAGACAGAGAGAGAGAGAGAGAGAGACCTGTCCTATAGCCATACTTAGTGGGTAAAAGCCAAAGAGCTCAATTTCTGCTCATGATACTTAATAGAACAGAGGGAACATGAGCCAATAGCTCAGTGGGTTCAGATACGCACCAAGTGCCTGTTGGATACAGGATTCTACTGTCTCCAATAATATGTCTCAGATGGACTAGTTTTTTTGTTTTTTGTCTGTTTTGTTTTTGTTTTTTATTTTTTGTTTTTGAGAGAGAGTCTCCCTCTGTCGCCCAGGCTGGGGTGCAACGGCACGATCTCGGCTCACGGCAACCTCCGCCTCCCGGGTTCAAGCGATTCTCCTGCCTCAGCCTCCCAAGTAGTTGGGACTACAGACGCACACCACCACGTCTGGCTATTTTTTTTGTTTTGTTTTGTTTTGTTTTGTATTTTTAACAGAGACAGAGTTTCGCCATGTTGGTCAGGCTGGTCTCGAACTCCTGACCTCAGTTGATCAGAAGTAGGTGAGGTCAGAAAACATACCCTGGGAGAGGCTGGCACAATGCCCAGATCCGCCATCGCTAGGCCTGGGGTTTTCTTCTGTAGTATTCATGTAGTGCAGGGACAAAACCAATTAGATACTTCTGGGAGTTAAAAAGAGATTAATTTGCCGGGCGCGGTGTCTCACGCCTGTAACCCCAGCACTTTGGGAGGGTTCACGAGGTCAGGAGATCGAGACCATCCTGGCTAACGCGGTGAAACCCCGTCTCTACTAAAAATACAAAAAATTAGCCGGGCGTGGTGGCCGGCGCCTGTAGTCCCAGCTACTGGTAGGAGGCTGAGGCAGGAGAATGGCGTGAACCCGGGAGACTGAGCTTGCAGAGAGTCGAGATCGTGCCACTGCACTCCAGCCTGAGCGACAGAGCGAGACTCCGTCAAAAAAAAAAAAAAAAAAAAAAAAGATGAATTTACAGTGTCATTTGAGAAGGGGTATTAAGGAATTTGCCAGGGTACTGACGCGTGTCAGGTGCAAACTGCAGGTTGAGAGAGAGCTAAGTATTTTCTGTCCATGAAGGTGATAAGCGAGGGCCTGAAGAAAGAGGAAGGGGGGAGGACACTGGCGCCAGAAATAGGAAAGGGCTGCTTGGGGGTGGGAAGGATGGGTCGGGGTGCTATCTAGAAAGCTGCCTGGCAATGGCTGTGGGATGCGGAAGCGAGACATCAAACAAGAAGCTGTCGCTTAAATAAAGTCTGAAGAAAGACTAGATATGTAAACGGCAGGAGATAGTAGGGAAACTGGACCCGTCTCCTCATAAAACTTCCCGCCTTATATTTCAGGGAGGATCGCAGCGCATTTCGGCCAAGACAGGTGAGACTGCGGTTTTGACCTGCGGGCCTCGATGAATTGCGTTAGGACACCTGGGCTCCGGGAGAGCCGTTCCACTCCGCAAAGTAAGCGTGTTATGTCTACAACCCAACGGGGACGCGCTAAGAGCCCTAAAGGCCCTGCTTTCATCCCAAAGAACAGCCCCCGCCTGCGTAGTTTGTAGCCGGCTCTATGAGGTGAGAACACATTCCCCGCTAGCACAGAAATCCTACAGACTCCTGAGGGGGCTGCAGCTAGAAGCAGAGGCTGTGTGAAATGTGACTGGGGGCTAGGGAAAAACACGTAGATTTTCACAGACCCTGAGAACCCAAGAGACTGCAGACCATGGGCAGACAAATCTCTGCAAAAAGCAGCCCCGCCTAGATAAAGGAAGAGCTGTGCGGCCTTCGCGCTAGCTAGCTTGTGTAAAGGTCGACGATTCTTATTTCTCCCGGGGCGGGGAGAAAGCGACATATTACTACTATTTCTCAGCCTTCGACTGTGAGAGTAACGATTAAGACTAAAACACAAGCCAGTAAAAAAAACAAGTAACCCTTGCTGTGTAGACTATTCTTTAAACTACAAAAAATCAGGGGAAAGCGCGAACGCAGTCCCCCACTACCACAAATTATGCAGTCGAGTTTCCCACATTTGGGGAAATCGCAGGGGTCAGCACATCCGGAGTGCAATGGATAAGCCTCGCCCTGGGAAAACCACCTTCGTGATCATGGTATCTCCCCTGCCAGGTAAGTATGAGATCTTGCACCTCCGCCCCGCCACAGCCTCACACGCTTCACCCTTTACACGCACGGTCACTTGCCCCGCGCAGCCCCCCCCCCCCCCCCCCCCACCCCCAGCCCTCCTAGCCCTGACACACAGCTGGGACTCTCAGGTCCGACCAGCGGTCCTGAACCCGCTCCCACGGCACGGGAAATCCTTCGTGGCGCAGCAGCAGGTGGGGAAGCAGCAGCCCCTGCGCTGCCTCATCTACATAGAAGTCGCCCTATCCGTGATGTCACCGACAGTGCCTTTCCCAGTCCCCGTCTGCCTTTCTGCCGCTCAGCCTACCAACCCGCTGCCGGAGCCGGCAGGGGGAAGTGACGTCTGTCTCTCCCTTTTTTCCCTCCCGCCCCGGCATCTGTTCTCGCCCGAAGAAGCTGGTCCTTAGCCTGCGCTGCGGAGCAACCTTTCAGTGGCCAGCTGGAGCCTGGGCACCGTTCTTCAAATAATGGCTTTTAATTCTCAGACGAGAACGTTTAGGATTACAAAAGAAACCGGTTCTCTTCACATCCTTATCCTTGTCATGTAGCATTCCGCTTGAAATTGGAAGCCGTTCAATGTCAGAGAGAAACCATATTTATGAAATGAAAGAGGCTTCTCAGATGACTGCAAACCAGCCTTCCTTACTGGTTTTATCACTGGTAATGTTATAAAGACAGTTGTCCAGTTTCATGAATCTTGTAGGTTTTTGTTTGTTTATTTGTTTGCTTTTGATGTTGTTGTTGTTGCTGTTGTTTTCCAACTTCAGTATTGTAGAAAAATATGCTGCCCCAGAAGAGATGATTGGACACTCTCCAGCGTGGTGTTGGACTTTGTCATCTCTTGCACAGCCATCTCCAGACCTTAGTGTTTACCTCACGTTAGTTTTTTATATTCTGCAAAGACAAAACCAAAATAATCCAAATTTGACACAAATACCTGGGATACATCTTATTTGAGATGTTTAACAAATGTCTGGATCATCTTTTCTTACATTGGATTATAACGCAGGAAACACTGTGAAGTAAGTAAAGTTGGAATTCCCAAGTCAAAGACCATTTGAATATTTACAAGTAGATTTGAGGCAGGAATAATACAGGGTGGCCGCAGGGTAACAAATTCTAGGCAGCAGATTTACATGACTTGAGGCTATGGGCTGATAAGACGCTGAAAAACCAGGGTGTGGACCAAGCTGGCTAAGACTGACTGGACCCAATGTGGTGCTGGATTTGATGTAGGTTTTACCGAGGCCCTCATTATATGCTCATTAACATACTAAATCACACACCCACCAGTGCCATGACAGTTCTGAGACCAATATGTGATGTAAAAATGGATGGCACCACAGTTCCGAGAAATCTCCACCTTTACCCAGGAATTTTCATGACTATTCCACTCCTTGGTTAGAGAAACCAATCAAGATGAAACCCCAGAACCCATTGTTCTCTGTCGGGTATGCCCGAACTCCCCTTTCTTGAGTGTGTACTTTTTGCTTTGCAATAAATCTCTTCTTTCACTGTTTGCTGACTCATCCTTGACTTTGTTCTTGAGATGGTGTCAAGAGCCTGGACACCACAGCTGGGGTCGAGATCCCACTAGTGTCCGGGGACTTTCCCCAGGCCACCAGTATCAGATTCTATTCCATTGCTCAAATCACAAAACATCGAGTGGAGAGTTCTCCTTGGAGACCATAAAGTAAAGATTCTGTGGCATGGTGGCCAGTTAGGCCACTGGAAGGCATGGCAAAATATTGAAAATGAGAGATTAGGTGACAGTGTAGTAATAACTGCTGAATACTAAATATTTGAGCCAGGCCCCATTCCCTGGATACTGACAGGGAGACACATTGTCCAGGTAGTAGTGGAGAAATACTTTCTGGGTATCTGACCAGCCTTTGTGGAAAGAACTGGCACCATCCTGCAGATGTAACCGCCTGATGGGTTCTTCCTGCCCACTGTACATACAAAATCAATTCATGGAGACCATGGCATTGAGGTAAAGAGTTTAATTGACACAGGCCAGCCACGACATGTGGGGGACAGAGTTATTACTCAAATCGATCTCACTGAAGACTTGGAGGTAAAGGGTTTTCAAAGACAGTTTGGTGGGGAGGGGGCTAGGGTTTGGGCGGTGCTGATTGTTGGGGATGAAATCACAGGGGTGTGGAAAATGCCCTCCTGCATTGAGTCAGCTTCTGGGTGGGAGCTAAGGGACTGGTTGATTTTTGGGCCAAATGGTGCCATCCAGTAGTCAGAAATGCAAAAGCCTGAAAAGACATCTCAAGAGGCCAATCTTAGGTTCTACAATAGTGATGTTCTTCACAGCAGTAATTGGGGAAGCTGCAAATCTTGTGACCTCTGGAATAATGGCTGGTAATTATTTAACGAGGCATACATCTTAGTAGAATTCAGGCCCCTTTCATCCTCCTAACTTGGTGGCCTTTCATTAGTTTTATGGGGTAATTTAGTTTTGGGGAAGGTTATCATTTTAACCAACATTTTTGGCTGTCCCCAACCTTTTTGGCACCTGGGACTGGTTTCACGGAAGACAATTTTTCCATGGAAGGGGGTGGTGGATGGTTTCTGGATGAAACTGTTCCACCTCAGGTCATCAGGCATTAGTTACAGTCTCATAAGGAGTGCGCAATCTGGATCCCTCACATGTGCAGTTCCCAATAGGGTCCGAGCTCCTATGAGAATCTAATGCCGATGCTGATCTGACAAGAGGCGGAGCTCAGGTGGTAATGCTCCAAAGCCTGCAGCTCACCTCCTGCTGTTCAGCTGGGTTCCTAACAGGCCATGGACCAGTACCTGTCTTGTGGCCCTGGGGGTTGGGGACCCCTGATTTAAACTATAAACTCAATTTTTCCCAAAGATAGCTTGGGAGAAATTGCACAGGAACGAGCAAAGACAGCTAGCCTGTGAGGCTAGAACCAAGATGGAGTCAGCCATGTCAGATTTCTCTGATTGTCATAATTTTGCAAAGGTAGTTTCTGAGGGACTACCCTGACACTTGTTAAAAGCATGAGGTGGATTTTATTGTATGTACTACAGTAGGCAAGAGAGACCAGCAGAGAACCGAGCTCAACCTCAAATACAGCAGGAAGAGTTGAAGATTATAGCCAATTGGCAAGATAAGAAAGTCAGTGGATGGAAAATTACTAAGAGGAACTTGATTAGCTATCAAAGGTGGTTGGGAGGACTCTTGCTAAACTAGACTCAACAGTATTCTTTTCTAAAACTGGACTTAGCAGGCCAAGAACTAATAGAGAAAAGGGCTCAGAGGAAACTACTAAGGTTTGGTCAAAGATGGAGTCCTTGTCAACTCTAAATTGAAGCTTCTGCAAATAAACGAAGACCAACCAAATGAAAAAAAGCAAAAGCTATTTATTCTGAGCTTGCTATGGCAGGGAGTCAGCCACTGTTACTTGTGTTTTGGCAGAGACTTGAAGGCAGTCAGAAGGGTGAGAAAGCTTTTTAAAAAGAAAGGCTTCAGGTATGCTTGGACTGGAGGCTGTCAGTATGGTGACGCTGTAGATAGATGAAGAAAATAAAAATATTTTACCCCAGAATATATTTCTTTGGTATATTTTAAGATGGCTGTCAGAGAGCCAGCAAACAGAAGTAACTCTGCAAAACTGTCTTTTGTAGGGGAAATTTACACCTGCAGAGAATCTGCATTAATCCAGCCTTCCCTTGTCAGGATTGAGAAATAAAAATAAGCCCTAGGCCCTACAACCAACTGAACAGACTCCCTCTTGGCTGACAGGACCACAGAGAAACCTTGAAAGCTGTTTCTGGCTGTGACAGGATAGGAGGTCGGACGTGCCCCCTTAAAACCCCTCCCTCACTAACTGCCATTATGAGGCAGGAGAATAGCAGAGGGAATTGGAAGTTGGATAAAAGGCAGAATGAGTAAAGGCAGAAACAGAAGCACGGTGATGGGGCGGGAGAGCAAGAAGCAAAATAAAAGGCAGAAGTTGAGCAACCTAAACAAAAAGTAAGATTAAAAAAAGCAAGGAAGACCGGGCACGGTGGCTCACGCCTGTAATCCCAGCATTTTGGGAGGCCAAGGCGGGCAGATCGCCTGAGGTCAGGAGTTTGAGATCAGCCTGGCCAACATGGCGAAACCCCATCTCTACTAAAAATACAAAACATTAGCTGGGCATGGTGGTGCACTCCTGTACTCCAGGCTACTTAGGAGGCTGAGACAGGAGCATTGCTTGAACCCAGGAGGCAGAGGTTGCAGTGAGCTGAGATTGCACCACTACACTCCAGACTGGGCAACAGAGAGAGACTCTGTCTCAAAAAAAAAAAATAGCAAGCAAGGACCCCATTGCTGGCAAGATCCAAACCAGTAAAGGGGCAGCTCCTCAGAGACAGACATGTGCATTCAAGAAAAAAAGCATCCTTAACATGACTCCATATGATAATCAGCTCATTAAAACTCATGCATATGGACTACATATCTTGCATGTACTTAAAATTATGGGGTGGAGACAATGTGCAAGCACACGAGGGCCAAAGTAACTAAGCAACCCACCCATCAATCTAAAGGCAAACACTGGCTAAAGATTAGGCATCCTTGGGAAGAGAAGAAAAAAAAACACACATAAAAAGACCCAAAGTACACCAAACTAATACTGATCTCATCTGCCACAGGTCAGCCCACTCTCCCCACTCCAAGAATGTTACTGTGCTTAATAAACTTTTGCTTTGCTTTGCTGCTTTGTGTGTGTCATGTACATTCTTCGTTTGGGACACCAAGAGCCTGGAACTGCATGGCACCATCTGGTAAGAATTAGGATTTTTTTTTCCTACGGGTTAACAAACCAACTCTTTGGAAAGACTTGCTTCACTACTGTTATCAATCAACAGCCTGATACTTTCCCTCCCTTTTGTGGTTTTGACAAAGCAAGCAAGCAGCATTCCCTCCTGATAAGAGACCACCGACCTAGGAATGATTCTGGCCAGACTACAGAGGATGTACAGTGAGAGTTTTCATGTCTTCTGCTTCAGCTTTTGATGTCAGAGGGCCACAAACTCCACTCTCAGATGATTGCTAATGCCACCATTTTATGAACATGGGCCCCATGGAGAGGCACAAAGCTCAACTGCACTTCTGCACATTTTTCCTCTTATAAATATTCATATTGGAATATTATTTGGTACTGCTTCCATGAAAGACACATTTGCAGAATGTACTCAAATTAGAAGCATTATATAAACACTATAATGTAGCAGTGGTGCATCCAGTTCTCTCTTTTTTTTTTTTTTTTTTTGAGACAGAGTTTTGCTCTTGTTGGCATGATTTCAGTTCACCGCAACCTCTGCCTCCGGGTTCAACTGATTCTCCTGCCTCAGCCTCCCGAGTAGCTGGGATTACAGGCATGTGCCACCACACCCGGCTAATTTTGTATTTTTAGTAAGGATGGGGCTTCTCCATGTTGGTCAGGCTGGCCTTGAACTCCTGACCTCAGGTGATCCGCCCACCTCGGCCTCCCAAAGTGCTGGAATTACAGGCATGAGCCACCATGCCCAGCCCCCAGTTGTCTATACTATACAAATATCTGCAGTGTAGACATTTCCACAATGACCAAAGATATGTGTACAAGAATGGTGACTGCAGCATTCTTTGTAATCCTAAAACCAAAACAACTTCATCCCAAAAACATTTTTTCTTTTTTTTTTTTTTTTTGAGATGGAGTCACACTCTGTTGCTCAGGCTGGAGTGTAGTGATCTCAGCTCACTGCAGCCTCCACCTTCCAAGTTCAAATGATTCTCCTGCCTCAGCCTCCCAAGTAGCTGGGATTACAGGTGCATGCCACCACGCCTGGCTAAAACATTTTGAAAAGGGTTAAATAAATCATGCACAAACTGAGGAAAAATACTGTTTTCAAAAATGGTGGAGAAGATCACTATGATGATGAATGATTCCACTGGTCACATTATTAATAGAACAATCAGTAAATCCAGGCACATCCTGGAGATAGTACTGAACTCCTATTACTAAAATATGAAAAAATGGAGGCACGTACATTACTCGTTTAAGCGCATAAGGGACTGAATTAGAATTTATCACACCAAAAGTGGGTTCCTAGGTATCTGTTTCAGGATCCTGAGTTACACAGGTGTAAACCCGCCATTTCAGGAGATACCCGGTTAAGAATCGGATGGGGGAGGGGGGCTGGCCCTTGACATGGATCAGTCATAAATTAGGGGTTTGGGGCTGGCCCTTAACATGGATCAGTCATAAATTAGTGGCTTGGTACTCCGGGAAGATAAAATCTTCCCCATTTGTCTAGTGATTGACAATGCGTGAATGCTTTAAAAGTTGCAATCAGCGTCCCTGGATGGGCTCGAACCACCAACCTTTCGGTTAACAGCCGAACGCGCTAACCCATTGCGCCACAGAGACAAGCACTACCAGTTCTAATAGGCAATATAGGAAGGGCACACTCACTAAACTTCCTCCGTCCCTTCTATTCTCAGCGCCCGCCTGGCAGGACGACTGAGCAAGGCTTTGGAAAACCAGAGAGATTAGAGCGGTGAGTTGCGCTGGTCACATTGGATACCTGCGCGTTAGGAGATTCTGGAGCCAGACGGAGAGCCGAATGGCCTTCGCCCGCCCTGCCCCTCTCTTGCTTCAGAAGCCCCCAGAAACTCCGCGGTCGGCGACCCAGCCCGAGCCGCCTGAGGTCCCAAGGGGAAGCTGAACGCCTGGTGGGCTCCCGGGATGGTTCTTCCCGTTCTTTGTGCCGCCTTCACCCAGTGAAGGAGCCTGTATCCACCCTGCTCAGTCGCTTTTGGGCTGCTGCGGAGCTTCCGCTGCCATCTTCGGATCCTGTGTTCCCCACCGGGGCTCCACCAGGGCAGGGATGGTGGTGAGGGTCGCTCCTGGGTCCCCTCGCGGGGAGCAGGGTCTGGCACTCACTAAGGCGCACGACTAGGACTTGTCGAATGAATCCATCGTCTCCTTTAGCTTTTAATCCTTTAAAGAGCACTGAGAGTGGAAATCAAGAGATTTTTTCCATGGGGAAGTTCTTTTTACAAAGCATTGATTTCTCGGCACCCCGCGGGGCGTGCAACTGGCAGGGCCTCTGGTGGGCTTTCTGCCGGGTGGAGCTGCGGGGGCTCAGCTGGGCGGGGGTCGGTTCCTGGGGCCGTAGGGTGGGAGCGGGGGAAGGGAAAAGCAAAAGCTGGGAAAGAAGCCAGGGAGACATGAACCAGACATCCAGACCTCCTGAAAGGCTCGTGCAGACGCACAGGCGGGATCTTCTGGAAGTGAGAATTGTTTTTGTTTATCTATTGTAGCAGAATGGGGAAATGGAGAGAGAACCTGAAAGAGCCCCAAACTCGAGGACCTATTGCTCCCCAAGAATAACATCTTCCAGAACTAGACAGAAACTAAGCGTCTGGAAACCCTGAAATCCTTGGAGGAGTAGCATCATCCTGACCCTCTGTGCTCCTTTTGGCAAAGGACTTGCTTCCATTGTTTGTTTGTTCAATTGTCTGTTTGTTAAATAAATAAAACTCTTTTCATATATCTTTAAAAGTACGTTGGTTCTATTATTTTATGATTACAAACAATGCTGCAGTCATCATTCTTCTACACTTGTCATTGGCCACTGGTATATTTCCATAGGGTGGAGGCCTGGAGAGCAGTTGTTCCAGCATAGTGCTTACATAGATTTTATTTCATTCCGTTTTCTTTCCTTTGTTGCTTTATTAGCTATAACCCTTTTCTTATTTCAGTGGCTGCTTTAGGGTTTCTGGGATATGTCTTTAATTTATCACAGTCTGCTTTCAGGTGTCATTATGTCTCCCTTTCTGGCCTTTATCCTAGTGTTATGTAATTTTACTTTATACATTATAATCCTTGTGATTCATTATTATTACTTTTATTTATTACACCAAATATTTTTTAAAAGATTTAAATTCTAAGAAAATGTGTAGTACATGCTTTCTAAATGCCATTTCCAGTATTCGTTTCTTTGTATAGGCCCACATTTTTATCTGGTATCCTTTTGCCTCTGCCTGGAGGACTTTTAATAAGATTTCTTGTAACGTGGGTTGGTGAATTGTTTTAGCTTTTGTATGTTTTTCGATGTCCTTATTTCACTCACAGTTTTGAAATTTTATTTTTGCATAGAATTCCAGGTTAACTTTTTTTCTCTGGGTACTTTAAAAATGTTACCATTTATGAAGCATTGCCATTATAATATCATCTTTCTTTCCTGTGTTTGTAAGAATGGCATAAAGCCGGTTTCTTGCGGTGGTTATATAATTTTCAGAATGTGTACTTAAATTTAAAATATTAAATTTTACTAAAAAACTAAAAATATTAATCATGAACATCCTAGATTCATCTTAAATTCCACCAACAGTGCACTTAAAATGTGCCCAACCTGAGGGTCAAACCTACCTGCTGACGTGTAATTTGTGTTTGTGAGACATTCTCAACAGCATTTGCTTTCCCTAGCTGAGTGATTTTCCTCACATCTGAATGTCTTCAGTACAAAAGGAAACCTTTGTCTTTGCAAAAATACTTTCAAATATTCTTACTTCAAGTAAGTGCATTAAAAACAAACTTCTCAGTTGCATCCCTGGAATCCGTGGAAAGCCCGGGAGAGACAGTCAAGTGGTTCAGGATCAAGAGCTAAACAAGGGAAGACAAAGCGTGGCTTCTTCACTAGGAGTCCAGCCAAAGTCAACTGATTTGGTCTCCAGTGGAGGTCGGAACTCGGTTCACCAGCGACGTGAGGACCCGGCCCAGAGGAGGCGGACTTTCTCTTCCTGGTGCCTTCAGATAGGAAATCTAGAATTTCTTTCTTTCCCTTTGATCTACTTCTAACTCTCCCGTTCTATTTCTTCAAGACCTTTTTCGGATCCCTACTGCGAAGGACCTAAGGGGCCGATGCCCTTCCCTAACGGTCCCTCCCTGGCTGAGTGTCTTCGGAGCCCAAGCTCACCTGTAAGGTTACTGCCCTCCGGAGACAGCGAGAGGACCAAGGAGGGCGGCGGGTGCGGTGGGAACCACAGAGTCACCGCGCACCTGCGCCTCGCGGGCTCCTAGCAAATTGAATAAATGATCCCTGAAGCTTCTCTGCAGGTCACAGGGAAGGGGAGGGTAGGGGTCGACCCGCGGAAGAAGCTTCAAGAAGCATCGGGAGGACCTGGCCCTGCCTCTGGGCCTTGAAAACAGGCCTGGCCAGGCTGATTTTGTCGCGTAGGCCCAAAGAAAAGTGTCAAGGGCGGCCCAAACCCTGACCTCGAGATTAAGGCTCTTAAATGTCTGACGGTTTTGAGACTCGTCTGTAGAATCGATCCCGCCTGTATCCGGAGACCGGAGACTCCTTTGCCAAAATTCAGAGACCAAGAAAGAGAAAGATTGGGCAGATCAAAGTCTGTAATTAACCCAAACAGGAAACGTAATTTTTCTGACAAATTGTATGTGTGCTCTGAGAAAAAGACTAGCCTCAAGGAGAATCTGTTTTTTTGGCTTGAGTGTAGGGAAGAATGGAATTGCCACCAACAATGTTGCGTTGAAACGGCAGGTGCATCAGGCTGTAGATGTGAAGGAATTAAAAATATTTCACCCCAAAATACATTTCTTTGACACATTTTGAGATGTCTGTTCAGAAAGCCAGCTGCAGAAGTAGCCCTGCAAAGTTGTATTTTGTTGGGGAGATTTGCATCTGTAGGGAATCTGCATTGATGCAGCCAAGTCTTTCTTTGCCCAGATCTAGGAAAGATTAACTGAGAGTCTGACAGCTGTAAAGGTCTCAAAGAAACTTTTAGGGTTTACTGTCTCTGAGAGCTGCTACCTGTAAGGTTTCATTTACATATTAAGACCACCTTTGCTAGCTAAGCCTCCTCTTCTCTCCCTCCTATAACCTGTCTTGCCCACAATAAATGGATATACATCTGACTCTGATGGTACCTGGTTTTGGCCATGCTTTGAGCCCTCATTCATTCTGTTACCTCGAGATGGTGTATAAGCTTCTGCATCCCATTGTGGGTAGGGTAGGGTAATCACTCTGTGGCCCTCCCCAAGTACATGTTAGTACATTTTATGCCTTTTCTCCAATTAATCTGCCTTTTGCGAGTTGATTTTTGAGTGAAACTTCAGAGGGTTAAGAGGGAGGGTTTCCATTGGCCCCTACAGTTTTGGAGCTGTAAGCAGGATAGTAAAGCTCTGCTCTTCTGGAAGCTGCAGTGAAGAACCCAGGATCTGATCAGCTGTCATAAGGGTAAGAATTTTTTACCAGCCAGGCTCCCAGCCTCCTTCTCTGTGTGGAATCTGATCAAGTGCACAGTAAAAATCACTGCTTCTTTTCCCTCTCCAAAATCTTGATTAATGGGAGAAAAGGATTGACTAGTCTTGGGTGTAGTGACTCTGGTGTGCTTTTTTGGTACTTTGTGGTACCAATTCATATTGTTTAATCCCTTTCTTCCCAGAAAATGTCTGTTCCTTTGTCTTTGTCTCTACGTGTTATTCTGTCATAAAAGGGGGTACTGGTTGAGGTTCCTTCTTATCTTATTTTATGTCCTTGAGAGCTTGACTTGTGACAAAGTGGGAGCACTTTCTCTTGGTTTCCGCTATCGGGTAAGAGGTGGTAATTTTCAGGTCATATTAGGTGGCCTGTCTGAAAATGGCTGGAAACCCGAGTACACTTTTTGTTCTAACTATGTCAAGCTCTTGGGGTTTGTCTTAAGAAGTCCCATCCCTTCGAGGCTTTTGCCGTCTCAACTCTTGTTGCCTGATTAGTCCTAGAAAAGCTCAGTCCCAAGAGGGCCTACCTGGTATCACAGATTCACAGGTCTGTGACTGGAAGCCTCCACAAATTTGTGGGTTACTGGAGGCAATCATCATCCTTAACTATCTGTGGCCTACTCCTTACATTGAACTTTTTTCTTGGAGGGGAGTCTTTGGGATTGCCTCTTCTATGCCCTTCCCAGGAAGTTAACCTGGAAAATGACATCCTGGGCTTTCCACAAAGAGGCTATTTGGTTGAATTGCTATTGGAATAATTATACCATTGGATATTCTAGTTGCCAATGGCCTGAAGATGGATCCCTTAAATTAGACACCTGAATTAAAAAAAAAAAATTAGAGATCTCTTATTTGAAACAGTTGATAGGAAGATCAAATTAAAAGAAAGGCACATACTAGTGTGATAGCTACCCTTAAAAATTCTCTTGACAATATTATCTGTCTTGTGTAGGGAAAAAATTCTCTTGACTAAATTAAAGAGCAAAATTTGATCCAAAACAAAGTTAAAATTCTTCATAAGCTCAAACTGCCTGCTCTGGATCCCTTCCAGGATTCACAATAAAGTCTGCTCTACCTTGCAGTTTAGTACTTAAAGTTCTGTGCTTTTGCTGCCATAGCCTGGGTTCAATTTCCAGTCAGGGAACCAGTTTATTTTGGCTTGATATTTGTGTGACTTTTGACTTTTTGGAATACCCATTTATTGATCCTTTTCCCGTTCATGGGCAGCTTTTTTTGTTCTTTTTGTTTGTTTGTTTATTAAGACAGATTCTCACTCTATTACCCAGGCTGGAGTGCAGTGGTGCAATCTCGGCTCACTGCAAACTCCGCCTCCCAGGTTCAAGTGATTCTCCCACCTCAGTCTCTCAAGTAGCTGGGATTACAGCCACCCACCACCATGCCTGGCTAAGTTTTGTATTGTATTATTAGTAGAGACAGGGTTTTGCCATTTTGGCCAGGCTGGTCTTGAGCTCCTGACCTCAAGTGATCTGCCCGCCTTGGCCTCCCAAAGTCTTGGGATTATAGATGTGAGCCACCACTCCTGGCCATTGGCAGCTTTTGATTTCCTGTCCTCCCAACTTCCAAAGTTTATGAAGAGAAATCTGTTGATAATCTTATTAAAGATTTCTTACGTGTGATCAGTTGCTTTTCTCTTACCGATTTAAAGATTCTCTGTTTTTGACTTTTGAAAGTTTGATTATAATGTGTTTTGGTGTCGGTCTCTTTAAGTTTATCTTACTTGGAGTTTGCCTGGCTACTGTGTTTGTATTCAGGTCTTTCATCAAATTTGGGAAGTTTTCAGCCATTATTTCTTCAAATATTCTCTCTTGCCCCTCTCTCCTTCTTCTTTATAAATTCCACAATGCAAGGCTGGGTATAGTGGCTCATGCCTGGAATCTCAGCATTTTGGGAGGTCGAGGTGGGAGGATCACCTGAGGTCAGGAGTTTGAGACCAGCCTGACCAACATGGAGAAACCCCGTCTCTGCTAAAAATACAAAATTACCCAGGCATGGTGGTGCATGCCTGCAATCCCAGCTACTCGGGAGGCTGAGGTGGGAGAATCGCTTGAACCCAAGAAGCAGAGTTTGCGGTGAGCCGAGATCACGCCATTGCATTCCAGTCTGGGCAGCAAGAGCGAAACTCCATCCCCCCACCCCCCACCCCCAAAACAACAACAACAAAAAAGGAATTCCACAATGAATATGTTGGTCCACTTGATGGTCACTTAGGCTCTGTTCACTTTTCTTCAATTTTTTTTTATTTCTGTTCCTCAAACTGGATGATTTCCATTGCCTTATCTTCAGGTTCACTGATTGTTTCTTCTGCCTGCTCAGCTTTCTTCAAATTTGACTTTGAATCCCTCTAGTTAATTTTTTATTTCACCTATTTTACTTTTCAGATCCAGCACTTTTTTGTTTCTTTTTTGATTTTCTATCCTTTATTTATATTTTCATTTTGTTCATGCATTATTTTCTTGTCTTGTGCTACATCTTCCTTTAGTTTTTGGGTACCTTTAAGACACCTGTTTCAAAGTCTGTCAAGTAGCACATCCAGGAGGTTGTTTTTTTCTCTCTCTCTTTAATTATTTATTATTTTTCTTTTCATTTTCTTCCCCCATGACCAAATCTTAACTTGACTATCAGGCATTTTTCAGTGAGAGTTTCTGTTGGTTCATTTTTTTTTATTTATTTTTATTGTTGTTGTTGAAAACTGGACATTTGAATCTACTAGTGTGGTTAATTCCAGAAATTAGATTCTCCTCCTTCCTCAGGGTTTGCTGTTTTTCTGTTATTGTTTTGTTTTTTGATTATTGTAGGTTGTCTCTATGCCAAGGATCAGCCTGAGGTATAAACTTATGGTCTTCACAGATGTTTTCTGAGCCTGAACCTTTCCCTGGGTGTGTGGTCACTCCCTAATTTTACCTATATATGCAGTTATTCTTGAATATTTTATCCTTTAATGTCTGGCTCCCAAAAGGGGAAAAAGAGAAAAATTGAGGGAGGGTGAAAAAAGGGCACCATCCCTTTAAACTTTCTGGAAGTTGCTTCAGCTTAGGGTGAGGAGCTTGCTACAATGGGGGAAGGTACAGCAGTAGCTGCCAGCCTCTTTGTCTCTGTGCTGCAATCAGACATTAGAGAACAGAGCCCCAATGTGTGTGTGTGTGTGTGTGTGTGTGTGTGTGTGTGTGTGTGTGTGTGTGTGTGTTTTGAGATGGAGTCTTTCTCTGTCACCCAGGCTAGAGTGCAGTGGCATGATCTCAGCTCACTGCAGCCTCCGCCTCCTGGGTCAAGTGATTCTTGTGCCCCAGCCTCCTGAGTGGCTGGGATTATAGGTGCCTGCCACCACACCTGACTAATTTTAGTAGAGACAGAGTTTTACCATGTGGGCCTGGCTGGTCTTGAACTCCTGACCTCAAGTAATCCACCCACCTCGGTCTCCCAAAGTGCTAGGATTACAGGCATGAGCTACTGCACCTGGCCCAGACCCCCAGTGTTTGGAGACAGCATTCTTTTTGCCCATTCTGGATCCTGAAAGATGTGTGCAGCTTACTGTAGGAACACAAGCTGACTGCCTTGGGGGTAGTGTTGGGTAGCTGCTATTGTGCTAAGGGCCGAAATTGACTGAAATTACCTACAATTTACCATCTGGGCCTTCCTCTGGAAGTTGCAAGCCTTCAGTAGGCTCCAGAGTTCTGAAATATTTACATCTGACAGATCCTGCCCATGCAGTTGTTGTGTAGATTCCAGGTGCTTCTCATTCCACCATCTTCCCAGGATACCCTCTGACCTTCTGGATTTTGAATTCAGTCAAGCTGTTCTCTAACAGCTGGGGTGAAAGCCAACAAAGATCCTGCTAAGAAAGCTCCCTGGAAAAAAAATGTTCAAAAGTAACACAAATATCAAACTGGAAAGAAATTGATTTAGGAACCGAACCCAGGTTGTCATGGTGAAAAAAGGAGCAGAACCTTAGCTACCGAACTGCAGCCTGGGGTATGAGGTGACTACCATCACTTTTTTAGTTTGGTTTGGCTAGCAAAGGTGGCCTTGTTATACAAATAAAGCCACTCAGGTAGTCAAAACCTTTATTTTCTGTTTTTTTTCTCTCTCTTTTTTTTTCTTTTTGAGAAGGAGTCTTGCTCTGTCACCCAGGCTGGAATGCAGTGGCGCAATCACGGCTCACTGCAAGCTCTGCCTCCCAGGTTCATGCCATTCTCCTGCCTCAGCCTCCCAAGTAGCTGGGACTACAGGCACCCGCCACCACGCCTGGCTAATTTTTTGTATTTTCAGTAGAGACGACGTTTCACCGTGTTAGCCAGGATGGTCTCGATCTCCTGACCTCATGATCCACCTGCCTCGGCCTCCCAAAGTGTTGGGATTACAGGCATGAGCCACCGTGCCTGGCCCTATGCCTGGCTAATTTTTAAAAATTTTTTGTAGAAGCAGGGTTTCGCCGTGCTCCCCAGGTTGGTCTCAAACTCCTGAGCTCAAGTGCTCCAACCACCTTGGTCTCCCAAAGTGGTGGGATTACAGGTGTCAACCACTGCACCTAGCCTCTAAATCCATATAAATCAATTATTCACGCACTGAGCAGAATATTCAGGATTTTTTTTCTTATAATATAAATGATGTGGAAAACTGGAGAACCAAAGAAGAACACCAAGACTATCTAAAAGTGTTAAATTTTTCATTAGAAAGAAAATGACTTCATGACAGTTCTTAAGACAATGATAGAACTTGGGGAAATATGTATTCCTTGATGTTTCTATGCATTTGCAATAATAAACAATGAAAATATGGTTAAATTTTAGAAAGAGATAGGCCTGTGGTATTGTCACAAGGGTATACAAATACTCAGAATGACTGCTGAGGCAGTGCTCTCCATTGGTGGTGACCTTCAGAAGAGACCTGTGTTTCCACATGGCCTAGACACCTGGAAGGCAGAGATCCTAACATTCCATGACACCCCCACCTTCTAATTCTGTTATTGTGACTCCAGACCATTACCTGGCACCGGGTCTGATTTCTGGCATTCCTATCAGAGCCTGAGTCACAGACAGTACCTTAGACTCTAAGCTTAGGCACCTTGTGCCTTGTTTTTGTGGCTAAGGATTCTCAGAGTTGTAGGATGCTGACAAAGTTTATCCCAAAGGTAATTTATGAATCAGATCTGCTTTCTTTTGACTTGTTTAAACCCTTCATTTAATGTAAAGAAACTTTATTGAGGTATAATTTACATACTATAAAATTTACCCATTATAATTGTACAGTTCAATAATTTTTAGTAATTTACCCAAGTAGTGCAACCATTACCACAATCCATGCATTTGTTTTTAATTTATTAATTGTCTGGGTTTATTCTCCCTAGGCTCTGATTGTACTTTCTCCACAAGCTTCAGCATGGCAGTATCTCTCACCACTTGTTTTGGTCCAAGGGCAGAAATGAGCATCCTGGAAACCAATCAGTACTTGCTCTCTGAACTGGAAAAGTGCAAAGAGAACTTCCGAGACCTCACAGAGAAATTCCTGACATCCAAAGCTACTGCCTACTCCCTGGCCAATCACCTGCAGAAATATAGTAGGTCCCATAGGGGCATGGTCACCAAAGTGATAAATGATTGTCTGTCTTTCCTCTGTGAAATGAAACACTGCAGACTTTATTCTTTATCAAAATTAATTTTATCCTAACTACACTCCCAGAAAGGTAGAAGTGGGCCTTTTACTCTCAATTTGCCAAGGACAGAAAAACTGAGGCACAAAGGTGTAAAGTTTGCAGGGCGAGTGTAGTGAGGAATAGAGACTAAAACCTTGGTTTAGGCATGAAACTGTCTTTCCCCTCTCAGCAATGAATATCAGATTCTACAAACATGTAACATCACTGTTGGTTAAAACATCTCAGGATTCGATTTAAACTTTTTTAAGAGCGCCCATTTGCAAAGCACTGTGCCAACAGCACCAGGGATGAAAGAAGTAATAGTATACCCTATCTGCCTTGAAGGAACTTAAAACTACCTATTCTCAACTGAGTCACAGATATGTGGAGATGCAAACTTCAATAGCAGACACGGAGAAAAATCTTTATGATACCTGGATCAAGATTCTCTTCCCACATAAGTTCACATAAGCCATTCCTCATGTTCTGGTTAGATTGAGGGTATTTCCATAAAAATCAGTGACTTTGTTACACCCTTTCTGTCTCTCTCTGAGTATCAACTTTACAGACAGCAAGCAACTGCAGGTGGATGTCCAGGATAAGAGCTATGAGACATATGGCCAAAATGAGAACAAGGCCAAGTGGAAGAGACCGCCATTCTCAGTAGAAGGCCAGGCCAGGTTAGGGGCTGGCCCTTTCCTCTCCACAGTTAGCTCTCACATTTTTAAATCCAATGTAAAATCCCAAACCTGTTACTAATAGTCGGAGAAGGGGGAAGCTATAATGACAAGGAAACATGGGAACAAGGGCATGAGAGGAACAGGGATATTAGAAGAGGATTCTGGTTAACATTGAAATTGAGTTTGCTTTCCAATTTCTACAATTGTTTTTAAATAAATCATCGTGTGGGGGGTGGTTAAATTTGCTGTCTAACTTACTGTCATAGAAAAGTAAAGCCAAAAGCCCACTTATTAAAGAAGTGAAAAGATGAGCTTTGGTTTGTTGAAAAACTAGTTAAAAAAAAAAAAAACTTCATTCATTATAATTGTAGGAAAAATATTTCTCAAGCTAGAGAAGAAGAAAGATATTACCTAAGACCTTAGTATAAAGGTATTATTGTGCAGTGATTAAAGAGCATATACCCTAGGGCCAAATCTCCTGGGTTCAAATCTAACTTATTGTCTCTGTGCCTCAGTTTTCTCATCTGTAATGGTAACAGAGTAGGAACTACCTCTTTGGATAGTGGTAATGATCATATGATCATAATTCTTAAAAACCTACTGCAACAGTACCATGACAAACACTATGTGTTGGTTCTCCCTTTAAAACACTATTAGCATTTGGGCATATATCATTTGGATCTTTCTCCTCCATATACAGTTTTACACAGTTGTATACAGATAAATGTTTAAATCTTTGAAATATTTTCGAATTATTGAAACTCTTGAAACAGGAGAACCATCAGTTCTACAGTTCTTAGTATCTTCCTAAATACACAGGAAGTCATTATTTCATGCCCTTATGTTCATGTTTTACTTAAGAGGCTGTAAGGCTTGGTGAATTGGCCTTAAGATTTGAAGTCATGGCCGGGTGCAGTGGCTCACTTACTGTAATCCCAGCACTTTGGGAAGCCAAGGTGGGCGGATCATTTGAGATCAGGAGTTCGAGAGCAGCCTGGCCAACATGGTGAAGCCCTGTCTCTACTGAAAATACAAAAACTAGCAGGGTGTGGTGGGGCACACTTGTAATCTCAGCTACTTGGAAGGCTGAGGCAGGAGAATAACCCGGGAGTCAGAGGTTGCAGTGAGCTGAGATCGTGCCACTGCATTCCAGCCTGGGGAACAAAGTGAGATTCCATCTCAAAAAAAAGAAAAGAAAAGAAAAGTAAAAGATGTGGAGTCAGACCCCATGGGACGTGAATTCTGACTGCTTCATTCCAGTTGAATCATCTTGTCAAGTTACTTTATCGGCCTGTGGGCTTTTCTTTCCTCATCTCTAAAACAGGGAGTAGTTGAGAGACTGAGGAATAAAGATATGGAAATCCCAGTGTAAAGCCTGGTACCGGGGATACTTTTATCCTTGAGATAGACCCTGCCTCCTGCCCTGCAGGCAGTGACCACAGCAGCATGGCCAGCCTTCCATGATGCAGGCATGTCTGTCTTCTCTCAGAGTGTGAAGAGTGCAAAGACCTTATAGAATCTGTGCTGGAGGAGGAGCTGCAGTTTCAGGAGAGGGAGCTGACCAAATTGCCAAGGCCAGCAGCAAGGCTCCGGTAAGGAGGTACCTCTGTGGGAAGTGTATAAATACTGTTTGAGGTGGGGCAGCTCAGGCAGGTAGAACAAAGAGCAAATTTGTGCAAGGAGAAGGGCAGAAATGTATGAGGCAGGTACAGAACTAGACTAAGACACAATGAGGCTATAGTCTAGTTAGGTCTCTAGGGTTTTCCATTAAAGAACATATTAGTAAAATGGAGACAGCTGCCTGCATTGGAATACTAGCAACGTGGCTTCTATTTGTGTATCCTTGGTCAAATTTACTGCACTTTTCTGCATGTCATTAACCTAGGCTACCTCATTTATAAAACGGAAATACTGACAGTATCTACCTTAGAGGGTTATGAAGATTAAATGCACAATTGCAAGTAGTTAAAACCATCTCTAACACATATAAAACTCTGAACAACTATTTTCTGTAATTATTTTATTTGTTCCCATTTATAGATGTGGTGATTGTCATTAACATTTCCTATAAGAGATATTTTCAAACTTTCCAAAGTGCCTTTCATGATAAGAAAGTTTCTCCTCCAAACTTTTTTAAAAAGTATTATACTAGGTGAAGTATTAACTGGTAGGGCTATTGGGTAGATAGATGATTGAGCAGCTGTTGTGTGGAAAATGAATTATTAATTCACTCAGGACCAGCATTGACTATCCTTAGAGGGTTTCAGACATAAGGTAGATTGTAGCATTTGAAACTTCTTTTAATCCTTTGTTGAAATGAAATCATAGAAGCTCAAATGTGTAAAACTCACCAAAGCAGAGATATTTGATTGAAGGAGGGATAGGTCTGGAGCCCCTGTTTCTCGCCAGTATGTGTCTTTACTTCCCCTGACACTGTCTAGTAACTCTGTCGAATAGAGTTTGAAAGAGGACCTGCAGATAACAACTTTGAAGAATAGCAGGGAGAAAATTCAAGCATTAGATGGGGTAGATGACTGTAAATGTTCAGTCCAGCTCTGGGATTACATGGTTCTAAACATTAACTGAATAACTACTTGTATGTGTACATACTACCAGGTGCTGTGAGTTGGGTAATAGGTGGCACTGTCTTTAGACTCACAGAGCTCACACTCTACATTGGAACCCATGTGTATTAGTCCATTCTGACACTGCTATAAACATGTACCTGAGTCTGGGTGATTTATAAAGAAAAGAGGTTTAATCGGCTCATGGTTCTGTGGGCTGTACAGGCTTCTGCTTCTGGGCAGGCCTCAGGAAACACAATCATTGCAGAAGTTGAAGGGGAAGCAGGCATGGTCTTCACATGGCCAGAACAGGAGAGAGAGAGAGAACAAAGAGGGAGGTGCTACACTTTCAAACAACCAGACCTCATGAGAACTCACTCACTACCACGAGAACAGGAAGGGGGAAGTCCACCCCCGTGATCCAGTCACTTTCCAGCAGGTCCCTCCCCCAACATTGGAGATTACAATCCAACATGAGGTTTAGGTGGGGACACAGAGCCAAACCATATCACCATGAGAAATATTTGAACAATAATTAGAAAGCAATGAAATCCCACATAGAGTAATGAAGTTACTACTCAGAACATTACTTCTTTTTTTTGAGATGGAGTCTTACCCTGTTGCCGAGGCTAGAGTGCAGTGGTGTGATCTCAGCTCACTGCAACCTCCACCTCCTAGGTTCAAGCGATCCTCCTAGGTCAGCCTCCCAAGGAGCTGAAAGTACAGGTGCACACCACCACACCAGCTAATTTTAGTATTTTTAGCAGAGATGGGGTTTCGCCATGTTGGCCAGGCTGCTCTCAAAACTCCTGACCTAAGGTGATCCGCCTGCCTTGGCCTCCCAAAGTGCTGGGATTACAGGCATGAGCCACTGCACATGGCCGGAACTTTAGTTTTAACTGCCTTCTTACTGATTATGGTCTACCTTCATGTCATTCAAAAGAATACTGCCCTTCTTGACCTTTTCACTGATTTTTCTTTTTAACTTTCAATTAATACCAGAGATACCTGCCCAACACTTTTGAATCTGGCTTTTTTTTTTTCTGCCAGTTACTGCATAATGCTTGATGTATATTGTATGAAAATGTACTTGGGCTAAAGTGGGGAACCAAAGGGGCATCTTTTTAAAGCAAAGGTAGTAAAATAACAGACAAACCCAAGGCTGGTTCTTCATTCCTTCTGCCACAGGCAAGTCACACAACTTGTACAAGAATTAATCTTGGGCCAGATGCAGTGGCTCATGCCTGTAGTCCCAGCACTTTGGGACACCGAGGTGCACGAGTCATTTGAGGTCAGGGGTTCGAGACTAGCATGGCCAACATGGCAAAACCCCATCTCTACAAAAAATATATAAATTATCCTGGCATGGTGGTGGGCACCTGTAATCCCAGCTACTTGGAAGGCTGAGGCAAGAGAATTGCTTGAACCTGGGAGGCGGAGGCAGAGGCGGAGGCTGCAGTGAGCCGAGATCTTGTCACTGCACTCCAGCCTGGGCGACAGAGTAAGATTCTGTCTCAAAAAAAAAAAAAAAGAAAAAAAAGAATTCAACTTGGGAGTTCCTTACAGGGATTCTAAGAGATCTCTCCTCTGAAACTTCTATAACCTATTATTCACTACATTCCCTCTTACATTTTACTCTTCTTTCCCACCTTAGGATACATGATCCCTTAATTCAGGCTCAGGCTGAAGAACTGACCCACTTACGACAGAAGATACAAGAAGGGAGAGGTGTCTGCTACCTTTTCACCCAGCATGTGAAGAACACAGTCAAGTCTTTTGAGGGCCTTCTCAGGAACACTGGCATTGCCTACTACCAGAGACAGAGATTCTGTGAGCAAATGGTACAAGGAAGCCAGCTAACAGAGATCCTTGTCAGAAAACTTGCCACAGGTAAGTTGGCTACAGGCTCTGAAGACCCTTAGCTCCTCCCAAGTGCCCCAAAGTGGGGAGAAAAAATGCAAAGTTATCTCCATTGTAGATTTTATTTTAGTTTTGACTATGGTCCTTAATCTGCATTCTATTGTTTTCTCTTTAGAGCACTCAGGTAATCACTTTTCATATTCTTTCAAGAGTCCTGAGTTTTGTTTTTTATTTTGAGACAGAGTCTGCTCTCTAACCCGAGCTAGAGTGCAGTGACGCGATCTTGGCTGACTGCAGTCTGTGCCTCCTGGGCTCAAGCAGTCATCCCACCTCAGCCTCCCAAGTAGCTGGGACTACAGGTGTGTGCCACCACACCTGGCTAATTTTCATATTTTTTGTAGAGACAGGGTTTCTCCATGTTGCCCAGGCTGGTCTTGAACTACTGAGCTCAAGTGACCCATCTGCTGTGGCCTCCCAAAGTTCTGGGATTACAGATATGAGCCACTGTGCCTGGCCTGAGAGTTCTTAGTTTCAATCAGTAAGAGAGGTAGAGTATAGTGGATTACTTCATCTTGATGAGCATAAGAACTCACCTTCATTTCTGGAAGATATTTTCACTGGATGTAGGATTCTAGTTGACAGTTTGTGTTTTTAAAAAGTGTTTGAAAAGTGATATTCCACTGTCTTCTGGCTTACATTGTTTCCAACAAGAAGTCTTCCATAATTCTTATTTTTGTTCCTCTGTACATAATATGTCTTTTTCTCTGGCCGCTTTTGAGATTTTCTGTTTATCACTGGTTTGAAGCAGTTTGATTAAGGTAAGACCATGTATAGTTTTATCTTTTAAGTATTGTTTTACTTTATTTAGTTTCTTGCATCTGCATGTTTATAGTTCTCATCAAATTTGAATAGTAATGACATATATAGTCTTATCTATGGCATATACAGTATATTTGGCACATATATATCAAATATATATAATGTATATTCTATTCTTTCTCTCTATCCTCTCCTTCAAAGACTCCAGTTATATTTGTATTAGCTGCTTTGAAATTTTACCATAGCTGACTAATGGTCTGTTCATTTTTGTTGTATCTTTTTTTTCTCTCTTTGTTTCTTTCTATTTCCATGTCTCGGAATTGATTAATCTTTCTTTAGCAGCATCTAATCTGCTGTTAATCCTATCCAGTGTATTTTCATCTCAAACTTTATTTTTCTTTTTTTTTTTATTTTCCACTTTGTCATTGTGTGTTGGTTTTTTTTGTTTTTTTTTTTATTATACTTTAAGTTTTAGGGTACATGTCCACAATGTGCAGGTTAGTTACATATGTATATATGTGCCATGCTGGTGTGCTGCACCCACTAACACGTCATCTAGCATTAGGTATATCTCCCAATGTTATCCCTCCCCCCTCCCCCCACCCCACAACAGTCCCTAGAGTGTGATGTTCCCCTTCCTGTGTCCATGTGTTCTCATTGTTCAATTCCCACCTATGAGTGAGAATATGCAGTGTTTGGTTTTTTGTTCCTGCGATAGTTTACTGAGAATGATGATTTCCAATTTCATCCATGTCCCTACAAAGGACATGAACTCATCATTTTTTATGGCTGCATAGTATTCCATGGTGTATATGTGCCACATTTTCTTAATCCAGTCTATCATTGTTGGACATTTGGGTTGGTTCCAAGTCTTTGCTATTGTGAATAATGCTGAAATAAACATACGTGTGCATGTGTCTTTATGGCAGCATGATTTATAGTCCTTTGGGTATATACCCAGTAATGGGATGGCTGGGTCAAATGGTATTTCTAGTTCTAGATCCCTGAGGAATCGCCACACTGACTTCCACAATGGTTGAAATAGTTCACAGTCCCACCAACAGTGTAAAAGTGTTCCTATTTCTCCACATCCTCTCCAGCACCTGTTGTTTCCTGACTTTTTAATGATTGCCATTCTAACTGGTGTGAGATGGTATCTCATTGTGGTTTTGATTTGCATTTCTCTGATGGCCAGTGATGGTGAGCATTTTTTCATGTGTTTTTTGGCTGCATAAATGTCTTCTTTTGAGAAGTGTCTGTTCATGTCCTTCACCCACTTTTTGATGGGGTTGTTTGTTTTTTTCTTGTAAATTTGTTTGAGTTCATTGTAGATTCTGGATATTAGCCCTTTGTCAGATGAGTAGGTTGCGAAAATTTTCTCCCATTTTGTAGGTTGCCTGTTCACTCTGATGGTAGTTTCCTTTGCTGTGCAGAAGCTCTTCAGTTTAATTAGATCCCATTTGTCAACTTTGGCTTTTGCTGCCATTGCTTTTGGTGATTTAGACATGAAGTCCTTGCCCATGCCTATGTCCTGAATGGTAATGCCTAGGTTTTCTTCTAGGGTTTTTATGGTTTTAGGTCTAACGTTTAAGTCTTTAATCCATCTTGAATTGATTTTTGTACAAGGTGTAAGGAAGGGATCCAGTTTCAGCTTTCTACATATGGCTAGCCAGTTTTCCCAGCACCATTTGTTAAATAGGGAATCCTTTTCCCATTGCTTGTTTTTCTCAGATTTGTCAAAGATCAGATAGTTGTAGATATGCAGCATTATTTCTGAGGGCTCTGTTCTGCTCCATTGATCTATATCTCTGTTTTGGTACCAGTACCAGGCTGTTTTGGTTACTGTAGCCTTGTAGTATAGTTTGAAGTCAGGTAGTGTGATGCCTCCATCTTTGTTCTTTTGGCTGAGGATTGACTTGGTGATGCGGGCTCTTTTTTGGTTCCATATGAACTTTAAAGTAGTTTTTTCCAATTCTGTGAAGAAAGTCATTGGTAGCTTGATGGGGATGGCATTGAATCTGTAAATTACCTTGAGCAGTATGGCCATTTTCACGATATTGATTCTTCCTACCCATGAGCATGGAATGTTCTTCTATTTGTTTGTATCCTCTTTTATTTCCTTGAGCAGTGGTTTGTAGTTCTCCTTGAAGAGGTCCTTCACTTCCCTTGTAAGTTGGATTCAAACTTTATTTTTCATCTAAATTTAATTTATGTCTTTCTTTAAGGTCTTCTATGTAACTCTTCATCATTTCGTATTTTGCTCTAGCTTCTTTATTTTATTTTATTCTATTTTTTGAGACAGAGTCTCACTCTGTTGCCCAGGCTGAAGTGCAGTGGTGAGATTTTGGCTCACTGCAACCTTCACCTCCTGGGTTCAAGTGATTCCTATGCCTCCTGTGCCTCAGCCTCCTGAGTAGCTGGGGTTACAGGCACATGCCTCCACACCCAGCTAATTTTCATATTTTTCAGAGAGACGGGGTTTCACCACATTGGCCAGGCTGATCTCAAACTCCTGACCTCAGGTGACCCACCCGCCTTGGCCTCGCAAAGTGCTGGGATTACAAGCATGAGCCACCACACCAGCCTAGCTTCTTTAATACAAGGAATATAGTTATGTTTGTTTCAATGTGCTTGTCTACAGATTCTGTCATCTGTGTCCTTTTTATTGTTTTTTAATTCTCACCTGATGTGTCCTTTCTAAGTCAGTTTAAGTAGATTGATTTTTTTCCCCCTTCTTATCATGGATTATAGTTTTCTGTCTGTCTGCATTCCTAACATTATTTGATTTGGGGTTAGACGTTGCAAATTGTAACTTACTGAGTTCTGGATTTTTTTGAATTTAGTGTTAAAATTATTTTAGCTTTGTTTTGGTATACAATAAAGTTACTTAAAAACAATTTTCATCTTTTCAGGCTGGCTTTTAAATTTTTTTAGGCAGGATAAGAGCAGCTATTAGTCAACTGCTATCTTTTTCCCACTGTGGAGGCAAAATGACTTTTAAGAAAATAGACCTTATTTTTTAGAGTAGTTTCAGATTCACAGCAAATGAGCAGGAAGTACAAAAAGTTCCCATATACCCCCTGCCTCCACACATGCATAGCCTCCTAGATTATCAACATCTCTCTCCAGAATGGCACATTTGTTACAGTTGATGAACTTACAATGACATGTCATTATCACACAAAGTCCATAGTTTACATTGGGAGCAATAATCTTTTGAAGATTCTAAGTCAGTGATCTCCCACAGATTTGGCACCAGGGACTGGTTGCATGAAAGACAATTTTTCCACAGACAAGGTGGGGGTGGGGTGGTAGGGATTGGGAATTGGGTGGTTTCAGTACGAAACTGTTCCACCTCAGATCATCAGGCACTAGTTAAGAGTCTCATAAGGAGCGTGCAACCTAGATCCCTGGCATGTACAGTTCACAATAGGGTTTGTGTTCCAATGCTAATCTAATGTCATCGCTGATCTGACAGAAGGCTGAGCTCAGGTGGTAATGCTTTCTCGCTGGCTGCTCCCCTTCTCCTGTGCAGCCCCATTCCTAACAGGCCATGGACCAGTGCTGGGGGTTGGGGACTCCTGTTCTAACCAATGCTCCCTCTATTAAAAGGGATTTTCACTCTAGCTGATGGAAACACCAAGTGTTGCAAGCTATGTGTGAGCTACAGAGATTATTCCTTTTGGGAAGTTCTTTGCCCTGCTTTGCATAATTTCCTCAAATACATGTACTAATCAGTACTTAGCTGAAGATTGAAGACAGATATCCAAGGCATTCTATCTGTGCAGCAACCTATTCTCTAGTCTGTCCTGTGATGTCTAGCCACCCTGACTTCTTCAAACTTACTACCAGGCTCTGCCTGGGTCCTCCCTCCCTGCTCTACAGTTGACAATCTCAGGCAGCAAACTGGAGCAATTATAGGGCTCACCTCTTTTATTTATTATAGTACTGCACTATATCCAATGTTGAAGGTAGAGTTTAAAATACTTTTTCCAGTTTCTCAGTTGTTTAAGGTGGAGGACAAATCAGGTCTCCATTACTCCAAATTGGCCAGAAGCAGAAGTCTCCATTCCATCTTTGTGGTCAGAAAGAACAGTATGACAGAAGGCAGCTTGTTAGAATGGGAAGACCCATGGGCTAAGAATCAGCATTACCTAGGCTCTAGTCTCAGCACTGTATTTACTAACTTTGTGCAAGTGATTGATCCTTCTTGAATTTCTGTTTCCCCATTTGTAAAGTGGGTCAAATCATAATTCCATGGCTGCTGTACAGATCAGTTGAAGTAGTATCTTAATGTTCATGAGTGTATTTCTCTTTCAGGGTTATTTATTTTTTTATTTTTGGGTCCCAATAAACCGTCCAAATCTTTTGGGGTTAGTTCAGGCACTGTATATAGTAGAAGCTGGTGTTAGAAAAGTTGATTTATACTGGAATATTTTTCACAGAATCAACCCCAATGCTCACTAACAAACTGAGAAGAAAAAAAAAGAATTACCCCCAACAACATCTGAGGAAGTAGAACAGGGACAGACTTGAAGGCACCTGGGCAGTCCTCTGGTTTTGGAGTAGAGGTAGGACAGGGCTATTTGTCCTCTCAGAGACTGGAGCAGGTTCTGTGTGTGAGTAGCAATGGGACAAACAGTCGTGGTCTGGCAACCAGCCTGTAGCAGGAAGGAAGGTTACAACGGGAGAAGTCCAAAGGGCAGCCAGGCAAGTATTCTTTGAGCTGGGGAACAAAAGGCATTTTAAACTTTTTGCTCTGCTTCAGGCAGCTGACGTCTGGTGATGATTCACCATATCAGGAACACCCTGTCCAGTGGGCTCAGGCAAGCCTGCCAGGCCACTTCTCTAAAGACACAACCTGAGGCCTCCTGCAATAATTCTCACAGAGCATTCTGAACATACATGTAAGGTGTTATGTCCCTGATCATATAGGGCCCATGTGTGCAATGTGTGAAATGGGACCTGCTTAAATTCTGACTAGCTCTTTCTAATTTTGGCTTGCAGAAAATCACAATGGTAAGAAAATGAAGACAGGCAAAAGCCACTGGCTCCCAGGTAACTCTACATGATGAAGGGGCTGATAATGGACTGACCAAATCTAGAGAGAATTCCAGAAGCAAGGACTCAAGAGGTTAAAGGTCCCAGATCTAGAAAAAGCAGAAACTGCTGATTGTTCCTTTTTTTGTTGACTGATTATACAATGTGTCCTTTTAAAAATGGTTCTCTGTTCTCTTTGCAGTTGTTGTATTGGTTCCTAGTTCCTAGTAATTTCTCACACTTAGTTAACCAGTCAGTCTTACCGAAAAGTAAACTAACCAGGGATCCCTGGTTTCTGTATCTTTAAAACCTATAGGGTTACAAACCAAAGTGAGATGCCTATCTGGTTTCTGCACAGTTGTCCTGAATTATGTTGGCAGATATTTTATAGCCAGAAATTTACCTTGAAAAATAAATTGAAACCATACCAAGTATTTAGAGCTAGGGGTCTAAAATCTGCAAAAGCCCTGGGAGGTTGTGTTGTCTCAAGAGCCAGTATTCAGTGGACCACTCCACATCATATTAAATAAAATTTAAACAGCATTTTGAAGCCGACAGTATGGGTCACTGTGTGTCCTGTGTGCCGTGAGCGTATTGTAGAGTAGTTGTTGAGTCTGCTGCCTTATCTGTGTGTTATGAGGTCAATGCACTGAGCACTTGCTTTTTTCACTTCTATACTAACTCTAGGCACACTTTACTCCCAGTCAAAAGTGGACTGTATACTTCCTCTTTGATGTGATGGTCCCTTTGGTTTTGGTGCCTCTTCCATGAGCTTCAGATCAGAACTAGCTATGTGGTTCCAGGCTGCCCTGGTTTAATCCCTTGTCTTGCCTACTTCACCTGGCTCAAGAGGGAAGTCCAGGAGGAAGAAATGGATGAAGTCCTGGAGGACTCACTAGATGAACAGTATTTGACTCATTCCAGCTGCCATGACTCCCACCAGCTTCCCAGCAGCAATGCCTTCCTCTTTGATGCACAGGAAGGCCCCTCGGCTGTGGAAATAGCCAGTAAGTGCTCCTTTGATAAGAAAAATAAAGCTCCATCAATCTCTCAGTAGCTCCTACATTCTACATGCTCACCACCTCTGTCTAAACTGAGAGATGTTATTCTCTGCAGGCAGGCCCTAAACATTCACTTTAAAAAAGTGATTAGGCTGAACACAGCTCTGGGATCAACTCTCAAGTACAGGTCCCTGGTGGGTCAGGTAATTTGCTCTGTTCCTGTCCTCACCTCAGTCCCTCTGGTCCAGACGGGCATCTGCAAGCCGGTATACTCAAAGCAGGCCAGAATGGAGAGAGTGAAGAGATTATGGCAGACTCTCTGCCACTACTGCCACACATGTACAAATCTGTTTAACAGATCTTCTTCTTTAAAATGGGACATCTCATCTTTCCTGAAATATATATATTTTTTGAGACAGGGTCTCTTGTTCTGTCACCCAGGCTAGAGTGCAGTGGCATGATCTTGGCTCACCACAACCTAAAACCCAGGGTCAAATGACCCTCCCACCTCAGCCTCCTGAGTAGCTGAGAACACAGATGCATGCCACTACTCCTGGCTATTTTTTTTTGCCTTTTTGGTAGAGGTGGGTTCTTGCTTTTTTGCCCAGGCTGGCCTCAAACTCCTGAACTCAAGCAATTCACCCACCCCTGCCTCCCAAAGTGCTGGGATTACAGATGTGAGCCACTGCACCCAGCCTTCCTGAAATATTCTTGGTAATTATAGTTCCTGAACAGTTTTCCCAAGCTGTTCTAGCCATCCCAAGAATGTTGGCAGGCTTGTCCATATGTTTGGAGGTGCAATTATAATGGTTCCTGGGTTTCAAGCTCCAGTCTCCATCTCCCCTCAGGTGCTTGCTTTCCCATAAGGTTCCATCTGACTACTGGAATATCAGGGGATTTCCATAAAGACAAGACTTTGATCTTGGCAACCCTTTGGTAAATAGCCAGGGTTCTCAATCTTTGTGCAGCACCAAGGTATTTTTAAGATGTCTGTTAGTTTAGTCTCAGTGTTGTAATTCCATCTAAATAAACAATGAGGCTATCTGCTGGAGAAAAGGCTGAATCTAAGAGCAATGCTGCCAGCATGCCCTCTTCCCAGAATAACTCCACGCTAGCCATTGGAGCTTCATTAGGTATATAAGAGCCCTTTGGTTTGGTAGCCTCTCTGGTGTGTGTATAGATTAAATCCTTGACCTATATCTCCTCTCCCTTACTTGAATGTTTGACTTTACTTTGGGGGCAAAAGTTTGGATTGTTAGGAGACTATATGCTTTATATACTCTTCTATGCAATAAAAAGAGATTATATTAATTCACTCATTGAGCTTTCACAGTAATGTAAACCATATTAGGCTTGTCATTCTGTCAGTGATGGGTGTAAGTTTGTGGCTTTAATTAGTCATACCATCTTCTGACAAAGGCATCCTTATTTCTCTTTCCAATTTCACAGTAAGGTGCAGAAGAAGGTCTTTACCATCTGTTAAAGATGTTCAGGGCCGGGCACGGTGGCACACACCTATAATCCCAGCCCTTTGGGAGGCCTAGGTGGGTGGATCACTTGAGGTCAGGAGTTCAAGACCAGCCCGGCCAACATGCTGAAACCCCGTCTCTACTAAAAATGCAAAAATTAGCTAAGCATAGTGGTGCACGCCTGTAGTCTCAGCCACTTGGGAGGCTGAGGCATGAGAATCCTTTGAACCTGGGAGACGGAGGTTGCACTGAGCCAAGATGGTGCCTCTGCACTCCAGCTTGGGTGACAGAATGAGACTCTGTCAAAAAACAACAACAAAAACAAAATATGATCAGGAGAGATATTTTGTAGAGAGGAAGATATTCCCTAGTACCTATAAGTCATCTCAAGGAGGTGGTCATACCTTTTCTAGTGCTAGAAAAGGCCTACTCAGAGACCTTCAGTGTTTTCCCACCTCCTGTCAACCTGCCTTATACTTCCCATATCTCCATGTGGGAGGCATCCCTGTGGAGTTTGCTTAGCACTTGGCCATGCTTTCTTTGAAACCTTAAAAGCTCGTAAAGAAAGTTGCCTTATGTTCCCTGATGAGAAGATGAAGTTGGCAAAAGAATGGTGAAAGGCAGGGATCTTGATGAGAGGCCCCTGACTATCCCTTTAGTGATCAGCATCTTCACTTCCCATCTCATTCCATGTCCTGGTGGAATGGCTGCAGAAGATGAGATCCAGAGCCAGTGGCAGCACCTGAAAGAGATCCTTTTCATCAACAACTGCCTGTGAGAAAAGCTAGAACATCATCACAGCAGCTTTGACGAAGAAAATGGTAGGAGAGGCCCAAGTCAGCCTGCTTCTGGCAATATGTATTTTTCTAAAGGCATGTGACTGGGGCAGAGTTTTATAGATTTCAAGCACTTTGACATACTTTACTTCACTTATTCATTACAAATGTCCCAGCTAGAGAGGTAGGGCAGCTACTATCATTCCTATTTATAGGTAAATAAATAGGCTTAAAGATTTGCCTTCATCTTAGTGGTATCTACCTCTAAAATCATTCTTGTGATTCCTAGGCTGTCTTCTGTCTTCTGTCTGCTGCTGTACACTGCCTGCTGTCTCTCTGCTTCTTATGTGATTGGCATTCAGTAGAACCCAGGTTTCTCAGCACCTCACGTAGCAGAATGAGAGTCTCCTCTGCTGCCATCCTCATCAGTTTCCCTTATGTCTTGGTGACTCTTCATTCTACCACCCCAAGGTGGTTCTCTCCAACCCCCCTCCTCTTAGATTGTTCTCACACAGAGGCCGTCATTTCATAACATTGTGCTGGGCCAGAAGAATCATAAGCAGGTCCCTTCCCATACCAAAGCAGTAACTATTTTGGAAAAGCCTCCTTCATATTGCAGCCATTGGACATGATAATACATGTGATGTGCTGGCATTTGTTGAGAATCATGTGAAAATTAAGCTTCCACCCCATCACACTAACGTTCCAGCCCTCCACGGTTTTCTCCCTAGGCTAAGATAGAGAGGAAGAACATGAAATGTGCAGAAAGCATTCTCTTAAGCAAACGTGTATAACTTGCGTAAATTGTAATTATTTCCTGGAACAGGATGCACCTCTAACCTCTACAGGCAAATCATAGATTCCATTGTCCAGCTGTAAAATGAAAACAGAGTTCTCAGAGAAGAATACCGGAGACTCCCCCGACTTGCCTGAATCAAATTTCCAGAGGTAAGTGGTGAAAGGCTACAATATGAAGTCACTCTCAGATGGGTCCCTTCTCTTGCCACACTCCACTGTAGAAATAAAAGAGGACGGGGAGGCCAGAGCTGCTCAAAACCTTATAACCCACAATTCTCATAGTCATTCTCAACTTAGAGAGGGCTGCTTTCTAGACACACCCCCTCCAGGCCCCCAGACTGCCAGGCTCCAGGAATAAGTAGCTCTAAGAAATACAGTATTTCGATGCGAGCCACACCCCACTATTGCAAATTGGAGAAGAGAAGGACAAACTTAAAAGGTGAAAAGATTTAACAGAACAACAGGGTGAAACCCCATCTCTAATAAAAATACAAAACTTAGCTGGGCGTGGTGGCATGCACCTGTAGTCCCAGCTACTCAGGAGGCTGAGGCAGGAGAATCATTTCAACCCAGGAGGCAGACGTTGCAGCGAGCCAAGTTTGCACCACTGCATTCTAGCCTGAGTGACAGAGCATGACTCCATCTCAAAAAAAAAAGAAAAAAAGAAAGACAGAAAAGATTTAAGAGAACAATTATTTTAATTGAATACATTTTGTCAAGATTAAATCAACTTTCCCCTAGAATACTGAAAGAATAAGCAATCATAATTTAGATTCTAAGTTACTGGCCTTTGAGAAAGTGTGAAATCCAAAAAGATGCCATGAGCCAAAAAAGAGCAAAAGTCCTAATTTTCAAACTGATGAAAATAAAGTACTAAATAATTGAAATCATCGTAGTTCATCTTGGTCCTTGGCAAAATAAAAATTTATTGATTGAAATTATAATATCCTAGCTACCTTTTTGTGCCTAGCTCTTACCACTGAGGAGAAAAACCAAACACAAACAAAAGTATGTTCAAATTGGCAAAAATGTTTACAAACCTGCAAAATCTCTTCAGCCTATCCCTTAAACTGCAGACTTGGTATTTACTAAGCTCTGCTGTGTACAATACCCACCTTAATATCCATTCTTGCACAAGTTCTGTTAGGTATAAGCCAAAATCACATGGGATTTTTTTTTTTACCCTCTCATGCCTATGTTTGCTTTTGCTTCCAAAGACCCTTCTGAGTAAGGACTGTCCTCAGACTACTGGAGTCACTTAGTCACAAGCTTGCCTGAGGCTCAGAGCTGGCAATACCTGGCAGTTTATGTCAATCCCACATGCAACCCTGCCTGCAAAGTATTTACCCATGATTGACAGGTGCAGGTGTATGAAAGCCCAGCTCCTTGACTTGAGGGGTGCGTTTGTGGTGAATTAGCTTTGGGAAAAGGGAATCCAGAGGCCAACTTTGTAAAAATCCAGATAGGTAAATGGAGAGAAATCTTTGCCTTGGAAGTCCAATTGAGAAAGATAGTGATTTACTTCGGACTGTGAAAGGAGAGACTAAAATCTTTACTTTCTCATGGGAAAGAAGCCTATGGTGAAAGAGAAACAAAGAAAATGGTGGGAAATAGGGTAGGTCTACTCAGTAGCTTTAAACCATTCTGTCATATTATAAAGCCTGGTAAGGTTTTAACTAACACAAGTGCCTGGACTCTACACATAGATATTCTGATTTAAATGCTTCCAGGTGGGTGGAAGACACCAGTAGTCTTAAAAAGCTCCCAAGTAATTTTAACATGTAGCTAAAGATGAAAAGGACAATCTATCTACTAGAATGTCAAGTCGTCAGCATAGGAGTGTCCCAAATGTGCAGCTACCTCATAGAAAAGGCTTAACCCCACCCATTGATGGAATTCGCCTTCCTCTCTCCATGGTCTTGTTTGCATAGCATGGAAAAAAAGAGAAGAGAAAAAGAGGTAGATGGATAGATTGAACCTATAATTTGCCAATGTGGAGCAGTTTCTCAAACTTTTCTGACCACAAGATGCAGTGAGAAATACACAATTTTTTGTGATCAGTTTTTAAAAAATATTTTATTATGTGTAATCCACCCTTCCTGGTATTTAAATAAAGCCTGTAGTAGTAAGCAGTCCACTATATTGATTTCACAACCCATAAGTTGTTCAGAATTGCAATTAGAAAATTTTTAATTTTGGCCAGGCGTGGTGGCTCGCACCTGTAATCCCAGCACCTTGGGAGGATCACCTGAGGTCGGGAGTTTGAGACCAGCCGGACCAACATGGAGGAACCCTGTCTCTACTAAAAATAAAAAAAAAAAAATTTTTAAATTAGCTGGGCGTGGTGGTACCTGCCTGTAATCACAGCTACTTGGGAGGCTGAGGCAGGAGAACTGCTTGAACCCTGGGGGTGGACGTTGTGGTGAGCCAAGATTGTACCATTGCACTCCAGCCTGGGCAACAAGAGCAAAACTGTCTCAAAAAAAAAAAAAAAGAAAGAAAGAAAGAAAAAGACAAAGAAAGAAAGTAAGAAAGAAAGAAAATTTTTTTTCACTTTTGCTCGGCCTTTTTATCAAGGAAAATCCCAAAAGAACATTTACTGTAAAAGAACATTGACTATAAACATCTTTCTGTGAATCCTTATTTCTGTCCCAGCCACCATGACCCAATAATCTCTAAAACCTGTTAGTGTTCTCCAGATTGAAGCCTTCCCTCTAACTGCTCCTAAATCTGTGATGTAGTGGAAAAGGTTTGAGGCCTTGATTCTCAGCCCAGGTTTTTCACCTACAGATCATATGGCCTTAGCCTCTTGACACCATTGTCTCCTTATGGCCAAAGATGGAACTGTACTTGGGTGGTATCTGAGCACCCTGTTGGCTTTGACATTCTAGGGCTCTTCCCTTGGCACCACTCTCTTATTTAAAAGGAATAGGATGTGGACTTAGAAGGGTTATTTCTCTGCAAACTATCCTCTCTTTCTTATGACAAGCTATTTCTGAATGTGCACATTTGAGGCTAAGCAAATCACTTCCTGGGAGGTGTGAAAGACCTTTATTTCTCTCCAGAGGAGTATTATGGAGGTGGTAGAGACCTAGCTAACTCATCTGCAGCGGCTTTGAGCAAGGCTTTTAGAACCATAAGGTGGCTGGGGTCCTGTGTCCTACACCACAGGCCAGCTAGTTCATTTCAGGAGACTTTCTTTTCAATCTATTATTACTATCTTCTTCTAGACTGTAGTTCACTACCAGAGATTATCCATTTAGCTGCACTCAGTTTACACCTGGCCTGTATCACCACTTAGCTCTCACTCTAGCCTCAGTTAGGTATCAGCAAGACCTCACCAAAGATTATTGTTTCGTTGTATGTGTGTGTGTGTTTTTGTTTGTTTCAAGTAGCAACTAATGTTGGAACTATGGAAAGTTCTTCTCTACTTTTAACAAAGCTTAGTCACAAACAGTTCCCCAGTTGATGAGAAAAACTAAAACAACAGAACAATTGAAAGTCCAAATCTGAAAGCTCCATCTCTGAGAAGCAAATTTTATAGCCACTCCAGATTTGTATTCCAAATGGATAGTTTGATTATAGAAATCACATCCCTTCAGTCTGCAAATGTGATAACTGACCAAGAGACAGTGATGCCTAGATCCATAAATAATCCCCTTTCCCCCAACCTATATATAACTGGAGTCAACAGCAGCTAGAGGAAAATGGCAAGGACTTGGAATCAAGATTAAGTTAGAATAACACTGCTGTAGACTGTTCATCAGCTCTTCAGCATATGTCCATTTTCCTTGAGGGATAAGCCTTTAGAAACCTCTGACAATAAAGTTTATTTTACACACATTCTCTTGCCTATGATTTTTTTGTACAAATCACAATTACAAAACTTTCTTGCTCCAGCTAAAAGCAGGAAACTCAGTCACAAATGTGTTCACTACATGTATACCACAGAATGATAGCAGCCAGTCTGAATGCATCACTTGATTCCAAAATTAAATGTTAGCACTCAGTAGTGAAACTACATGTATCTCCAACTCTGGAAGCCCCAGGCAAGATACTCCTGTTTCCTGCAGGGAAACAGATCTATAAGCAGGGCAGCAGTCTCACACATGTACATTCCTGGGAAACCCAAGGAAACAATGATAGTGATGCAGGGCAGGCGAGCCTCAAAACTGGTTTGTAGCCCGGGAAATTTCTTCCAGACTGTAGTTTCCTTGGCTTTGCCAAGGAAAGAATTCAAGGGCAAGCCGCTGGTGAAAGAAAGCAACTTTTATTGAACTGGTGCTGCTACTTGCAGAGCAGGGCTAACCCATAGGCAATGTGCCCAGAGTTGGTGCCTGTGGGCTGCTAGCTAGTTGTTTTTAGACCCACTTTTAATTACATGCCAATTAAGAGGTAGGTTATTCAGAACTTTCTGGAAAAGGGGCAGGGAGTTTCCAGAACCGTATAAAGTAACTTCCAGGCCATTGCCAAGGTGTGTTGCCATGACATTTGTAAACTGGCCATGGTCCCGGTGGTAGTGTCTTTATGCTCATAAGTAGTGAGAGCAACTAGAGGTCACTTTCATCATCATCTGCTGGTTTCAGCAGGCTTCTTCACTGCACCTTGTTTTGACCAGATCCTGCTCTGTTCAATGGGGTTGTGACTGGAAAATAAGTCCTTCTGGTCTCCTACCTCATTTCCCCATCAGAGATTATATACTCCTCCTTAATCTTAAGGGGCTTGTAGAAGGGTGGAGGTTCATCTTCTGTAACTGCTTCCTGCTGATGTTATGGGCATAGAACCTGCCTAGCACTGGAGAAGTAAAATCTCTGGATACCTGTTCTAAAAGACCCAAAGGCAGGATGTCTTTATTTTCTGGGTCAGAAGAGGGGATGGGTTGAAAGCCTTGTGCCAGCATCGTCTTTACATGGAATTATTGTAATCTAGAAGACACAAACTTTACAAGGAGGTTAAACAAGCAAGGACCAAAGATTAGTAATAACAAGATATCTGTTAAAGGTCCTAGGAAGGGTAAAAATCAAGTGTCTGCTGGTAGAGATTCCTTTATTGAATTCCATCAGCAGGGCAAAGCGGTAAGAGAGAAAACATTATAATTAGGAGTAAGAGAAAAACTTTCATGCTCATCCACAGCATCATGTTATTAATATTTATCTGTGCATTTGCAAAACAATAGCTTTAAGTCTTCTGGGAGTTTGCAAGTATAGGTCATGGCATCTTCCTCTGACATCTGTGAGGACTCATAAGAATCTTTGAGGCTGGGCACAGTGGCTCATGCCTGTAATCCCAGCACTTTGGGAGGCTGAGGCAGGCATTTCACAAGGTCAGGAGTTCAAGACCAGCTTGGCCAACATGGTGAAACCTCATCTTTACTAAAAATACACACACACACACAAAAAATTAGCCAAGCCTGGTGGCACGTGCCTGTAATCCCAGCTACTCAGGAGGCTGAGACAGGAGGATTGCTTGAACCCAGAAGGTGGAGGTTGCAGTGAGCCGAGATCGAGCCATTGTACTCCAGCCTGGGCGACAGAGCAAGACTTCATCAAAAAAAAAAAAAAAAAATTAACTTTGGAGTTTAACAGCAGTGGGAGTGCTTAATAATGCCTGATAGGGGCCCTTTCTATTTTGGTTGTAATTGATTCTTGGGGGATCCTTCTTTCTAAGTTTTTAGTAAGACTAAGTCTCCTGGTTGAATGGGGGAGTTAATCCTTTTCCTTGTGGGAAGTTACGTTTCATTTCCATATGATTGAAGGGCCTTTTGAACCTGGCCTAAGTTGATAATCTATGTGTCTCTTCATCAAACAGAAGGTCTAAAGTTAAAAAGGGCCTTCCGAGCTGCTCAGGCGACCCAGTGCTCGGTTGGCCCGGGCCGCGCTTAACTGTCCCAGGTCAGTTAAGCCCGTGGGAGCCCAGGTCATGGGGCAGCCAAGGCCTCTGCAGTGTGAGGCGCCGGGCTGCGGGCGGGCAGGCGGGAGGCTTAGGGTGGGTCGCGGTCGCGGCCCCCGCCGCAGGCCCTGGCGGCGGCATCGTGAACATAGACGTGGAGTTCCACATCCGGCACAACTACCCCTGGAACAAGTTGCCGGCCAACGTGAGGCAGTCATTAAGTGGAGATAGCTCATCATGGAGGTCTTCATCTTTGTCTTCACATCAAGTAGGCTGAGGAGGAGGAAATACAGGAAGTATTGGTCTTGCTGTTCAGAGTGGCAGAGGAGAAAGAAAATCCCAGCCGTCTTGGAAATTCACAGAGAGAATATGAAAATCAGGTTGTCCTGTACAGTATCTGCAATCAGTTACGATACAGAAATAACTTAAACATGTCAAGAAAGATGAACGCAGATACTATGAGGAACTGCTAAACTACAGCCGAGATCATCTCATGCTGTACCCTTACCGTCTATTGGATATTATGGTGAAGGGCTTGAGCATAACACCATTTTCATATTACACTGGGATTATGGAGAATATTATGAACAGTGGGCACAATTTTACTGCTGCTGACTGTCTAAGGCTTCTTGGCATAGGAAGAAACCAGTATATTGATCTTATGATTCAGTGTAGATCATCAAAAAAATTCTTCAGAAGGAAAACAGCCGGTGATCTTCTACCAATAAAGCCAGTGGAAATTGCCATAGAGGCATGGTGGGTGGTGCAGGCTGGATATATCACAGAAGATGACATCAAGATATGCACTTGGCCTGAGAAATGTGCTACTGATAAGACCGTTGATTCAGGCCCTCAACTCTCTGGATCACTAGATTACAATGTAGTACATAGTTTGTATAAAAAAGGATTTATTTATCTGGATGTACCAATGTCTGATGACAGTTGTATAGCAGTTGCACCCCTTGAAGGTTTTGTAATGAATCGAGTGCTTATTTTGATTATTTTGAAACTCTACTCTATAAGATATTTGTTTCAGTAGATGAGCACACAAATGTGGCAGAGCTTGCAAATGTCCTTGAGATTGACTTATCCCTGGTTAAGAATGCTGTTTCAATGTATTGCTGATTGGGCTTTGCCCATAAGAAGGGACAAGTAATAAATTTGGATCAACTTCATTCATCATGGAAGAATGTTCCATCCATAAACAGATTAAAGAGTACCTTAGATCCATAGAAGATGCTCTTGTCATGGGGTGGAGGGGAAAGTAGGAGGCCTGTACAAGAAGCTTCATCGGCAACTGACACTGATACAAATAGTCAAGAAGATCCAGCTGACACAGCCAGTGTAAGAAGCCTGAGTCTGTCTGCAGGACACACGAAGCACATCGCATTCCTGTTTGACTCCACTCTTACTGCCTTCTTAAAGATGGGAAATCTTTCACCAGTTCAGAGCACTGGTGAAAGAGAAGCACAGAGATATTTTGATCATGCGCTTACTCTGAGAAACACAATACTGTTTCTGCGTCATAACAAAGATCTAGTTGTGCAAACTGCACAGCCAGACCAACCCAATTATGGTTTTCCTCTGGATCTCTTACGCTGTGAAAGCCTTCTTGGTCTGGACCCTGCAACTGGCAGCAGAGTTCTAAACAAAAATTACACACTGCTTGTTTCCATGGCTCCCCTCACCAATGAAATCCGGCCTGTCAGCAGCGGCACCCCTCAGCATATTGGACCAGCTATCCCAGAAGTCAGCTCTGTCTGGTTTAAACAGTACATTTACGTTTATCATATCACTGGACAAGGACCACCATCCCTTTTATTATCCAAAGGTACAAGACCTCGAAAACTGCCAGATATATTTCAGAGTTATGATCGATTGCTAATAACATCTTGGTGTCATGATCCTGGAGTAGTTCCTACCTCAAATGTGCTCACGATGTTGAATGATGCTTTAACACATTCTGCAGTTTTAATTCAGAGGCATGGTCTGCATGGGATAGGAGAAACTGTCCATGTCCCATTTCCATTTGATGAAACAGAACTACAAGGAGAGTTCACTCGTGTCAATATGGGTGTTCATAAAGCATTGCAGATACTAAGGAACAGAGTGGACTTACAACATCTCTGTGGATATGTCACCATGTTGAATGCTTCCAGCCAACTTGCAAATAGAAAACTCAGTGATGCTTCTGATGAGAGAGGAAAACCTGATTTGGCTTCTGGCTCAGATGTTAAATGGGAGTACAGAGTCATTTGAAATGGTCATTGAAGAAGCAACTATAGATTCAGCAACAAAGCAAACCTCTGGTGCCACAACAGAAGCAGATTGGGTTCCTCTCGAGCTGTGCTTTGGAATTCCACTGTTCAGTTCCGAATTAAACCGGAAAGTTTATAGGAAAATTGCTACACATGGCCTTTGCAGAAAAGAGAGCCTTCAAAACCTCTTACATTCCAGTAGAAAACTCTCTCTGCAAGTCCTTAACTTTGTTCACTCATTCCAGGAAGGTGCTTCAACATTGGATATTCACACAGAGCCCAGTTTTTCAAGTTTGCTTTCACAGTCATCGTATGCTGACATGGGTGTTCCACTTCCTGCAAAAAATTTAATATTTAAAGATGGTGTCTTATCAGAACGGAGTGGATGGTCACCTTCCTCACTTATTGCTAATCTCCATTTGCAATAATTTGGTTACACCATTTGCTGCTCACACTTTCTGCCTTTTTTCTTTCTTAACGTTAGCTTTATAGTGTCAGCCACTAAAAAGCATCCTGCTGCTGTGGAGCAATTCTTGCTTTACTAATATTAAAAGTTTGGGGAACATATTCATGTTTTCTGAAGTTTTGCTCCTTATTGCACATCTTATTGCAACAAAGTGCTTTTTAGCATCCAGCACTGTATTTTTTACCTTGAGACAATCTGCATTTCTTTTATAAAACTAAGTATATACTTTATAGGCTTTATGATGACTGTTATGTTTAAAAGCAGTCACTGTGAAAATTGCAATGATAATTTTATATGTTAGTTTATCAAACATCAATCTTGTTTAACTTTATATTTTGTTACCTATACTTTGGGGGATCAAGGGAAGAGATGGAACTCTTCCTCTGAAAATGCTTCTTGGTACTTAAAGTAGTAAAACTATAAGACAGTAAACATCCAGTATTGGGAGATGATATGATAGGGCATTATGAATTCCTATGGGTATCTAAATTATGTATGTCAATTGGACATTGTAGAAGGTATGTAAATCATCATGGTTATGTATAACTTAACCTTGATTTATAAGGTCTTAATTCAGATTATGACTATTCGTTGACATCTCATGAGAAGCTTTAGAAAACTTTCTATTTTTAAACACCATTTATATGTGGACTTCTGTTGTCACTGACTTTGGGCTTTATATTTTCACAGAGTCTTTATGGAAAAAGTAGAATTTATTTTCCACTCTTGTAGCTATAGCTGCTGCACATTTTCATCCTGATTTATTTTTTTGTTTCTTACCTTTGATGTTTTCAAACCAAGGATTGTGATTTTAGGTTAGAATTACATATTAGAAACATTAAGACTATGTCTTTGGATCAAAATGCTTTAGTGATTAACCTACTTTGAAGACATACTCTTAAGCAATCTGTATCTTAAATTTATGTGAATACATTTTTAGAAAATGATAAAGAAAAATGGAATTACTTCAAAGTGTTTCTTGAGTCATTGATTCTTTTAGCATCTCAAATGTTAATTAGAATAATTGGAATCACTTTTTAGACTTTTCAAGTTACCTTCCTTGGGAAGTTTGTGTAGTGTTACAGTTTAGTTTAGCTCCTCTTATAGGGCAATGGTTTGCTAGTTTAAAACTGTAACCAAATGAACTGGTCAGACAACTCATATCTAAAACACTTAAAATGTTAGAACGTTTGGGAATGTTATAACCTAAGCGTTTTTGCTGATAACTTTTTGTTATTTATAGACATTTGTGTATTTAACATACTTACTTCTGGAAATATATGCCTTTCCTAAAACTTAACCACACATCCACTACCATGGCCTATGTATAGAATTGAATATTTTGGACCATGTTATCTGTGGCACAGTCAGTGCTGTGTTTGAGGTAAATGCAGTAACGGTTAGTTTTCTACTTTGCCTTATAAAAGGTAGAAACCATGTGTATGTTATGTTTGTCTATAAAAGAAAAATACTAATATTAAATTATTTCTTATGACTGTGAGTCACTCACTTATTTTTCCAATAATTGATATTGTACATTCTTAGTGCCATTAGGTATGTATGTATGTAACTTTTACAGTTTTTCAGCTGAAAGTTGTATTTTTTTTTAATCAGGGCTCTTTAATCTCATTTTAATTTCCTTTGTTTGAATGAACTGTAGTTATTTTCTGTATTCCTATATTAACCATCTAAACCAACTGTAATGACACGTACACTAATAAAGAATTGAACATTTGTATTTGTTGGCAGTGAGCCCAGTTGTTGGTGAATTTAAAGCTTAAAATATGGGAGTGATTTGCTGCTATATTTCTTTTGAGAGATAAAGGAGGAAGAAATGGAACCTAATGGTAATCATGAATTTTAGGGAAAGTACTGAAAAACCATGGGGTCCCCTCTGGTTTCTTGTGTTGAATGAGGCAAGAGTAATCATCTGATTCTTAGCTGAAGACTTCTCATACTCTCAAGGAGGGAGAGTGCATTTTTAGAGCTTTTAGCAAAAATGTGAAAAGTTCATGTTTGCACTTTGCTTTGTGAATTTGGCTTCATTTTACTTATACATTAACTCATGTAATGTCTTCAATCTTACAAGTATTGATCCATTTCAACAAAAAGGTAAATTTAAAATGCAGACTTTGTTACTTGTCAAAGAAGATTCATGAAAAATTTATATCCAATTATTTTCCAAATAGTTAACTTAATTTGGCTTTTTACCACATTCCTTCCTTTCTTTCCCGACTTCTTTAATGTAATTTAAACCCTGGAAAACATTCTTTAGAAACCAAGAGGAAAAGAAGAACACATATCAAAAAAGACATATAACTTAAAATGGTACATTTCACATCTAAAATGGGTTTGAAGAAACGCAACTTTATATCATTAAAAAATAAGATCATCTGATTTCCTTTATTTCTTTTTTAAATTATGTAATCAGATGATTTTATATTTTTTGGGGGGGGCGGAATATTGGTTTCTTTTACTTGATGTTTTCAGTTTTCTCTGGCATTCAAGTTTCTTTTTTGTGTTCAGTGTTTCAAATACAATTTGTATTTAAGGATTTTAAAATACCAAACTGTAAATGAGTACAGTGGATCTTTTTCTGTTAGGATGTTAATATTATACAATGAAATCTATAAAGTGTTGTCAATTTGATCATTGACACATATGACACGTTTACAATTAAACTGTGGTGTTGATCAAGTTAAAAAAAAGGCGGAGGCCTTCCATAAGTCATTTCAAATGGACTAAGCTTTAAAGTTCTCTTTGGAGCCATCCTCACATGCAAAAGGGTTATGAGTAGGAGGAAAACTCAGGCCTCTGAGGTCTCCTGAAAGAGTTTTGCTAATGTCACAACTGGCTTTCTATGTTATCTGAAGATTGAGATCTCCATGAAGAGTGAAGATAGGTAATGCTTAAGGCTGAGGCATTACCTCACTGGGTCACCTTAGCTGGGAAGGGAGGTCAGTTATCCCCTTGCAAACATTTTGGTAATCCAAATCTTGGGATGATTTCTTTAAGTAAGAATTTAGACACTTCCAATACTTTTCTTGTCCTTGTGGGGAAAGCTTCTATCCACCTGGTGAAAGTGTTTATAAATACTAGCAAATATTGTAGTCCCCTGTAAGGTGGCATCTGGGTTAAATCTGTCTGCCAGTCTTCACTATGGTATGTTCCGTGGTGTTGTACAAGTTTAAGCAGGGAGCGGGGTATGGGGTGGCTTCCTGATTGGTAAATCTTTTTATAGTTTAGAACAGTCCCTTCCCCAAGAATATTTAGGAAACTAATTTGAATGGAAAATCCTGTCCCAAATGTGAGGAATCATGAAAATGTTAAATTATTTCCCATTTGTCAGCCTCAGGAATAGAGTTTGTTCTTTTCTAGCAAGCGTCTAGAGGGGTCTTACTGGAAGCCTTTTACTCAGTCCCTTTAATTTCCTTGGGTGTATAGTACGGTTCCACTGACATGGATGACCTGGTAGTAGCGCAGCAGCCTGAAATACCAGGGTTTCCTTAGCTGTGGCCTTAGCTGCTCTTTCCAAAAGGGAATTTCCTCTAATAAGAACAGTGTCTCCCTTCTGGTGTCCCCTGCAGTGAATACTTGTTATTTCTTTGGGAATTGGATGGCATCTAAAAGTTCCAAGATCTGAGTAAAGTTGTATGGGGGATCCCTTGGCTCTTGATAGTCCCCTTTCCTTCCCTATGGTTGCATGAGCCTGAAGCACCCGGAAACCATACTTAGAGTCAGTAAACACATTGACTCTTGAGGGTTTTTTTTTTCTTTTTTGAAACGGAGTCTTGCTCTGTCGCCCAGGCTGGAGTGCAGTGGCATGATCTTGGCTCACTGCAAACTCTGCCTCTCAGTTTCAAGTGATTCTCGTGCCCCACCCTCCCGTGTAGCTGGGATTACAGGTGCCCACCACCATACCCGGATAATTTTTGTATTTTTAGTAGAGACAGGGTTTCGCCATGTTGGCCAGGCTGGTCTCGAACTCCCAACATCAGATGATCCACCCACCTCGGCCTGCCAAAGTGCTGGGATTACAGGCGTGAGCCATCCAACCCAGGCTTAAGTCTTTTCACAGTTGGAAGGTCCTGATTAGAGCAGCTAATTCTGCTTTTTGAGCAGAATTCTGAGAAGGTAAACCCTTGGCCTCAATGACTTCTTGTTAGCTAACCTTCCTTTCTTACTCCCTCATGAATAAAGCTATTTCCATCTCTAAACCACTCAACACTGGGGTTAGACAAGGGCTTGTCTTCAAGGTTGGACCTTCTAGAGTAGATCTCTTCCATGGTTTCCACCCAGGAGTCAATGAGTTGGGGATCTGTTTCTTGGGATGTGAGGTCCAGCAACAGAGTAGCAGGGTTTAAAAATCAGCATACTTTAAGGGTAACATCTGGGGTGTCAAGCAGAAGAGCCTGATATTTAAGTAACTGGCCCCCTATTAGCCATGGGTATACTTTTGCCTCTAGGACCCTCTGTACTGTACTTCATGGGGTGGTGGGGGGCGGGGGTGGTATGGCATCTACTTGTTGTCCCAAGGTAAACTTACTGGCTTCTTCCACCAATAGAGTGATGGTAGCCACAGATCTCAAGCTTCCTGGTCACTCAGCTGCCACCTGGTCTAGCTGTTTAGAGAAATAAGCCACTGGTCTGAGGCAATTCCTGACCCTTCGAGTTAGAACATCCAAAGCTGTCCCTTGTTATTCATCCACATAGAGGATGAAAGGTTTTTCTAAGTTCGAGAGTCTTGAAGCAGGGGCTGTCCCTGGCTTTTCTTTTAAGGCTAAGAATGCCTTTTGACAGTCTCCATTGCAATTCAAAGGCTTATGACCACTCACTTTTGGAGGTTCATAGAGTGGTTTTGCTATGAGCCCAAACCTGGGAATCCAAACCCAGCAGAATCCAGCTATTCTCAAAAAAGAATTTGAGGGACCTGGAGTGCCAGGATGGTCTCTTTTCATCCCTGGGTCAAGATCCTGGTCCCAGGAGTGAGAATGTGTCCCAAATACGTGACCCTTTGGACAGAAATTTGGGCCTTTCGGGGGGATACCTGATACCCTTGTTTTGTTTCAAAATTAAGGACTTGAAGTTGTATGTTTCTCAGAGTCTTCCCCTAGTAGGGCTGGAAATTAATAGGTGATACACATATGGTAAGAGGGATCCATTAATTAACTGTAGTTCCCATACCTCTTTTGCCAATGCATTGCCAAACAGATGGGGATTGTCCTAAAACCTTGGGGACAGGACAGTCCAGGTAAGCTGAGATGCAGCATGAGTGTCTGGATTAGTCCATTCAAATGCAAAAATGTATTGGGTGTCCAGGTGTAAAGGTGTGTGAAAGAAAACATCTTTTAAATTTAATACTATGAACCAATAAGCATCTTCAGGGACTTGAGTTATTATTGTATAAAGATTAGGAACTATTGGGTGACTGGAACTAATGCCTCATTAACTGCCCTAAGATCCTGAACAAATCTATATTCCCCGTTTGGCTTATTAACAGGAAAAATGGGGGTGTTACGTTGGGACTGATAGGATTGCAATAATCCATACTTCATTATCAGGGGATGGATGCCCCTTGGAGCCAAAGGTCTAAAAGGATACTGGATTTTTCTTTTTTTTTTTTTTTTGAGTCAGAGTCTTGCTCTGTTATCCAGGCTGGAGTGCGGTGGCGCAAGGCTCACTGCTACCTCTGCCTTCCGGGTTCAAGCAATTCTCCTGCCACAGCCTTCTGAGTAGTTGGGATTACAGATGTACACCACCATACCTAGCTAATTTTTGTGTTTTTAGTAGAGATGGGGTTTTGCCTTGTTGGCCAGGCTGGTCTCAAACTCCTAGCTTCCAGTGATATGCCCACCTTGGCCTCCGAAAGTGCAGAGATTAAAAGCATGGGCCACCACACTTAAAAGGATATTTTTTTCCCCATAGATAATTAACACTGGGTTTCAAAATAACCTGGACTGGGAGAACATTTGCAGTTCTTCCAGGAACTACCATGTCACAAGCAGACGGGTCTACTTGAGAAGTAATATTTGATGGAAGGAATGACTTTTCTTTATCTGTGTTAAGACATGAACTTAGAGCTAGGAGAAGTGTCCCTTCCCAGCCTGTGGCCTTCTCTTGAGGTGCTCCAAATTGAACTGCAGCCTGTTATTGGGAAAGTAAGTCTCTTCCCAGCAAAGGAATAAGGCACTCAAGACTAAGCAAAAATCTGTGGAAAAACATGGTTCCCCACAGTGCAACTAAAGGAATGGGTGAATCTCCTAGCTTTTAGCTGGTCATCAATCCTCATTACAGTACAGGAGTGGGAAGACAGTGGCACCAAGGACTAGATCAGAACTGAGAAGGCGGCTCGCATATCCAATAACTCAATATTTTTACCCGCCATGTCAAGAATTACCTGAGGCTCTTCTGTAGAGATGGCAAGGTGTCTGGTGGAAGCTGTAGGGAATCTTGGGCCCTGTCAGTCCTCTGTTCTCTTAGCCATTAGGGGTCCAAGAAGCTCAGACTCCGTTTGGAGACTGAGGCAGTCTTTCCTCCAGTGGCCCTCTTGCTTACAGAAGGCACACTGATTCCAGCCTAGGGGATGATGAGCTGGCTTTTGTCTGGGCATCCCAAAGCCACTCTTGCAACACTTTCTGAGGATGGGCAGCTCAAAAGCAGTAGGAGGCTGAAAGCAGCTGCAAACAATTGCATTTTTTGGCTATTTCTTTTGGTTTTATCCTCTTCCTCTGCCTTGTCCCTATTGTTGTAAACTCCAAAGGCCATGTTTAAGAGTTGGCTCATGGAGTTTGGGGTCCCATTCCTGCCTTTTGTAACTTCCTCCTAATGTCAAGGATAGATTGAGTAATACAACGCATGCCCAGAAGACCCCACCCTTCCGGGTTGTCTGGGTCTACATTAGTATATTTCCTGAGTGCCTCAACCAAGCAGCCCTAAAACAGAATGGGATTTTCATCCTTCCACTGAGTTACTTCTCTATCCTTGTCATAATTAACTGGCTTAATCACACACCTTTTCATACTTTCTATTAAACAAGTTAGCATGTGATTTCTATGTTCAAGTTCTTGGGAACCCTTCTGGTAATCCCACTGAGGGTCTCTATGTGGAACTGCATCTCCCCCTACATAAATGGTATGGCCTTGGATATGAGCAGCTACTCTAACTGCATATTCACAGGCCAGTACCCAGAATCCCTCTCTTCTCCTCTATAATACAGGAAGAGGACAATAATATTTGCAAGTTGTGCCAAGTTAAATCAAAGGACATCATCAACCTGACAAACTCCTCTATAAACTTCCCTGGATCCTTCAAAAACCAGCCATATTTCTCCTTGAAGAAAGCCAATTTGGACAAAGGAAATGGCACATATACTCTGATTGTTCCCCTATCTCTGCCAGCTAACTCCAGCAATGGACACAGATTCAATTTCAGGGGCTGATAGAGAGCTCCACTCCTGGTGGTTCTGGTTGGGCTTACTTCCTTGGGCAGTGGGGGATACAGGCTGGAGCTAGCTAAATAAAAGGGAGGGTTTTCTGATGACATTGGGGTGAAATCCCACACTGGAGAACTGGCAGGACCCCTCGCAGAACTGGGGGACTGAGAAGACCCTGGAGAGGGCATGGGCCCTCCAGGGGGTGCCGCCAGGAAGGGAGCATCGAGGATATCCCACGCGGTTTCTTGGTGCCTGGAAGTAACATGAGCCAGACACATCCTGCAGTTGACTCTTAAGTCAGAATCCTGGTAGGGGGCCGTAGAAGCCTGTACGTAAGGAACTTCTCCCCATTTTCCTTCCTTTTTACTGAATAAGTCCAATTGTAAAATAGTATGATAATGTAAAGAACAAGTTTCAGGCCAAATTTCTTGTTCTCCCAAGAAAATTGTTTCTTTTTCTTTGAGCCATCTCATTTGAATTTGCTCCAATTGCCTTAAAGACACCCTAGTGGGGAGTCCTTTGGGATGCTCGCCTTTGTCCCCATGTCTAACAAGGATCTCTACTACACCCAGAAGTTTTTCTAAGTCTAGCAAAAGCTCAGTTACTTTCCCTTTCAAATTCCCACCTCCTGCAGAGATGTAAGTACAGTTAGCAAAGTGTTATGAAAGTAGATTATGAAATATGAATGCGAAGTAAAATGATGGGTCTGAATTCCACAGAGTGAAGAAAGCATTTTAGTTTGGGCAAAGAGGGGTTAAAAGAAACAAGGTGATCATGGAAGGGAGGAAGGGAAAGCATGAACAGCGTTGTCCAGACTGAGGTGCCAGAAAATCTACCCAGCAGCCACAGAGACTGAGGAAAATTATTTGGGCAAAATGTTTGGGTGGCTGCTGCTTGTCTGCCACTATGGGTAGTTGTCACTTGGGCCAGGGGTCCAGGAATCCCTGGTCCCTGTGACCAAGAGTTCAATATGGGCTTGAGCAAAGTCACGTAGGAGGGGGCCCACAACTGGCTGTTATGGAAAATCGTAATCTTTTAATTTAAGGGCGGAGAAGATGACATCCACACTCCTCCAGGGAAGGAGCTCTAATCCACAATCCTATAGGGAATGTCAATGCTGAAAACCCCAGAGCATCCAGGGAGAGGCCAACAGTGACAGTGGAACTCTCACCACAACGAAATGCCAAAAACCCAGAGTACCCAAGTATCAGCCAGTGATGGTCCCCACACTGAATGCTGAAACTGCAGGGGAGGCAATGGTGAACCCCAAAGGCCAAGTTAGGGGCCACTGAACAATGTGACTTTGGCATCTCAGGGTCAGCACAGTAAGGGACTTTTCACGACCAAGTGTCCTGCCTTAAACAGTTCTTGACTCTGTCCTGTCCTGTCCTGTGTTATATCATGTCCTGTCCCATCTTGTCTTGTCTTTGTGGTCACCAGATGATGCAAGGAAGGACAACCCCAAAATTGGGGCTTAGCCAAGGAGAGTTCTTGGCTTTGCCCAGGTAAGAATTCAAGGGCAACCCAGCGGTGAAAGAAAGCAACTTTTGTTAAACTGGTACTGCTTCTCGTGGAGGAAGGCTAACCCATGGGCAGTGTGTGGGTTGCTAGCTAGCTGTATTTATTTAGATGCTTTTAATTAGATGCTAATTAGGAAGTGGGTTATTCAGAACTTTTTGGAAAAGGGATGAGGAGTTTCCAGAAGCATATAAGGTAACTTCCTGGCCATTGCCATGGCATGTTGACATGGCATTTATAAACTGTCATGGCACTGGAAAGGAGTGTCTTTATGCTAATGAGCAGTGAGAGCAACTAGAGGTAGCTTTTGTCTCCATCTGCTGGTTTTGGTCAGCTTCTTTACTGCACCCTGTTTGGACCAGATCCTGCTCTGATCAACTGGGCCACAACCGCAAATAAGTCCTGCCACTTTCCTACCTCAGTAGAATCTCTGCCAAAGAATGATCTTGAAAGTTTGCTGTTTACTCATCATCTGGAAAAATCTTCCTGTATAGGCCAAATTCCCACCCTTGAGATTTCTGAAGGACCAACAAGTAAAAACAGTATACTCCAATGGGACTGTTAGATTTCAACTAACTTACTCTCCTTTGGATTTCTTTTTCTGAAAATAAATTCTTCACACACACTGACTTGTCTTTTGCAATCCAATGTAAAAGTGGGACATCTTCTTCAGAAGCTTTGAAACATACAAATTAGCCTCAAACTTACCTACCAGACTTCCAGGCTAGAAGGCTGATTCATGTAAGAAGGACTAAGAAGACACTTCACCCATATCCTGGGTAACAGGAGGGGATCCTTTAGATAGGTTTGTACACCAGGCTGGTAACCTACACTTTCTTCTAGCAGTGAGAGGTACTGAGATCCGTCACCCCCTCCTGCAAGGCCAAGACCCAGAGAGAGCCAAATTTTAGCCTAGAATTCAGCCAGCTCTTCACAGTCTCCTATGTTTTACATTTTCCTCCACAATCATTTACTTTGAAAGACTTCAAACCTATAGAAAAATTGAAAAAAAAAGAACTCCTCTACACCATTCACCCAAGTTCAACAGTTAACATTCCTTTACCTTTTTTCTCTGTCTACACACACCTACACACACATTCATATTTCATAGTAAATGCAGACCAAAAAAACTCCACTTCATCCCTAAATAGTTCAGCATGTATTTCATGAGATTAAGGACATTATCCTATATAATTATAATACAATTCAATTATCAAACCTAAGGATATTAACATTTATTCAATAACATTATCTAATATATAGTCCAGATAGAAATTTTCTGTTTAGAAAATGTCACATCTATACACATATATGTGCATGTATATAGATATTTATGCATACATAGTGTGTGCATGTGTGTATGTATGTGTATATATAACACACATGCACATTACATATGCATAAATGTTTTAATTTAATAATATTTATATGCATCAATATCTTAAAGATATATACGTATCATTAGCTGGAAGCTGCCTCTATCCATATATTAAAGGTTTCTCCATATGTAGTGAACTGTAACCTAACTGGATGTGTAAACAACCTGTAACCTACTCTTGAGCCAATGACTGAGTTTTAGCCAATCAAAGGTGGCCAACTGTTCAAACTGGGTTCAAATAAGACAAACTCAGAGCTGTAGCCAATCCGATTATTTTTGTACCTCACTTCTGTTTTCTGTAAGTCACTTTCCCTTTTCCATCCATAAATCTTCTTCTACCACATGGTAGCACTGGAACCTCTCTGAACCTATTCTGGTTCTGGAAATTTCTGATTCAGGAATTCTTCTTTGCTTAATTAAACTCTGTGTGTGTGTGTGTGTGTGTGTGTGTGTGTGTGTGTGTATTATATATTATATACACATGTAATATATATATGTATGTGTATATATAATATTTATTTAAGAGAGAGAGAGAAGTGACTTGTGGTACTGATGTTGCTTCCCTAGGTTCCAAGTAAAGTTCCTCAATTGCACTTTACTTACCTAGAGCTGTCCCTCCATTTCTTTGTCCTTGTTGCTAAGTTTTTGAAGTGGATAGGCTAGTTATCTTGTTCAACATCCTGCATTCTGATCAAACTAAACATTTTTGGAAAGAACAGAATATAGGAATTTGTGCTTCTTACCACTCAACCTGTCAGAAAGCAAGTGATGCAAGAACAAAATATTGTGAATATGTTTACATCGAAAGTGTTAAAGAAAACTCAGCATCTGCCAGCAAGTTTATGGCGTGCCACGGTGGTATAGTGATTGGCACTTTGTGTTGTGAATGCAGAACCTTGATTCCAATCCAAAATGGCAGTGTGTGGCATCTTTTTGGGGAGAAACTGAGCTGTCTTTTGGTTTGTTTTCAATCCGTGCACTGACTGAGTCCTTTAGCAGGGTTTACCACTGACTCCTGCAATGCAGTGCAGTCAGGCAAAAAGGAGACCCCACATTGCACATACCTAGGGCCCAGGACATGCCCTATGTCTCACCATTGAGCAGAAAATATCCCAAAGGGTAAAATGTCACCTTTCAAACCGCCATGTTGGTAGCTTCCACTAATGCAGTGGTGTGGTCATAACTGGTTTTTACTGTTCCTTACAATGGCTGCAACCCTTATTTGTGACTAGAGAACAAGGCTTACCACTGAATTGCCAGCATGATACAGCCAGGGCCATCAAAAACACACCTGCACTAGATCATTGGGAACTTTGGAGGTGCCTTACATCTGGGCATGCATTGAACCACCACACAAGGTGAAATGCCTCTTCTCAAAGAGGCTTGCCTGCAGTTTCCACTAATGAAATTGTGAGTCATAGCTGTTCTTCTGTTTGAGATATTAGGAGGGATTTTGTGGGGGGTGAGGGGGGATGAAAGTGAGCTTTTACTGAGTTTAAAATAAAATCCAAACTCCTTACCATGGTCTACACTGGCTTGTCTCCATCTTCCATCCCCCACCCCCCATGTTTATGCTAAAGAGCAGACTATTGAAATGTAATTCACACAGTGTAAAATTCAAATATATTAACTAGGACAGGTTATTAAATATTGACAAATGAAATCATCACCCAGATCAAGTTATAGAAAATTTCCATCATCCCAAAAATGTCTGTGGATGCCAGGCACGGTAGCTCATGCTTGTAATCCCAGCACTTGGGAGGCTGAGGCGGAAAGATTGACTGAGCCCAGCAATTTGAGACCAGCCTGGGCAACATGGCAAGACCCCCATCCCTATAAAAATTTTTTTTCAAATTCAAAAAATAAAAAATATTTAAAAAGGTCCAAGAGTCCCTTTCCAGGCAATCCCACCCTTCTCCCCTTGGTTTATCACTATTCTGATGTTTATCACCATAGATTATGTTGCTCTCTTCTTGAAATTCATATAAATTCACTTTTTGTGTTAGCTTTTTTTCACATCTTTGAAATGTATCCATATTATTATATGTATCTAGTTTATTTGGGTGTAACTGGTGAGTGTTATCCAATATGTGAATACACCACTGTTGATGGACAATTTGGTTATTTCTAGTTTGGACTATTATGAAGAAGGCTGCTGTGCATGAATATTATTGTACGAATCTATTTATCAACAAATATTCTGTGTTTTCTTAGATTTTGTATTTGTCTCTATTTGGCATCTATTCACCGCAGAACAATTATAATAACTATATTTTCTTATTTTCTTTATTTTTTTCTTAAAACAATTTATTGATGTATGCCTGGTATACTAAAAGCTGTACATATGTAATGAACACAATTTGCTGAGATTGGAAATAAGTATGGACACATTAAATCATCACCACAGGCCGGGTGCGGTGGCTCACGCCTGTAATCCCAGCACTTTTGGAGGCCGAGGTGGGTGGATCATGAGGTCAGGAGATTGAGACCATCCTGGCTAACACGGTGAAACCCTGTCTCTACTAAAAACATACAAAAAAAAGATTAGCCAGGCGTGGTGGTGGGCGCCTGTAGTCCCAGCTACTTGGGAGGCTGAGGCAGGAGAATGGCGTGAACCCGGGAGGCAGAGCTTGCAGTGAGTGGAGATCGCACCACTGCACTCCAGCTTGGGCAACAGAGCAAGACTCCATCTCAAAAAAGAAAAAAATCATCACCACAATGCATACAATAAAACTATTCAGCTGGGCACAGTGGCTCACACCTATAATCCCAGCAGTTTGGGAGGCCCAGGCTGGTGGATCACTTGAGGTCAGGAGTTTGATACCAGCCTGCCTAACATAGTGAAACTCCATCTCTACCAAAAATACAAAAATTGGTACAGAATAATTATACATGTTTATAGGAGTACATATGATATTTTGATATATGCCTACGATGTGTAATGATCAAATCAGGATGTTTAGGATATCCATCATCTCAGACATTTTATCATTTCTTTGTGTTGGGAACATTTCAAATTCTCTCTTCTTAGCTCCTTTGAAATGTACAATATACTGCTGGTAGCTGTAGTCACCCTACTGTGCTGTTTCTTTTCTGAGATTCCACCTAACCCCTTGATGTTCCAACTGCTGTGGTTGTCTAAAACTTTGTCCTCTGTTCCTTTAATCTAGGAAGACAGTTTGGTTTTGTATTGTAATTTAGCTAATCCAAGTAAGGGGGAGCAAAGTTTGTTCTATAAACGAAAAATAAAATCCTAAGTCCCCCAACTGACTAAATGGACCCCCCGTTGGCCAACGGGACCCTAGGCAAACCTTATAAACTGAGTCCCAGGCCAAGAAGGAACGGGAGGCCAGACAAGCCTCATTATATTCCCACCCTTTTGCAATTTAGACAAAACTGACCAACATTAATGTTATCACGGAGATCATAAGACTGACGGAACAGACTCTTTATGGCAATAAGACACCAAATTATAAATAGGACTTAGGACCATTCCGGGCAAGGATTAACTCACACACCCCATATATGCAAAGAATAAACTATGTTCTAACTGCCACAAGGATTTTCTCTAGCAGCTAAACAAGCACTGGCCTTGAGAATAGGGAGTGTTGAAGCACTTGCTGCTCACCCCTCACCAGATACCGAACCCCGCTGTTCCACAAGCCATAACTACAGCCTTGACTGACAAGAGACTGATTTCAGTAACTTTCTTCTGATGAGAAGACCAGCGACCATGGACTGGTTCTGTCAGTTTTACAGTATCTGTGCATTTGAGTGCCTTTGTGTCCTGAAAAGACCTTTGTGTATAGGGCCTAATTGTAATGCATTTAAATGCTAAGTATCCATAACAAGGTGAACAAGGTTGTATATTACGTGAATGTTTGTTCAATAAGCATGCATCAGGACCCCTTCACAAATATTCATAAATCCTCCTATAACTTGTTGAATATGTATTTTAGGCCCACCCATTCAACTTAAATTCCTGTCTTGCCCCTCCCTCCCTCAAAGTGCCTGCTTCTGGGCTTCCCGCGATTCCCAGCCTGTCAGGATGACCACCTTACATGCTGTAACCCTTTAGAAGAAATAAATTCTCCTCTGTAAGCTCACAAATTGTATGGTTTTTCAGTTAACAGCCCTCTGCTGAAAGTTTGCAAAATGGGATACTCACTACCTGCCATTCTTCCATATGTCCGCCTGCTTTTGTTCAGTCTTCCAGCACCTTCAAATTATATAATATATATATGAAATAAATTTTTCTAGTTTATAGTCGTTATCTGTGGGAGAGTTACTCTGAAAGCAGCAAGAAGCCATTACCAGATGCAGATCTCATTCTGTCAGTAATGGCAACCCAGCAAATAGGGCAGGAGCCCCACCCAGGTGTGGATCAATGCATGGCTGTATAACCTTGAACAAGCTGCTTAGTCGACCTCTGAAGTCAGTACTGCTGTATGAGAAATGGAGATATGAAAAGAACAGGAGTGCTAGGGTGCCCAAGGGAGAAAAGAGTAGGTAACAAGATTTTCGGTCAGGAGCATGAGAAACAGGGAGAGGGTCGCCATTAACTCCCCTTCTTCACCAGAGTTTTCTGGCACCCAAGACTACAGAAACTCTCCTGCAGTGGGCTTTGGGGCACATCGCAAGTTCCAGTAACAAGGGCTAAGGTCGCCCGCTTTTGGAGACCTTACAAAGCATGTATTCCCTGACCAGGAATCGAACTCGAGCTGCAGGCGGTGAAAGCGCCGAATCCTAGCCACTAGACCACCACGGAAACAACAGCAAGCACTTTTCATTCCTCTTGCCTTCCAAAGGTTTCTCTAAAAGGTGAACCTGTCTGCAATGCTCACGAAGCCCGCCAGATGCACAAGTCAAAACTGATCTAGAGATTCTGAAATACGCTGTGCTCCTTGAGAAGTGCGGAGCCACTGGAACCACAAGCAGCTTCAGACAGGAACCAATGAGGCCATCAAAACCCTCAACAGAGGCATCTGTGAGTTCATTGTGGTGGCTGCAGACACCACGCTGCAAGAGAGCATTCTGCACTCCCACTGCTGTGTGAAGAGAAGAATGTGCTGGGCCTGCCTGGAATGTTTGCGCACTCCAGGCGGGCCCTGGGGCGGGCCTGTGGGGTCTCCAGTCCTGTCATCACCTGTTCTGTCACCATCAAAGAAGGCTCACAGCTGATCCAGTCCATTCAGCAGTCCGTTGAAAGGCTCCTAGTCTAAACCTGTGGCGTCTAAACCCGTGGCCTCTGCTGCACAATCTCTGCTGACTCCTCCCCCTGAGGTTATTCTCAGCTACTTTCTATTGCTATAAAATATTATAGTACTAAATCTGGTTTCTGGGGTTTTGTATAGTTTTTGTTCTGTTTTACAGGGTTGTTTTCCCCCTTCTCCATGCCCACCCTTTCTCTGCCATCCTGCATCCTCTTCAACTCTCTATTGAAAAATGAACAAATGTTCAGAACAGAGGAAGTAGAGTGGTGGCACCATCAAAGGCAGGAAGGGCCAGGAGAACCTGATGGGAGCGGGGATACAGACCTGGTTCTAGCTTCCAGTCTTCCAGTCACTAACTTTCTGCTGTGTGCAGGGCACAATGGAAGTAAACACCACCCACTATATATCCCCTGTGCCTGGCATACAGAATCATTCATACATGTTGACCGAAGGGTTTCCTTTGCTTCTAGGGGATTATGTATCATTTTGGGAGGAAGCATGTATTCTGTGAGGTTGTTTAGTTTATGTCCAAGCGCCATTTACTAATGTATCCCTGCTCTTTGCTTTCGGTATGTATGTTCTTCCTCCACCTGACAATTGTGCCCCCAATGGTGGCCAGGCAGCAGCATACCAAAGAGATGTGCTGCAAGATTTCAGAGGTGGGTGAGTGAGACATGGGAAAGTGCACTCAGGTCTTGAAAGAGTCAGGAGTGGCCAGGGCAAAGAACATGAACTGGTGCTGGAATGAAGGATTCTGGGAAGGTTGTGGAGACCTGGCTGGTAGCTAGAGCAGAGATGATGGAATCCAAGGAAACAACTTCTCTCCGGTGAATCAAGATTTCTTCAGTGGACACTTAGTCCCAGCTCTGATAGCCCTTACCCCTGTTTCCTGCCACAGTGTGGGTCATATGTATTCTTTATCATATGAGGAGAGTGCTAATTAATGTGTCATTTATTTTGTGAGCATGCTAATAAATATATTCATATTCCAATTTAGTGAAAAAAAACTGATCTAGAGATGCCCCTTTTCGAGGTGACAGCATGGCTCTGGAGAGATGGCCACAGGAACCATGGCAGTGGACCAGGTTGCTGGGAGAAGGCAAAAGGGGAGGCACCCAAGCTGAGAAGGGGCTAAGCACTCAGCCCCTGGGACCACCAACAGCAGGCCTGAGACACATGCAGGAAACCAGACAGCCTGGATGAAATTTCTTTCAAGAAAGGCCAGTGGTCCCTGACAGAACACCAGAGGTTTCCCCCTAAATCCTTTCGCATCTGTACCGTTTCCATCTTAGTTGGAGCTCTTTGTTCTCATCCTTGCAATACGCAGAGAAAAAAAAATCACAGGTTGTTGATTGTTTGAAGATAGGGTATTGCTCTGTCACTCAGGCTGGAGTGCAGTAGCATGATCACGGCTCACTGCAGCCTCGAACATCCGGGCTCAAGTGATTCTCCCACGTCAGCCTCTGGTGTAGTTGGGACCAAAGGTGTGCCACCACAGAGGCAGGGTTTTGCCATTTTGCCCAGAATGGTCTCAAACTCCTGAGCTCAAGGGATCAGCCTGCCTAGGCTTCCCAAAGTGCTGGGACTACAGGCATGAGACACCTTGCCCAGCCAACCAGAGTTCTTTTTGATGCCGATATTTTACTCGGACTCCACATCTAGGTAGGAATTCATGTTTTCAAGTACGGACATTGCTCTACACAATCCTCTCCTTTCCTGATCACTAAATTAGAGTAAATCACTGTCCTGAAGAAGGTACCCTTGGGAGAGTGGGTTGGCCTGTCTTTCCACCCTTTCTTGACTCTGCCCTCACCTTCAAGCCTCTTTCTGGCCTGTGTTCAAGGTCCAGAGGCATGCTTAAGACCTCTCTGTGTGGCTCTTCTTGAAGAGTCAGGAACCCCATACTTCCTGTTCAGCGGGCAGAGAAGCTTCAAGCCGCACAGTTTTGGGTATGCTAGGATCCCACAAGGCACAGATGTGCAGTGGCCCACGAAGTGAGTTTGTGGGTCTCCAGTTACCTGCAGCCCTTTCTGCTCCTGTAGGTTAAAGGGCAATTGCCTTTTTTTTTCTGTCCAGGAAGGACCCCAGAATGTTCTGAGTTAGAAAGACAGTGAATCCTCTCCTCTGGGTCAGTGGGGAGGGAGAGAGAGAGATTTCAGAGGGAAGAAAGCAGAAAAAGATGTCACAAAATTGCCTAATCAAAAGTTACCATGATGCCTGCCTCATCTGGAACTGGGCTCCCAGTCTCTAGTGAGGGAGACATAGTCCAGTCCAGTCCCAGTCTCCAGTCTGAGCCAAAGCAGAACAAAGCTGGACACTGCAGCCTGGCATCCAACGAACATTTTGTCACTTTCCCCAGGGTGGGAGCATTTGAACTTTGGATGTGAAGGAAACATGGTAACCACTGCAGTAAGAAGAGCAACTGCTGGAGAAAATGGCACTTTCTTCCCCAAATTTGTTTTTACACTCATGTCTAAGGAACACCTTAGAAACCACATTAACATCTTTCAGCAAAAGGAAATTCTGCCTGTTGATCTTTTGCTGTGAGACAAACTTGAAAAGTTCACAGACACTGCCTTTCTCTGAAAACTGCCCTTACCTCTTTGTTATAATTCACTTCAAGATCTGTTGAGTAGGAACATCAAAAATGCAAATAAAAAGTTTCAAGTATTATGAAAGAATGCAATAAAACTGCCTTTAAAAAAAATCTCAAGATGGAGGTGGAGATCCTGTGATCATGAAATCTGAATAGGCTGCTCTTGTGTCCTTCAGTGGTGATGGCTCTGAAACCCTTGTGTTTTATGAACTTCACGCCCTGGTCTTCAAACGAATTCAGTGCAGGCCAAGAAGCACAGTTTGGCCTGGGTTGGATGCTCTATATTTTCAAAGAGTGAAATGCCTTGAGACACAGCCTTTGCTATAGTACCTGCTAAAACTTCAACGTGTGGATAAATATAGCTTACATTGAATCGAATAGACTCAGCGAGAGTGGCAGTGAAGGATGCCCTCTGGAAGATTCGAGGTGCTGAGGCCAAAGGGCTAGCAAGGAAAGAGCGTGCGGGTCAGGCCCTTCAGCCTGGTGGAAGAGCAGGCAGGGAGGGTCCTATGGTTCCTGGGAGGACCCGAAGCATGATCGCCTGTCAAGAGCCAAGAGCCCTAATGGCCAGCGCCGGGGAAAGGGCCCCCGAGGGGCAGTCAGCAGCCCTGCAGGGGCGGCGTTCACACTCCTGTGTGGCACGGGACACTCATGGCTCCACCAGCTCCTGAAGCTTCTGGGAGCCAGAGAGTCAGCAGGGAGAATCCCACACACGGGCACTCAGTTCCTGGAAACCCTGCATGAGATGCGGGATCCCGAAGCCAGATTGGGGGTCCCTAGGGTCTTGGCTTCGGGGCTAGGCGCGGAACCGTAAATGAGGGTTCAGCCTGTCTGCCTGAGGGATTGTGTTTCCTGGCGTATTTATCACTCAAATTTTGAAAAGCAGTCGAATTTGTTATATTGGAAACCCTAGTAGTTAAAAACAGCAGATGGTAACATTTCAGGAATATGTCTTGTGCCAGGAACTGTGAGGGGTTTCTGTAGTGTAGTGATTACATGTTCCCTTCACATGTGAAAGGTCTCAGGTTTGGGACCTTTCATCATCAACATGATGAAACCCCGTCTCCAGTAAAAATACAAAAATTAGCCAGGCGTGGTGGTGCATGCCTGTAATCCCAGCTCCTCGGGAGGCTGAGGCAGGAGAATTGCTTAATTCCAAGAGGTAGATGTTGCGGTGAGCTGAGATTGTGCCATTGCACTCCAGCCTAGGCAGCAAGAGTGAGACTACGTCTTAAAAAAAAAAAAAAGAAAGAAAGAAAAGAAAACAGAGGACTTTAAAACCGTTATTATGTCAATATTCTATGGGTCCAAAGAATTAAGCAGAGGTATCAAACATATAAAAATGGTCAGAATCAAACTTTGGAGATTAAAAACTACAACATCTGAGATAATAAATTCACTGGATGCAATTAACAGCAGATTAGACACTGCAGAAAAAAAGATTATGAAACACAAAGCCGCCGGGCACCGTGGCTCAGGCCTGTAATCCCAGCACTTTGGGAGGCGGAGGCGGGTGGATCACGATGTCCAGAGATAGAGCCCATCCTGGCTAAAACAGTGAGACCCCCGTCTTTACAAAAAAAAAAAAAAAAAAAAAAAAAAAAATATATATATATATATATATATATATATATATATATATATATATATAAAAATTAGCTGGACATGGTGGCGGGCGCCTGTAGTCCCAGCTAATCGGGAACCTGAGGCAGGAGAATGGCATGAACCCGGGAGGCGGAGCTTGCAGTGAGCCGAGATGGTGCCACTGCACCCCAGCCTGGGCGACAGAGCAAGACTCCCTCTAAAAAAAAAAAAAAAAAAAAAAAAAAAAACCGCACTGAGGGGAAAAGTCAATGTGAAATTCTACAAAAGCTGAAAATTCACTACCACCAGCCATTACCACAAAAAAAAAAAAAAGTTGAAGGAGTCCTCCAGGCAGAACGAAACTGACATCGGATGAAAATCTGGTTGTACAAAAAAAAAAAAAAAAAAAAACTAGACATGACATCTAATAGACGAATATATAATTTTAACATCTGACTGTTTAGCTGGGCGTGGTGGCTCACGCCTGTAATCCCAGCACTTTGGGAAGCTGAGGCAGGCAGATCACTTGAGGTCAGGTGGTTGAGACCAGCTTGGCCAATATGGTGAACCCCTCTCTCTACTAAAAATACAAAAATTAGTCCGGTGTGGTGGCCCACGCCTGTAATCTCTGCTACTCAGGAGTCTGAGTCAGGACAATCGCTTGAACCCGGGAAGCAGAGGTTGCAGTGAGCCAAGATTGTTCCACTGCACTCCAGCCTATCTGGAACCTAGTTTGATCTGGAGGGATCTTATTTTATAGGAGGCTTGGAGGGGGACCTTTTGCTTTATGTACTTATAGGATGCACAAGACACAAGGGAACAATCTCTCACTTTTTAAATACAGTGATAGGCCTGAGGAGAAACAACTGCAATTTTTTTTTTTTTTTTTTTTTTAATGAGATGGGATTCTCACTGGTCTTGAACTGAGCTCAGGCGAGGCTTCCCCTACGTCGGCCTCTCAAAGTGTTGGGATTAATAGGCGTGAGCCACCGCGCCTGACCACAACTAACCAACATTTAAAAGCACGTCCCTGGGTAGGCTCGAACCACCAACTTTCCGGTTAACAGCCGAACGCGCTAACCAATTGCTCCACGGAGATAACCTCAGTTGGTCGCTTTCATCTCAACATAGATTAAGCAATCACTAAACTCTAGGGGTTGCCATTCGCTTTCTGCAGGACAACTGTGCAGACTACAAAGCTTCGGAAAACCGGAGAGGCTGAGTCGACTAATCGTGTTGTTGCACGTTAGAAACGCTTGCATTGCCTGACTCTGAAACCAGAAGGGCGGCCGAATGGCCTTCACCCTCCATTAACCCTCGCCTCCTTCAGAAGCCAGTGCCTCTGGAAATGCCTGGATCTGCGACCCCAGCCTGAGCCTAGTAGGGCCCAAGGGAAGCTGAACGCCCCGACGGCTCTCATGGTAGGTAGCTCTTTCTGTTTTTTTGCGCCGCCTTCAGGCAATCATCTACTCCGCTTGCTATCCCCTCACTCAACTCGGCTTCAGTAGATGGGGTTGGTGGGGCGGGAGCGGGAAAGAGGCAGGGGAGTCAAAAGGGAAAACCTGAAAAGAAGGAGGGAGAAGAAGCAGGGGAGACCAGGACGAGACAATGGGACAGCCCAGGATGCCGGTGCAGAGGGCAGCGGCTGGATGCAGAGAAGATGGGACACGTATCAGAATGGACTGGAGAAGACGTGAGGGAAAATCACAAGAACCTGTAGCTGCCCAAGAATAAACACGTAAAAATCGCATAAATGTTTTTACATTAAAAAAAAAATCGGGGGACCGGGCGCAGTGGCTCACGCCTGTAATCCCAGCACTTTGGGAGGCCGAGGTGGGTGGATCACTCACTTGAAGTCAGGAGTTCGAGACCAGCCGGGCCAACATGGTGAAAGCCCGTCTCTACTAAAAATACAAAAATTAGCTGGGTGTGGTGGCGACGCTTGTAGTCCCAGCTACTCAGGAGGCTGAGGCAGGAGAATCGCTTGAACCTGAGAGGCAGAGGTGGCAGTGAGCCGAGATCGCGCCACTGCCCTCCAGCCTGGGCGACAAAGCGAAATTCTGTCTCTCAAAAAAAATGCATAAATAAATAAAAGAGGGGTGGGGAAGCAAAACGACGGGCAGTAGGTGTGGGGCGCATTGGGATTCTATAGTGGTTAGTACCCTGCCTTGTGCCTGCAGCAACCTCTGTTCTAATCTGAATCCTGGTACAGTCAGACTCTATCTTGGACCCACTGGGGCGAACCCACGAGTCTTTTGGTTTGCTTTTAATTCCTGCACCAGCTGCGGCCTTTATCTGCAGCCAGAAAGCAGGGTTTACCGCTGGCCCCACAGCGCCATACGGTCTGGGGAAAAGAAGGAAACCCAATAGTACACAAACAAAGGCCCAAAGAGAAACCTTCCAAGTGCTCTATGCCTCACGGTTTAGCAGAAAATATCAAGCAACTCTCAACCTAGCTGGTCTGTAGCTTCCACAAATGAAATACTGTATTCATTGCAGCCTTTCTGGTTGAGATATTTCAAATATTTGGTGGGGCTTTTAATGAGACGGAGAGACACTCTCGAGTGTGGAAGAAAAACATGAGGGGGTGTGAGGATAAGGCGACTTTAGGACAGAAAAAACAAAGAGACAAGGAAGCCACGTAAACGTTTTCGGGTAGGCGTGAGGCGATGTCAGTTTTGAACCCCGTTTATGTTAGGTAGAGAGCGCAGCCCTCTTCTAGCACAAACACCGTTTCCCACATTGAAGAAATCACAGAGATCAGCAACTCTAGAGTGCGATGAAGAAGCTTCACTCTGGGAGAACCCCCTTCGTGACCACGGTCTCTTTCCTGCCAGGTAAGTGGGAATGAGCGCATGCCCTGCAGGGACAGCACAGCGTCCTCGCCCTGGTCGGACGCTCAGGTTCACCACCCTACCCACTGCCCCCTTCGCCATTCTTCCAAACCACTCTCTGCCAAAGATTCCACCGACAGTCACCCCACACGACAACCCAGGCCGCCTTTCAGCAGTGGCTCCCGCCCCGCAACCACGCGCCCTCTCACCCCCGCGGTTCTGCCCGCCGCCTCTGTCCAGTCTGTGCACTTCACCTCCCTGGCTCCCGCTCTCCCCTGAGCTTACAGTGGACGCGGGGTTCTTCCAAACCCCTCTTGGGAATACTGAATGGAAAAGGGGGAGCGTGCGCAAGTGCTTGGTAGAGTGTAGACATTGTGGGATTTGACTGTGGTACCATCGCTTTGACGTCCTAGTGCTGATTTTTACACCTGCATTCTGCTTAGGGCACTGGCAACAGTTTTCCGTTTGTGCCTACTCCACCTGCTGTCTTTGTTGGGTCAGCGAACATCGCCTCCCTCTACCGCTCAATCAGCAAAAGGGACCGCCCTTGAGGACCTCACCCGCCGCTCACTCCCCTCCCAACTTCGCGGGCATCGCCTCCGGTCGCCTCTTCCGAAGGCCTAACGAGCATGTTAGCTGCGAACGGAGGTGAGGAGGCTCCGCTGACTGACCGGTGCCCACGTCCAGGGCACGCACAAACGCCATGACTTGGCTTGGCCTCTCTCTTAGTTATTCACAGCTCAGCCCGATAGGCACCTCTGGGGCGGCGACGGCAAAGAGGGTGCGCTTATTAAGTGCAGCTCCACGGGGACTGGCCTCTCTGCACGGCTGTGTACACCTGAGCGAGACGCTCAGTCGCTCTCTAAAGCCGCTTCTGCGGATGACAGACACGGAGATAAACGTGAGAGGTGGCCCACCACGACTTGCCCTCCTTTGCCCGGGTTTGCCCCTCGCTGCGGAGGCTGTTCTACATCTGGCCCTTGGAGCAGGCCGGCTGACAGCGTGGTAAAGGAAGATTTCTGCGGGAGGGCGGCCAGTGCAAAACAATTCCCTGACCGGGAATCGAACCCGGGCCGTGGCGCTTTCAGCACCGAATCCTAGCCACTAGACAACCATGCAGATGCGGAAAGCTGCTTTCTCTCCCTTCTTCGACCTGAAGCGACACTTTCCTGTGCTCTAGGAGGACTTGGGTCTTGTGAGAGTCGCCCTTTGCTCCTGGAGTCGTCTCACAAGGCCGTTCACTCCCTGCTTTCTTCAAAAAAAGAACCTGCAGGCGACACACCAAGGACTCCACGAGGGAGTCCTGAGTACTGGAGCGAGTTGCGGCCACGCGGCCGCAGCTCACCACTGGCCTAGAGATGCCCTTTGCGAGGCGGCAGCAACTGACAAGATGGTCGCGGGTCGCCGGGTCCGGAGCCGCCCACCAGGTTGCCAGGAGGAGGCGGGAGCGGGGAGGCGCCCGAGGTGAGACAGGGGCACCCTCTGCATCATAAAGGACCCAGACCCCGGCACCCTCAACATCATAAGGAATCAGACGGATGCGGAAACCGAGACGGGCTGGATAGGAAACTCTTTCCAGGAAGGCTCCGGGGCACTCAACTGGTCTCCAACCTTCCCCTGCAACCTGTGACGCCTGCCATTTTCCCATTTTAGGCGATGGCAACGCAACCCCTCCGTTTGCTCTGGGCAAAACTTCGAGAGTTCCCTCTGAAGCTGGAGCTTTTTCCTCAGATCCAAGATCCAATTGGTCACCAATTCGTGATTTCCGTCGGCCAAGTGCGTGGGCATTGATCTACACGCGAGTTTCTCCACCTCTGCCGAATGGCTACTTCGGGGTGGGGGAGGGGCCCTCCCGCCGTGGATTGCAAGGTGTTTAGCAGCATCTGTCTCCTCCGCTGACTAGACACATGCCAGGGGGATAACATTCTCCCTCCCGCTTCCCCCAGCCGCGGCCTAGTGTCCCAGCGGGGTTGGGAGAGGCATGTGAGGGCCAAGTTGCCCCCTGTTGAGAACCATTGCTGCGCGTAGTCCTTCTCTCTGAACTTGTGCAGAGGACTCTCCAGGTGAAGGCTCAAGGGTGGATCCAGCTCGAGACACCCTCGCTCCCCCTCACAGTCGGACCTTAGGATTTAGGCTTTAACATCTCCACATCATGAGATTCGAAACCTTTAGGTCTTGTCTTCCGTTCTGTCCTCCAAATCGGCCTCTTCCGAGCCTGTTGACCAGGGCCAGCCGGGCAGAGGGCTGGGCTCGCTCAACGAGGCTCCTCTCGCACCTCCTGGAGCTTCAGGCTTCTTTCCGTTGCAGAGAAGCTTTATGGGCCAATTCGTTCGGCATCCCCGGGGGCAGGTGCGCGGTGCGCGGGGAAGAAGAGGATTTGACTGCGGTTCTCCACCCCCGGCGCCCAACCTCCACCCCGGTGCGCGCGCTCTTCCAGGCTCCTGCTGGTCCCACTTGCCAGGAGTTAGGTCTCAGGTCAGCCTGAGCTCCTGAGACGCCCAGGCCCGGAAAGACACGTAGGGGAAACCATCTGCTCACTTCTGTCCTGTCCGGAAGGGATCCCTTTCTGACGGGAAAGAAAGGCGGTGAGTCCTGTCCTGTTGAGTAGGCGGAAGAGAGATCAAAGGGAAGACAAGAAAAATCCTGTGAGTTTTCAGGATCTAAAGTTACCATGAGGTCGACCTAACCTCCTCTGGAGGTCCTCCCGGTCCTCCCGTGGCTGTCGAAGGTGAATCTAGCTTCCGTCTCCAGTTCGCCAAGGCGGACAAAGCCGACGACAATGGGCCTGTCCACTATCTTCTTTCATATGCACAAAATGTCAGCTCTTCTTGTTTCTAACTTGCAACATCCCACCTGATGACCAGCTCAGCAAATTAGAGACCCTCCATGGGATTCCATCTCTGTCTTAGTTCGGGCTTCCATAACTATATACCATAAACTGGGTGGCTAATTCACGACAGAAATTTATTTCTCACAGTTCTGGAGGTTGGAAGTCCGAGATCAAGGTGCCAACATGGTAGGGTTATGATGAGGGACTTTTTTCTGGTTGTAGACTGCCACCTTCTCATTGTATCCTCAGGGGGCAGAGAGAGCTCCCTGGGGTCCCTTTTATAGTGGCATTAGTCCCACTCAGACTAACGGGACTAAATCCAGACCCAGTTATTGCAATGTGTGCAAAAGAACAAGGACTTGTACTATCTGACTTCAAGGCTTACTATAAGCTATTACAGACAAGGCATCAGGAGGGACAAATAGATAAACAGACTGAGTTAAGAGACCTGAAACTGATCCACAGCCATACAGTCAATAAATGAGCTTTCAATGAAAGCAGTTCAATAGAAGAAAATAAATCATTTCAATTAATGGACTTTCATATGGAGGTGGGGGAGACCAACAATGTTATTCTCCCTCACACTACATACAAAAGTAATTTGAGGTGCATTATACACCAAAACTTAAAAGTTAAAGATATAAAGCATTTCAAGGATACTCTGTAGGTAAAGATTAGCCTACCAACAAGTAGGACACTGAAAAAATATATATAAAAGACATGATAAATTAGACTTCATCAACATTAGCCATACCTTCTCATCAAAAGATACCACTAAGAAAGTGAAAAGGCAAGCAAGCCACAGACAGAGAGAAAATAGTCACAAAACGTATCTGACCTCCACATCCTGTAATTAGAATTATTGTGGTCTGGTACACTGCACCCAGTTTCTGCAGGAGTACTTTCTGGGTGTCTCTAATGAGTAAGAGAGGGCCCCATGGGATATTCCTACAGTTCCCAGATGAACAGTGGGAAAGACTCTACGTTGACAAACCCCGGGGACCTGAAAACTCAGGTCCTCAAGGAGGGTAGAGGATACCTGGACCCTGACCCAGACCCCTAGATGGGCTGTGCCAAGAGACCCAGCAAGGGAAGGGATTCCCTCCTGCCTCAGGTTCTCTGTTCTTCTGTGGTTAGAAGACCTGAACCCAACTCCCTCTCCAAGCAGTGGAGATAGGGCTTTTCCAAGGGCTGGGGATCTTGCTGTCCTAAGGACAGCTGAGCAAGGGGGTCGAGGAGGAGCTTGGGTGGTGGAGGAGAGGAAACCGGGTAAGATGTGTGAAGCAGTCGGCTATACCAGGCACAGAGAGGACCCACTGGGACACAAGAGCCTGCATGTGAAGCCAGGCCTTGGGCCACCTTGTTCCTCAAAGGGGTGCTTACTTCCATGGGATCTTCAAAGGGACTGTGGAAAGAGAAGCCTTCAGCCCACACCTCTGAATGCTTTTCCACCACAGCATGCCCTGTGGCCTGTATCCTGCTGGTGTGGAACAGTCAGACCCCTGCAGGGCTGCAGAGCCTCTGTACTGGGCGGCATCCCAGCCTGAGTGCCAGAGCTCAGTGGGCAGGCCCCCGAGCAAGCAGAGAGGAGGGCACCTTTTGGACAGAACCTGTGGGACAAGAGCGACGTCTCATCCTTTCAGGTTCCTCACAAAATGACAGTCAGGAAGATCAGGGTGCAGACCTGATTTCCCACGAAGGGCTGAAAGCAGACAACCGGAGGGAGAGCAGCACCTGGGTCAATGAGGTAGAAGACAGAAGACCACAGTGTACTTCTGCCCTCAACCTCACCCCCTCCCACCTACATCCTCCACACCCCCTGACCACCTTCTTCAGAAACGTAATAGGAATCAAGATCCCCCCTGGCCTGGTTGCTATGGGAGGCACAGTGGCCTGATGGAGCCTGAGGCAGGTGTGGGAAGATGTGGATTGTCTAACTGGAGGTTGGGAGTCCAGGGTGCAGAAGGAGAAGCTTGGAGTGCAGGATTTGGTGGTATGTGTGTGGCAGTAGGCACTATGTTCTAATTGCCAGTTTTTTTTTCTTCTTCCTTTTTTTCTCTAGCTAAACAAGCACTGGCCTTGAGATAAGCAATGCTGAAGCACTTGCAGCTCACCTATTACCATAAACTGACTGAGCCCTCCCTACACAAGCCGTAACTACTGCTTTGATTGGACAAGAGACTGATTTCAGTAGTTTTCTCTTGATAAGAGACCACTGGCCGTGGGCGGGTTCTGGACAGTTTACAGAAGCTATGCACTTGATTGCCTTTGTGTCCCTGCTTCACCTTTTGAAGCATAGGGCCTAATTATAATGTATTTAAATGTTGTCTCCACCCCAAAGTGAACATGGGTTGCATGTAACAGGCATGTTTACTCAGCATGCATGCAGCAGGATCCCTTCACAAATATTCAGAGCTCCCCCTATTCCCTGTTGAATATGTATATGTGGCCAGCCAGATCAACGTAAATCACTATTCGCCCTCCCCTCCCTGGAAACCTACTTTTCGGGTTTCAGCAGGAAGCTATGCCTCCCCGTCTGTCAGAATGGCCACTTGCAGGCTGTAACCCTTTATAAAAAAATAAAATCTCCTTTCTAAATTTATAAATTGTGTGATTTTTCAGTTGACAGCTTTCAGTTGTCAGTCAAGTCATTGACTGGGAAAAGTCATTTGCAATATATTTATTTGAAAAATGACTCAACTCCTGAATATATAAGAGAACTTTCATAAATCAGTAATATAGAGCTAAGCCAAATAAAATCGGGCAAAATATTCGAATAGGCCTTTGCAAAGGAGAATTTCTTATATGCTGGAAGCCATAAGAAAATATGCTTCATAGTATTGCTCATTAGGCAAGTACAAATTAATTCCACACTGAGATACCACTAACCAATCACCAGTGTGTGGCTACTTTTTTTTTTTTCTCTGAGACAGGGTCTCTCTCACCCAAGCTGGAGTGCAATGGTGCGATTGGTGCAATCTTGAGTCACTGCAACCTCCCCCTCCTGAGTAGCTGGGACTACAGGTGCATGCCACCATGCCTGGCTAATTTTTATATTTTCAGTAGAGACGGGGTTTCGCCATGTTGGCCAGTTTGGTCTGAGAGCATAGCTACATTTTAAAAAGTTAGTACACCAAATGCTGACAAGAATTTGGTGCCACTTCAACTGTCATTGCTGGTGAAAAAACATTCTAGAAGACTGGCAATTTATACTAATGTTAAACTTGTACTCAGGTCGTGACCCAGCAATTGAAGTACTTCCATGAATCTCAAGTGCACAAAAAGACCTGTAGAAGAATATTCATCACAAGAATTCAATAACACCAAAATTGAGAAGTGATCTATGAAACTACGTGGATATATCTCATGAGTATAATGAACATACCTGCAGAAAAAAGGCCAGATACAAAAGATATGTCCATTCACTCATGTGAACTTTAAGAACAGGCAATTGTAACCTATGGGAATAGACATCAGAATAGTGATTAACTAAGAGGACACAGGGTGGGAATTGCCTGGAAAGGGGCTCTAACAGGCCTTTCTCAGATGATGGCAATTTTCTATAACTTGAGCTGGGTGGTGATTACATTCATCAAAAGTAAACGAACTGCACTAAAGATTTGTGCACTTTATGTGAACTGTAGTTTATTTACTGTTCTCATTGCTTGAACCCGGGAAACGGGACGTTGCAGTGAGCCGAGATTGAGCCATGGCACTCCAGCCTGGGTGACAGAACAAGACTACATCTCAAAAATAATAGTAATAGTAATAATTTACTGTTCTCATAAAAATTAGCGGATGGGGAATGGAGGCAAGCCGGTGTAGACCATGACAACTAGTTTAGATTTTATTGTAAACTCATTAAAAGCTCGTTCTCGTTTTGTGTTTTTAAAAAATCCCACTGATACAGCCGTTTTCTCTACCAGATGAGACTATAACCGTATTATTTCATCGGTGGAAGCTACAGACAAAGGGCCCTTGAGAGGCGGCATCTTCACCTATGGGAATTTTTTCTGCTCCATTGTGAGACAAAGAGCATGTCCGAGTTTTCATTTTGGCCAGGCCGCCCCCTAGTTTACGCACTGTGGGCTAAACTCCAGAAGCTGGCGCCCTTCCGGGCCAGCGGTTTACTCCGCTCTCTGGAGGCTGCTAGGATTAAAGGCAAAGCAAACGACAGGTCTTTTAGCTACAATCGCAGGAGAGAAAACACTACTGTGACTCAGATTAGAACCCAGGTTGCGGCAACCACAGCTGCAAGTATTGACCACTACACGACCAAAAAGCCTGCTGACAACCATTGTACTTCTTATATTTTTTTATGTAAAAACACTCATACTATTTTCTCTGCTTTATTCTCGAACGTCTGCAGATTTTCGTGCTTTTCTCTCTTTCATGCGCTTCTCCGTTACTCTCTCCCCATTCCGCTACATAATTTAAAAAACATCTCATCTCTCAGGACCTGGCCACTGCCTCTACAACAAGCCTCCTGGGAAGTCTCGTTGTCCCATCGACATCGACACCTCTCCCTTCTTTCGCTCCATTTTTTTTTTTTTTTTTTTTTTTTTGACGGAGTTGCTCTGTCGCCCAGGCTGGAGTGCAGTAGCGCGATCTTGGCTCACTGCAACCTCCGCCTCCCGGGTTCAAGCGATTCTCCTGCCTCAGCCTCTCAAGTAGCTGGAATAACAGGTGCACGCCACCACATTCGGCTGATTTTTGTATTTTTAGTAGAGACGGGATTTCACCATGTTAGCCAGGCTGGTCTTGAACTCTTGACCTCAAGCGATCCATCCGCCTCGGCCTCACAAAGTGCTGGGATTACAGGCGTGAGCCACCGTGCCCGGCCAAATTTCAGGCCAACACCTGTTGACACACATTGCCAGACACACGGAATCCCTCACTGAACACCGATGGGCCCACAAAACACGCGGAGGCCACGGTGGCTGAAGATGTTAGCAAATTCGGTTCGCGGTGTCTGGGGTACAGCCTCGAGGGTCCATTGGCTACCTCTGTGCAAGGACCACTCTGCGCAAGGACCAGTCACCGCTGCTCTCCTCATCTCCATTGAGATTCTCCCGCACACACCTCCCCTTTCTTTGGGCCGCTGAGGCCTCTTGGACCTCCGAGGTGATTGCCCCGCCCGCAGCTTCTCTCCTTCCGGGAGCTTCATTTCTTGTTCCTCTCCGTAGTGGCTCAGCGGTAAGCCCAAGGTCCAGCACACGAATCAGGAAACTGATGGTTCTTGGGTTTGCAGGAATCCGCCCAGAGAACAGATGAAAGTAACAGGTACCAATATCAAAACTGCAGTGACTCACCAGAAACACTACGTGCTTGCCACTTTGCTTAGCGGTTTGTTGAGTCCAACAACTGCGTGGGTCCCGGGTTAGTCTCCTGAATGTCTTTTGCTGCTACTTTGGTCAGCGTTGTTGTCAGTTTAGCTTGTGGTGGCCAAGCCCTTAAATGCACTATTAGGTTATGCAGTGTAATTCTGCAGGGCAGAAGGGTAAAGAGCCATAGTGAAGAGCAAAAAAACCTCTTGCCTTGACCGGGAATTGAACCCGGGTCTCCCGCGTGTGAGGCGAGAACCCTACCACTGAACCACCAGTGCCTCTCCCCAGCAACCCTTGGAGAATTACCGGAAAGAGTATCCAGAAAGACTTAGAAACTTCCAAGCGGCCTTTTCAAGTGTCGACTCAAAGCTAACAAAGACATCCAAACCAAATGTTTTTATAGGAAACTTTTGCTAAACAAAGTTATAAATATCAAAATAGCTCATTCATCCAAACCAAATGTTTTTATAGGAAACTTTTACTAAACAAAGTTATAAATATCAAAATAGCTCATTTGTCGGATCAAACTCTTAACTCTGAAAAAGGTCTTTCTACCTGCATTACATACCCCTATAATAAAACGTCACAAATTCATTCATGTTTCTTTTTTGTAATCCTAAATCTTCAATTGTCAACGTCAAACTGCTGCCTTAGTGGTTCTGAGAAGGTAACCTAACTGGTAGCTTAGGTAAGTAAAGTTCTAATCCAGGGAGGAAATAAGAAGCAGAAGCAGAATTAGAATTAGAGGAAAGAGGAAATAAAAGGACAGAATCAAGGTAGAGATAATGAAGAAACAAAGGTTGGTCCACTGAGTTAGTCTTTTGTCGCTGGTTTTTTTGGCAAAAGAGTAATGATCGGTCTTGTAACCATAATACTGTTATTTGTCTGCTTGAAGATGTATAAAGCATTTAAAGGAAATGTGATATAAAAAGATTAATAATGCCTGCAGTCAATATTTCATTGTTAGAGAGAATCCAATTTCCTAAGTTAATATGCTTTGATGTATTAGCTATGTAAGGAGTAGACTAGTTTAAGGAAATATTGATGGTCAAAATATTAACATATTAGTCTTTTGATGAAGTTCAAATAGAGAGATTTCTTTTCTCAATTTTCCCTGGAGAGATTAAACTGAAGAGAAAAATTCAGAGAGTTTGCCCCACATGTTGGGTCTGTGAGTCATTATGACTTTTTCAAAGACAGGAGTTGTGACATGGAATCATGCTTCTTCTCTAGCTGAGAAGCCAAGCTAGGTCCAGGCTGGGTCATAAACTTGAGCCCAACAAGGAAATCACCCTTCACATTGACCTCACAGAGCTTTGACTGTTCTCTGTTCTTTGCCCAACACCCAAGACACACACCAGCTCTGGCCAACAAACCTTAACATATTATCTATATCAACCAGAGCTACATTTATTCCCAAATCTCCTTCTAAAATACAAACCTGTACTTTCTACTCTCAACTTCTAAATTTACAAAGGCCTCATATGCATCTCAGAGTCACAGATGCTAAAACTCAACACACCGGTGAGTTCCCTGTCAGCAATATGTACCACCCTCTACCTCAAAACCCAATGATCAGACTCAAGCACAGCATCTCCCAAAGAGTAGTGCACTGCCCTGGGTGTTTCAATGATCACTAAAACCTGTTTCTAGCCCTGCCTAGCACACTTATCCTCACCACCATCTATCCTATTTGCCAAGCCAGATCTTTCTTTGGATAAACTCTCTCATTTTCATAACACAACAATTTCAGTTCAATTCAAAAAAAATAGCGTTTAAGTTTATTGGATACTCCACAAGCTTACTGCCACTTTATTACCACACTTTTCCATCTATCGGCTCTTGCATCCATTAACATAAGCAGACAAAAAACTGGACTCCTGGCCAGGTGCGGTGGCTCAAGCCTGTAACCCCAGCACTTTGGAAGGCCAAGGCAGGCGGATCACGAAGTCAGAAGATTGAGACCATCCTGACTAACATGGTGAAACCCCATCTCTACTAAAACTACAAAAAAAAAAAAAATTAGCCAGGCGTGGTGGCACCCATCTGTAGTCCCAGCTACTCGAGAGGCTGAAGCAGGAGAATCGCTTGAACCCAGGAGGCAGAGGTTGCAATGAGCCAAGACCACACAACTGCACTCCAGCCTGGGTGAAAAAGCAAGACTCCACCTCAAAAAAAAAAACAACAACAACAACAACAAAAAAAAACTGGACTCCCTACAGCCAGTGTAGTATGCACCACTCACTTGCCACACTGTATGCTGAGTGACCCTTCCACAGCTTAAATCTGCACATAACTTCAGCCTAGAACCATATAATGTCCCTTTATTTCTTCAGTACAATGATTAATACCATATTCTCTGTACCCTTCTTCACTCTATGCTCATCATTCTAACAGCTCTTGCCAATACTCAAATCCAGGAGCAGCAAACTACTTCACATGTCACAAACTTTTCACAGGTTCACACCAGTGGATTCCCCAGTGAACCAGCTGTCTTAACTCAGGCTTCCATAACAAAATACCACAGACTGGGTGGCTTAAACACGAGGAATTTCTTTCTCACAGTTTGAGAGGCTGAGAAGTCCAAGATCAAACTGCCAGCGGATTCACCTCCTTGGTGAGGGCTCTCTCCCTGGCTTGCAGACTGCTACATTCTCCTTCTGTCCTCGCATGGTGGAGAGAAAGAGAGCACTTTCGTCTTTCTTCTGTTTCTTATAATGACACTGATCTCATCATGGAGATCCCATGGTCATGACCTCATCTAAACCTGATTACCTCCCAAAGGCCCTACCTCCAAAATACCTTCACATTGGGGGTTAAGGCTTCAATATATAATATGAAGGGAACACAAACATCCATTCCATTACACTAGCACCTGCATTTGCAATCCAGCCTCTGGGCCAGGCTTAGCAGTGTAGAGCCCAAGGCTTCAATTGACAGGATTTTTATGCTCTCATGCTCTGGCTCCTTGGCTCCAGAAGCTTCTAGAACCAGTAGGGTGATACATCCTTTAGCAACTATATTGTAAAACACATGGTGGGTAAAAGAGTGCCCTATTAAGTATTTTGGTTATGCCCCCATTAGTGTGCTTGGCTCAATATATTAATAGTAAGTAGTGGTTCGCATCCACCCTCAGTACCACCCTCTGCAGTCATCCTGTCAGTTTCCATTCCATTCTCCTATCCCTGGCTTGCTGGTTCAATACTCTTAAGTGATTTACTGCTGGTGCTCTTCTTTTTCCCTCAGAGATACCTTGTGATTTCTTTGATTCTCTCCATCTCTACAGGTTAATAAGTCTAATATTTAAAAACTCTGTAGAGGGATGTTGGGAAGCTGTGGGGAGAGCCCTTGGGCTTTTCGCCTGGGTAAAGTGCAGATTCCTGAGAATTCTGGGCCTTGGCTTCCAGCTGCACTAGTGCCGGCCACTCAGCTGTTCTCAGCAGCGTCACCTGGCGCAATGGTGCTGAAGCGCACTGCCGAGAGGCCAGAAGGCAAAGCGAGAGTCGGTGGCTATGGCCTGGAACCCATTTAGGCAAAACAGAGGGCGCGCGGGGACAAAGCAATAGAGAAGGGTGGGCAATACAGGATCTGTACACCATACATTAGCAATTGTATTTATTAAATTGTTGATTACCTAAGCCTCCGGAGAGTAGTTTGGACGCTTACCGGTTTTCTGAGGATTATTTGGGGAAGGGGTATGCATGCAAATGTATGTACATAATTCGTGTGATTTCGGAATATTGACTCCATGAGTTCCAGATGCAGATTTGGAACGTTTTTAAAAAACATTTTGTTTTTGTTGTCTCGCAAATCAGCCAGATCTGCAACTGTATCAGAGTAAAGCGAAGCCAAGCTGGACCCTTAGGAAATGCGCTAACATGTCATCCACTTTCGGTGTCTGCCTGTGAAAATTCAGGCGATAAAGAGAATGAAGAGAACCTTAAGGAATTGCTGGAACCAAAGTTAATATTAAGCAGGCCTGCTGTGACGTCCTCTTCCTGGCAGACCAGTGGAAATTGTAGCCTGGTCGACAATCTGTATAGATTGATGAGGTCTAAAATGTAGTCACAGGTTCAACTACTTTTCTGTTTTCCAACCTCGAGTAAACTCACTAAATTTAAGGGCTAACAAAAAAAAAAAAACAAAACAAAAAAAACCTCTGTTTCCGCCCAGTTTCGAACCGGGGACCTTTCGCGTGTGAGGCGAACGTGATAACCACTACACTACGGAAACCACACGCGGAACCTGCGCGGCAAAACATAACCATGAAAATCTTAGATCAGCCGTTTCTATTATAGTTTCCAAATCTAAGATCGCACCACTGCACTCCAGCCTAGACAACAGAGCGAGAGTCTCAAAAAAAAGTTAGGAGAAGAAGGTGCCATTTTCCCTAGTTGCTTTTCTTACTGCGGTGGTGACCGCATTGCCTTCACACCTGAAGTCCAAGTGTTTGCACCCTGGGGAATATGCAGACAGCTGGGTCACTGGACGCCAGGCCGCAGCGCCGGCCTCGTTCTGCTTTTGGCTCTAAATGCAGTCGGGGGACGCGACTGGATCTCACCAGAGACTGGTGGGCTGTTACCCTTACCAGCGACTGGAGGGCCAACCTCCCAAAGAGGCATACTTCATGATCGCCTTAAATCAGGAAATTTCATGAAATCCCACCCCTCTACCGCCCCATTCCCATATTGTATCTCCTCCCCTGCCCACTCTGAGAGGATTCGCCCCCTTTCTGTCTCGTCTGGACCCTTTGGAGTCCCACATAGACAAGACAAAAGGGGCATTGCCTTTTCCTACAGGAGCGGGAAGAGCCGTCACAGCGGAGGAAACAGAGACTCACAGCGCGCATCCCCACATACTTGCGCCCTGCCGAGTTCCAGCAAACCCAACAAAGCACTCTGAAGCTTCTCTGGAAAAGGAAGGAGTGTGAGGTTTCTGATACGGCAAGAGGAGCCAAAGAGAGGGGACCCAGGCCTTCCCCTAGCTCGAGAGAACAAACCCAGAAGAAGGGCAGATCCGAAGGAAAAGCGCAAAGGCGGCCCAACCCCACGACCTGAGCGAGCCAAGGGTCGCGGGTTAAATTGCGTTTATCAGAACAATTGTTTGCTCACTGTCCCAAAGCCCTCCTAGGGACAAAGAAAACACTGGCATGGCACCAATCGCAGAAGGGGGCAGCATTGACACCCAGGAACAGGCGTGGAAAAGCAGGAAAAGCAGGGATCATCTCTCTCCTACCCCGTATATGGCTGCAGACATAGCAGTGGTTCTTTTCTCCAGGACCCAGTGAGTGTGCACCAGGAGAGAACATTATGCACGTTATTCATGGTGGCACCACCCAGGCTGAAAGTGAGCCTGTGCTGCTTGGGCTTTCAGGAAGGACGGGCCCAACTCTCCCTCCCTATACAGAGCTGCAGTGCCCTGGCAATGGAGGACAGACCATGGAGTTGCCTGCCCTGGACTCGGGGAAGAGGCTTTGCCCTAAACCCCATTTTAGTGGTAGCTGTCAGAGTGCCATATCCACAGACTTCAGCTGCACCACAGCCAGGAACCAAAGGACAAAGTCTTTATAAAATGAAGGTTGTGAGCTCTGTGACAGGGCATGATAGGGAAGCGGATCACATTCTTGCCTACTCAGGAGGAGGAGCTAGTGCACCTCTGCCCCTTCCCCTGAGACCTCAGCACACCCCGACATGATCTCTTTCCCACCATCCTGTCAGGGCAGGTTTTTCCACTGGACACCAGCCTACGTAACAGCCCTGACTCTTAAGCACCATCTACTGGACTGCATCCTAAACTGGACCACTGAATTCAAAAACCCTGCTACCAAAGGGCTTAGTGCTAGTCCATGAGATAAGTTTCCTGAGAATTCCGTACCCTCAGCCCCCAACAAGGGTTAGTGTGTTAGCTTTTACTTCCAATACATCACCACAACAAGCAGCATCTGAGAAAGCTACTGCTCAGAAGCTATCCACAACCAAGAAACCCATACAAAGCTAGGGCTCCCTGAAAGCACCCAGAAATGAAGCCAAACAATCATACACAACATACACCACAGTCATACCATCAAGGGAAAAAAAGAATAAAAACATTAAAAATCCTCATCCAAACAATACCAAATTCAAAACTAAGAAGCAACAGCTTCCTCGGATGAGAAAGAATCAGTGCAATAACTCCAGTGTACCCAGAGTATTTACACACTTCCAAAGGATCACACTAGTTTCTAGCAATGGATCCTAGCCAGACTGAAATGTCGGAAATGACAGATAAGAATTCCAAATACGGATTGCAAGGGAACTCAATGAGATCCAAGAAAAAGTTGAAGTCCAATGCAAAGAAATCAGAAAAACAATACAGAATATGAAAGACAAGAAAACTATATTAAGAAAAATACAAATAGAACTTCTATAATTGAAAAATTCACTAAAGGAATTTCAAAATACATTGAAAGCTTTAATAATAGACTAGACAAGCAGAAGAATGAATTTCAGAGCTTGAAGGTTGGTCTTTCAAATTCACCTAGTCAGACAAAAGTAAAGAAAAATGAATTTTTAAAAATGAACAAAGCTTTTGAGAATTATGGGGTTATGTAAAGCGATCAAACCTATGACTTATTGGCATTCCTGAGAGAGAAGAAGAAAAGTAAGCAACCTGGAAAACATATTTGAAGGAATAATTCAGGAAAGAATTTTCCTAACCTTTCAAGAGAGATTGATATTCAGATACAAGAAATTCGGACAACTTCTGCAAGATACTATACAAGATAACCAGTGAAAAGCATACAGTCATCAGACTTCCCAAGATAAATGTGAAAGAAAAAATCTTAAAGGCAGCTGAAGAAAAGGGCCAGATTATCTATAAAGGAAATCCCATCAGACTAACAGCAAACTTTTCAAAGGAAATCTTACAAGTCAGAAGAAACTGGGGCCTATTTTTAGCCACCTAAAAGAAAAAAAAAACTGCCTGTCAAAGTTTCATACTCTGCCAATTTAAGCTTCATAAATGAAGGAGAAATAGTTTTTCCCAGACAGAGAAATGCTAAGGGAATTCATTAACACCAGATAGTCTCTATAATAAATGTTCAAAGGAGTTCTAAATATGGATGGTACTTGCTACCATAAAAGCACATGTAATTACAAAGCTCGTACACCTTATAAAGCAATATATAATTGGGTCTACAAAGCAACTAGCTTAACACTATGACAGAAATAACACCTCACACATGAATATTAACCTTGAATGTAAATGGCCTGAAAGTTCCACTTAACGGGCATAGAGTAGTCCAGGTGTGGTGGCTCACACTTGTAATCCCTGCAGTTTGGGAGGCCAAGGTGGGTGGATCACTTGAGGTCAGGAGTTCGAAACCAGCCTGGCCAACATGGTGAAACTTCATCTCCACTAAAATACAAAAATTAGCTGGGCGTGGTGGTGGGCGCCTGTAATGCCAGCTACTCGGGAAGCTGAGGCAGGAGAATCACTTGAACCCAGGAAGCAGAGGCTGCAGTGAGCCAAGATCGCACCACTGAACTCAGCCTGGGACTCCATCAAAAAAAAAAAAAAAGGCATAGGGTGGCAAATTGGGAAAAAAAAAAAATCAAACTTTCCATGGCCTTTAAGAGAGACCTATCTTACATGTTATAGCCCCCAGGGGCTCAAAGTAAAGTGATAGAGATCTGTTATGCAAATGGAAAACAAGAAAGGTCAGGAGTTGCTATTCTTGTATCAAGTAAAACAGACTAAACCAACAAGAGTTAAAAAAAGAAAAAAGACAAAGAAGGGCATTACATAATCAGAAAGCATTCAATTCAACAAGAAGATTTAACTATCCTAAATATATATGCACCTAACATTGAAGCACCCAAATTTATAAAACAAATACAACTACACCTAAGCAAAGAAATAGACAGCCATGCTATACTAGTGGAGGACTTCAACATCCCACTGACAGCACTAGACAGATCACTGAGGCAGAAACCTAACAAGGAAACTTTGGACTTCCATTGGACTCTTGACCAAATGAACCTAATAGATGTCTATAGAATACTCTATCCAACAACCACAGAATATACATTGTTCTCATCTGTGCACAGAACATTCTCTAAGATTGACCACATACTCAGTCATAAAGCAAGTCTCAATAAATTTTTTAAAAAATGAAATTATATCAAGTATCTTCTCAGACAACAGTAGAATAAAAGCAGAAATCAATGCCAAGAGGAACTCTCAAAACCACACAAATACATGGAAACTAAACAACAGAATCATTTTTGGGTAAACAATAAAATTAAGGCAGAAATAAAAAAAAATTGAAACAAATGAAAGTAGAGACACAATGTGCCAAAAACTCTGGAATATAGAAAAGCAGTGTTAAGAGGAAAGTTTATAGCACTCAATACCTACCTTGAAAAGATAGAAAGATCTCAAATTAACAACATAATACCACACCTAAAGAACTAGGAAAAGAAGAAGAAACAAAACCCAAAGCTAGGAGAAGGAAAGAAATAACTAAGATCAGAGCAGAACTAAATGAAACAGAGATAAAAAAAAAAATACAAAGGATCAATGAAATGAAAAGTTGGTTATTTGAATGATTGATAGACCACTAGCTAGATTAACCAGGAAAAAAAGATCCAAATAAGCACAATCAGAAATTACAAAGGTGACATTACAACTCATATCACAGAAATACAAAAGATCCTCAGAGACTACTATGAGCATCTCTACATGCACAAACTAGAAAAACCTAGAAGAAATAGTTAAATTCCTGGAAGCACACAGCTTCTTAAGATTGAACCAGGAAGAAATTGAAATCCTGAACAGACCAATAATGAGTTATGTAATTGAATCAGTAATAAAAATTCTACTAATCTGAAAGAGCCCTGGACCAGACAGAATTTTACAGCTGAATTCCACCAGACGTGCAAAGAAGAGCTGGTACCAATCTTACTAAAACTATTCCAAAAAATTGGGGATGAGGGATTCCTAACTCATTCTATGAAACCAGTATCATCCTGATACCAAAATCTGGCAGGGACACAATAAAAAAAGAAAACTACAGGCCAATATCCCTGATGAACACAGATGCAAAAACTCTCAACAAAATACTAGCAAACTGAATCCAGCAGCACATCAAAAAGATAATTCATCATGATCATGTGGGCTTTATTCCTAGGATGCAAGGATGGTTCAACAGACGCAAAAAAAAAATGCTATTCACTGCATAAACAGAATTAAAAACAAAAACCATACTATTATCCCAATAGATGCAGAAAAAGCATTCAATAAAATGTTACATCCGTTGCATGATACACACCTTCAACAAACCAGGCATCAAAGGAACATAACTCAAAATAATAAGAGCCATCTATGACAAACCCATAGCCAATATCATACTGAATAGGCAAAAGTTGGAAGCATTCCCCCTAATAACTGGAACAAGACAAGGATGTCCACTCTCACCACTCCTATTCAACACAGTACTGGAAATCCTGGCCAGAGTAATCAGTCAGGAGAAATAAAAGCAATCCAAATAGGAAAAAGGGAAGTCAAATTATCTCTGTTCACCAAAGACATGATCCTCCATCTAGAAACCTCTAAAGATTCCTCCAAAATACTCCTAGACTTGAAAAACAAGTTCAGTAAAGTTTCGGGTTACAACATGAGCATACAAAAATCAATCGCATTTCTATACACTAAAAATGCTCAAGCTGACAGCCAAGTCAAGAACTTAATCCCATTTAAAATAGCCACACACACA